>NC_000023.11:7762488-8387488 GCF_000001405.40 Homo sapiens
CAGAAGCTTTGGGAGCCATGGAGTGCGTCTTACAGATGTCAACCACATGGTGATGAATGGAACTGTGCAATGAATGGAGAATTACAATGAGGCACTGCTGTTAGGTTAAGGTGCATATAGGTATCTCTGTCCCATATAATTGACAAAGATTTTTTTTCAGACAACTGAATCTTATTCATACCTTTATTCCCAAAGGAAGATTAATTGAATTCTCTTTTTACTCAAAGGGGATGATGTTTAGGACTTTATCACACGTGGGTCACAATAAGTTTTCACTGATGAAGATATAATTCAGATGAGAGTGTGAGCAGAGAATGAGGGGAAATTGGGTGTATACTATCAAGGGGTACTGATATTTAAAAAATGACATTGTTCAACATAATCCTTTCCATTCAGGCAAAATGTGTTTCTTGTGCAAAATAGGGTACAGGAATGAAAAATATTTTATTTTCTGCATCTTTGGAGAGCTAAGGATGGAATAGAAAGAAAAGATGTGAAAAACAGAGAAATTGTGTGGGAGAAGAAAATATTGATGGAATGAGTACAGGAATGAAGATGAGGGAAAAGAAGACAGACGCAGAATGGAGACCATTCAGATACAACAATTGCAGACAGGCAGACGGACGATGCTCATGTCCACTAAGAGAAGATGGTCATAGACACAGCGACCTCCGAGAAGGAAACTTTAAGAATATGCAGGCACAAATTAGCTTAATTCACATAGGGTTAGGGAATATTTCTGTAGCCTGGTGGTTAAGCATTTCAGCTGTGAGGTAAAATAGACCTTAGTTCAAGTCCTGGGTGACATCCTGGCTGGGCATTGAGTGACACTGAGCAAGTTTCATCGGACTGCCTCAAATCTCAGTCTTCTCACCTATAAAATATATATTTAAAAAGCATCTACTCATAGGATGTTGTGAATTAAGTGAAATAATGAATGTGAAGCCCTTCATTTAATGGCTGACACAGCCTAACTCAGCAGACAGTATTTCAAGTGCTTACAAGTCAGACTGCAGAGAGCAAAACTAGATGAAGTTTTGCTGAAGTATAAAGGGAACATGCTTTTCAAAGGGGAGATTCTCTCACCTCCAAACACTGATACACCGTGCAGGAGACCTCTAGGTGTTGGCAAATTGTCACGTTTTTAAGAGATGCTGCATCACAATCTGACTGTTACGTTGATTTTTAAATGTTTACAATTTATTTGATTTTTACAAACATGTTGCAGGACAAATGAATACATCGGGGGCTGTGAATATCTACCTGAGCACAGCTGGTGACCTCTGTATTAAAAATTATTTTTCTCTTATAGTCACTGCTATAATGCAGACCACTATGATTACTAATATAACTGTGATTATTTTACTTTTCTTTTTGGGGCAAGTCACTATCTTGGTGCTTTGGAGCTACCAAGACTATAAAAAAGGAAATATAATATAAACCATCAGAGAAGCTTTAACCTAGAAAATAAGTTAATATGCACAAATATGTACAATTAAATGATCCACAAGGTATACATATTTTATAAATTTCTATGACAGAGGGAGATTTCTTTTTCGTTTCAAACAACCATGATTGTGTTTTCAAAAAAGCAGCCCCTTTGTGGTGGTCCCATTTTAAATGGATTTTACATTAAATTAAGTAGTGCCTCTAGAAAGCTTGACATATGCTAGTTATTTATCAATGTCATTATTGGCATCATTATTTTACATACAACCAGACAGCCAGCATATTTGTGTACCTCAGGACTTAAAACTAGCTTGAAATATGTTACATTTCATCAAGGTTAACGAGCTTGACACCAAATATGCTAATTTAAAGGTGGCAGGCATGTGAACAAAGGAACAAAGATACTGTGTCCAAGAAGTTTGTTGCAATGAGGGAATAAAGGAAAGGTTCTAAATGTTAGTCAAGAGGGCCGTTGTTAAGTGACTTCTAGACAGTAGAGTGCTGTTGTTAAAAAGAGTAAGGGAATAATAGTTACTAGTTATATAGCATTTGTTATGTGGGTAACATTCTTCTACTTCCTTAGGTGCTTTGATGTAAATAATCCTTATACTTAGCCTAAAAGGCCAGTGATATTTCATGCCCATTTTACACAAGAGGAAACTCAGACCTAGGAAAGCTATCAGTAATTCACCCAAAATCTCACAGGTTGGAAGTGGGGGAGGCAGAATCTGAATTCAAGCAGTCAAAATTTGGGGTCAATGCTTCTAAATGCTATCATAAACTAATTTCCTAGAGCTTTTTATACTGGTATACCTGACTCCTCTAATAGTAGTGAGAGTTGCAAAATGAAGAATGATATGTATGATGCAATTCAACTTACTTAAATAAGGTAGTAATACCTAATACATACTTATCTGCGGGTTCTGTGCCTAGAAGGATACCCAGTAAACTCTTCACTGAAAGCACTGTATTCCGAGTCTCAACTTTTCACTTTTGATGTTCATTTCCTTTTGTCCTGTTATAAGAATGGATTTCTGCAAGGTTCTTCAATTCTCAAGAATTACCATGCTCTTTCTGAGTTTACTTGTTTATTTATTTAGGAACTCATTGTTTTACACCCAGGCAGCCTATGTTGTTCTCCAATTATAACTTCCTTAAAATTCTTGTAACTCTTGTGAAATTTTTCTTCTGTCCTTCCCGTTATTTCGACTTAAACAGGAACTGTTGGCTGTAGACATGAGCCTCAGCCTTAGTCCTGTGGACTACACAGTCTCCTTCAGTGAAATGCGTTTTCCTTTTGCCAGCTTGTAAGAGGTCATGTCTGGACCCCTATTGGGGGCAGCCTGTTGGTAACCCAGGTAGCAGTTGATGGCCAGGAAGGCTACTCTTCCTATGGTCTGGCTCTCAGCAAAGTGAAAGCTGTGGCCAAATTCCCCTTTTCATGTCTTGGGAGACCTCTTCCATGGTTCCTTGGACATAAAATGGTGCAGGATCTATTCAGACTCACATCCACTGGCTTGAGTGGCTTCTCAGGTCTCCAGTCTATAACAGAGAGGGTGCAGAAAATCCTACCAGAGAAGAGACTTGGATGCTTTTGCCCCAAGTTTTAAGGATGTATTATCATTCTTCTAAATCCTAGGTTACTGTTTTTGTTTGTTTGTTTGTTTGTTTGCCTGGCAGCACAGACAATAAATGCTAGATTTTCCCACTCTGTCCCCTGAAAATCTCAGGCCAATTCAAGATCTAGGACATACTTTTATACTTTTCCAACATACCGTGGATGTGATATTACCAAAGAGGAATAGATAGGAAAGGCAGTGTCCAAGCTACCTTCCTTCCATAAGGCTACACAAAATATTATCCATGGCTACACTGTCTTAAAAATATTCCAGCAAATAAATGTATCCTAGTTTGTTTAGTGTTTCTACTCTTGCTAGATGTATGATAAGCTGGTAATTTTCACCATATGAACATCCTTACCCAAACGTTTTTATTCTGCTTTAAATAGTTTTTAGCATGCATTCATATAAATTTGGATTCTGAGTCAAAAAGCATAGGAGTTTCTTTCATTTGGATACATAGTTCAAAACTGGTTTCCCAGAGAGTTGTACTTATTTATAGGATTGCCTGCAATGTTCAGTTCCTGTAGCCATTAATCTCACCCATGACAGCATGAGATTCCTTGTAAGCCTCAATTAAGAAAAGAATTACAGCTGGTGGGGCCTTCCTCTTTCATTTTGTAAAATCCCAATTTTTCCTCATAAAGTTCAAAGGATCTTTTTAATAACAAACAAACAAACAAAAAGCTTAAAGCAGGAGGTGGGAAATATATGAACAATTCTCTTAAACCAAAGCCTTCCCTTTTGTCTTCTTTCTTTTGCCTCAAGATCTTTAAACAGTTTGCCTCCCATGGGCTTCTCCAGGTTTTCCTCTTCCCTGGAGATTTCTAGATACCTTAGGGGAGAGTTGTTTTTCGAGTGGTACAACCCATCGGCAACTGATTTGTACAGGGAACTGGCTGATTCTCTAGTACATTTCAGAAATGTGAAATTGCTTAGGGTCTTGAGGCTGCATTTTAACTTTTAGCAGAGTTTCATAATGAACTAAACAGCGATGTTTTGTTCTAGGCACTTTTCATTCACAGCTGAGTTTACAGCTAAAAGATATTTGCCTAGGCATTGTGGTGCATGCCTGTAGTCCCAGCTACTCAGGAAGCTGAGGTGGGAGGATTTCTAGATCCCAGGAGTTTGAGGCTACCGTGAGCTTCAGTTGCGCCACCGCATGCCACCTGGGATGACATAGTGAAACCCTGTCTCTAAAAATTTTAAAAATATAAAAAATAAAAAAGTGATTAAATTCAACCTGAAGAAATCGAAGAATCTTCGTCCCTACATTTGAGGGCTCTAATCATATTTAGGATCACCGTGCTGTTGAAAAGGAAAACCTACCCAGGTGACTAATAAGTGAAAATGTGTTCTCTTTGAAAATATTTAACCACCTTTGTGACTTAAATTCTATTCGTAGCTTATTTTAGTTTCCAGGAAACTAAATTTCATTAATAAGAAAGAATTTGACACTAATTTGGGCCCCATGTAAATTTTGTTTCTGAGATTCCCTAGTGGTATGAATAAACACCCCTCCCCATATAAAATGGAGATCCACTGTAAGACTATAAGATTCCTCTAGCAGAAACCCAACCTTCTGTATAATCACTTTCCTTTCTGTGATATTTCTTCTATTACTTTTCATGAAATATTTTATGCCATGCATGGCTCACAGTGACAAAGCTTATAGCACAAAAACAAAATAGAGATCCAGACACTAACAGAATTGTTGCAAAATGGTCTTTGTAATTTAATCCACTCCACTGTATTATGATCTCCAGGTTTTGCTTTACTACTCCAGGAGATCTTAGACCCCTTTTTTCTATGCCTTTAAGATTTCTCTCGGTCGGGAGTGCAAATATTTGTGAACTTGCCCTATCACATTTCCACAGTTAGCCTCATCAGACGCCTAGCTGAAGAAAGTAGATTTTTCATGCATAGCCTCAGAAAGTTTCTTACCAGTTCTCGTCTTCTGAGCCCATTCTCCAAACTGGCATAAAAATAATATTCATGATATTTTTAATCTGAAACCAAGCTGAATAGACTTCTGACACTCCTTCCAGCTTCAAGAGAGCTATTGTTGCACCTTAATTTGAGAGGCAAGCATTGAAGATTTTCAGAAACACACAGTCATTGTATCAGCTGTTTTTTTCATACTCTAAGGGAAATGGAAAGTAAACATTCTATCCAAAGTATTATTTGTATTCTTGCTTGACAGAACTCCAAAAAGTCTCAAGAGGCAGATTTAATATACACCTTGGTTGAGCGTTGCAGCTCCAATATATTTTTAAAGATAATGACAAGAGGCCAGGTTCTCAGCCCCGTTGCTTGCCAAAATGGAAGGGAATGTCTGGAGAGGCTTAAATTCCAAGCTTTGGGTTCAGCTAGACTATCTTCACCACTGCAGAGTTTCTCAGTCTTGAACTGTTGGGACTGCAGCTGAATAATTCTGTGCAGGAATTATTATTGAGATCCCTGGCTTTTCTACTCACTGGATACGGTTGGTACCTGAAGCACCTCCTCCCACTGCGACAAGCCAAAATGTCTTCAGGAGTTGCCAGATATCCCCAGGGTGGAGGGAGTGGGGAACAAAGATGGCCTTGGTTGAAAACCATGACTGTAGTCTGTGCCTTTCCAGGAATCACACTAGCTACCCATAGGGATTTTACAGAGGACTCTTCTTCATATACTTATATTTAATCATTTTCTTCCTTAACCCTCTAGAACTGTGCTGTCCAATGTGGTAGCATCTAGCCATATATGAATGTTTAAATCAATCAAAATTAAATACAATTTAAAAACCCATTCTCTAGCCATATGTGGCTAATGGGTATTGCATATTAGAGAATATTTCCACATCCCAGCAAATTTTATTGGACAGTACTGATCTAAAGAAAGCATTCTTAGAGGGAGACAAATCATCCCCAAGGGACAAAGAAAGGGTTCTTTCTTGAGAAGGGCAAATCTCCCTCTATTTATAAAGCACAAATATACATAATATGTGTTTTACTTACACAGTGTAAAATGTGTATACAACATGTCTGTGGTGTTAAAGTTATCTGTAACAGGAATGAGTTTAGAAAACAGAAGACTAAAACCCACCTTACCTGGGGCTTATGAAGAAACACTGGTTATGGATTTATTTTCCTCTTTTGAGATATAATTTGGAACTTGAAGTGCTAGATTTGCAAATGCATCATTGCGGCTTTAAGATCCTTTAATGCCATAATGAAACCTCTATTCTTATTTTCCCTTTTACTTATAGCTTTCAAACAATGTAACTGAAGATACACATTTTCATTTAACAACAACTAAAGAAGCTTGTGGAATTTTGCAATTGAAATTTTAAGTTACTGGAAGCTCCTCTAACTAGCTTAATGATTTCTAAACAAAAGGATCCTATTCAAAAATATTAGATTCATTTTATATGATAACATGTGTATTAGTCTGTTCTCACACTGCTATGAAGAAATACTCAAGACTGTGTAATTTATAAAGGAAAGAGGTTTAATTGACTCACAGTTCCGCATGGCTGGGAAGGCCTCAGGAAACTTATAATCATGGCAGAGGGCAAAGGAGAAGCAGGCATCTTCTTCACGGGGCGTCAGGACAGAGTGAGTGCAAGCAGGGGAAATGCCAGACGCTTACAAAACAATGAGATCTTGTGAGACTCACTCACTATCAGGAGAACAGCATGGGGGAAACTGCCCCCATGATTCAGTTACCTCCACCTGGTCCCGCCCTTGACATGTGGGGATTATGGGGATTCCAATTTGAGGTGAGATTTGGGTGGGCAGACAGAGGAATCCATATCAACAGGAATACAATGTTTTGATATTTTTAATTTAATTAGAAAAGAAAGTTATAAATAATATTTTGATGATGAATTAATTCATATATTTGGTTTAAACAAGAAAGTACCCAACTCATTGCTGGAGTGATGGGTTATTTGTAATGGACATCTGTCATTATTTTCTGGCTGGATATCTGAGGTCCTTTTTGGGTTTGGGGAGATTGTTAGTGATGAGTCTTAAGGGAAGGTAAAGCTCTGCTTTTTGTTACCAAAGCAACAAGGTTAGATTCTGGTTGTCCCTGACCTAGATAATCATAGGCCCATGACCTAGTATTGGTCATTTGGATATTCTGATCCAGGACTTTATAGTGGGGGCAGATGACACAGAGTGTGTCAGTAGCAGTTTGAAATTTTGGTCAGCTGCATAATGACCTTGAGTAAATCTTCTTGCTTCTTATGTTAGCAAGTATTGACACCTATATTTTGCATCCAAGGATATTATCCGTAAAAGTATTTTCCATAAGGTACAGCTCTGGTAGGAGTTCCAGGGATGATTTTATGCAGATTTTGGTCAGGCTACCATAGAAACTCCTAGCCCCCTCTCCAAATTAGTGCAAGCGCAAATCAGCCTGAGATAATTACATGAAAGCATACCATGGTGAGTAGGGCAGAGGAGGTAAAAACTTACAAATAAGAAGCTATTTTTCTGCCAAATGGTCCTTAATCCAAGGAATAATTTCTCCAAGAGAAATATCCAAATCTGTGTTAGACAATCAACATTACTGAAGCTAGATTCCAAGTAATTTCCAAAGGAATTATACAGTTTCACTTTCCCACCACAAATGTATCTGAGTTCCAGTTCCTTCACACTCTCACCATCACTTGATATTATCAGTCTTTCTATTTTAGCTATTCTGATGGATGTATAGTGTTATGTACTTCCAGGTTTTAGCCCTTAATGCTAATCATGTTGAGTATTTCTTAGTATGCTTATTTGCCATTTGTGGATATTGTGTGGCGAAATGTCTGCTCACATACGTTGATGATTTTAATTGGATTTTTGCATTATTATAAGTTGTAAGAGTTCTTGATGCATTTTGAATTAAGATTTTGTTGAATTTCTGTCTCTTACAGTCTTTTTTTCCATTTTCTTAATGATGTCTCTAGAAGAGCAGAAGATTTAAAATTTGAAATTCACTCTATCATCTTTTTTATGATTTGTGCTTTTCAAGTCACACTTAAAAACTCATTATATAACTTGAGGTCACAGCTTTCTCCTTATAATTTTAGCTTTGGGGTTTAGGACTGTCTATGACACATTTAGAGTCAATTTTTGCATAAGTTGTTAAGTTGAAACTTAGATTTATTACCTTGTTTATACCAATGAATATGTTTCAAAATTTACCCATATACATTGTTATACTATGACTAGCAGTCCTCATTCCCTTATTTGATTCCACATATCCATCTTCCATCTGATGCCATTTTTTTGATGCTTGGAGAAATTCTTTTTATATTCTTTGTAAAAGATTTCTATTGGCCATAAATTTTCTCTGGTTTTGTTTGTCTAAAAAATTCTTATATTTACATTCATTTTAGAATAATTTTTGTGCTAGATAAAAAATTCCAAGTTAATTTTTTTTCTTTTAATGTTTCAAACATGCTAATCTACTGTCTTCTGACTTGGATGATTTCTGACAAGATATCTTAAGTGATGATTATCTTTATTCCTCTGCATAAAATGTGCTTTTTTCCTCTAACTCACTTTAAGATTTTTCACTATATTGCTAGGTTTAGCCAATTTGCTAAGGATTTGACTTGATGTAATTTCATTATATTTTGTTCAATTTGGAGTTTGTTGACCTTATCTAATCTTAAATTTGTAATTTTTATCAAACGTAGGAAACCGTCAATCATTATTTCCCAAATATTTTTCTGTCCCATTTCACCATTTTCTACTTCTAGGATTACAATTGAACTTTTATCAGGCCATGTGATATTGTTCCACATTTAATTACTCCTTTCTTTCATGGTTTTGTCTCTATGACTCAGCTTAATAATTTCAATTACTGTGTCTTCTAATTCACATGCCTTTTCTTCTGCATCTTGCAATTAATCCTGTGCAATGAATTTTTATTTCAGATATGTTATTTTTCATCTCAAGTATTTATATTCAGTTCTTAGGCTTCCAATTTTTTCCTTATTTATAATGATGCTTTCTTTTAAATCCTTGACCATTTTGAATATAACAACTGTTTTAAAATCTTTTTCTGCTAATCCCGTCACTTTAATTTCTGAATCTGATTCTATTATTTTTATCATGGAAAATATTTTACATTGTCTTGATGTTTGGCCTTTCTATACAATTTTTAATTGGTTGTGAAACATAATGCATGTTATTTATTTTAGAGTCTAAATGTTATCTTCCTTTAGGAGTAAATTCTCACCTGAGGTAAATTGAAGTTACTTCTAGATAGGATGGATGCTTTAAAGGGTTGTTTTTAAGCTTTGTCAGGGCATTGCTAGAGTAACCATTAGCCTAGGTTTAGTTTAACCTTAATACTAAGACGTGGTCCTACCGCAGCCGATAATAAGGCCCTAGTTCTTAATTCTATACTCTGAACAATTTAAACTTCCACACCTTATTACCCTGTGTACGCTCTGGAAATTGTTCCGCTTACAGATCCCTGGAGATTTCTGCCCAGACTGATAGAGTTTCATCAACTATATGTATGTCCTTATTTGTAGAAAACACTTAAAAGAACCTCTATACAGATTTTTAGAGGTCTTTCTTCATGAAGTTTTATGCTTTCTAGAACTCTGTCCTGCAACTCTTGCCACCTCAGCTTCCCTGAACTTTGATCTCTGTTTTATCAACTCAGTGATTGCCTTCCTCTGTTTTTAAAGCCTCGAATGTTTGTCCAGGTGCAAAGGGCAATTGTCAGACTCATACACATAAGAGATCCCATTTCTGTCTTGATCGTTGTACAACATCTGAAAGCAATTGTTTCATATATTTTGTCTAGTGGTCTGTTTATTGCTTATCCCTTTTTTTTTGTCTAAAGCATAAATCCCACTAATCCTCACATGTTTCTTATATAAACATATCCTCAGTATCAGCATTGATGTCTCTGAGAATCTTCTCATTTTTCCTATCTTATTTAAAGTAGCCACCATGCAAATTACTCTCTAACTCTTTGTCTCATTCAAATTTTCTTATAAAATTTCACAAAATATAAAAAACATATTTCTTACTTATTGGTTCAACTCTTTATTACATTCCTTCCCCTTAAGGCACTTTGCTTTGCACATAGTAGGTGCTCTAAAAATGTGGGAATTATAATAAGTACTTAATGCTTGATTTGTGGAATGGGCATTCTACCAATTAAATTTGTAAACCTAATCTTATATATTCTTTAGTATAAGATCACCTCTTTAAGGCTTTTTCTTATCTCTGATTTTGGCAAGAGGATAATTCCATATGTTTTAACTAAAAATTACAAAGTACAAAAATAAAGTTCACTGGATGACATTTATGCCTCAGGAAATATGTAGAAGATTATATTGTAGTCATTGTATTAATCCCACAGGTAGCCAACTGACTTTAATCAACAAATATTACATGTCTTTTCCTGTGTGCACAGTGCTATATAGCTGTTTAGTGGAAGTGGATTTGAACATATTAGACCTATTTCCTCACAATGAGCAAATGATTCAGAAGCATGGAATATTATAGGTAAAGAATCCATGGAGATTGCTTTTTTTTTTTGGTCAAAAAATGGGAATGGTGGTTGATTCGACTAGATGGATAAAGATATCGTAAAGATAGGCTGATCATAGTGTCTTTTATTGTCTTACTAGGGAATTTTAGTTATTTTAATTACAGAGAATTTCTTGGTATTATTAAGTAGGAAAAGAGTTAGATAAGACAAATTTCTTTTGGAACTGAATTAAGAAAAAAACAGGTAAGAGGAAATAAGTTAGGAGGCTATAATGGTAGCATGCACGACAAGTAACAATGGCTTGGTTTTGGTTGGTGTTGGTAGAATGGTAATTAATAGAGGCAAAGCTGAAAAAATAAAATGAAAAAGAAAAATAAATTCACTTGGAATCCTATCAGATATAAGGGCCTAGAGAAAAGATCTTTAAGATTCCTGATCCAAGAGTTTGGAAATCAATGATGTCATTAGAGGAAATAGGAAAGTCACACCCAGGGAGCGTTTGGGGAAAAGAGAGTTTAGCAATGGGCACACTGAGATGTCAACAGCAGTAAGACATTCAGGTGTAACTCCCCAGCAGACAGGTGGGGATACATTTCTGATTCACATGGGAGTTTGGTTAGGGCTAGAATACTAGATCTGAGAGTGATCTGTAGAGGCCACACAGATCACTTTTATAAGTTCCTCCCCTTTCATAACATAGTAAGCCAATCCTCAGTAGCATGGAAGAGCTAAAAAGCAGACATTCATGGCATAATACTTATAAAAGTGAATTAAAATGTATATGTCTGAAATTGCAGACTCCCTAAACTACCACCTTTTCAGGCTTTATAATCAGGGTGTGATCATTAAGTTCCATCTCCTTGCTTACTTGTTCATTGGCACATAGCCATGTTTATCTTGTCCGGAGGCACATCAACATGCTGCTTGCCCAGCATCGTATCTTATAACAATGATTGCACATTTTCACTTCTGACCATGATCCTTGATGTCTGTTCTTACTCTTATTCAGTAGCCACAGCCCAACCTCATAAAGTAGTGGATTATCAAGAGGGGATAGACAGAGTAGGCTGTTTATCAAGATTTGATCCCAAATATAACCGAAGTATATCCTTAAATGACTTTTAAAACCTACCTGAAGTTTGGGGCCATAAAACATATTTATATTCAATGTAGTTCAAAACAAGAAAGCCTGTAGAAAATGAAAAGATTACTGTAGTTATTTTTCAAATCCTAAAACTTTAGATTATCCCATAAATTTTGGGTTCAAGAAAAAGCTGGGAAATAGGTTACAAAAATAAGTCTCATACCCAGAATTGCCTTTTGAAATACTGTGCTAAGAAAATATTATGGATGTAATTGTCATTTCTTTTTCATGGGCATGCTGCTGTTTTAGATATATTCTTTTTTTGAAATGCATGAAGTCTTTCTGAAATAGGTACAGCACATCAGAAAGAAAGATCTATCTAAAACTTGAGGTTTTACCATTTGGGCACAGGATGATGCCGGGCACAGGATGATGCCAGCCACATTTCTTTTTGGAAAATTAGACTGAGAGGAAGGGGAAGCTCTTTTCCTGCTCCTTATCTGGGTCACAGTAAGCTTTAGCAAGGAGCGGGCAACAGGCTGCTCTTTCAGAATTCATGGTGGGAAGACACTGGGACCAACATACTAGAAGTGTTGGGAATAGGGGTGGACAATAGAAAAGGGGAACAAAGGCTCAGACACTACTGATGGGGAATTCTTGAGGATATGATACCTAAAACTTACCTTAGCTCCCATGACTAGTGCTTAAGGTATTGACAACACTCACTTTGTATGAACTCCTTTCCCTTTCACAAACTAAGATCCAGCAACTTCCTGCATTGCTGAGACTGGCTCTTCAGCAACTTAAGCACCATCACCATAGGCAATATCTCCTCCTGGTAGGTCTTTTCATCACCGCTGGCACAGAACAGTAAGTTTCCATACCCAATGAGTCTTGTCAATAATTCTCTACCAGCACGGAAGATTGAGAGAATAATTTGAATAAAATAATTTCACAACTCCATAGCTGTAACTAATTGGACTGACTAAACAGAATGTACAGACAATAGAATTTACTGTATTTTAACGTAGTTAATTTAGTCATTTGATGAATTGCTGGTGGCTTGTAAATACAGCTCATGGTTAGACACCAGAATCAGAAAGAAAGATCCAAAAAGGTGTAGTCTCTGAACATATTTTTTAAGGGTTGGCAAGCATTTGTTTTAGACTACCAAGACAGACATTAATCAGAGCAACTCTTCTCAACTGGAGGCAAGTCTTCCTCCAGGGGACATTTGGCAACATAGGGAGACATTTTTGGTTGTCACAGCTGGGAGAAGGATGCTACTGGCATCTAATGGGTAAAAGCCAGGGATGTGGCTAAACATCCCAGGTGCACAGGACTCCCTGTGCATTAGATGCCTGCCAATTAGATAATTCAGTTGATTAGATAATTTGGTGGGAGGAAAACAAAACTAGAAAATGGCCCTTTCAGTAGGCCAGTACTTCCCACTTTGTACATTTGCACAAGTGTAGAATTTACCAATGTCCCTTTCTAAAATATCATGGTTTTTAATTCTAGTTGCCAATTAAAGCGTAACTAAGATAGAAAAGCTGAGTATATTCAAGTATTCTTCATATTTAGTCTTGATTCTCTCTACATTTACCTCTCACCTCTTATAATTAATTAGTTAATTTCATTATCAGTGTGTTCTGTGAACCACAACTTCTTGAAAAGCCTTTTATTCTAAGGGAATCATATTTTTTTTTTAACTCGACATCTTGAGCTAAAAAAAATCCCATTAATTTCTAGTAGTAAGATAAATGTTTATGGTTTCCATTTGTTGTCATCGAACATAGCATAGCTCCCAACATCTGCTTCTCAGTGGAAATGTTGATTCCTTCTTCATCTCTTCTTAAGAATTGCATAAAAACTCAAATCTTTTTATTTCTTGAACTTCCAAGTGTTTTTCACTTTGTGTGATCATTAACATGTCTTGTTTTGCACCTTGGAATGTTCAACTTGTTACCTCTTACATACCTCCTTAAGTGTTATATATCGTCACCACCTTTCATTCTGTGGTGGAGTTGCTGCCACCCATGAGTCATGGAGCGTGGAGAGGAGGCATCACAAATGGTAATCATTTGCATCTCCAGTAGGAACTAGCACACTCACAGGCTCATAGTAGAAGTCTTAGTTAAGACATGCTTGCCGGCAAGTAAAAGATATTCCTCTAAGCATTCTTTGGCCAAACTTTTCCTCTATGATATTTAGGGATTTGAGGACAGGAAGAACAACAGAACCTCATGGGAGGATGAAGTCTTGAACCCGTAAGGTGTCAAGGATAGTGGAGCAGGTAGTTATGTTCCATGACCCCCTCTTGACTCTCTTTAAGAGGCCCATGAAGTTTTACCTTTTTTTCTCTCTTCACTTTTGCTTCCCTTTTCTCTCTCTGTGGATGTTGTCTGCTTCTGCATTCTCCCAGTCTATACATGGCTGTCAAGATCCTATATATGTCCTGGGACTTCTGACCAACTAAGTATCTCTGCTGAGCTAATGTACCTGGTGCTGTCCTTTTTGAGTACTTGGCATTCATTCATACATACATGCATACATACATACATAAAATGAGAAGGAACTAATGTGGGCTGATGGCATGTTAAAGGAGTATATTGAAAAGATAGTGAGCATCTCACATCATCACCAGGAAAACTGGAGAAACAAGCTTGGAGTGTGGGTGGAAATAATGGGAACATTTGGAAGACAGGTCCAGCAGGCATGACCATGAAGAAAATTATAACCATGGTGTTCAGCACAGGAGGCTGGGTGAAGCTGCTGTACTTCCATCCAAGCAACATGGATACATGGCCCACTGGCCCCTGGAAACTGAGCGTTGCAATCATCACTTCCTTAGCTAGCAGGAATTCTCTGTCTTTCCTGATTCTTTGGATCACCATTGACAATCTCAATGTCCTCTTGGGAGATGTCTGGCCACAGAGTCCCATGCCATTTGGCATGTCAAACATGGTGATTTGTTTTCTGTAATAAGAGGTTACTTGTTTTCTGTTACCATGAAAACAAGAATGGCTGGTGTGTCCCAAATATGGGACAGGGTTTTCAATGCCAAGTGATAACAGTGGGCCCATGCATACAATTCGAGGTAATCTTATCTCAAAGTCATTCTTAATTCCAGACTTAATACAAACCTTAATCCCAAGTGCAATTTTAATTTCCCTTTGTCATTTCATAGAATACATTTGCAGGTTCTGTTGATTAGGATATCAACATCTTTGCGGACCATGATTCTGCCTACAACAGTGATTTATCTAGACAGTGTGGACATAAAATTATATTTTGTTTAAGAGCTCTAGATTTGGAGTCAGAAGAATAATCTTGCATACTGACTCCAATATCTACTAGTGATAACCCTGGACAATGATTAACCTTCTCCATTAATTTCTTTAATTATAAAATGAGAATTGCAGCACTAATCCAATCTGTTTGCTAATGTGAAGCTAGGTAGTTTCTATAAAAGGAATGAAAAGCTTCCATGGATATTATACATGATGCCATTGGAACCAGCTATATCTTGCTGTGAATGGTGGGTGTCTTGTTTTTTTTAGCTAATGTGAATAGGTCACTGAACTTACTGTTCTTCAATTTCTCATCTCAAAAATGGGCACAACTTCACAAGAAAGTTGTGAAAATCAAATGAGACAATTTAAATAAAGATTCAAAGCATCATGCCAGATAAATACAGTGAATACCTAACATCAGAACTGAAAATACCTATTTTCAGTTTATTTACACCAGAAATTCTCAACCTTTGCACTACTGATATTTGAGGCTGTGCGTTTTTGGGTTGTGGGGGAGCTATGCTATGCACAGAAGAGTGTTTCGCAGCATCCCTGCTCTCTTCCCACTAGACATTAGCTGCTTCCCTCTTCCCCTCCCCACCCAGTTGTGGAAACCAAAATATCTCTAGATGTTGTCAAATGTCTCCTGTTGAGGACCAAATCACTCCCTCTGTTGAGAATCACTTACCTAGGCAAATACTTATTTAAGTACTGTCTGTTCTTTATAACATTTAATCGGAAGTTATATATTTAGCTAATATATAAAATATAAGCATTTATATACTTACATCCTGTCATATATTTGTAATAGGTAGCAATTTCTTTTTTCTCCCTACCGTAGGGAAAAAGAGTAAGTGTGACTTCTCTAACTTTGTTGTTGGCAGCAGATAAATATCTGATTTGTTCACGACCAAAGAGCCCATGTTTAACATCCTGTTTACTTTGGGATATTCTTTCTTTTTTAACTTATCTACATTCATTTTGAGGCAATTACCACAACATACTTATCAGTTTAACTTAATCAAATGTGTGTGTATTCCCATTTTGTTAGAACACAAATCCAAAATAACAAGTGAATGGAGAAAGCTTATCTTTTTCTCTAAAACCTATTACTTCTGCTATCATAAAGATGCTTCATGCTGTGTCTATCTAAATGCAAAATGCACAGGAAAACTAAAGCAAGCTCGATATTTTAATTAGAGTTAGGCTTGGGGAGTGGGATGATAATGACCCTAGTTTTCACTTTTGACCTGAGAGAACATGCGAATTATATATTCTAGTAGGTGAAAAAGGGTCAGCATGGGAAGTTTCTCAATTAAATTTCACAAGATTGTATAGATTGTTGATTAGATTTGCAGCATGAAACACTCCAGAAAATTTACCCACCAGTGGGCTTAACACATGGGGAAATATTTTCAGCAGTGAGGTAGCCATTGCAGTGATCACTTGGACCAAGAAATTGTTTCCACATAAACCAGAGTCCAAGGGATTAAACTGTAGAGGTGAGAATGGCACTAAACCCTGTGGCACAACCATCAAAATTAAAGAAATGGTTAGCTGTCTATGTGGTGTCCAAGTATTGGCATCCTATCCAAGCAAAATTAACTAGGCCAATTAACTGTAGGACGGGAAGCTCCCAGCTAATGCCATACTCTCCAGAGTTTCTCCAGAAGTTTGTGTGATGGCTAGACCATGGTCAGAGAGCAACACAAAATGGACCAAGCTGAGCAGGGAGCTTCAAGGACATATAATCTGGAGTCTAAGAGGTTAGATCCAACGGGTCGGTAAATGGTGTGCCCAGTAACTGAGGGATAGGTGATAATTGATAGAGCAAATTTAGAGCCTTCACAATTGGTAAAGAGTCTTAACAACCATGTCGTCATCCAAGAAAATTACATCAGTCCTGGAAACTGTGATCAGAAGCCTCGGAGAGGAAGGCTGTATTCATCAGGGTTCTCCAGAGAAACAAAACCAATAGAAAATCTATAGCTATATCGAAATCTGTATTGACGTCTATCTCTATATCTATACCTATATTGATACATATATATACTGATCTGTATCTATACCTATATCTATATATCCATATTCACATCTATACCTATATTTATATATCTATATCCATATCTATACCTATATCTATATCCATATCTATATATCTATATCCATATCTATACCTATATCTATATATCTATATCCATGTCTATATATCTATATCCATATCTATAGCTATATCTATATTCATATCTAAACCTATATATCTATATAACTATATCCATATTTATATCTAGCTATCTACTGTGGGAATTGGCTCATGAAGTTTTGGAGGCCAAAAAGCCCGACTATCTGCTGTCTGCAAGCTGCAGACTTGCTCCAGCTGAAGCAAGTCAGCTGAAGTCCAAAGGTCTGAGAACAAGAGTCACTGTTGTCCAACTGCAAGAGAATATGGATGTCCCAGCTCAAACAGAGAGTGAATTCTCCCTCCCTCGACCTTTTGTTCCATTCAGACCCTCAACTGATTAGATGATGCCTGCCTGCACTGATGAAGGTGATCTTTACTCAGTCTATGAATTCAAATGCTAATTCCTTCTGGAAATACCCTCAAAGATACACCCAGAGATAATATTTTACCAGTTCTCTGAGCATCTCTTCAGCCCGTCAAGTTGACGTGTGAAAGTAACCGTCACAAAGACCATGTCTTCAATATAAAAGGACTAAACCTTGGAAAAGTTACCAAAGAGGGACACAAGTCAAGAGGAAGAGTAAGAACCACAAAGAGGGAAGCTAGTATCAGGAAGAAGGTGAAATCTAGTTTTCAGATTTGAATCACAAGATCAGAGATGGACCAGTGTCCAGTATTCAGGAAAGTGCTCAGGTGATCTTCAAGATGGCCTGTCAGACTTGCAGAATGTGAACTTGGGAGCTGCTCTAGGGTCAGAATCCCACTGTGGACAATATGGACTGGTTGTGCGTTTTGATCACAACCTAGAGACTTAAAAGTGAGTTTGCTAAAAATACTAGCCTGCCATTGGTCCCATGCTTAACACTAGCCTGCTAATGGTCCCATCCAATGAGAATACTTCGGAGACAGGTCTAGCAAGCATGACCATGAAAAAAATCATAACCACTGTGTTCAGCACAGGAGGCTAGATGAGGTCACTGTACTTCCATCCAAGCAGCATGGACACATGGTCCACGGTCTCCTGGAAACTGAACATTGTGATCATTACTTCCATAGCTAGCAGGAATTCTCTGTCATTCCTGATTCTTTGGATCACGATTGACAAACTCAATGTTCCTCTTGGGAGATGTCTGGCCACTATTATTGAATAGTTCTATATTTGACAAACATATTTCAGGAGAAGAAATCATTACTTTTCTACTTAATTTTAATGTATATTTGTTTTCCAAAGCATGAATAGACTTGGGTAATATTTTACTTGCAGTACCATGTAGACCCGAGATAAAACATCTCTCTCCATATAAATATAAAAATAGAGAAAGCTGTATCAATGCAGGACTTTTTGTCAGTGAAATTATTAGTATCATTCTCATCTCTTGAATAGGAAATTCAGAGACTGTAAGTAGGCCAGAGTCACTGAACCACAAAATGCACTCTGAACGAAAATAACCTTGATTATCTTTCCAAAGGAAAGTAATGATGATTAGTATATGGGTATGTGTCAGGTATCGTCTATAAGGGTCTCCAGACCAGCCTAATAATAATAATATAGAAAATTAGAAATGAAGAGGTTAAAATGATAATCAACAGAGGAGGAGAAGAGTGAAAATCCATTAGCTTTGAACAAAGGAAGATAACTATATGTAGTCCCAAATGTATTTACTTGGGGGGATAACCCTGCATTATATCCACTGAAGATTATTTTGTGACTCAGCATCTCCAAGCTTCACACCAGCAGCTGTGGCCTTCGAAGAGGAAAGAACAATGGCTCTAAATCATCAGCTTTTCCTAGTGGCTAAATAAAAGTGAAGACTGTGCAGCTAATGGGACGGGTTGAAAGAAAATATACAGATGCAACATTTGCAAGAGAAAATGAGATCAGATTCCATATCTGACAGACCCTTGACAAAGTCTTGGTGGGTAAATTACTGGACGATGAAGCTAGAGACTTGTGGAAGATATAATTCCCCCAAATCATCCTTTCTCACTGCCATGGTGCCAGGAATTGTATTCATTAGAGTATTTTCTTTATTTTTTGTTTCTTTTTATTTTTTTAGAGACAGGGTCTTGCTCTGTTGCCCAGGCTGGAGTGCAGTGGTGTGATAATAGCTCACTGCAGCCTGGAACTCCTGGGATCAAGACATCCTCCTGCCTCAGCCTACCCTCACATGGCTGGGACTACAGATGTGCACCACCATGCCCTGCCAATTTTTAAATTTTTTTGTAGAGATGGGGTCTCACTATGTTGCCCAGTCTGGTCTTGAACTCCTGGGTTCAAGTGATCCACCGACCTCAGCCTCCCAAAGCACTGGCATTACAGGCACAAGCCACCTTCCCCAACCACTGGAGTATTTTCTTAAGGTCAGTGTAGCATTTCCAGAAAGGCAATTTTTTTTCGTAAACCTATGTACATAGCACCATCAAGTCAACAGTCTTCTTGGTCAATTGAAAACCAACCGGGTTTTATATTGACACTCAGAAAAGTACCTTGAATGCAGATGGCTCAGTGAGAGAGGGCAGCCAAGGTTAGCTTGCCTGCTTCTGTGCAACTGTGTACCAACTATGGCAGAACTTCCCAGACTTTGTGAGCTCATAGTTTCTTTAGTGTCTGAGTAATTTTTTTCCTACTTCCCCTAGGCCAAAAGAAAGACCTAAAATTTCTGTTTATTAGCCCAAATAAGTTACAAGAAATTTATGTGCTAATATTTTAGTAGAACAATTTTAAAATCATGTCTATTAATTTGAAAGCAAAGAAGTATATTTATATTTCATTCTTGAATAGCCATAACTATTGACAAATGAATGGGATGTGCATGCCTGTTGGTACCATACAATTTCACAAAACTTGAAATTAGATTAGACTCACCTGCTGTATTAGTTTGTTCTCATGCTGCTAATAAAGTCATACCTGAGACTGGGTAATTTATGAAGGAAAGAGGTTTAGTTGACTCACAGTTTCGCAGAGCTGGGGAGGCCTCAGGAAACTTACAATCCTCGCAGAAGGGGAAGGAAACATGCCCTTCTTCACATGGCAGCAGCAAGAAGTGCAGAGCAAAGTAAGGGAAAAGCCCCTTTTAAAACTGTCAGATCTCATGAGAACTTACTCACTATCATGAGAACAGAATGGAGGTAATTGTCCCCATGATTCAATTACCTCCCCTCCACCACACGTCCCTCCCATGACACATGGGGATTGTGGGAACTACAATTCAAGATGAGATTTGGGTGGGGACACAGCCAAATCATATCACCCATCCTCATTCCCTATTACCCACTGATTTGTTAAAACAGTATGTGATTTTTTTTATCCCACCAAGAGGCCAAAACTCAGTTTTGCAAAGATGTGGCACTACTGAAAAGGATGGAGCATGATTTAATGTTGCATCTCAGAACAATCTCTATCATGGTGTTTGCTGATATCTGACAGACATCAAGTATTTCAGTGTTTTCCCCCCAATTTAAAATACCTTCTGATGCCTCTTTGGGCCATACATTTTCTGTACTATTATGGCAGGAAGACACTATAAATGGTACAAAAGCCAAATGGGTGTAGTTGTGTCCCCCACATAATTGTTATTTGTAAATATGCCCACATTTTGTTAAAACAGGTATTATGAGTGATTTGGCTCACAAGTCTTAGTCTGTACACCCTTGGGCAAAAGCTTTCCATCCAGTATCGTATTTGAATATCTCAATGGTGGACAGAGCAATTAATCTTCATTATTTCATTTAATTTCCATAAAAGCCCAGGTGCTATAATACAGATATATGTGTGTTCTAGATGAAGGACCCAAGTCAGTCCTTCATGTAGACCCTAAGAAATGTAATTTGCTGAAGGTCACATGTGATTATTCATGTGGTGAGGATGGATATTGTCTTCAAATCAATTCCTGCCAACCTACCAAGCCCCTGTGCTTCCACTCCACCATATTGAAATAAGGGCTGTATCCAGTTCCCAATAATTTGATCTTAAATTTTTGTCAAGAACATTAGCTTCCTCAGAATAAGTTGAATTAATAATTTAAGGAGAGTGAGCCATTTCCCCCTATCCCTCCCAGGCACTGTCAAATCTACAAAAACATCCTGGAAATGAATGATTCTAGGAAAACATGGGATATCGAATTTGCAGGTTTCATTTTCTTAAGAATTGTGCCTTCATTCGGGAATTACATAATGGTAAAGGGAACAATGCAACAAGAAGAGCTAACTATTCTAAATATATATGCATCCAATACAGGAGCACCCAGATTCATAAAATGAGTTCTTAGAGACCTACAAAGAGACTTAGACTCCCACGCAATAATAGTGGGTGATTTTAACACCCCACTTTCAGTATTAGACAGGTCAATGAGACAGAAAATTAACAAGGATATTCAGGACCTGAACTTAGCTCTGCATCAAGTGGACCTAGTAGATGTTTACAGAACTATCCACCCCAAATCAACAGAATATACATCTTCTCAGTGCCACATGGCACTTATTCTAAAATCGACCACGTAATTGGAAGTAAAACACTCCTTAGCAAATGCAAAAGATCTGAAGTCATAACAAATAGTCTCTCAGACTACAGTACAATCAAATTAGAACTCAGGATTAAGAAACTCACTCAAAACCACACAATTTCATGGAAATTGAACAACCTGCTCCTGAATGACTCCTACGTAATAATGAAAATAATGAAATTAAGGCAAAAATCAAGAAGTTATTTGAAAGCAATGAGAACAAGGAGACAACATACCAGAATCTCTGGGACGTAGCTGAAGTAGTATTAAGCAGAAAATTTATAGCACTAAATGCCCACATTAGAAAGTGGGAAAGATCTGAAATTGACACCCTAACCTAACACCACAATTAAAAGGGCTTGAGAGGCAAGAGCAAATTAATCCAAAAGCTAGCAGAAGACAAGAAGTAATTAAGAAAATTATTTTCTTTTCTTAAAGAAATGAATTTTCAACCCAGAATTTCATATCCAGCCAAACTAAGCTTCATACATGAAGGAGAAATAAAATCCTTTACAGACAAGCAAATGCTGAGGTACTTTGTAACCAGCAGTTACAAAGTAACTGCATCTTTGTATGATTTCACTTATATGAGGCACCTAGAGTAGTCAAATCCATAGAGACAGAAAGTGGATGGCCATTGCCAGGGACTTGGGGGAGAGAGGAATGAAGAGTTATTGTTTAACAGATACAGAGTTTCAGTTTTGCAAGATGAGAAAAGTTCTGGAAAAGGATGGTGGTGATGCTTGCACAATAATGCGAATATCCTTAGTGCCACTGAACTCACTTAAAAATGCTTAAGATGGTTATGTTATGTGCATTTTACTACAATAAAAAAATAAGGTAGAGGATATGAAGTCAAAAAGCATGAAAGAGTTTTCTACCAAAGCAGTTTTGGATATGATTGGAGTTCTCAACCAAGCTACTCCAAAGAAGGGAAGGTTATTTGCTGATGAAGTTAACATATGGCTTTTTGTATTAGTCTGTTCTCATGCTACTAATAAAGACATAACAGAGACTGGGTAATTTATAAAGAAAAAGAGGTTTCGTGGACTCAGTTCCATATGGTTGGGGAGGCCTCAAAATTATGTCAGAAGGCAAAGCAGGAGAAAGGCACGTCTTACATGGTGGCAGGCAAGAGCTTCTGCAGGAGAACTCCCATTTATAAAACCACCAGATATTGTGAGACTACCCCAAGAACAGTATGGGAGAAACTACTCTCATAATTCAATTATCTCCACTTTGCCCCACCCTTGACACATAGGGATTATTACAATTCAAGGTGAGATTTGAGTGGGGACACAGCCAAACCATATCACTTTTAAACATAATCTTAATTAAATAATCAATTACAAATTCATTCAAAACATAAGGCAGTGATCCCATAATAACACTGCTGAAGGAGACCCATAAAGTTTTAATTACACTCAATTATCATTTCTATTGAGCCAACAGATTCAAATAAAAGGGTATGGGCGTGCAAGAGACACTTGATCTGAGGAACCATGCATTATTTTATACATATTGCGCAAAATAGGTTAAAATCAGGATGATGAGGTAATTTGCAAACTTTTTGAAATCAATCTGTGTATGATTGTCTTTTTAAATGTCTCCTTGGATCATTATACTCTTTGAGATATTTTCCTCTCTGAGAAGAGAAAGGTATTTCCAACACTGTAAATGCTGTATTTCACTGATGAACTGTCCCTTCCAATACTTTGAATCTTCAATTGCCCTGAAATCCATATTTGGTAGATAACTGGGCAACATGAGTTTTCCCATTGCTGTCTTTACATGACTCCCAGGCATGCCACGAATGGCTTCCATGTTAGTACCAGCATCTAGATGAGGCAAACACAGTGGCACCTGAAAACTCAGAGATGCCAGCAATCACGGAGCCCCTAGAGGTGTTATAGCTCTTGCTCAGGGAGCCCCGAGGTCCAAGCCCTGAAGAAATGTGGCAGCTCTTCACCCCTGTAGCCTGGCAAGCAAGAGCATGCTACAGCTCTCTTTCTCCTGTCGTCTGGCAAGCAGGAGCGTGTTACAGCTCTTTTATTCCCATTGCTCGCAGCTCGGTGAGCTGGCCAGGAGCATCACAGCTCTTTCATTCCCACCACCTGCTTCTCAGTGAGTTTCAGGTTCTTGTCCCGTGACTGAGAGGAATAAGGTACATGGACACTAGCGAGTGAATAAGGCAGAGAAGAATTTTATCAAGTGACAGAAGGAAAGCTTTCACCTGTGAGAGGAGAACCTGAAAGCAGGTTGCCATCTGTGAGGCTCAGTCTGGGGTTTTTATGGACCTAGAATGGGGGAGAGTGTGCTGATTGATCCATCGGTGGGCTTGGCAAAAGCACCATTCAATTGGTAAAAAGGCATTATCCAGAAGGAAACAATTGAGAGAGAGAGGGTAACATGGGGATAGAAGTTCTCGCTCCAGTCGTGGACTCTATCCGGAACCAGATAAGCTCAGTTTTCAGGTTTAAACCATCTTTGGCTTGAAGGTCGGGTCTCACCTCTCCTTGTCTGCCTAGGAATTTGTCTGTCTCCTGTCACTATCATCATCACACTATCCCCACTCCATATGTACACTTTTACCCTTCAGTGTGACTAAACAAAAGGATTCAAAGAAAATATAAATACATTTCTCCAAAAGTCTCTTCCTTTTACCTATACATACAATGTTATCTGTAGCAGATAAAATACACCATCTGATAAGAACATAGAATGGTGGCAGAATTGATTTTAGATTTCTTCTGCACACCCTTTGTTTTCTCACTGGGGAAGACGAGGCCATAGAGCTGAATCAACTGGCCAAGTTAGTCAAGATTCTGTGAATCCCCACATTAAATTCTGTGCACATTGCTATAATGGTTTCCATTGTGGATTTCATGCATGCATGTCCTATAATATAACAAGTTCATTGAGTATGTGACTTACTTGGTTTGTGCCATAGTAGTGTCTTATTTAAAGAAGTACAATCCAATCACAAAAACTTACTAAAAACGACTTCTATTCTTTAACTGTGTCTCTCTAAGAATATTTAAAATAATTCAATTTGTGGTGTTTCGGAACACTTTTATTTCTTTGTCTCATCCCATATTCTGAGACCTTTCTTTCACCATGCCTCCCAATCATCCCTTCTGTCTCCCATAGCATTTAAATGCTATTCTCTCTTCCCAGCTCACACATCTACTGAAGCAGAACACACATTTTTATTGAAGTCATACTGGAACATTTTTGGCTTAGTTTTACTCTTATTGGGTCGCTGTTTTCCCGTCTAAAGCTTAAAATAGGTTTCCCTGGCTTTACTGATCTTCTCCTGCTTTGAAATTATGAATTATACAAGGTAAGGTGAGAAAAGATGGGCTAAATTAAGCAAACTAACAGCTCTCTAAACGATTGGTCTAAAGGATGTCCAGAATGGACCAACACACTAGTGCTGGAAGTTTTAGATTTCAGGCTCTTTTGCCCTGACATGATTATCAATGAGTTGCGTGCAAGGACATGAGATATCAGGAGCTTTCATGTCATCTGAGACTTAGATCACAAGCATCTCAGCAGAATGAGGTAGGTTTTAAATAGCTTCCTGACAGCTAGAATAACGACAAAGTCATAAGGTCCACTAGGAAAGGATTGAAGACATATCCAAAACCAAATACAAGATAGCCTGAAACCAGGAAAGAAAACTTTGCAGTGCAATGAGAAGTATCTTTTGACCTCTGGGACCTTAGGGACTGAATACCAGAAGCCAAGCAGGAAATGCTGTGCAGGGATTGTCCTCCAGTTGCCGGGAGGACAGCAAGCCAGGCTGGAAGGGGTAAAGCTTGAACAAACATAAGCAGTGGCAATCTGAGTTCATCTCAGAAAAGAAGGGTTATGTCTTTGTTTAGAGGCAAAGCAAAAGCACCCGGGGCCTAGATGCTCACAAATATCACCGACCAAAGTATATTTTAGCTCAATGTCAGTTGAAGTTAGGATCAGAAACAACCACTGCTACTCTGTAAATTTTTTTTTCTTTCTCGCTCTTTGGGGAGAATTTCATGTTTACCCTTAGTTGTCTGATAAAAACTCTGTTTGAACATTTACAATCTTGTCTCATATCAACTCGTCAGGATCCAAAAGATATCGACAGATGGGAATTATGAATCCACTCTCCCAAGAAGAATGATGATTGTATGAAAGTTGCAGGCTTTGCTCAGGTGGCTTGAAAATAACTTTGAAAAAAACAGATTGTGAATCTTTAGCACAGAATAAGGAAAAATAAAAAACAGCTCAAGTATGTTATTATTTAATAAATGGAAAATTAAAAGTATCTAAAAAAATAGCTGAGATAAGATTTCAGGCTTCATTCCTAGAGGTTGGTGTTGACCAAGTTCCATTCTGTGCAGGTTGGAACGCATCTGGGAGTATTGGAATTAATCACTTGGACAAGAGCCCAGGCATACTTGAACACATTTAAGAGAGGATGACCATAGTGTGTTGAAGTAGCTGAATATGATGATATCAAAGCATCTGAGAATTTTGATCTTGGAGAAAAAAGACTGGGGAAAATATAGAGAAGCCTGTAGGAGATGTGATTTTGTATCTGAAGATCAACCATGTAGAAAAAAAGTTAGATGGTGCTATGATTTGGATATTTGACTCCTCCAATCCTCATGTTAAAATTTGATCCCCAGTGTTGGAGGTGGGGCCTCATGGGAGGTATTTAGAACATGGGAACAGATCCTTCATGAATAGATTAATACCCTAGTTGAGGGAAGAGATAAGTGAGGTCTCACTCTCTTTGTTTCCAGAAGAGCTGGTTGTTAAAAAAGCCTGGCACCTCTTGCCTCTCTTGCTCTCTTGCTTCCTCTCCCACCATGTGATGCCTGCACACACCAGCTCCCTTTTACCTTCTACCATGAGTATAAGCAGTCCATGGCCCTTGCCAGATGCAGATGCCAAAACTCGAACTATTCCAGACATCAGAATTGTGAGCCAAATAAACATTTTTCTTTATATATTACCCAGCCTCAGATACTTCATAGCAACACAAAATGGACTAAGACAGATGGCTTGATGAGGTGGAAAAGATCTTCCCCACTAGGCTTTGAGATAACAGGGCAGCCTCTTAGAAGGAAGACGGATGTGTCAGTGGTCCCCAAGACCATGCCCACATTCAATGATTTGGTAAGACTCACAGGACTCAGAAGTTGTTATACTACTCATACTTACGGTTTGTGATAGTGAAAGGACACAAACAAAATCAGCACAGGGAAAAAGATGGATGGGCAAAGTGCAAAGGTGCAAGGGAAAGTAGACACAAGCTTCCAATGTGCAAGGGAAACCAGGCACACTTCCAAGTGTGTCCTCCCAGTGGGTGCACTTAATACCTCTGGCAATGAGTTGTAATAATATATCCAAAGTATTGTCAATTGGGAAAGTTCACTCAAACCTTGGAGTACAGAGTTTTTATTGGAGGGCAGACACAAAGGCACATAATCAAACATGATTTTTGAATCTCTAGACTCTTAGAAGGAAACAAAAAGTGTTTACCACAATGCACACCGCTTGCATGCACTATATACACAATCTTGTTTGTATGGTTCAAGACACTCCTCCCACTCAAAGCATGAAAAGCCCTCTAATCAATGGGAACATTCTAAGCGCTTAAATCACAGGAAACTAACCAAGGCCCATCACTAAAGTGGGACTTTCTTGGGAATGTGCAGGGTTTGAGCAACCCAGGCCTGCTGTGTTAAGTCTTTCCTGTATAGGGGACAAGGGTGGTGAGTCCATGGTGGGGGTGTTGTGAAAACTGGCTCCTCTTGCCTGCAGCCACTTTTTTTTGTTTGTTTTGTTTTTTGTTTCTGTTTGAGATGGAGTCTCGCTCTGTCTCCCAGGCTGGAGTTCAGTGGCACAGTCTCGACTCACTGCAACCTCAGCCTCCCAGGTTCAAGCGATTCTCCTACCTCAGCCTCCCAAGTAGCTGGGATTACAGGTGTGCACCACCACACCCAGCTAATTTTTGTATTTTTAGTAGAGATGGTTTTCGCCATGTTGGTGAGGCTGGTCTCCAACTCCTGACCTCAGGCTATCTGCTCACCTCAGCCTCCCAAAGTGCTGGGATTACCAGCTTGAGCCACTGCGCCTGGACTGCCTGTAGCCTTCTTTTGTCTGGTTCTTTGTGCAAAAGCCAGGGGAACTGGAGAGAGATTCATTTTGATTTAAAAATCCTTGCTCTGTCCTTGCTCTATGAATTTGAAATAAGATACTTTACTTTGGTGAATCTTTATTTTTAATTAGAGAGAGAGAGGAGAAAAAAAACCACGCACGGGGGCCAGATGCCTCCAGCCAAAGAAGGTGAGGCATAGAGATCTCTTACCACTAAGGAAGGTATCTGAATCATGTGGCACCAAATATGTCACTGGTGGAAGTTATCCAAGTTACTGGCGGCAAATCCATATGGATCTGCAGCAACCTCAATTCTTGCCTTCTCGGAAGAAAGAATTCAACGGGGGGCATAAGGCAGGAAAAAGATGGAGGAATGTTTCAGAGCAGGAGTGGAAGGTTATTAAAAAGCTTTAGAACAGTAAGGAAAGGAAGGAAAGAAAAGAAAGGAAGGGAAGTACACTTGGAAGAGGGCCAAGCAGCTGACTCGAGAAACCAAGTGCACTACACTTTAGTGAATCATGAAAGAAATAATTAACATTGTTTATAAAGTGTGCCTGGCAGATGTTATGTGAATATTTGTTTTCTTTTCCCCTGAGTTGGGGAAGGTGAGATTCCTGGTAAATCATCATATTTATTCCCTCACCCGTTCTAAAACTCCAATGTGTACATGAAATATCTGGGGATCGCATTAAAATACAGATTATGATTTGGTTGATTTGGAGATGGGCCCCAAACTCTGTGATTTTAACAAGCTCCTGGGTGATGTTGGTGCTATTGGTTCATGGACCACATGATGCCCAGGGTGGGCAGCACTATGTCATGGGGGAAACCAGGGAGCAGGTTTAGTACAGACTCCTTATATTTCTACCCCCTGACATCTTCTCTTGTTCCATTCCCCTCACCTCAACCTAGTACAACTTAGAGTGTTCCAGGGCAGTAGTTTTCAAGCATTGCTGTTTGAAACTATCAAGAATTACCTGGCTTTCCAGTTAAAAGTGCAGATTCTGGGTCCCCACTGCACTGTGGTCCAATTCTGAGATGAAGCTTGGGAACATACTTTTTTTGTTGTGTTTCTAAAGTGGAACCCTCTGTGATCTGATTTAGGTAGTGGAGACCCCAGAATCTCTATATGAAGGAGGTTGGGATCATCAATGTGATGGAAGGGAGGGCAAGGATGCTGCTTAGAAGCTGTGTTTACACAGCAAGCACCTGGTTTCTGATGGCTCAGTGTATTTGTCTGTTCTCACACTGCTAATAAAGACATACCTGAGACTGGGTAATTTATAAAGAAAAAGAGGCTAAATGGACTCACAGTTCCACATGACTGGGGAGAACTCACAGGCCTGGCAGAAGGCAAAGGAGAAGAAAGGCACATCTTACATGGTGGCAGGCAAGAGAGCATGTGCAGGGGAACTCCCATTTATAAACCCATCAGAACTTGTGAGACTTATTCACTACCATGAGAACAGTATGAGGGGAACCACCCCCATGATTCAATTATCTCCACATGGCCCCACCCTTGACACCTGGGGATTATTATAATTCAAGGTGAGATTTGGGTGGGGACACAGCCAAACCATATCACTGAGATTGTGTATTTGTTTGGGTGACTCAGAGGGATGTGATGGAGATTTTTGTGTGGTCTAAATCCTTTTCAAGCCACCCCTCAGTGCAGCCACTGGAGGCAGGCCATCTGGGAACCACACTTCTCCTCACTCCAGGGAGGAGCAGGGGACCAAGGGACCCTAGACAAGCTATTTTACTCTTTTAAGCCTAGTTTGTTTTATCAGTTGTAAGAGAGTAATAATGCTTACCTGGAATTGGATTTTATTTCATTTTACTTTTATTTATTTATTTTTTAGAGACAGGGTCTTGCTCTGTCACCCAGAGTGGGGTTCAGTAGTGCAATCACAGCTCACTACAGCATTAAACTCCTGGGCTGAAGTGATCCTCCCATCTCAGCCTCCCAAGGAGCTGGGACTACAGACATGTACCACCACACCTGGCTGCTTTTAATTTTTTTTTCTTTTTTTTTTTTTTTGTAGAGACAGGGGTCTTGCTATATTGCTCAGTCTAGTCTCAAATTCCTGGGCTAACACAGTCCTTCTGCCTCAGCCTCCAAACGTGCTGGGATTGAAGACTTGAGCCATAGTGTCCAGCAAAAATGGAATGGGATTTTATAATCAAAGAGCTCAGAGGAGACACCCAGGAAATTATATTTGCTCTTTTTATTGGTTCTCTTATACCTGACTGGAGTAGGGACTTCACATTGAAACTAATGTAAGTGTGTTTGACATATTACTCTGTCTGTTCTCTTTCTCTCCTTCAAGAATGATGCCAGGAGGATTAATAGGTGGAAGTAATCAGAGCTCTGGTTTCATGGTCATGTCATTCGTTCTTCCAGCAGCTTGTATAGTGCAGCCATCAAAAGTGGTGAGGAGGCTGCTCTGGAGCTGTGCACACCTAGGGTGGAAAAGCTCTGTCTAGATTTCTCATTCCAAGGTTACCTGCCCCTCCAACATTAAAGGGAGAATTGGCACGGAATCCTGAGATGGAAAGGGCCTTGGAAGTTCCAACCCCAGATCTTCCTTTGCTTGTACAGAGAAAGAGACTGAGATCAGGAAAGGTTTGATGATGACGTCTGGCAGTATTAGGAATACAAACTTATCCCCTTTGCTCTCACACAATTGTTTTATGCACTGCACCATTCTGCTTCCCTACAAATAGGAGCAAATTAGCTCCCACCAAAAGAGTACACCCTGTGGGGAAATGACTGGAAGGTCAATAATACGTATTTGTATTGACTTAAGGAATAGTCAAGCTGCTAAAAGGGTTGATGCTAGTTTTCTTCCCTTGACGTATTTATTAATAATTTAGGATATGGGGAAAATAAGATGCCTTCTGGAATTGATATTAGTTGTAAAGCATCATATATCAGAGGAAAAGCGAAGTAAGGCCAGGAGACCAAAATGTTAGATTGTGAGATTAAAATAATGCTAGATCTTCAAATGGGCAAATGATGCACAGTGTGAGAATAAATAAATACCTGTATGTTGTTTTGCTTTTTATTGTGGTTTATGTTTATGGTTGGATTGCAGTGGTTATGTTTTAATTATCTAAAAAAAATGATACCAGTTGTCCTCTATCCAAATGAACATTGTCTATCAAAGTGGTCAACTTCTAAGGCTACGTGCTTAATCCAATGATGTTGGCACTACTTAAAACATTTTTAAATGCCTAAGGCATTTTCTTTAAATATTCCTATTAATGGCAGATTTTTGTAGAGAATCAACTATGTTTGGTATGATGCAAAAAAATCTTTAGGAGAAAATGTGTGTCCCTATAAAGGTTGTGGAAGGTTGGGAAAATCATTTGGAGTAAAACAAAAGAGGAGTAGATTACTGAAAACATGACGATGTTTTCGAAAGCGATCCATATGTTCTAAAGGAACAGTGGGATGATGTGATGTGAGAGAAGTGCTCATCTTCCAAATCTCTCCCAGTGACTCTACCTTAGTTTGAATGTGAAACAGTTTTAAAGGCAGATGTGCTCTGGACTGCATTCATCAAACATTTAGCCAGCACTCTTGGTGCAATGATGCCTCCATTGTCTCCACTGGTGAAAGACGTGTGTGGGCAGAAGCTGAGCTATTGCAAAGTTCAGTGATTGCTACCTGTGGAAGGTGGTGATAGAAGTGTCAGGCTGATGTGAAGACAGGCATGGCATGGCCTAAGATCTGCCCATTTAATCTGGTGCTCCCCTCTCTTCTTGATGCAAAGAGGAAAAGGAGATACTTTAGTCTCAAAGTCAAATCAGAGTGATGCATGGAGACAGTTAAATGCTGTTTGCCTCTGTGATGCCAATGAGCTGCAACCCTGGTTTTCTATTCTTTGCTCAACACCAGAAGTTAAGGCTATGGGAAGGGATGCATCACGGCAGCTGTACACTGAGAATGAGCCCAGAGGAGAGCTTTTTAGAAGCATCTGCTCGTCTTTATTTGAGAAACTCAGCCCTTTCGAGTCGCTTGGATCAAGTATAGCTTTCTAAGGTGAGAAGAAACTTGAAAGGCAGTTCTGATATCTAATATGGAATTCTTATTATTGCATAGGTTCATTTCACGTCATTCTAGAAAGTTATAGGTGCATTTCACGGTTCAAAAGTAGAAATGTCAGGAGAAAACATCAAAAAGAGAAATCCCATTTTACACTGATCGGAGATCACAGGGTGTAAGATGAAGGAACTGAGAAGTAGAAAAACATAACCTCACTCACCTGCCCAGAGTTGCTGCTTCCTGCTGGCTGGGGTGCCTTGGTTTGCATTGTATATGACCTCTCTCCAAGAGTCTACACTTGTCTTCCTCAGTGTATGGTGGCCTCAGAGTTCCTTTACCAGGGGACAAGAGTGAAAGCTGCAAGGTCTCTTAAGATTGAATTCCCAGACTTCGCACAGCATTTACTCTGCCACATTCTGTGTGTCAAAGTACATAACAAGCCTATTCTCAGATCAAGGGCATGGAAATAGACTCTGTGTCTTTATGGTGGACACAGGAAGGTGTCATTCATCAGGCATTATTAGGAAGGCAATCTGCAACATTTCTTTCTGAATTGCCTCAAAGAGAACATGACTGGCATCTTGATTTCTGAAGTCCATGTCTTAAATCCTCACATGGTTCCTTTTGTGACACAGTTTCTATTTATTGAAAAGCTAAATCTGGAAGAAGGAAATCATAAAGGAAGATCTATAGAAACATTTATTCTTGAATATATATGTATGTATATATCACAAAAACTACGGGTTTTGATATTCTGCAGTTAAATTTGTTCATATGGTTGTTCATTTAATTTACTTATTTAACATATTTCAATAAGTAATACATGCACATGGCAGAAAATTCAAAGGTACGAAAGGGCATACATGGATTGAAAAGTAAGCCTTTTTTCCATATCATTTCTCTCTACCACTCAGTTTCACCATAAGAAACCATATTGCTCTATTTGTAGAAAATTTGGATTTATATCATTTTATTCTATTCAAATCAAATACTCAAGATTAAATAAGAAGGAGACCCATAGAGATGGGGAAAGGGGTATATTTATTTGATTACAACAAACTATGAAGTCATCAACTGACTGTACCACTTTCTGCTGCCTCACAGATTAAAAACATAAATAACAGAAGGAGAAAGAAAAAATTGTGGAGATGTATACAGGTAAGAATCTAGGAAGCCCCACCACAACCCATCCTCCTGACTTGCAAAATGCCCGGCAAGGTGACAGTGTGGAGGATGATTAATTATCACTCTGGTATCCCCAGCCATCAGAAAGTGCCCTTTTTAAAGGACCTATAAAATATTAATAAGGTCCACAAGTTTATTTAGCTAATGTGTGACACCAATACATTGTATCACCATTAGTTTTTGTCTGCGATGCTACAATGTGACTTATAAGGCAAACATGACTACTGTTAAGATTTAGGAAATAGGTATGAGCTTGGTGGCAGGCAGGAGAAATTACTGAGAAGATGACAGTATTTTCAATTCATTTCAGTAGCATACTTGGTGCAGAAGCCAGGTTGTGGAGAATTGAGCAGTAATAGCTCAAGGACAAGTAATAGACAACCCTGTTAATAAGTTTATCTGTGAAGGAAAGAATAATAGCTACAGCAAGTCATTCAATCACATAAGTGATGTTTTCATGGGAAAGACTTGAACATCAGCCTTACCTATTGCTACAGGCCAACTTACTCTTGGAGTAAAGCAAGCTTTATGGAGAGTCACATATATATGCCACCCCATCTTTAGTAGACACCGCAGGCTCCCATGATCTGAGTCAGAGATGACAGGGGAGAAGCTAAGAATTGTAGCTCGCATTTACTGAATGTTTGCTACACGCTAGACCCTGTCTTGTTTAATTTACACAAATTATGCCATTACAACTTCACAGCAATCCAGTTGGGTACCATTGTTGTACCTGTCCTACAAGCGAAGAAACTGAGGTCTACAGAGGTTAAAAAATTTCCTGAAAGCCACTCAACTAATCTGTGACAAGGCTAATATCAGACCCTGAGTAGCCTGATGACAGAAGTCACCATGCTATACACCACCCCTGACTGAGCCTCACACAAAAGAATGTCAAAACGTGCAGGGATATTTGAACATATCAACCAATCTTGTTGTAGCCATAAAGTCCATGAATGTAGAGGTTGGGCCCAAGTGTTCTCCTTTGTCTCTCCGGTTCCCTCTCACTTACATATTTCATTGTAGATACAATTAACCTTCTTATGATCAGACAAAGCTCTTAAAGATTCCAGAGATTACTCAATGGTGCAACTTACTCTGAACACAACACAAACTTATCCACTCCATGATGACTGAAAAGACTAAACAAGAGAACTCTGTTCTCTTCAATGTGAGAGGGATGTCTGGAGCAGAGAGAAGTCAGGTTGGTGTGATGATTAAATTTTACAAGTCAATCATGGCCAAACACCAATTTAGATATTGCTGCAAAAGTATGTTGTAGATGGGATTAACATTCCCTATCACTTGACATCAAGGAGTTGACCCTCAATACATGGTGGCCTACATCCAATCCCTTGAAGACCTTAAGAGCTGAAACAGATTTCCTAGAGTAAAGAAATTCAGCCTCAGGAAATTCAAGACAGTAACATAGAAATCCTGAGTTTCCGGCATACTGCTTCCTCTACTTATTTTAGACTTGCCAGTCCTCATCATCAGGTGAACCAATTCCTTACAAGTAAATGTCATCGATGGATACATATAGAAAGACAAAAACGTACATCTGCATGTGTATTTGTCTATCTATCTATCTATCTATCTATCATCTACCTGTCAATCATTTCTCATCTATCTCTTGCTATTTATATCTACTTATCCATGTCTATCTATCTATCTATCTATCTATCATCTACTTATCTGTCAATCATTTCTCATCTATCTCTTGCTATTTATATCTACTTATCCATGTCTATCTATCTATCTATCTATCATCTATCTATTGATCTATCTATAATCTACCTATCATTTACGTGTCAATTGTTTGTCATCTATCACTTGCTATTTATCATCTACCTATCCATGTCTATCTATCTATCTATCTATCATCTACTTATCATCTACCTGTCAATCATTTGTTATCTATCTCTTGCTATTTATCATCTACCTATCCATGTCTGTCTATCTATTGATCTCTCTATAATATACCTATCATCTGCCTATCTGTCAATCATTTGTCATCTCTCTTTAGCTATTTATCATCTACTTAGCCCTATCTATCTATCTATCTATCTGTCATCTATCTTTCAATCATCTATATATCTATCTGTCTACCTCATTATCTATCTATCCTATTGGTTTTGTTTCTCTGGAAAACTCTGACCAATGCAGTCAGTGTGAAGGGACAGATCAATATGACTGATAACTCACAGGTAAAACTTATATTTATGAAACCAGCTTTCTTTCACATTGACTGTTACTTGATTACTCACACCCAGGGCTTCTATCTGGATTTGTTCACAGTGTTTCCTTTATCTTCAGTCGCTCTTCTCTTTTTTCAGTGTTTTTCATCTTCATCAACGTAGATTTCTTTTTGTCTCCTGGTGGGTTTTCTTTCTCCCTGATATGGTTTGGCTGTGTCCCCACCCAATTCTTATCTTGAATTGTAACTCCCATAATTCCCACATGTTGTTGGAGAGACCCAGTGGGGGGTAATTGAATCGTGGGGGCAGGTCTTTCCCATGCTGTTCTGGTGATAGTGAATAAGTCTTACGAGATCTGATGGTTTTATAAAGGGGAGTTCCCCTCCACATGCTCTCTTGCCTGCTGCCATGTAAGATGTGACTTTGCTCCTCATTCACCTTCCGCCATGATTGTGAGGCCGCCCCAGCCATGTGGAACTGTGGAACTTTATAAATTATGTAGTCTCTAGTATGTCTTTATTAGCAGCATGAGGACAGAATAATACACTTTCCTAATGTTTCATTGGCACTTTCATGTTCTTTTAAGTATTTTATCAGGCTTATCCAAATTTATATAGTTCCTAGAATTTTAACTTTTGATTAAGGAAATACATGGTCAGAAATATAACATTCTTATAAAAATCACTACTTACCAGTCACTTTAATATATCAATCAAGAAGCATTATTTCCTGTGATTCAGGAGGTGAACACTTGTTTTGGCTACAATGAATTCATGTGAAAACATGTACAATCCAGTGAAACGAATTATTACGCAATTAATATCTGAATGCATTTGTATGTTTTTTGGCTTACCACCTGTCTCTCAACCATCTAGCCATGCATGAATACTATCAGGCTTGTCTTATTTATAATAGGAACACCTAATCATTGTGTTATTCTAAATTTTTATTTGTATTTCCAGATTATCAACCCACCTGCTAATTTAGATTATTGTTTAGAAAAGCAGCATAGCTCTTTTATTTTATCAAAGGTCATTCAGTAAATTTAATATATTTGATGCCAGAAAAAGAAATCTCTTTACACAAACATACCCTCTACAAGTTACAAGTTAAAAGCAATATTTATTTAAAATAGCAAACAATAAACTTTTAATCGCTACCACTGTCTTACATTATTTTATGCAATATGCCATAGCTAAGAAAATCTTCTCTACTTTTTTCCTATCCAGTTAGTGAATACATTTTAAGTATTAAATGGAAGAATTAGATTCTTAGGCGAGACAGAATACATATAAAAAGATGTTAATATTTAATAATAAAAGTTGAAAATATATTACAAAATAAAGTAAGAAATTTTATTATCTCCAAGAGTATCCTTTTTATAAATTATTTTTCTTGGTTTCTTGTGCTGTTTAAATTTTCTTGATTTCTTTGCAATGATATTGCTTTGCAGATACCTGAATTATGTCGTGTCTACAGATCCCATGAGTATGTAGCCATAGCAATGAACAACACAGGTAATGGTTCTGATTTTATATGGATTCATGAACCCTCGAAATTAGACCTTTCCCATTTTAAGAAAAAAGAAAGAAACATCTCTACCTATAAGAATTAGGTATATATAGCCGGGCGCGGTGGCGGGCGCCTGTAGTCCCAGCTACTCGGGAGGCTGAGGCAGGAGAATGGCGTGAACCCGGGAAGCAGAGCTTGCAGTGAGCCGAGATTGCGCCACTGCAGTCCGCAGTCCGGCCTGGGCGACAGAGCGAGACTCCGTCTCAAAAAAAAAAAAAAAAAAAAAAAAAAAAAAAAAGAATTAGGTATATAGAATATTTTACATACTATGCTCATATGTACAAAATGAGTAGTTGGAAGTAAATGTGAGAATAAACAGTATGCAGTGGATGAAACATATATTCTAGTTTGAAAACTCAGAAGTGCACATTTAAAGAGAAAATCTATAAACCTGACTGCTTTACATTAGTGGAAAAAGTAGTCTGAATTATGTTACAATTTGCAGGTATATACATATTTATTACTTTAAGAACTTGCACAATATGTAAAGAAGAGCTTTGCTTTACATGAGTAACATTTTACTAAGTGATGTCTAAATCATCATGAATTCTCAGTTAGCTAGAGCAGCAATAATGACATTTTATTGTAGGAGAGGAATATCCTAATGAATGTAGCTTAATCTGGTATTTTCAGAAGTGGCTTTTCATCAGGTGTAGAACCTGGATTAACAGCTGATTTTGCCTACATCATATTTGATTCTCAGAAAACTTTCCAGTATGATAGATAAAAATTATAAGGATCTGATGTAAACTCCTGAGGCCATAACTTATGCCCATTTTCTAAGGCAATACTTAAAACAAAAATTTTTAACAGCAATAAACTCTGTTCTTGTGACCACCTCATTTTCCTCCTCAAAATTCACAACCTATCTCCATTACTGCGTGACTTTTTGTTTTGTTTTGTTTTTTAGCGACAGGGTCTTCCTCTATCACCCAGGCTGGAGTGCAGTGGAGCGATCATAGCTCACTGAAGGCTCAAACTACTGGGCTCAAGTGATCCCCCTACCTCAGCCTCCCGAGTAACTGAAACTACCGGTGCGTGGCACCCTGCCTGGCTAATTTTTTCTTTTTTTTCTTTTTTTTTTCTTTTGTACAAACAGGTTCTCACTACGTTGCTCAAGTTGATCTCAAACTCATTGCCTCAAGCGATCCACTCACCTCAGCCTCCATGCTAGGATTACAGGCATGAGCCACCACACCCAGCCCTAAATGACATTTAATTTTGGAAATCTCCCACCAATTCAATCCAGCCTAAATTATTTGTACCACTCTTTCCTTTTGATCATCCATTATTTTTAAGTATCAACATTCAACTCTCTATGTTTCCTCATAGTTTTGTATATTACATCCCACTTCGTTTATCCCTAGGTCTTCTCAAACAAATTACCAGGGAATCTCCTCAAACCTTTTTGCAGATGTCTCCTCTTGCTCCTTTCCTTCCTGTTTCTATATTTGTCATTTAGAATTTGAGACCTGCTAAAGACAAACCACACATTTCTTCCAGTTCCTGTGTGGGAAGGTCAAAGGTCTATGTGTGTGTCTTACTGACATGTCCTTTCCTGTAAACGCTGTACCTGGTGTTCCCATAAAATCTGGCTTCTTGAAAATGGCAATAATGACTGCATTCATGTGTTGAGTGTGTTCTCTGGATCAGTCATTTCATTGGGTTCTTGGAAAGTGCGTTTTATCTAATTGTCACAGATACATGACAAGGACAGTGTTTTTTTCATCATCCCCATTTTATAGATGATTGAGCTGAGGTTTCTTTGAGTTAGGTACTGGACCCACAGTGGAAAAATTAGTTCTTCATTCCAGATAATGTCTTAGAATTTTTCCAGCTCTGATGTTCAAAATTTAAATTTTGTCATGGAAATAAAGTAACATGAATCTCCACTACAGAAGTGGCGAATAGCTTAGCTTGGTTGAAGAAAAGTTTGCATTCTAAGCTGACTTCACAGATTGTAGAATCCACTGACCTTCTATAGAAGAAGTGAAGAAAGTCTGAGAAAATTCCCCACAATCTCTCCTTGATTTCTTCCCCATGAGTTTGCACTGAGGACCAAGTTCCACCTCTAAAGACAAATCTTATGGTGTTGAAACAGCCTTTTCCCAAGGGAAAATTGAGTCTCATTTTCATGGGATGCTAATTTTGATGCTCTGAAAAAAAAAAAAATCCTATTTGGTGGTCAAATAAATTTGAGAGTCCTGGACTAAATAAAACTGAAATGAGTTTTATTTTTTGTTATTTGGGGTTTTTTGTTTGTTTTTTTTAAAGCCATGTGTTCATAGAGTATCTGGTGTATTCACTCCTGTCTCTGAGAGGGTGACATGATATACATGCATTGACAAATTTATCAGACTGTAGAACTCCAAATTTTTTTTGATGCACCCAATACCTATTAATAAATCTCAAAAGTGTTTATCTAAGGGACTGTTATGTTAAGATTTTTTTTTAGTATGCCCTGATTAATGTACAAATACCCCAAAATGACTCATAGAATAAGCCAATGGCCTCCCCTCAGCCCAGGATTCATTGGCTGCACACTAGAATCACAGGAGGCCTCATAGGAGCTTTAGAAAACATTGTTGCCAGAATCTGTTGAAATTTTTGGAAGCTGCCCAGGTTATTCTAATGTGCAGCCAAGGTTGAGAAGCACTGGCTTAGGCTGAGCACAAAATTGGGTTATCGGAGTGCTGTGCAGGTGTGCTTGGGACTTGTGGGTGGACTCTCCGGAGGCAAGAATTGGGAGGAAGAAATTAATAGAGATGAGGTAATGGGTGAAGGAGATCCAGAGTCTGAGGAAGCATCTATGAGGGAAAAGTTAAAACCCTGCATGGACTTTAGAGAACAAAAAGGGTTTTGAGATTGGCATAGGAAGTATTGAAAAAGAGAAACTTTAAAAAAATGAAGGGAATACACTTTCTTCCTACATATTATACTTTTGCTGTCTGCCTGCCAGTCCCAGCTACTTGGAGACAGGTAGTGAGGTGGATATTTAACTCGAAGTATACACAGTTAGCAAGCATTACAATGGTTCTATCTTTGTGTGACTTACACTGTGCCTATCACATGTCGGTATCAATAAACATTCATGGAAGTAAACAGGGAGCCCTGATTTTTAAACTCTAAATTAACACTTGACGTTAACACACATTCATTAAGAATCAGCAGCATGCTAGTCATGATAACTGTTAAACCAATTCCAAATTATAGATTTTACTCCTATGAAATTGCATATCTCTAGCAGTGTGTGCAAGCCACAAATAATATGCTTTCTCTCTGCCTGGGCACTGTTATATTCATTAAAATGCATTCGATTTCTCTTTAATTTGTAAACTGAAGCAAGCATTCAATAAGATTCTCTGCAACCTATTTATTCACCTGCCTTTGCAGTTGCTGTGCAATGTCATTCCTCTACAAGAAATGGATATTTCTTTTCCAATCTTTAATAATTAAGCAAGTGTGATTTTCCCCTCTTTTAGTTGCCTTAGCACCCTCTAATTGGGAGGGTCTATTTTGTATTCTATTATTTCACTTCCATCCCCTATTTCCTCATGAAATAAAAATCATGTGTTCAAGTACCTTGCAAAAAGTACATGGTAAGCTTTCTTTTAAAACCATGTCTACTTTCAGAGAAGAAGCTTTGGACTATAAATATATTTGAGTGAGGGTGAAAATGCAAAACCGATTTGGTTTTTGCTTCCATGCTTCAGATCTACAGGTCATTAATTATTTATTTTCATCCTGAAAGCATTTTTTTTCTATCTATACAATGCCCAAGCCTCTCAAGGAATTTTAAGCAATAAAGGTAAAAAGGTTTTCTGTTTTTGATAAATAATATTGAGTTTAAAATAACTGGTTGAAGAAAGGCATTGGGAATGCTTCCGTGATGTACTGTGAGCATGGATCTGCTGGTCATGCATTATTTAGTATATTCTATATGGGGAAATACACTTTGCATTTGGGTTTTGAAAGAGGAGTTTTGAAAATGGTGTTTTGCATCTGAATTCTGCTTTTTCACTAGACTGCATTTGCAACGATGCATGTCTGCAAGACCCCATGGACAACTTTCATCTGATGCACGCACTCATTCTTGCTTTGACACTCCAAGCCAAGTCACATTTGTTTCCACCAAGTCAGACAACTTCGATGGCTCTCTGCATCTCACTATATCTCTGTCCTGCTGATGCCACCAAATGACCAGAGATGGTCCAGACAATTTACAAGAAAGGACGTGGGCAAGCCTCATGCAAAGTAAGAAATAGCTAGCTTGTCTTTGGTATTTAGCAATGTTTAAATTGATTTGCTCTTTCCTCACTTCACTCCTGGCTAGCTCCTCGGGATTTAGAGTGCTGATGCCCAAGTATTGAATTGTAATTGTTCCGGATCTGAGCTGCCATCCCTGAGCTCCCTACCTCCAGTGTACATTTTTTTTTTCCAGAATTACATCTCCCTCCTTTTCCTCTTTTATTTTTTGCATTGTAATGCTTCTATCAGGCAAACCCGTAACAAATTAAGATGCCTGAAACAGTTAACGTAAAAAAAGATTGTTTATTTTTCAAATTGAAATAAAAGCATGTAGCATAAACATTGATTTAATTTTTAGTGTAATTTCAGGCTGTTTTCTTTACAACTTGAATATGTCTTCCTCTTCCAAGGTTTGGTTTCAAGGCCATCTCCCTCATACCACCTGCTGCCATGCACCCCGTCCTCATGCCCCACTCTTTCGGAAAGGATTCTTTCTTATTTAGAGGTATCACAACTTTTTTTCTTAGCTTCTATTATGCATTTTATTCTGCCTTGGAGAGTGAGTTGCTGACATGCCCTTATTGATATAAGCTACATGATGGCAGCAGTGAGGTGTCACATTACCTTATCATTTTCAGTAGAAACAATGATTCTTCCATGGCCAGGTTTTAAAACCTCTTGCCATAGAAGTCATTGTTTTTACTGAAACATTCTGTTTTAAAACCAGCTGGATGTAGTGGCTCACGCCTATAATCCCAACATTTTTGGAGGCGGAGGCGGGAGGATCGCTTGAGTCCAGGAGTTTGACGCCACCCTGGGCAACATAGGGTGACCCAATTGCTACAAAAAAAAAAAAAAAAAAAAAAAAAATTAACAATTAGCCAGGCTTGGTGGCGCATGTCTGTGGTCCCAGCTACTTGAGAGGCTGATGTGAGAGGATTGCTTGAGACCAGGAGATAGAGGCTACAGTGGGCTGTGATCGTGCCACTCTGCACTCTGGCCTGGGTGACAGAGCAAGACCCTGTCTCAATCAATCAATACAGTTTCCTCTCTCCCCAACCACAGTGCTAACGTTTGCTCCCTCTACCCCAAGGTGAAAGGCTGGAAGGCTGGTTTAAGATTTTCATCCCCAGATACATAGATCTGAATTTAAAAATACATTGGTGTTTTGAATTATTTGTGTGGACATTGACTTTTTTAAAATGCGGTTTTTAAATTTGCAGTTTAATAAAACTGTTAAGTTTTATCCATCTGGTGGAATATAATACTTAAAGCAGAAAAAAATGTGTGCTCATAACTTATGTTTATCTAAAATTTGTATTTGAGGCCACTATGTAAAATAAATAGACTGAAAAATAAGAGCGTCTCTGCAAAAACAAGTATTTGTGGTCTTTTCAGCAGCTTGAATAGTTAGATTTCTCTTAGTAAGTTGAATGATTTACCCTGTTTTCTTTTTTTGGCTAAATAAATCATATTTGTCTATTTTTAACTTCTTTTAAGTTTATGCAGAAACTCTAAAGTTGCGGAGGAAAAGCACTGTATTAACAAGGCCTATTTTCCCAGAATGAAGGGAAACTTTTGCTTGTACAAGGTTAATTTGCAAAGCACAATTTATAACACTATAGAGACGTCTCTCTTGAAACCAAGGGCCCTATCATTTCTTTTTCATTTGACATCTGCAGAGTAAGAGTAAATATTTCTTAATTTAGAGGAAGGTAAGGCTATTTTTCAAGTGAATCCACTAAATTAATCCACTGGAGTAGGCGTTATTTCCTTCATCACCCGTCTGCCTTAAATATAGTACCTGCACATTCAAGGCAAATGCAAAAATAGCTTCAGATTTAAATAGGTGATATTGTCTCACATATAAAAGATGAGTCTTGTCTGTGATATAAAAGTAGCTGTTTAATACTTTTAGCAATTTTCAGTGGCTTTATTTTTTCATATAGTTCCTGTATTTGGAATGTAATTAATGGAAAGGTTTAGCTTTGTCCTTGAAAAGGTTTCCATTTTTCTAGCAGGCTTGAGTCACTCACTAATAATAAACATGCTGTATTTTTAGCTACATATCCATCTATTTTCCATCTAATTCATTTATTTATTTACAGCTTGTCCTGTCCCTAAGCTTCTAATGTGGTAGCACATTAGAAAATGTTATCCTTATTGCGTATTCATCTCAATTTGAAGATATCAGAACTCCGTCAAGACAAGGCTGGGTACGGTGGCTCATGCTTATTATCCTAGCACATTGGGAGGCCAAGGCAGGTGGATCACTTGAGGTCAGGAGTTTGGGACCAGCCTGGCCAACATGGCGAAACCCCATCTCTATTAAAAATACAAAAATTAGCCTGGTGTGGTGGCACATGCCTGTAATCCCAGCTACTTGGGAGGCTGAGGCTCGAGAATCACTTGAACCCGGGAGGCAGAGGTTGCGGTGAGCCGAGATAGCACCACTGCACTCCAGCCTAAGTGACAGAGTGAGATTCTGACTCAAAATAAATAAATAAATAAATAAATAAATAGTCAAGAAATGGTTCAGGTTAGAAATCTGATTCTGGTAATGTATTTAAGAAAATATCCAGTATCCAAAATATTTCAACTGCATTTACATATTATTATTATATATACCAACATGTCCACACACAACATACATTTACACTGGTCTCCAGCTTAAATTGACTCACTCAGGTACACTCCCCTGGCCTGTTTAATAGAGGGGGTCATGTCTCTTGTTGTACCTTATTGTAGACAAAATTATAAGCTCATACTTGAGGTCTCTTCTTTGTTTCTAACATATAGGACCGAGAGTTGAAACATAATACATAAAAATGGAACAGTGATAGTCAGATTTCCAAATGAGGAAATTGTCTTCTTAGGAATAGAAACCAGATGGGAACTCAACACAGTAGTGGCCAGGAACTGCTGGACTCTAGGCCCAAGAGCCAGGAGACACCCGGAGTGTAATTCCTGGGAAATTATGAAAGGTGCCCCAGGAGTCTGGGAGACAGAGCCCTTTCTTTCCAGAAATAAGAGAGTTTGAAGACAGCTACTGACCATTACTCAGAGCTGGCATTTCTATGAAATTGATATCCTAGGGAGGAGAAAGGGAGCTGACAAAACGTCACCACCAAGAACCAACTGAGCAGGCTACAGATTCAGTGAATGGACTCATGACTATGCCACTCACGTCTCTGGGTGGGAGCTCCAACCACTGAGGATAAGACCATAGAGAAGGGTAAGGGGATAAGGAAATAGACACATGAAGACAGATGTGTGTGCAAAGAAGAAAGAGAGACAGAGACAGAGTGAGAGAGACGCATCTTACTCACCTGAAGATCCAAATCCCAAAACACATGCAAAAAGAATCAAGAAGTGGAAAATGCAGTCTTCCAAATTAACCACAAGTTTAGATTTTAAAATAGACATTAAGTGAAATTCTTTAGAATGGGGCAAGCATTCTCTAGAGGAGCAGTTGCCTTCAGCACAGGACCTATAATGCCTCCAGGGAACGGTACCTCTAATGCCTCTGGAGACCACAAGGGAGAAACAAAGGAAGGCACATGCAAGAAAAAACAGCAATCATGAAAAGAGCAAAAAAATCATGAAACAGAGACAGGCAGGCACCAGATAAAAGCAAGTGGGTATAGAAATTGCAAAATCACAACTACAGAAACAAAAAAGATACAGTAAATAATATGGTTTGGCTGTGTGTCCGCACCCAAATCTCACCTTGAATTGTAATAATCCCAACGTGTTGTGGGAGGAACCTGGTGGGAGGTAATTGAATCATGCGGGATGGGTTTTTCCCATGCTGTTCTCATGGTAGTGAATAAGTCTCATGAGATCTGATGGCTTTGTAAATGGCAGTTCCCCTGCGCACACTCTCTTGCCTGCCACCATGTAAGACATCCCTTTGCTCTTCATCTTCTGCCATGATTGTGAGGCCTTCCCAGCCATGTGGAACTGTGAGTCCATTAAACCTCTTTCTTTTATAAATTACTCAGTCTCGGCTATGTCTTTATTAGCAGCATGAGAACAGACTAATATAGTAATGGAAATAAAATATAATACTGTAAAGTGTAGACTCTACAATCAAAGAGGACACTGAAACATAGTACAGAGGATGCACAAAGAAATAAAAAATAATATGAATACGTAAAGAGCTGTTAGGAGATATGTTTATGGACATGGGTTAGTAAAAGGAGATGAGAGTAAACCACGGCAACAATGATTGGGTAGATAAAGGATGGAAATATTCCTAAATTAAAGAAACATATGAGCTCTCACATTGAAATACATCACTTGAGTACCAAATAAAATGATCAGTAAATCCACAGGTTGATGTAAAACTAAAGAATATTGAGAATGAAGATAAAGTTAAGTACCTTCCCAAGATATTAATAAAAAGCAGATTGCATAGAAAAACTGTTAGTCTGTTAGGAGATTCACATAAACCTCAGGAGAAGTGAAAGCGTCTTGGAGAAGTAGCCTAAGTATTGAAAAATAATCGTCAATTGAAAATCCAATATCCAGGTAGCCTCAGATCAAGATGAAGCTATGGAAACCACTTTCAGATATACAAAGACTAGGAATTTACCACCCATATATCCTTAATGAACAAATTAACAAGGACAGTTCTTCAGCAAGAATAAAGGGGAAACAGGACAGTTCTTCAGAGGAATAAAGGGAAACAATTGGGCAGAAAATAATGGGGATTTCAGATACTGTTAAACATTGATAAATTTCGTGAGCCATCCACTAAGACCAAATGATAAAGATTGCAATTATTATTTCAGGTAAACCCAATTCTAGAAGGAGGATGGTTATGGGATGTGGTTTTCAAATATCATAAACATGCTAAATTTTAAATAACTAAAACTTATACTTTATTGAAAACGTAAGTGTATTGAAATTGTAAACATACAATATTCTGAATTTATAGTTCCCTCTGCCTAAAATGCTTTTAACAGCAGATTTGTATGTCAACTCTGTAGTCCATAGCTGTGAAAATTTGGCAAAAGCACCCAGATTCTGTTGTGTCTGTAAAAACTGACTTCCTCTAACGTCTAGGGCTGTGCTACTTAAAGTAAATGTGGATATAAATCCCCCAGGAATCCAGTTAAAAGCAAAAGCACCCAGATTCTGTTGTGTCTGTAAAAACTGACTTCCTCTAACGTCTAGAGCTGTGCTAGTTAAACTAAATGTGGGTATAAATCCCCCAGGAAGCCAGTTAAATGCAGATTCTGGTTCAGTAGGGCTGTAGCAGGGCCTGAGAGTATGCATTTCTAACAAGCCCCCAGGTGGTGCAGGTCTAAAGGGTGCATATTGACTGGGGAGATGCATGAATAACACCACTTCTCTCCAGCTATTTCTAAAATAAGGAAACTTTCCTTCAGCATTTACCTTAAGTGTTTAGACAATGCATTAAGTACAACAAAAACTATCATGAGGAACCAGATGTCACCTACGACCTATACCACACTTTTCCATTTTCATCTCTAATAAGGCGGCCTTATAACCTCCTCTAGGTCAAAAGCAGGAGATGGCAATCTTTTTTTCTGCAAAGGACAAGATAGTAAATATTTTCAGCTTTGAGGCCAGATGGTCTCTATCACCACTATTCCACTCTGCCTTCATTACATTGTAGCAGGAAGGCAGCTATAGACATTATGTAAATAGAGGGATGTGTGTGGCTTTGTTCCAATAAAACTTCTTCTGCAAAAACAGGTGGCAGAGAAGATGTATTTCATGGGCCCTAGCTTGCAGACCCCTGGACGATAGGTTAACCCAAGTCACTAGTCCCACTAGTCCTTCTGAGTAATTTTGAGCAGAAAAATCCTCAAATATTCCTTGATACTTGACATTTTCTATGCATCTCAGTAATTAATCAAGTGCTATTTAACATTATTCTGTTGTTTTGTTTTGTTTTGTTTTGTTTTGAGATGGAGTCTCGCTCTGTCACCCAGGCTGGAGTGCAGTGGTGCTATCTCGGCTCACTGCAACCTCCACCTCCTGGGTTCAGTCAATTCTCCTGCCTCAGCCTCCTGAGTAGCTGGAACTACAGGAACGTGCCACCATGCCCGGCTAGTTTTTGTATTTTTAGTAGAGATGGAGTTTCACCATGTTGCCCAGGCTGGTCTAGAACTCCTGACTTCAGGTGATCCACCCGCCTCGGCCTCCCAGAGTGCTGGGATTCCAGGCATGAGCCACTGTGCCTGGCCTAACATTATTCTTAAAAGAACCTACCACTGAAGTCCTCAGATCTTGTGTATGAACACACTCATGGTGATCTGTTGCAGCTGGGTAACTGGAAGACTTTAAACAGGGGATCTTGGTTTTTCCACGTTCCTCCTTGATTGATTGATATCTGTCTCTGGGCAGCCTAAGTCACCTGACCTTTCATGTAAGACACAACCAAATTCAATCCCAGGAAGGTTAAGCCTGTTACCCAAGGACATAAATCTTGTTCACAACAGGGTTGAGGCTGGATTCCAGCTTTCTGATTTCCTTGTCCAATTATTTTCTTACCATGCAAACAGTAGTCTCTGTTTCCTGTTGAATATGTCTACTTCCAGCCCTTTTGGAAGTTCACCCTCTCCCTTAATGTTTTATGGTACTTGTCTGTGTACCAATGTGTTTTTGCCTTTTTCTACATGGCTTTTGCTCAACATAAGAAGTTGCAGGAAAAATGTAAATGGCATTAAATATTCAATACTCTTTTTCCCTTAAAGAGAAGTTGTCTACATAAACAGAATTAGAGTGTGATTTCCTACAATAATAGTCTTCCTTTACTAGGAAGGAAATCTAATGGGCCTTTTCTCCAGCTCTTACTGCTGTTTTCAGACAAGTATACAGCTAGCAGCTATCCTTGATAATGCAGGCATGACAAAGGGAAGGACAAAGAAAGCCCTTCTTTTTGTATTGGATTTAAAAGGTCTTCACTGATATAGATATTTTTGTTTTATAACCCATTCTGTGATGTCTGACAGCAATTTCTTTCTGTGACCTCCCCTTCCAGTGGCAGGCATGGTTATCTGTTTCCCAGTGGCAGTGCATGGAGTGTCTGTCCGCAGAGCATCTGTGTGGCGATCAGGAGCGGCGGTTCAGGCCACTTCATCTTTTGCACCATGCCTCTCACCCGGATGCATCTTATTCTTTTATGTTTCCCTGTACACTTGCTCTTGAACTGAATATTACTTCTTATAACCAAGTACTCTATTGTTGAGGTTAAAATGCTTAGAGATATCTGATTCTAATTTTTCACAGAAAATGCCACCTCACACATTCAGTTAATAAATAAAACAACTGGGCCATAGAGAGGCTATTGAGGAAGAGTGGAAAGGGATGAAGTGGGTTTGAGTCTCCGATCCCGAAGCTCAAAAACAGTGATCGCTTTTTTATTATTTTTCCAGCATACCCTCTTTTCAGACATACAAATATGTTCACTGAATGTGCGTAGTCACAAGAGACAAGGATGATATGCATTTTAAAATATGTATATTACAAGGGTCTTTCTTAGCAAAATTCATGCATACCCTGCATTTTGAGAGCTGCTTCTAGCTGTTAGCCTGGCTGAATAATACACAAATTTATAATTCATGATACGCAAGAGGGAAAATGAGCAAAATAATATCATAGGATATGAACCTTGCCTTCCAAAGATGCAAATCCACCCATGCTCTTTTTATGACTTGGAAGGAGTCACTTAGTCAAAATAACTTAGAGTGGAGAATGCCCAAATGCTTTGGCACCAGCAAAGCTGTGCGAGGTTGCCAGAATATGTTCCAAATGCATAGAGATGGGAGTTAGCATTAAAAGCCATTAGCTCATGCCCAAAATCTGGCACGTCCATTCACTGACAGTCCTCTGATATTACCTTTCAGTCTGGATTCCCTTAAACTTGGAGTTGAAGAGATGCTACTGAATCTTGGGTACTCTTATAGAATGACATGTATAATTATTAATCCAGTGACCTCCCTTAGTCCTTCAAATAAATGTTATTGTCACATGCTACTTTATTTGAAGCACCATACGTATTAGGTGGTGCAACAGTAATTGCAGTTTTTGCCATTGAAAGTAATGGCAAAACCCATAATTACCTTTGCACCAACCTAGTAGTTAAAAGAATTCATCATAAAACAGAAAACATACTAACCAGTGTTTTACTTATTCACAGTTATATAAAGAATGGCACTGCCTAAAAATGTTTCTATTTTGCTTTGAAATTCATAGCAATGCCCATTTCTAGAAGAAACAAAGGGTGCCTATTCTAGCAGCTCATGGTCCTAACATGAGATTAGAAGTTTATTCTTACTCCTACTAGCCCAGTGGTATACACCACTCTATACAGCAATGCACACCTGTAGCACAGCATGTTACGATCCTAAAAGAGCAAAGAAAATGGGAGCTAGACCATACCTCAGACCCTCTCATCCCTTTCCTTTCCCGCTTACTGAGGCCAGTGACATTTGGAAGACCAGTGTGTAATTTTCCACATTGGACAGACCTGATTTTATTCTTGGTCAACATTGACAATTTTCTCCTTTCTAAAATGGATGTATTGGTATCTAGCTCACAGGGAAGGTGTGGAGATTCACCTGAGGATACACATAAACAGCAAAGCAGAATGTCTAGCCTTTAAAAGGTCTTTATGTAACCAGAACTTTTTTTTCTCCTTGTATCTCCCATGAAGGCCTGGACATTATCAAGCCTTCCCTGACACACATGAACAAGGTAGGTCAATCCCACCCCAAACTCAACATAATCTGGAATCAGTACTTTGTTGCAAAGCATATAGCTATGGCACTGACTCTGCATTTTATGCGCAGAGGAGATCAGAGACATAACATGGTTTTGAACCATAGGATGTACTTTCTTTTCATGGTACTTCAAAGTCTCCCACTGCTACTAGCACCAAAGTCTCAATTTCATGAATTGCCCATATAGATAGACAGTGATCAGCCTCTCGCCCCCTTCATCCCAAAAGCTTTTCTTCAGTGGAAAATCTTCCTGCAAGGGAATTGTACCTGTAGAATGGGGAAGAAAAAGCAGAAAGCATGAATCTGTATAGATATGAGAAGCAAGGGTGGCTCCCTGCTTGGATGAACTAGGTCTCTGTGCATGAGGGTCTTCAGTGTTTTCCTGCACTAGACCGACAATTGTCTATCTATATGGGCAATTCTTGACATTCAGACTTTGGTGCTAGTGTCAGTGGGAGACTTTGAAGTACCATGAAAAGAAAGTACATCTGGTTTAAAACAATGTTATGTCTCCAAGCTCCTCTGCGCATAAAATGTAGAGTCAGTGCCATAGCTATATGCTTTGCAACACAGTACTGATTCCAGATTATCTTGAGTCTGGGAGGGGGGCATTGACTTATCTTGTTCATGTGTGTCAGGGAAGGCTTGATAATGTCCATGCCTTCATGGGAGATACAAGGAGAACAAACAGTTCTGATTATATAAGATCTTTTAAAGGCTGGTGCATTAGCTGCTTATTTTGGTTCAAAATCTTACAAAAATATGAGAGGAATCAGGTATTACTTTGAGCATTTGAAACACCTGTGGCAGAGGAACTTGAAAAGAATGTGTCACTTTTCATTGTCTGGTTTTCTAGCCCTTTGTCACAAGGTGATTTTATTCTTGTGCATCTAATGACCAGGAGACATCATGATGGTTTCATTAGCACCTGTGGCCCCATATGGTGTCTTAAGTGTGACCAGTATAAGCGTGCTAATTTTCTTAAAGGAAGCAAAATTAAACTGTGTTTCTTGTTAGAGATGGAAAACAGGTGGTCAGCCTTATCATTCTCGCTAAACCTTATGGTTTCCAGATTTAAACAACCTTGTGAGGTCTGTTAAAGGTGGTGTAATGTGGACTCTGTTTAGTCAACATGTAATTCACTATCCTATTTCCTCTTCAGTGATTAAAGTGAAAGTCAGGCTCTTCCAGGAGTTTTCCAGTGGAGCATAAAAGAAAGAGACAGTGGAAGAGAAATTGTACTTATTGAAAGGAATATTAGCCAGATGACTCTTTGAGTGACTGCAGATGACTGTTCCCTAAGTCTAGCTATTTCTTTTCTTGTAAACTTTTTTTTTCCCATTTCCATTCCCTAAGTCAGGATCCAGAACGTTTTGTGGTTCTTCTATGTGTTTGATTTTCAAACTTTGACTCCATCAGGATGAAATTTCCTAATCTATGCAGGAGGAATAGCTTTATTCAACAAACATCCATGGTCCTTTCTGACTGTCAGGTGTTATACAACAACAAGGTTTGATTGCCTGTTGCATGATAACAGGCACCAATGCACCAATGCATCAAAACAGCAGGAGTTGCAGTAGAGAAAGAGTTTAATCATCATAGGGCAACTAAATGAGGAGATGGGAGAGAACCTCAAACCCACCTTTCTGAGGAGTTTTGGACTGGAGTTTTTAAGGGAATTTTGGTGGGTAGGGGGCTGAGGAGCTGGGGGTTGTTTATAGGGTGTGATTAGGGATGAAACCATAAAGATATAGAAACTGCATTTTTTCATTGAGTCAGTTCCTTGGAGGGGATCTTAAGACAGACTGGCATCACTGGACCCATTGGAATGCAGAATCTGGAAAATATCTCCAATGGAGAACTTGAAGTTTCTTAATGTTAAGATGTTATCTATAGAAACAATTAGGGAAAGTTAGGACCTTGTGACAGGAGCCACGTGACTTTTTGACAGTAAGCAGCTATAAGGAAGTGGGCTGTTGGGCAAGCTGGTTAATGCTTAGCTTTGCTTCTGCTCAAAGCTTAGGCTTTTACTTAAAAACTACCAATTCAGTTGCATTAATTTAATGGTGATGGCTTCACAGGCACTGTATTAAGTGCTCACCCTGCATTAATTCTTTCCATCTGTATGACAACCATGTGATGTAGGTGCTCATAATGTCTCCATCTACAGATGAAGAAGTGGAGGTACAGGGAAGGTAAGTAATTTTTCAGATATACAGTTGGGATGGTCAAAGCCAAGTCTGGACTAGACTCTACATGCTTTCTCCATCCCTATATCTGCATAAACATGTTCAGACAATGAAACAAAACAATGCTTGTAAAGTATCCCACCCAATGACAGGTGCAAGAAGGCAACCACAAAATGGAAATTATCTTTTTCCCTGAAATAGTCTTATTCCTGGGACTCAGGGTTCTTGCCTTTAGTCTGTGTCCCCTGTGATTCATTCCTTTCACTATATAAGTTTTGTGCTCTTTATACTCACTTAGATAATCACATTACTATTACCTGGAGTGAAGTGCAAAGCCGTGTTCTTCAGCCAGGAGGCTCCATCTTTCCTCAGGCAAGCCTTATTCTTAATCATTTTCTACCTCAAAACCTGTAAGCTGCTTGCAGAGGTTGCTCAATGCCTCCCAGAGCCTGTATTTTCCTTACATATGGCAAGCATTCAATCAATAATTGCTGTTTGATCAATATGCCAAATGTAACTCTTCATGTGGATAAGTTTACAGAGTCTTTTCCATTGAGTCTTTTCCATTCTTTCCTGTTATAAAATCAACTATGAACAGTTGATGAACAGACTTGGCTTTGACCATCCCATCTGTATATCTGAAAAATACTTAACTTCCCTGTACTTCTATTCCTTCATCTATAGATGGAGATATTATGAGTACCTACATCACATGGTTGTCATACAGATGGAAAGAATTCATGCAGTGTGAGCACTTAAAACAGTGCCTGTGAAGCCATCATCATGAAATTAATGCAACTGAATTGGTTAGTTTTTAAGCAAAAGCCTAAGCTTTGAGCAGAAGCAAAGCTAAGCATTAACCAGCTTGTCCAACAGCCCACTTCCTTATAGCTACTTCCTGTCTAAAAGTCATGTGGCCCCTGTCACGAGGTCCTAACTTTCGTTGGAAAATAGTTTATTTTATAACAGGAAAGAATGCCATAGAGACAGATCACAGGAAGGAAAAGAGACAAAATCTTCACAAATGGGAGTGGAGACTTGCACTTGAAGAAAAATGTTGCCTTTCTCAGAATTTGTTAGGTGAGATTTCAGTCTCTAACTTAGTGCCTCACTGTCTGTGTTCCTCACAGCATGGGTTAATCTGGTATGAGATACAAACCTATTTCAAGGCAGGGACAAATATAGGCCTTCAATTTTTTTTTTTCTAATTTGGTATGGGTTATCTATAGAAGTGTAAATGGTTCACAGCAAGAGATTGCTTTTCAGAGAAGTACATGTAAGATACAGAAATCTCTAGATGTGTCTGTACCTTAACTTTGAAAAAGAGAAACTTTTAAAAGGTAAGAGCTGTTTTTCCTAAAGAGTCATTTTAGAAAATGTTCTAGATCTTCCTGTACATAATAAGGCTTCTAAGCATTTGGGGTTATTTTAAAAATTGGATTTTAAATATTTTAAACATTTGGATTTCAGAATATTCAGATTTATTTTATTCTCCCAGTATTGCAAATACAAAGGCAACCATGCAGTATAAGAAGAGAACAGGATAAAATGAACATGGACATGACTTTAAAAAGAATTCAAAGTTCAATGACCAAATTTAAATTCGCATTGGAATTTGTAAAGAATGTAACTGACACTAAAAATTTTCTGGCATGTAAAACATGGGGCACATTCCCAGAATGCAGACAAATAGGACAAATAGAATAAATTTAAAAAGAAATTAAAAATACAAATGACAAACAAAAGAATCAACTTATAATTAGTGTTCTTGAAGATGATTCACAAGCAAATGGAGCAGAAATAATATTCAAGGTTGTAACAAAAGAAAACTTTTCTACAGAAAAAAAAAGCAGAGTTGCAGATTAATTGGGTTCACTTTGGTTTGAGGAAAACTTAATAAAAATAGAACCAAACCAAAATGTGTTGTATCATCATAGTTTAAATAAAAGTGAAATATCAACTATAATCACCCTGGCAAACAAAGTATGTGGCATGGGATGGAAGTATTCCTGGGCTGGGTCCAACTTCTCTGTAATACCAAACAATGAAAGATCAAGTAATATCTACAGAGTGTTGACGGGTTAGGATTCAGGGCCCAAGAATTCAACCCCAAAAAAGATTTTCCTCAAGTGTAATGGCAAGAGAAAGAGACACTAAGGTATGCTATGGTTTACGATATATACCACACAAATAGCTTTTCTGAAAAAAATTACTTGGATATATATTCCAGTTTACCAACATGTAGATTAAAATAATGACCCTGCTTAAAATCCCCTGATTGAATTATTTATTTAATCAACTTACTAGACAATTATTGAAAACTTGATTGTAATGGAAAGAATGAGCTCAACATAATTATTGAAAAGGAATAATACTAAAAATTATAGCTATTTTAGTAACCACCATTTTGTTATAGATGCCATTCACTGTATTTTGAAATTCACATCATCTATTTAAGTCTCATGAGTTAAGCCTTATAGCCCGAACTCATAGAGAAAAACAGAGTTGGATGAAGTCATATACCCAAGATGATGTGAAAATTTTCTGAGGGATGCAACAGAGGCATCCTATTTCCAATATCATGGCTCATCCGCAGATTTGGCCAAAATCCAGACCAGCAGTTTGCAAATGTTTCTATGCTTTAGAATCAGCTGAGGAACTGCAAAGACAGTCATGCCTGTGTGGCCCCCCACCTCTGAGATTCTGAATTGATTTTCTGGGGTGCCACCTGGTGTTTGGAGTTTTAAACAAAACCTTGGATGATTCTAAGGTGCATACAAAGTTAAGAACCATGAATTTAAACAATAATATCCGATCTCTTCTACAAAGACTTGGAAATGGTGTGAGAGGAGCAGAAAGAAGTTTAAATCTGTCACTACTCATAGGGAATAATCAACGGTAATTGCTGGGTTTTTCGTTTTGACAATTAGATCAAGATTGTTGCACAGCTCTTAATACACTGGTAGGAAATATGGAAGAGTTTCGAGGGGACATTGCAATGAAATGGGATTGAGCTAGGGCAGTGGTGCACACCTGGGGCAATTGTATCCCCAGTAGACATTTGGTAATATTTGGAGACATTTTTGGCTGTCATCACTGGGAAGCATGGAGATTGACTATTGGCATCTCCTGAGATACTGATAAAAATTTGGGAAAAAGGCATGGATTCCTCCAGGTAGAGAGTGTATGATAAGATTAATGACATATTTCCTAAACATTTATTTTTCCCTAAATCAAAATGACTGTCTATCCATGTGTGCGTGCATGTATGTGTACATGTATGCATGCATACATATTCATTTTCACTATATTTCTATTCTTCATTTAATTTTATTCCTTTCAAGTTTGACCAAAAGACCTTACAACCAGTCTGTTGGTATTTTGAAAGAAAATTTATATTTGTCCCCATTTTCTTTATAATCTTTCAACTTTGACCACAAACCTATATTGTTTTCTTCAACTGATACATTTTGGGTAGCATCAAAATTATATTCAGTATCGTGCTTTGGAGAGGAAAAACGTGCTGTTCCCATTTTCAAGCATGCCGCAATCCTGAATCTACTCCTTACAAAATTTCTGTGTCAGCTTGGATACATGATGTTTTTTTCTCTATGTGTTTGGGTTATAATACATAACTAATTCTGTTTAATTCTGTTTTTTTCTCTACGTGTTTGGGTTATAATACATAACTCATGTCACCATTATGAGACTTAAAAAAGATAACTTATGCAAATTTCAAAATATAGTGTAAAATAGAGACAGTGGCATATAACAAAATCGTAAGTACATAACAAAACAGTGGTATTGCACTATGATATCTTCAGTAAATACATATAAGTGTTGTACCCAGTGTCACGTCTCAGTTGCTGTCATATCACCAACATTATTTTTGCTTTCTCCTCTTAGTTGTATCTTACGAGAGCCACATACGATCATTTAAGTCAGAGATGAAAATTCAAATGCCTGCAGGAGACAGGCAGCTATCACATGGGCATGATTCAGGCTGAGTGTGAACAGCGGGGAACTAGGGATGTCTGCAATTGGAGAGTGCTTGCCCACTGCAAGAAGGAGGAGAAGGAGGGCGGGGAGGGGGAAGAGGAGGAAAAGGAGGAGAAGAAGAAGAAGGAGGAGGAGAAAAGGAAGGGAGGGAGGGAAGAGGAGGGGGAGGGAGGGAAGAGGAGGAGGGGAGGGAAGAGGAGAGAAGGAGTAGGAGGGAGGGAAGAGGAGGAAGGGGAGGGAGGAAAGAGGAAGAGTGAGGAGGAGAGGGAGAAGGGAAAAGAGAAGGAAAAGGAGAAGGAGAAAAAGAAGGAAAAGGAGAAGGGGAAAGAAGGAAAGGAGAAGGGGAAGGAGTAGGGGGAGAAGGAAGAGGAAGAGGATGAGGAGGAGGAGAAGAAAACCAAAGAGGAGGAGGAAGAAGAGAAGGTGGAGGAGACAGTAAACATGAGGTCTAGGCTGACCAAACAAAGCGCTTCTGCAGGTTAGCATAGCCCCTTGTGCCTCTCCTGCCCTTGGTCCTAGCCATGCATTGAAGAGAAAGGGGTAGAATCCGAATCTGTGAGTCTCTAAAAGAAATTTAGACACATCAGATTATTTTGAGTAAAATATATAGAAAATAAATATTGCTGTATTGAGTGCTTTTCAGAGCATATATGTGACGCATCTTATTTTCCTCTATTAAAGACCATGTGCAATAAAGGGTAATGGGTGGAAGTGAGGAAAGACAAACCCATCCTGCCCCACCTAGAGGACAAGTTACTGGTAACTTGCTGTTTTAAGGAAACGACACAGGGAGATCACAACGACCTCAAAAGGACTTTTCTGCAAACAAATGTAAGTTATGTTGCATTCATAAGTAACTGAAGCCAAAACCCTACTCAAAAGGGTTATACAAAAAAGGATAATTATTGGCTCATACCAACTCAGTGGTCGACCATTAGCCTTGTGTAGGAACTGTATTCTTTACCAAGAATTGTAAGTATTCAAGAATTGTTGGTGACAACCGTGCAAGTTTTCCCTGTTGTAAAATTGTAACATAATTTATTCCAATGAAAGAAACCCATAGACATTATCCTTAACATTGACAGACCAACTGCCTAGAGAAATTCTTTTCTGAAACTGTTTCCTAAAACAATTAGTTATTTTACACACACCAGCAATAGGACTAAGAGAAAATAGTATCAGAGATCTTTCAGAGACCGTATCAACAGAAAAAAATGTAAGTTGAAAGTACAAATTAGTTTTCAGAATAAATGTTCAGAATAAATCATTAGCCACCTGCTACTTTTAATTAGCAAAGCTTTAAAAGCTCACTCATTGACTTAGCATAATGTCCTCCAGGTTCATCCATATTGTCACAAGTGGCAGGATTTTCGTAGCAGAATAATATTCCATTGGGTGTATAGATTACATTTTTTAAATCCCTTTATCCATTGTTGGACACTTGGGCTGTTTTTACATTGTGGCTATTATGAATAATACTGCTATGAAGATGGGACTGCAGATAGCTCTTCAAGATCCTGGTTTCAGTTATTTTAGATATATACTCAGAAGTGGGATTCCTAGATCATATGTTAGTTCCATTTTTGATTTTTTGAGGAACCTCCATATGGTTTTCCATAATGGCCATACCATCTTACATTCCCACCAACAGTGCACAAGGGTTTCAGTTTTTTCATATCCTCACCAACACTTGCTATCATTTTTTTTATAATAGCCAACCTAACAAGTGTGAGGTGATATCTCTTTATAGTTTGATTTGCATTTGTCTAAGGATTAGTGATGTGGAGCATATTTTAATGTGCCTGTTGGCCATTTGTATATCTGCTTTGGAAGTGAAATAAGCCTGTCACAGAAGGACAAATAATTCATGATTCCACTTAGATGAGGCATCTAAAATAGTGACACTGATGGAAGCTACTCAGGGGTTGCTAGGAGCTGGAGTGGGAAACATGTTCAATGGGTATAAAGTTTCAGTTATGCTAGATAATAAGGTCTAGAGATCTGCACATCAATGATGCCTATAGTTAACAATGTGGTATTCTACACTTCAAAATTCGTTTAGAGGGGAGATCTCATGTTAAGTGCTCTTACCACAAAATTAATCAATCTGTCAATCAACAGAAGGAAACTTTGGAACATGTTCAATTTGTCTATGTATTAGTCCGTTTTCATGCTGCTGAAAAAGACATACCTGAGACTGGGTAATTTATAAAGAAAAAGAGGTTTAATGGACTCAGTTCCACATGGCTGGAGAGGCCTCATAATCACGTTGGAAGGTGAAAGGCATGTCTTACATGGTGGCATGCAAGTGAGAATGAGAACCAAGGGAAAGGGGTTTCCCTTTATAAAACCATCAGACTCATGAGACTTATTCACTACCACGAGAACAGTATGGGGAAACCTCCCCCATGATTCAATTATCTCTCACCAGGTCCCTCCCACAACACGTGGGAATTATGGGAGCTACAATTCAAGATGAGATTTGGGTGGGGACACAGCCAAACCATATCAGTTTATTACCTTGATTGTGGTGACTGTATCACAGTTATTTGCAAATGTCCAAACTCATCAGATTATACAGATTAAATACGTGAAATTATGTGTATATCAATTATACTTCAATAAAGCTGTTAAAAAATAAAAACTAAAATAAAATAGAAAATAAGTTAAAGTCCACCCACTGAAAAAATTATAGTATAAAACATAGAATTATGCCAGGCATGGTGGCTCATGCCTGTAATCCCAGCACTTAGGGAGGCCAAGGTGGGAGGATCACTTGAGGCCAGGAGTCCGGGGGCAGCCTGACCAACGTGGCGAAACCACATCTCTACTAAAAATACAAAAATTAGCCAGGTGTGGTGCCATGTGCCTGTAGTTCTAGCTACTCAGGAGGCTGAGGCATAAGAATCCCTTGAACCCAGGAGGCGGAGGTCGCAGTGAGCCGAGATCATGCCATTGCACTCGTGCCTGAGCAACAGAGTGAGACTCTGTCTCCAAAAAAAAAAAAAAAAAGTGAAATCAGGAAAAATTTATATAAAATCTAAGGCAAAAAAAGATGCAAATAATTTATTTAAAAATTGATAGTTTGATTTAGCTTTTATTTCTGAAAATTATAATACGATATATCCAGAGCAAATCGAGAAAAGCACTTTACACAGTAAAGCTTGGATATGTTCAAAGTCACAACTAGATAGCAAAAAAATATTCCATTTAAAAACTGTTAATCTGTATTAAAGGAATCCTGCCAAAAAAGAACTGGGAATCTTTCATGAATTTATAGGCACTGTTTGCCATCCTGATCCAATTTTTCTCTTGTTGAAACTGCTTCATTAATTTAATGTGCAAGAAATAAATATTTGATGTGCAATTAGTTGGAGATTATTATGGCCATAATGGAACCTTTCCAAATAAACAGCTGCTCCAGCACTTTAAATGCATGAAAAGCAAGACAGAAAATGGAAAATATAATGAAACACTAGCTCTACAGGAAAAAAAGTTAAAATATTCAATTAGTGAGTAAGGTGGCTGCTCATTTAGAAGTTTGGTGGTGGTTTATCAAAGCATAACAGCATAAGAGCTCCTAAACTTTAGCCAAATATCCATCCACCTAAATTTTCATGGAAACATTCACCTGCAGATGTAATACATTCTTCTCTGACAAGAAGAGAGTGTTAGGAGAATAGACATTGGCCAATTCTACCAATTTCTTCACGTGTTTTATTATATATACATAAATGTATATCAATGTATATTTGTTGAGTTTTGATTATTCTACATTGGCATTTATATATGCACTATAAATACCTATTTGTATATCCACATATGAATTGTAATGATTCCACTTTGAGAGGGAATAATCTGCCTTAAAAGTTTCACACTGACTGGGCTATTTTAAGTCTGAGTGAGCTTCTGAGGTTTCATAGCATGTATGCAGACCCCGTGAAGGAACTGACACTATTAAGTTAGTTAAACTCCTTGGGAGTTTTACAAAATGTTATCTTCCTTTCAAAATGGACTATAAGATTTGGAGTCAGTTGTCTCTCTTATCTACTGCACTGGAAAGCACTTGAGGGTAGATACCATGGCTAATATCTCAGTATCTCCAAACCCTGATATAGTTCCTGACACAGAGTAGCTCAAAAGTATTCATTGAAAGAATGCCTAAGGCAATTTGCAATACAGATGGGGAAGAGATAGACATCAAAGGGTGAGTATTATGAGCTACACACACACACACACACACACACACACACAAAAAGTTTACTAAAATAGATCAATGTCTCCTATTGAGATGGGAGCAAAAGGATGCAATCCCATTGGCATTCTGTTCCACTGCAGACATAATAGCAAAAGGGCAAGGTTGTTGCTGGAACTGGCAGTATTTGGCTTGTAATTACAGATTTGAATATCAAAAATAATCACTGGGAACTGCTTACAATGACCAATGTTTTGGTATACTTTTCTAGAAAACTGACTTGGGGAAAATTTATTACTTATTGGGGCTCTATTCTATTTTGAGATTCGATTCTGCAATTAATTACATTTTACTCCTCCGCTTTGCTCTAAAAAACTCATTGGTCCAAGGGAATTCAATTTTTAAAAAAAAATTATTTTCTCTGCTCCCTGCTGCTTCCATGAGTGAAACACACGCACATATGCACACACATACATGCATACACATGCTCACATGCGTACTATGGAGGAGCAAATGAAAGAATAAAGGCATTCATGTAACACCATTTTGCCCCAGATTCGATCCATTCGAATGTGATAGATGGACACGAACTGTCTTGCTATACATGGAGGTGTAATGTCTTTGATGGCCCTCCCATGAGTAGGTAGGGTTAATGCTTCCTTCCCTGGATTCTGGGTGTACCTACAATGTGTCTAAGAAGGAGGTGATGCTGAAAGTCTCCCAACACGAGGTACTCAAAGATCATACGGCTTCTTCCCAGTGTTTGTGGCATTCTCCCCTAGGGATGCAGGCACCATGCTTTGGAGAAGCCAAGCAGCCATATAGATAGGTCCCACATCAAGTCCCCTGCCAGCAGCCTCAGCTGAAGTCTCAGGGACAGGCAACAAAATCCCCAGACATGTGAGTCGTCAGACTCGCGATGATGGAGCCCCCAGCTATCCTTCCAGCAAGCCAGCTGTCGCATGGAACAGAGACAAGCTGTGCCCACAGAGACCTGCCCAAATTGCAGATTTGTAGGGAAAAAAAAAAGACTGCTGTTGATTTCAGCCACTAAGTATCATTTGTTATGAAGCAAAACACAACTAAAACACTTGTGTGCCAGAATCTGAAACCATTTATTTGATAAACTTATTTTTAGCTTATAACATACCAAAGCTATTCAAATGTGTGGCTTCATTGCTACCCATATCCTGCCGTCCCCACATTACACAGTAAGGAGGGGATATTTATTAAGAAATATCTTCTTGTGAAGCCAGAGCCTAAGTCACTGCTGCTATTCAGGAGCTTACATTATAATGGGAGAAAATGGGGACAAATACATAAATTAGTACCATAAAAATAGTACACAGGAGTACTCTGCAAGTTATTCATTCAATGCATGTGTAAGGCATGCTACTGAGTCCCAGGAACATTGCTCTTCATGCTATAAATGCAGCAGGGATGAAAGTAGACAAGGATCCTGCTGTCAGAAATTCTATATCCCTGTGCACATCAATAACCAGTAGACAAGCAAACACACAAGACCCTTTCAGATCAAGAAAAGTGCAGAACACAGCCAGGGCACAGAGTTGAGAGGAATTGTGACCATAGACAGTGAGGGAAACCAGGATCTGTCCCACAAAAGATGCCTCTTTAACATAGAAATTATTTATGAGCCAAAAGTAATTAGAAAGCATAAAATGAAGGAAATGCTGGCCCTGTCCTCCTGCTTTTCTGCCTAAAGGCAAAATATAGATTCTCCTTTACTGGAGATGACTCTAAACTCTTATCAGCCCAGAGATGGCATCAGAGAGATCTGCAAACAAAACTTACTCCATTAAGTTTCTTACAATATATTTACCTTCCCACCATTGCTGTCCCTTGGTAGCTGAAACCACTTTCCTTTGTCTTACCATTTCTCTACACATGCATTGTTCTTGGTGGAATATATCCTGTAAGCCAGATTTCTAATCCACTGCCTTGAGCTACCTTTCACTGAGATTTCTCCTGTATGATGTGAACAGCACAGGCGAATCAGCTTCCTTTTTCCTTCTGTTGACTTGCCTTTTGTTACAGGAGTTCATCCCAACTGAGCTTATGGAGGATGAGAAAAAGTATATTTCTTCCCTGATAATAGACTATGGCCGAATTTTTCTTTAATAAGATGGCATTTAAGCTGAGATCTTATGGAGAAAGGTGGTTGGCCATGGCAATACATGAGGAGAGAATGGGGAAAGAGCAAATGCAAAGACATTTGAGGGACTTGGAGAAACAGAAAGTCAGAACGTGACCAACAAGGGGGAAGTAATGAGAGGGAGATCTTTTGGAGAAATATCCCAGGTGAGTCTTTGTGGGACACATGTGTGCCAGAGTCTGAAACCATTTATTCAGATGTAGTAAAAGGGCCTTCAATTTTATTACCCTGATTGCTACGGGAAGCTACTGGCAGGTGTCAAGCAGAAGAGTCTAGTAATCATTCATGTGGATTGAGTATAAATCACTTTGACTGCTGAGTGGTGCTTGGGTGAGAATCGGAACAGGGAGACCCAGTTAGAACACTGCAGTTGATCTTCATTATCTGCAGATTCTGTATTTGTAAATCCATCTAGTTGCTACGTTTATTTGTAACCCCCAAGTGAATACTCCCTGTGCTTTTGTGGACATGTGCAGAGTGGTGAAATATTCTAGTACATTCCCAGCTGAGGTTGAGTAAGGAGACACTCTGCCTTCTTGTTTCAGTTCTCATACTGTAAATAACTATTCTTTTCGTGGTCTATCTAGGGCTATATTGTTTGTATTTTTGTGCTTTTTGTTGGTGCTTTTGCTGTTTACAATGGCCCAAAAATGCAGTGCTGAAGTGCTGCCTAGTGTTCCCAAACACAAGGCAGTTGTGATGTGCCTGCCTTACAGAGAAAATACATGTCTTAGATATGCTTCATTTATGCATGCATGACAGTGCAGTTGGGTGTCAGTTCAATGTTAGTGAATCAACAATATATATCCAGTAAAGTATGTTTGTACGAAAACACACCCAAAACAAAGTTATATATTGGTTGGTTGATGAAAATGAAACTGGAGCTCACGGGAACCTAACCCTGAATTTTCCAAGAAGAAATGGTTCCATATTCAGTGTTTGTGATGACCTCTTAGAGCACAACTACCTCCAATAAGCAGAATTAACCGTATCCCAGTAGTCCAGGTGGAAGACAAAGGTTGTAGAATTGGTGAGAAGTGGTTGAGCTTGGTCAACTGGCAGGGTTTGGGAGTGATCTGGATGTTGGACAGGAGAAATGGAGAGGCACTGCCATGTGTGGATGCTACGTGGACAGGCAGGGAAGGGTTGCATCAATAAAAAAGGAACCCACATGAAGAGGGCAGCATTTGAACTGTTCCTTGAAAGGATGAACTCGTGCATTTCAAATTTATTTATCACATATACACATGTATTTAAGTGGAAGTTATATACTCACACAGCACGGGAACATAAAGCTTAGAAAATTTATGAGCAAAGTAGAGTTATTTCTTGTAGTATTTTTAAAGGACATGTTTGTTTTGTGTGTGTGTATTGGGAACTCAATCCTTATCTCACTACAAATACATTAACACAAAATAAATTCATTGGCCTATACACAAAAGCTAACACAGTAACATTTCTGGAATAAATCATAAGAGAAAAATCAGCAACCATAGGGATAAGACATAAAACTATAAACTATAAAAGTAAAGAATTGATAAACTAGACTTCATCCATGTTAAAACTTTTCTCTGGAATACACAAATACACAAAAAAATGTCAGACACAGGATGGAAGAAAACATTAGCAATCTAATCTAATAATGTAATGGAATTCAATATATATAAAGAACTCTGATAACTCAACAATACAGATCAAAAAAGCCAATTAAAGATAGCAAAAGACACATTACGTAAGAAGAAATGTAAATGGCCAATAATGACACGGAATGTTGCTCAACATCATTAGTTATCAGGGAAATGTCAATTATATCACAATGCAACTCCACTCTGTACCCACTAGTCTGGTTTAAGTGGAAAATTCTGACAATTTCAAGTGTTGTCAAAAATATGAATGCTTACTCACCACTTGTGGGAGTCTAACTTGGGAAAAGTCCTGGAAATTTGTCATAAAGTTAAGCATAGTGACCATATAACTCAGCTATTTCTCCTTTCTTTCTTTCTTCTTTCTTTCTTTCTTTCTTTCTTTCTTTCTTTCTTTCTTTCTTTCTTTCTTTCTCTTCTTTTCTTTCTCTCTCTCTTCTTTCCTTCTTTCTTTCCCTCCCTCCTTCCTTCCTCAAATTTATTCAATATTCATTGAACCTTTCTGATTTTTAAAAGACTGCTCTAAAGTCGATAAATACTATATAACTTACATTCGATTGCAGTGAGGGGCAGAGAATTATCAAGCAAAATTATATTTCAAAAGATTATTTCTTTAAATGGGGTTAAACTCTATGAAGAAAAAGTTATGTATTTCAGATTGAAAGAGAGTAAAAGGAGAATGTGGGCAACTTTGTATAAGGTGATTAGGGAAGCAAACCTGGAATAATGTTATTTACAGAAATTAATGCAATTAATGGACATATTCTATACTGATGGCATATTTCTATATAATCTCTGCCTCTAAATATGTAGGCATAAATCATTTTTCTTTAACCAATATATAGGTCTCTTTTTTAACCAAAAGAATTGTTTAATAGAGAAAGAAGACTTCGTTGAATCCAAACGGTGAGAGACATCAATTTTAAACCAAAAGTACTTCTGGGTGTTGGCAGATATCCTCCATAGACAGCTACCTCTCTGTGGTTTTCAAGATGGTGCCCTTAGGATATAGGCATCAGCATCACCTGGCAACCTTATTTAAAGGGAAGCTTCCAGTGACTACTTCTGGCAATCTTATTATTAACAAGCACTTGGGCTGATTATTTGGTATCTTAAAGTTTGAATACCATTGGCTGTCAGTTGCAACTTTAAAAGTGCTGACATAAGATTGAGGAGGGTATATTTGATTCTGAGTACACCAGGCAGGATCTTATCTTTGTGATACTGAGCCATGGGGGACTTCTTAACTTTATGCAGGAACTTCTTAGGCTGCCTGGACTACCAAGCTCTAGTCTTTCCTGGAGAACACTGAGATGTGAGTATTAGATCTTGGGGCCAGGAGTTCTGGCCAAGTTGGAGCACTGAGGATGCAAGAAAAATCTCTTAAAATCTCACAGACTCAGTTTGCACCTTGGAGAAGAAGATCAAAGTGGTAGTATATATATGCACAACCCTATTGCCCCTCTCCAATGAGGCTTTGAAGATCATATGCATACTAAACCTAATGTTGATATTCACAGTTTTCATGCAAGAAAAGAATAGAAAGTGATTGAGTTTCTACTGTGTATTAACACCTTTAAAAATATTATCTCAATTAAAATTGCTGAAATCTTCTCCATGACAGTTTAGGGACAGTATTGCTTTCTACATCCTATAGGAAGAAATAATTGGTTGAAGCAGGAGAATAGAAATGCAAATCCAAACCTTGCTTTTGCCACAAGTTCAGGTTAACTCTAGAAGCATTATTTGATTATTTTATTCTAAATTCCTTTCTTTTTAAATTAAGAGTATTTCATGCGCTCCTTGTATGCGTCAATCAAGAAAGACTTTAATTTGGCTTTTTTTAATGATCCACCACCCTTCCACGTGCTGTCTAATAACATGTTCTAATATTATGATAGCATTGCTGAGTTCCAAAAATGCATTTCATAATTGAGATGGTGGCTTATCAATGGCAGCAGGCTTAAAATGAACAAGAATCCAAATACTTGTTTCAAGAGTTTATTTTTTATTCCTGATTATCTAAAAACTGCTAGGCAATTTTTTACCTAATCATATCTCAAGTAGTGTTCGATGAAAACATTTTTTTTAACCCATGGAAACATAAGCAATGGAAAAAAAGTGCATGTGAATAAACAGCTTTATTTTGGAAATCTAGGGAAGAAAATATAGCACACCATTTCCCAATTTGTTTTCCTACTCAAGACTTGTGTTGAAAACACCAAGCCAAAGATAATCCATGGTTCTTAATCGTATACTGTTAGATGTGCATGACCAAGCGTTGTCAGATGTGCATGACCAGGCATTGTTACAGCTCCCCCTATTGACCTATCTCCTGTCTTCTTCTCATTAGAACATTTGTTCTTTGCCCCAGAGTAAGGCATCTGGCCATATTTTCATTAATTCATTCTAATACCTATTTTGAGGATTAACATATTTAATATGCTTATATTGAATATTTGTCAATTTGTATAAAATTATATTTAAATATATGTGACATAGGGCCAGGCATGGTGGCTCACACCTGTAATCCCAGCATTCTGGGAGGCCAAGGTGGGCAGATCGCTTGAGTCGAGGAGTTCGAGACCAGCCTGGGCAACATGGCAAAATCCTCATCTCTAGCAAATATGCAAAATTTAGCCTGGCGTGGTAGCATGTGCCTGTAATCCCAGCGACTCGGGAGGCTGAGGCAGGAGAATCGCTTGAGCCTGGGAGGCAGAAGTTGCACTGAGCCAAGATCACACCAATGCGCTCCAGACTGGGTGACAGAGCCAGCCTCTGTCTCAAAAATAAATAAATAATGTGACATAGCATTCTGTATATAGTACAAGGTTCAGTGGTTCAAATGCTTCCATATGTAGGTGTGGGCGTATCTGTGTTTACATATGTACATGTATTTATGTGTGCATGCAAACGTGTGTGTACATATATAACTAAAAATCATATCTATAGTACAAATATATATACATACATATGATTTTTTCAGTAGTATGTGTATACACATATATGCGGTACATACAATCATACATATAGTACAAATATATATCTGTGTGTGTGTGATTTTTTTAAAAGATTTGTGTTCCACCAGGAGGCTATTTCCAATATTTGTATGGACTCTAAAGGATTAAATTAATTTATACTACAGTCCACCTTCTCTTTTAACATTTAAAACTAGAATTTTTATGGCTAGATGGTGATATTTCAATGAGCAATACCTTCTACATAATAAGTCATTTAAAAACTTGCCATTTAAATCAATAAAATTTTGCACTCAATACTTTTGCACTCAAAAGTATTTTAAAGTTATCTAATATTTTGAACTTTAATTCACTTATCAAACAGAAAACATCCACTTGGGAAAGTCTAATACACCTTTGGTTAACTGCACAATGTTTAAAATCCAATAAAACTTAATAAAATAATATTTTACCAACAAGAGAATTAATTCCTATGAACTATTTATCTATTTGTATAGTCTGAGGCTCATCATAAATCAAATAAAAGCATAGTACCTCAGAGCAGAGAAGTACACATAATATGCTTGTCCTAACATGATTTTTATTACTTGCATTTCCCTCTGGAGGAATACAGTGAATGAATTAATGAAGTTGGCTTTTATTACTGATTCATTGCATATAAAATGAAAAAGCCGCTTTGGATGTTCAAGAATTTACATGCAAAGTAGACTAGGAATTCCAATGTCAGTTTATGGGCTATATATATGTACTGCAGAAGGAACAGGGAAAACACAAAACTGAGGGTGTTTTCTGGTGGATGGGACTGCCAGGAGGTCAGTGTGCCTTGGCTGAAGGAACACGGGGTGGTTTGTAAATAAAGCATACAAACCATCAGCCTAATATTTTTGGTATGGACATCAGGATGTCTGTGGGCAAACCAAGTCAATTGCTAAATGCAAAGTTGCAGATTGAAGGCTGCTGTGGACATGAGGCTTGAGTCCCCAAGGGTGTCCTAGACATTGGGATATTAGTTTGGACCCTGCCAGAGTTGGTTCAGGGGTCAGGGTAGGACTGCAGCTTTTTACATGGTTTTAGGTGAAAATGGGGGTCGATGTTGCCTTTAAAGCCTGTTCAGCAAGGAGACCACTTTGCCAGGCTCTATTTATGATTGACAATAAATGAATTATCTGTTTCCTTTCCCGTGCCCACGACTTCACTTTACTATTGTGACAACTTTCTTAGTGAGAGAGAGAGCAATGCTGGATGAAAGGGCAATGGATTGTTACTGAGAACTTTGTTTTGTGTGCAGAGGTGAAGTGAACAGGGGAGTAGAGGTTATAAAGTGTTATTCGGGTTCTATGTGAATACCTCTGGGTTTATTGGAACGTCTGAATGCGATGCCTTTCTCTCCTGCTAAACAGTAAGTAAGGACTGGGTCTGCTCCTGCAACATGGCACAGTATCTGGCCTGAAAAAGTACTCGATTAATATTTATTAAACAAATGAATGAGGTTAAGTGAATATATAGAATGATGGATGGATGGATGGATGGATGGATGGATAGATGGATGGATTAATAAATGGTTCATAGTGTGCAAAAGAGGGAAGAAGGCTGGGCATGGTGGCTCATGACTGTAATCCCAGCACTTTGGGAGGCTGAGGTGGGCAAATTGCTTGAGCCCAGGAGTTTGAGATGAGCCTGGGCCACATAGGGAGAACCCATCTCTCCAAAAAAACTTAAAAAGTTAATCAGGCATGGTGATGCACACCTGTGGTCCCACATACTCAGGAGGCTGAGGTGGAAGGATCACTTGAGCCCAGGAGTCCAAGGCTGCAGTGAGCTATGATCGTGCCACTGAACTCTAGCCTTGGCAACAGAGCAATACTCTGTCTCAAAAAAAAAAAAAAAATGAAAGAAAGAAAGAAAAAAGTAGGGGCGAGGCATAAAATGAAAAAGAAATGCTCATTACATTTTTTTGAAGTTATTAAAACATACAAATAAATCAGAGTAGTCCTTTCAAAGAAAGATTAGATTAGACAAAACCTCTGGTACCAGGTCTTATGCCTGGTGAGACTTTGGATCTCCTCCTGGACAAGAACTTTCTACCCTGTTATAAACATTCAAGGCAATCTCTTAAGTGCTCTAAGTGATTGAGCATCTATCCCTGTGATGCAACCCGAAGCTACCAAAACCCTCCCAGATTTCTACTTAGTTCTGCCTCTTCCTTCTCCTTCTCCTTCTCTTTATTCTCCTTCCGCTCCTTCTTCTCACTCTCTTTCTTCTCTTGTTCAGAATTTATCTACTTCTTTAAAAGTAGGCAGGAGCAAGCTTGGTCAAAATAAAAATGTTGTAAAACCTTGATTTCGTTAGTTTTGTTGTTACCCCCTGACAATGCAGTAAGCTCAGAACTGCTAAGATTTGATGATGGAATTTGACCAAAAATTACCAGAAAATCCTGCATGTTGTACAGGAAGGGGGCCCTGAGACACTTGGAACTTTACAAGAGCATCAGAGAAACAGGCAATTGGGCAACACTGAGGAAAGGCAGAGAGGTGAGGGAGAAGATGTAAAATGTCACTGATGTAATTTTGCCTAGAACCACCCACAGCACATCGTAAAAACTAATTAGATCTCTGAAAAGAGACATGCAAGAGTGGATAAGTGAGCTCCTTAGGTCAAAGTGTTAAGGAGGTCCATAGTTACTGAGGTAAGAGAAAGAAGAACCATCAGAATGGAAGGAGTATTCAGAAACATGAAAGATGATTATGTGAAGGCAGTGTCTAGGCGAAGAAAATTAAAAATTATAAAGGAGGAACAATGCATCAAATGAAATACAAGAAGCCAAGAAGTCTCGGAGGCTTAGGATGCTTGAAAGGATCCTAAGAGGAGTTTCTCCAAGGGGCTGAAATGGATATTAGAAAATATATTAGCTAATATATGCAGGAGAAGTTTACAGAGGACATTATCATAATTGAAGGGACAGGAGTGGAAGTAAACGTTTCCATTACGTGTAGTTGCATGAGTGTATCTTTAGAGATGACGATCAGAGAATTCTGGAACACCCTGTGATACAATATAGTGTAGTTTTTATGACCTAAAATAGCACATTAGGTAGCTTCTTGATTAATGTCATTACAGTGGCCTGGAGTTAAGGTGCTCTTCAATTGTCATATTCCTCTACAAACCTACACTGGTGAATTACATGGAAATAGCTAAAGGACCCAGGCAATTGTTGGTTGACGGTGTGCCTTAAATATATCATGTTAATATAGTGCTTGCAGTTTAAAATGTCTTCCCACATACATTTGCCCATTTAATTTCCTCAATGTGAGGCAGGTGCTAATCTCATTTTATAGTGAGAAAATTGAGCGTTAGAGAGGCTGAAAGTGATACCCTAATAAGGGGCAAGAGTTGTTCTTTTTTGTCAGCTAGGTCAACGGCCATTTATGCCATTGAACTCATATCAAGTGCTCTTCTTCTTTCTCTATAACTGTGGGAAGACAAAGGTTTATCCCAAAGTGTGTGCTATAAAATCAGTCCTGCAAGTCATATTTCCACGCATATCAATTTTGCCAATGTACACATTGCAAAATTACTTTTGTTCTTCCATTGTTCCATCGACAAAACACTAACGATGAGAAAAATATCTAATCCATGGGTGCTACGAGAATTAAGTAAATTAACATGTGTAACCTTCCTAGAAAAGTGCTTGGCAAAAGTAAGCAGAAAATAGATATTTATCATTATAATTGTTGGTGTTGTATTGTTATGAATGAAACGAAAAACAAAAGTATAGTCATGCACAGCATAATGGCATTTTGATCAATGATGGACCACATATAAAATGGTAGTCCTATAAGATTATAAGGGAGCTGAAAATATTCTATCATCTACAAATATTGTAGCACAACACATTACTTTTTCTATGTTTAGATATGAAAATACCATTGTGTGATAATTGCCTTCAGTATTCAGTACAGTACCATGCTGTTCAGGTTTGTAGCCTAGGAGCAATAGCCTATACCATATAGCCTAGGTGAGTGATCGACTGTACCATCTAGGTTTGTGCAAGCACACTCTGTAATGTTTGTACAATGACAAAATTGCCCAGTCTCACATTTCTCAGAATGTATCCTCATCATTAATCAGTGCATGACTATAAACATTTTTTGGGCGGAAACCAATTTTTCACTTGTGAACCATCTCCGATCAGTAACAAAGTGTCCTGTTAGCTCCCATATGAAGGAGAGCAATGCTTGAGTGGCAAGCAGGAATGAAAGCGCAGTTCACCTACCTGTCCCGTGTGCTCTCAGGCTCTCTTCCATCAGCAGCAAAGCCCTCCTCCCACCCACACACACAGAGTCATGCACGTACTCACACAAATTCACTCACATGCATACACAGACAGGGTCATACACACACTCACACACACCTTCACTCACACATACCACCATGTACCAAGAGTCATACCTACCACCACCAAGGACGCCATCCTCCTGGCAACATCGAAAAGAAAGAAGAGAGGCCTTGCAGCTCGCCAGAACTATTTCTTGATAGCCACACTTGGGCAATGCGGTATTTGATGTGTCTTCATGGAGGCATCACCTTTGCTGTTGTTATCTCATCCACATGGCCATAGTCATTGCTTCACAGAGGACTGGGTAAAAAAAAAAAAAAAAACAACGCAAATAAATGACCACTCACAGGTTCTGAGTGGTGAGTGAGTAAATGTTGGTGCTGGCTCAGGATGGCTAATGGGAACTGCTAGCAAGTTAGCTGGGGCCAGCCTGAAGGGCCTGGGGAGTGTGCTGCTGGCCGCAGTAGCCACTTCAGAGAAGCCTCTAATAGCAATGCCAGGAAGGGACAGATAACACTGGAGCAACTTCAGGGCATCAACTCCCAGATCCTAGCTTGGCTGCCTGTCTATTGTCCTGTTTCCTGAAAACACCAAGGAATGGAGTCATTCATTAACTCAGCAAACACTTAAAGATTGCATTCTGGGTTCTGAGTGGTTTTAGGTGCTAAAAAGAGAATAATAAACAAAACCACAAGGCTTTTTGTCTTCTGGAGCTGATACTTAAATTGATGTGAGACAGATGGTACATAACACAAAAAAACAGCTGTTATCGGTTAAAATTAGGAACAATGAAGAAAATGAAAGAAGATAATGGAACAGAAGATGACATTGGATGAGATGAGCCTCTATGAAGAAAAGGAGAGAGTAACAGGCCAACGGGTAAGTTGGGGGCAGGTACGGCGGCATAAGTTGGTGGATGCAACAAGTGAGCTGAAAATTGAGTGGCGAGAAGGAACCTACCATGAAAAATAAATGTGAGGAGTATGTATTTCTGGCAGTGCAACTAAGAACTGGCAAGGTGCTGAGATAAAGGCTCTAGAAAGGTGTGGTGTGTTCACGGCATAATGAACAGGAGGAGAGAGAGTTGTAAGAGGAAAACTCAAAGAGATAAAAGTGATGTGCCATGGGGAAAAGATGGGTTTAATTATATTTGGATGGAGAGCGATGGACAGGTTAGTAGCCTCTCAGTAAGAAGGCCTGATTTACAATTTTATAGGACCATTCTGGTTACCAAGTGGAAGGTGGTGTGAAGGGGTAACGTGAGAAAAGCAGAACGACCTGGGAGCTCAGACAAGAGGTGAAAGCAGACATGGGCCAAAGCCATCAGATTCATAGCACATTTGTAAGACACAGAAGAAAACTTGCTGCTGGATGAGATGCAGGGTGTGAGTCGATTATCGAGGAAAATGCTCTTCCAAAAGAAGTAAACGATATAAATGATGGAACGTATTACAAAACCCAACCCGAAATTATTGCCAGTATCAGAGCTAACAATTCTAACCTGAATGATCATCCATCTCCCTACCCCCTACAAAGAGTCATTCATGAGAGACCATGAGTCTAAAACATCATTATTGAATAGGACAAAGCGTGAGGTCTTTCTCAAAAAGGGTCCTTATCCTAGGCATGTTTCATATCCTGCTTTGCTAAAATTGCCTCTTTGTTTAAAATTATGAAATCATGTTTTGAACAAATGAATGAAATTGAAAATTCATATGCAATAGCTCTATTGACATGGGAAAATAACGTGTTTGTGTGAACATGATTCACTCACACTGCCTCTTCAGATACGAACAAATCATTTTGTAACATCGGTTTAATTCCATCTTTCTCTCCATATTGTAAAGATTATCTTTCCAACTTCACTTCAGAATAATGGTTATTATTATTGTAAATTGTAGTTCTTCTCCCCTTTTTTCTTAGTCATTATATAGTAGTTGATTATCTCTCTTTCTGCAGGGGTTGAGGTCCCCATTTTTATTTCCAATTTGTGATTTCCAGCTCCGTATTTTACAGTATTATATTTTGTGCACTCGGCTATTGTAAAATGATTTCCTATTGCCTCTTTTGGGGGCATAGATTTGTAGCAATTTAGCCTTTTTTATCCATTCTTCCCAGAAGGCAGTTTGCTGACATTTATGGAGTTTGAACTGTTACAGAGAGTGAGATGTGCTTTGCATAAGGACATTTCTGTCATTGTTCTTGAGGTTAATGCTATGTGGGCTCCAGTGGCCATGCTGAAATGGAGTGTGAGGTATGAATCATTTCATTTTGATTTTTTCAGTGTATCAGAAAAGGACAAGGATGTATTGCTATGCTGCTGATGGTACCAGAAACTCTTATCTGATGATGGTGATGAAGATGATGATGATGATGATGATGATGATAATGTACTAATTATGTTCTGCGTTCAGAGACAGGGGAAGCTTTTGGGTGACTGTCATTAATCTTCTAGCACTGACAGAGACTATCAAATGGAATAAGGTAGGGTAGCCTCAGAGGAAGGAAGGAAGGTCCTCCTGCAATCATATGCAGTTGTCAGGAATAAGTCACCCCTCTAACTCTTTATATTGAGCCTCTCGATAGGGGATATGAAAACAGAGAGAGGTACTCAATGTCTACTCCGTCATTCTCCTTCCTCCCTGGCAAACTGCTTTCCCAAATACCAGATAGGGAAAGGTCCCAAACAGCAGCAAGATTCAGGACTATTGTTGCAAAGTAAATGTGGTTCTTGGATCGATATAAATATCTGGAGACTCTGAAAAAGGCCAAGTGCTTTACTTCAGATAGTTGATGCTTGAGAGCAAACTGCACACAGTCCTTTTGAAGTCAACAGTTTATCAGGGCATTACAGATACACACTTCTTGGGCCTTCGCGAATACACTCATTGAGAGGCAATTTGATGTTATATCTTTGTCTTCTCTAGAGAACGTTATCACACAGATGTCGATTTGGGTAGTGTTTTTATAATTTTGCAAATGAATTATTGCACATTGCATCTACTGTCACTCATAAAAGCCCACACAATATTCCTTGAATTTTAATTCGAGAAGTAGCAGGGGATCAGGGGAAGGAAGAGATTCACCCCTAGGAATAAATGTGTATGTTTTCTCTTATCAGCAAAAAGTATATCTATGTAGGTAAATAATGAAGACAGAATTATACACCTTTTAAGAGTTATGTTTTTGTTGTTGTTGTTGTTGTTGTTGGCTTTGAACAGAGTCTCACTCCGTTACCCAGGCTGAAGTGCAGTGGCACAATCTCGGCACACTGCAACCTCCGCTCCTGGATTCAAGCTATTCTCCTGCCTCAGTCTTCCGAGTACCTGGGATTACAGGCACGTGCCAACACACCTGGCTAATATTTTGTATTTTAGTAGAGACAAGGTTTCACCATGTTGCCCAGGCTGGTCTCAAACTCCTGAGCTCAGGCAATCCGCCCGCCTCTGCTTCCCAAACTGCTAGGATTACAGGCGTGAGCCACCACTCCTAGCCGAGTCATGTTTTCAACCCATAAGAGTTCATAGGTAAAGGATATATACATATATATATATATATATAGCCATCAACAAATGTTGACCTAAATTTACAACTCAAGCTTCCCAAACTACTCAATATGAGCGCTCAGGAGTACCAAATTCTTCAGGGTTTTCTGATGGACTTTGTCTTCATTTATTCTTTATGTTTTATGTTGTGCCTTGTCTTCATTTGAGCGTTGCCTCACAGTCTTTTGGTTTTCAGCTGACACAAACATCAAATTAGTGAGAAGGAAAGTCTTTTGTTGGGGCTGTTTATGCCTGGTCTCTTTGAGAGTCTCAAGTGTCCTGGGGTGTCCAGAAGCCATTTTCTCAGTTATGTTTCTCAGGACACAATTCTGAGACATAAGGAGGCCTAACTGCCAAACTCCTCTTTGGGCTTCCTGCCATGGATTGTATTTCATTTCTAGATAATACAGCGAAAATAGAGCCATCCATACATTGCAGTATCATAGGGCTCAATGACTCATTAGACCTATGAAGAAAAAGGACACAAAAGGAAAAACATAAATAAATGCAAAAACTATATTCTGAATGATTTGGTTCAGTGGATAACAATAATTAAAAGGTGAGCTCACTTGATGAATTTGGGGGAACAACCAAAAGATCATCAAAATTGTAGATGACTCAGAAATAGATTAAAAACAGACCTAACAGGTCACAGAATCTGAATTTCTCCTCTCCACCTTCTAAACATGCCTCGCGATTTTCTTAACCACCAAATCTTTCTCCTGATCATAGACAACTCTCACCCAGGTTGTCAACATATATAAAACTGGTTAAAATGATGAGAGGTCTTCAAATTTATTCAGAGTAAATGCTGCTTTAAAAATGGTCATGCAGCATTGAAAAACGATCATGTGGAAAAAACATACTTGGACTGAAGTGAGACTATATAACCTGTCTGATTTGGGTACAAAACAGTCTTATTTCTTCCACCTTGGTCACAGTGACAATGATAATATTATTATTTTATGGATTTTCTGGACATCTTCCATATGCACAGTTGGATGGTTATTTGATGCATTTATTTTTCTGAGTAGCTGATATTAAGTCAATTCTTGCTCTTGCTACATGAAACTAAGAGCTTTTCTTTCACAGTCACATACCACGGGCTCTGGCTAACCAGCATGCAGGGTCACAGTCAGGTCAAAGAAGCATCCTAAACCCAATTGTGTCTTAATTTTAGAAAATGGAAAAGATCAATATACTCCATGTAGAAGAATAGTGTATTAGTCTGTTTTCATGCTGCTGATAAAGACATACTCGAGACTGGGAAGTAAAAGAGGTTTAATTGGACTTACAGTTCCAAATGGCTGGGGAGGCCTCAGAATCATAGTGGGAGGCAAAAGGCAGTTCTTACATGGCAGTAGCAGGAGAAAATGAGGAAGATGTAAAAGCAGAAACCCCTGATAAAACCATCAGATCTTATGAGACTTATTCACTACCACAAGAACAATATGGGGGAAACCGCCCCCGTGATTCAAATTATCTCCCACCGGGTCCCTCCCACAACATGTGGGAATTATGGGAGTACAATTCAAGATGAAATTTGGGTGGGGACACAGAGCCAAACCATATCAAATAGGTAGGTACATCATGGACCCTGCATGAAAGAGAGTATTCTACAGATTTTAAGAGTCATGTTTTTAACCCATTTCAGTTCATGAGTAAATGATCAAAAATACAATATTGACACATAAAGGCTATTGGTACCATCTATATATTAATTAAGTTTTTAGAGATATATATATCTTTAAGGATAGATTGATAGATAGACAGACAGATAGATAGATAGATAGATCTATATATGCCCCTCATTATACTCTCTCTTGTTTATCTGCCACCATACATAGAAAGAGAGACACAGAGAGAAGGTGAAGAAGAAGGTGAGGGAAGAGGAGGTACGGGAGAGGAAGAGAAGGAGAAGGGGGAAAGAGGTGATAATTTTTAAAAAGCTGCAGTGCAATGCAAAAAAAAAAGCACCAGCACCTACAGAAAACAAACACCCACTTTAATTTTTCCCAGTGGTGGAATTGATTGTTCTGGGACCTGAGTAAAAGAGCAGGGATGTCTCTGTCTATTCTCTCTCTCGAGTCAGTCAGTGTGATGCTGCTGGCCTGTGTTTGTGTTTGAATGAGGAAAGACCTTCACTCTAGTAATGACCTAGCAGTTAGCTTGGAGGACCCTGGACATATTTGTCCAGTTCCATTCAATACTCCCATAAAGTGCCTGTGGTATTATATTAGTTTGCTTTCATGCTGCTGATAAAGATATGCCTGAGACTAGGAAGAAAAAGAGGTTTAATTGGACTTATAGTTCCACAAGGCTGGGGAAGCCTCAGAATCTTGGTGAGAAGTGAAAGGCACTTCTTACATGGCAATGGCAAGAGAAAAATGAGGAGAAGCAAAAGCAGAAACCCTGGATCTCACGTCAGATCTCATGAGACTTATTCACTATCATAAGAATAGCAAGGGAAAGACCGGCCCCCATGATTCTATTACCTCCCCCTGGGTTCCTCCCACAACATGTGAGAATTCTGGGAGATGCAATTCAAGTTGAGGTTTAGGTGGGGACACAGCCAAACCATATCATTCCACCCCTAGCCCCTCCAAAACCTCACATTTCAAAACAAATCATGCCTTCCCAACAGCCCCACAAAGTCTTAACTCATTTCAGCATTAACCAAAAAGTCCACAGTCCAAAGTCTCATCTGAGACAAGGCAAGTCCCTTCTGCCTATAAGCGTGTAAAATCAAAAGTGAGCTAGTTACTTCCTAGATACAATGGGGGTACAGGTATTGGGTAAATACAGCCATTCCAAATGGGAGCAATTGGCCAAAACAAAGGGGTTACAGTGCCCATGCAAGTCCAAAATCCAGTGGGGCAGTCAAATTTTAAAGCTCCAAAATGATCTCCTTTGACTCCAGGTCTCACATCCAGGTCACGCTGATGCAAGAGGTGGGTTCCCATGGTCTTGGGTGGCTCCGTCCCTGTGACTTTGCAGGGTACAGCCTCCCTCCTGGCTTTCATGGGCTGGCGTTGAGTGTCTGCAGCTTTTCCAGGCCCACGGTGCAAACTGTCAGTGGATCTACCATGATGGGGTCTGGAGGATGATGGCCCTCTTCTTACAGCTCCACTAGGCAGTGCCCTAGTAGGAACTCTGTGTGGGGGCTCCAACCTGACATTTCCCTTCCACACTACCCTAGCAGAGGTTCTCCATGAGGGTCCCACCCCTGCAGCAAACATTTACCTGGGCATCCAGGCATTTCCATACATCTTTTGAAATCTAGTGAAGCTTTCAAAACCTCAATTCTTGACTTCCGTGCACCTGCAGGCACAACACCACGTGGAAGCTGCCAAGGCTTGGAGCTTCCGCCCTCTGAAGCCACAGCCCAAGCTGTACGTTGGCTCCTTTCAGCCAGAGCTGGAGTGGCTGGGACACAGGGCACCAACTCCCTAGGCTGCACACAACACAGGGACCCTGGGCCTGGCCCATAAAATACACGTTTTCCTCCTGGGCTAGAGATAACTAGATGAAGCCAGTACCTGGAATAAACATATTCTTTGTCATATTTTTTCTTATGTCTTAGTGACATAAAACTAGACATTTAGTGGTACTTAGGCAAACAGTTGAATAAACAACTAGCAATTAGCAGGAAAACTGGTTGAACATAGAAAGTTTAGTAACCATTCTAGTCAACTCTGTGTTCTTATTTTTTTTGGATTGTTGACTAGGTACTATGGATACAGTAACTAGAGTTACCTGGGTAAGAGTTAAATACAGAATCCTCCATAAAACTAGAATAACTGGTTAAAGACAAGTATAAAATTTCATTCTTCTCAACATTTCTCATTTCTTGTTGGAATAATGAGTTAGTTCTGTTAATGTGTAGTAGTACCTAGGTTACTACAAATCAAGAACTAGGAAGAGATGACTAGACTAGGATAAGTATTTGACACCAGATGGTGAAAAAAAAAAAACCAGTGTTTTCAAATAGAAACTCTTATTTCCTGTGTGATTAATGAGTTAGAATTAGTACTGGAGCTATCTCTATGAGATGTGGATTTCATTTTGGGGGGTGGTACATACTCAACAGATGAAATTTTGGGTCATATGGTAGTTCTATTTTGATTTTCCAAGGAACCATTATACTGTTTTTCATAATGTACCAATAACATTTCTGCCCTGTAAGGGTCCCCTTTTCTGCACAACCTAAAAGGGTTTCACTCTCTCCACACCTTTGCCATCATTACTTTTTATCTCTTGACTTTTTGCTAATACCCGTCCTAACAGGTGTGAGGTGATAGTTCATTGTGGTTCATTTGCATTCTCTGATTATTAATGATGTTGAGCACATTTTCATAAACCTGTCAGCCAGTTGTGGGTTTTCTTTCGAGAAATGTCTATTAAAGTCCTTTACCTATTCGTAAACCAGACTATTTTTTTTTTTTTTTTTGCTATTGAGCTGTATGAGTTCTTTATATACTTTGGATATTAACTCGTTATTAGATATATGGTTCACAAATAGTTTCTCCCAAACCATACCCTGCCTTTTCATTTTGTTGATTGTTGACTGTGCAGAAGCTTTTAGTTTCCAGGCTGCTCACTTGCCCTACATATTTCAGCTTCCTAGACCCCCACAATGTGTGAATGTGTGAGCCAATTGCTTAGAGTAAAGCATATCGTATATAATATTATTCATAAATAAATACCATACAATAGTAAATAGATGTTTATGACATATATTACACACACACACACACACACACACACACACACACTCACACAAATATCCTGTTGGCTTAGTTTCTCCTTCTCTGAGGAACCCAGCCTGATACAAATACCCAGCTGAGCGAGTGTCTTTGCTGATCTTCACCGCCTGAAGCCAGTGCTTTAAACCATGAGAATGAAACATTGAGGGGCACTATGTGGACACTGGGAGAAGGAAGTGAGATGGAAAAGTTCTTTGATTGCATCCAAGAAGTGAATGGTCCTCAAGGTGCAGCAGAGGAATTTGTAGGAGAGAGGGATGATTGATTGACGGCTTTTTTTTTTTTTTTTTTTTTTTGAGGCAGAGTTTTGCTCTTGTTGCCCAGGCTTGAGTGCAATGGCGCTATATTGGCTCACTGCAACCTCTGCCTCCCGGGTTCCAGCGATTCTCCTGCCTCAGCCTCCTGAGTAGCTGGGATTATGGGCATGCGCCACCATGCCTGACTAATTTTGTATTTTTCGTAGAGATGGGTTTTCTCCATGTAGGTCAGGCTGGTCTCAAACTGCCGACCTCAGGTGATCCAGCCACCTTGGTCTCCCAAAGTGCTGGGATTACAAGCGTGAGCCACTGTGCCTGGTCAACTGACGTCTTCATATAGCCCTCCGTCTATCCCAGTTAGCATGGAGGGATTTTAGGTAGGTCATACAGAAACCGGGTAATGATGGCAGGTGTGGAGGAACAGAATGTACCACTGAATGGGAGGTCCGGGGGAAACATGTGGCGGAAATATCCTCCCGTGCCACGTGATCTGCCAAAATTGAACACGGGGAGTTTAGGAGGGGTGACATGTCAGTTTGGGAACTATCTTTAGGGGTGCTAACCCAAATCTCCCTTTCTCCAATTAGAGCACCCTGCCTTCCTCATTAGATGTCACCCCCCCCCCCGCCCCCGACTTCATCCGCCATGTCCTGATGGTGCTTTGTGACGTATAAGGCCTTCCTTCCCGCCCAGGGCGACCATTGGCTGGGTAGTGGAGTGTTGACCAATCACAGCTCAGGGGCGTGATTGTCTCGTCCTGGGATCGCGAGAGGGGTATATACAGGGAGGCCAGGCAGCCTGGAGTTAGCCGACCGTTGCGAGACGTTGAGCTGCGGAAGATGAGTCCAAAGCCGAGAGCCTCGGGACCTCCGGCCAAGGCCACGGAGGCAGGAAAGAGGAAGTCCTCCTCTCAGCCGAGCCCCAGTGACCCGAAGAAGAAGGTGAGTGACCCTCCCAAGCTCCTCCTCGTCTTCCCCTCGCCTCCTTCCTCACAAGAAGCCTCTCCTGTCCTCACTTGGCACAACCCCCCAACCCGGCCCCCACCGCTTCTGAGGACACGTCCCTGTTCCCAGCCTCCTCCATCCTCGTCCCTAAACCGGAGCCCTTCTGTGATCTCCCTGTTGTCCTTCCAGACTACCAAGGTGGCCAAGAAGGGAAAAGCAGTTCGTAGAGGGAGACGCGGGAAGAAAGGGGCTGCGACAAAGATGGCGGCCGTGACGGCACCTGAGGCGGAGAGCGCGCCAGCGGCACCCGGCCCCAGCGACCAGCCCAGCCAGGAGCTCCCTCAGCACGAGCTGCCGCCGGAGGAGCCAGTGAGCGAGGGGACCCAGCACGACCCCCTGAGTCAGGAGGCCGAGCTGGAGGAACCACTGAGTCAGGAGAGCGAGGTGGAAGAACCACTGAGTCAGGAGAGCCAGGTGGAGGAACCACTGAGTCAGGAGAGCGAGGTGGAAGAACCACTGAGTCAGGAGAGCCAGGTGGAGGAACCACTGAGTCAGGAGAGCGAGGTGGAGGAACCACTGAGTCAGGAGAGCCAGGTGGAGGAACCACTGAGTCAGGAGAGCGAGATGGAAGAACCACTGAGTCAGGAGAGCCAGGTGGAGGAACCACCGAGTCAGGAGAGCGAGATGGAAGAACTACCGAGTGTGTAGACGGCCAAGTACTCCCCTATCTCCGAGAGCAGCGACTAAGTTCAGGCCCAGCCGCCAGACCTCAGAGATCTCACCAGCGGGGTGCTTGCCATTCTGAAGATAATAAAATGAATGTGTTGCAAATTGATCTGAGTGACTCTGTGTTCTCTGATGGTGGGGAGGGAGGGAGGGAGGGAGGAAGAGGTGGTGTGTGGGGAGGGAGGGAGGGAGGAAGAGGTGGTGTGTGGGGAGGGAGGGAGGAAGAGGAGGTGTGTGGGGAGGGAGGGAGGGAGGAAGAGGTGGTGTGTGGGGAGGGAGGGAGGAAGAGGTGGTGTGTGGGGAGGGAGGGAGGGAGGAAGAGGTGGTGTGTGGGGAGGGAGGGAGGGAGGAAGAGGTGTGTGGGGAGGGAGGGAGGGAGGAAGAGGTGGTGTGTGGGGAGGGAGGGAGGGAGGAAGAGGTGTGTGGGGAGGGAGGGAGGGAGGGAGAGGAGGTGTGTGGGGAGGGAGGGAGGAAGAGGTGTGTGAGGAGGGAGGAGGAAGAGGTGGTGTGTGGGGAGGGAGAAAGGAAAGAAGGAAGGAACAAGTGGTATGTGGGGAGGGAGGGAAGTGGGGTCCCGTGGGGTTGAGGTCAGGGGGACAGGTCACAGTTAGCCAGACAGGAGGATAAGGATTGCGTCATGGCTGAGCACTGGAGACAAATTTCCCCTTCACAGGATGACTCCGCTTCTTACACGGTTTGTTTCTTCATGCAATCTTGCTAGCACATACACCAAGTACCAAGAACTGGATTCTACCTACTTAGGTTTCACTGTCAAAATACCTTTTCGGTTATAGAAACCTATGGAAGAATCGTTTCCATCTCTTTCCTTTCAGCGTCCCCTCCCTACAATCTAATATAATTAAGAAGAAAAATTCAAAGTAGAGAAAAATCTATCTACTTGAAAAAAGCCTTTTTATTTTTGCAACTCAGGAGACAGAAAGTACAATTCATATTTCCATACATTAGAAATACACAGGTCTTTTCTACATCTAGTAGAATTTACTATATACAAATATATGTAAATTTTTATATAAATAAAATATACAACTATATTTACTATAGACAAACAGATTATATGTTTACATATAAAATATATACATATAGACAAAATATGGAATATATATTTATATATAAAATATATAAGTATAAATAAATGTAAATATAGATTATACACATTAGAAATACACAACTCTTTTTTGTACATAGTAGAACCTATTATGTATATTTATATATTAATATATCTTATGTTTTTATATTTAGATTACATATATAAATATTTATATTCTATATATTATATATAAAACATTAAACATATATTTATATTTATAAATAATATATCAATATAGACATCAAATCTATATATGAAACCTATCTATAAATATAAATACATGAAAATAGATATATATAAATATATATAAAATATATATTCTATATGTGATCATTTATTTTAGAAGGTAAGGTGTTGTGATTGTTGAAGCATCCTTCACAGATTAAAAAAAGAAAGGAAATTATCATTTTAAGAAAAATAAAATAAAAATAAAAAATAAATAAAGTACAAAATTCCCAGTTGTCAATAATTACAATGAGAGAATAATATAGAACTTGCTATATATAGAAAGTATTTCTATATATATTTCTAATATATATATTATGTATATAGTATTTCTAATGTGTATATATGTAATGTACATTTATATATATAATTATATAAATGCACAGATCTTTTCTATATATAGTATAATGCACTGCTGTATTTCTAATGTGTTATATATATTAAACCTATATTTATATATATTTATATAAATACACAGGTTTTATACATATTTATATAAATACACAGGTATTTATATAAACATATAAACACACAGGTCTTTTCTATGTATAGTAGAATTTTGTATAGTAGAATTTATGATACATTTAGAAAAGACCTGTGTATTTCTATATTTATATTTAGAAAAGACCTGTATATTTCTAATGGATATATATATAGTTTGTATTTATATGTATATTTATAGATAAATATATAATCTCTATATATTTATATATCTATTTCTATGTATTTACATTTAGATAGAGATCTATTTCACATATAGATTATATAAATATATTCTATGTAAATATATAAATACATATATAAATATGTAAATATATTTATATTTATGTATAATATATAAATAATATATAAATATGTAATGCATAAAGATAAATATACAATATATAAAATATATATTCTATATGTGATCATTTATTTTAGAAGGTAAGCTGTTAGTATTGTTGAAGCATGCTTCTCAGGCAAAAGGAGAAAGGAAATTATCATTTTAAGAAGAATAAAGTACAAAATTATCACAATTTAATTTCCAGTTGTTAATAATTACACAGACAGAATAACTCATGTCCTTTAATCTTACAATGAATAGCACGTTAAACTTTTATGTGATTCTGAAAATATGAATTTCCATATAATAAGGGTTTGAGATGTAAAGCACTAACTTTATAGGCAGTTTTCACTTGTTACATAGATTGTTCTTAGAGCTTTAAAGATGTTAAAATTAATGGTGGCTTTGAAGAGATGGTAGCATCATTTGAGAAACAATAAATGGGTTCTGTTTCATCCTTTCCTTGGTGCAGTCAGGGCTTCACTTCATTAGCTTAGGAAGGGATTTCAGAGCTTTGCATGTTGATCTTGTAGTTGCCTCCTGTGGAATCCTACGAAACCTAGGACGCTATACCACAGAAACAGGGCCTTGCCCCATGTCCTGAACACCATCATTTTGTGGTATATTTCTTTTGTATTATTTCTTATATGGAAATACCATATAAGAATGAGCATGCTTGGTATAACTCAAAGCCTGTTTATTTGCAAGGCTGTATTGACCCTGGACAATAAATATTTGTATGTTACGGATGAGAAACAAGTCTGCATGAAAAGCTCCTGCTGTCTTTTAGGAAAGCGTATTGGCTGTGGTTGTATATCTCTTTCCAAAGGGAAATTGGTGAACTCTCTGCTATAGTTTTTTCCATAATGACAGCATAAAAACTGAAATAAACTTATCTTGTCAGTGGCCACTTTTGGGGTTGGTGTATATTAGGGAGCACTTTTGCAATGTGTTTCAAAATTACATTCAAGGATTAATTTCATGCACCTTATTTTAATGCCATATTTCCATTCAAGCTCTGCATGTCAAAACAGTCTGTGATGATTCTTTTGGCATTGAAATAATTATCCATGGCACTTAAACCGTGTTTCTTTCATCATTTCATGGCAGTAGGAGCTTCAACTGCTATTTGTTGGGAACCCATCCTGACTAGCTCTTTCACTAGGGCTTCATGTTTTATTGTGATGATTGGCAGACTTGTGTTTCAGACATTTTCAGATTTGGAAAGTTACTATGATTTTGAAATTATAGATGCAAAAATGTCATTGAATTTACTTTCACAAACTTTTAATTCATTATAGACAATAAGAGGTTTAATCAGAAATCAGGCCAGGTGCGGTGGGTCACGCCTGTAATCCCAGCACTTTGGGAGGCCAACGCAGGCAGATCACTTGAGGTCAGGAGCTTGAAACCAGCCTGCCTAACATGGTGAAACACTGTCTTTACTAAAAATACAAGAATTAGCCAGGCGTGGTGGTGTGCACCTGTAATCCCAGTTACTTGGGAGGCTGAGGCAAGAGAATTGCTTGAGCCCTGGAGGTGGAGGTTGCAGTGAGCAGAGATTGCAAGACTGCACCCACTGCACTCCAGCCTGGCTGACAGAGCAAGACTCCATCTCAAAAAAAAAAAAAATAAATAAATAATTTAAGTAATCTTTTAATTTGTTGGAGCATTCACAAATACTACATCTTCATTTAAGTCTCTCTTTATTCTACATGTTATACACACAGTTAAATTAGTTAATAAGAGTGTTAAATACTTTCCCTCCTTCTCCAACTACCCACAATCTCAGGCTTAAAATAAACAGTGGAATGCGTAAAGACCCAAAATAATATAACAGCAAAGGTGCAGTTGACTTTTGTAATCAAATGATAAATATCAAAGCTTCCTGACGTTTTTAGGCAAATCTTCCTGTGTCCCTAAAAGGAGGATCCCCTTGACAGCAGTCATGAACAACAGGTGATCTGAAATTCTCAGCTGTCAAAGACGGTGGGAGAATTTGAAAACACCTTGTACATATTAAAGAGCTAAGCATGAGCTGATGCATACATACATATGTCTCTGTCTCATTAGACCACAGGAAACAGGACACATGGCAGGAAGGCTCACGTCGATTCCCCTTGACCATGCAGCTTCCTCTGCTCCTGACTCCTAAGAACTTTCTGACCTATTGGTCATTCCCAGCTTCAGATCCCCACGCATACCGATTGTTTTTGGCCCCACGTCAGTGATACACACGACACAGAATTGCTCTCAAAAAACACTCTGGAATTGAAAAATGACAGGGGAAGCTCAACGCGATGGCTGGGTGCCAGAGGGAAGGCCTTCCGCTGTTTTGAACACTGATGCTAAGCTCTAGAATAACTGTAGCTGCAGCCTGTTGGACCTGGGCATGTGTCAGGCAGGGTGTGAAATGCTCCCCAAGCACGACCTCATTTCTCCCTCACGTTACCCCTGTGGATTAATCGGGGCTCTAGAGAGACACCACCAACAGGTTATCAGCAAAGATAGATGAGAGGGGATTTATTAGGGGAATTAGAGGGTGAAAAGTCTCAGGACAGGCTGTCTGCAAGCTGGAGCCCCTGGGATGCCAGGAGCGTGACTCAGGTCACAACCAAAAACCTCAGAACTAGGGAAGTGGATGGTGTAATTCTCAGTATAAAAGGAGCCTGAAGTTCTGGTGTTCAAGGGCAGGAAAAGAAGAATCCCAGCTCCAAGAGAGAAAGGGAGGAAAGTGCCTTTCCTTTGCCCTGTTTCTTCTATCTGGGCCCTCAGAGAATTGGATGGGGCCTGTCTCTATTGAAGACATCTTCCCCACTCTGTCCACCAGCTCACGCCAATCTTCCCAAGAATACCTGTGCAGGCTCACCTAGAAACAATGCTTTACTAATTCCTGACGTATTCCTTAAGGCAGTCACGTTGACACCTGAAATTAACCATCACACCCTGTAAAATGGGTAGTGTCCCCACTGGACAAATGAGACAGACAGTTTGGGTACCTTTCTTATACTGCTTATAGGTTATAGAGCCAGGATTAAAACTCAGGTCTGCAAAGACCAAATTCTAAACTCCACCCTCTTAAGGACTGCTGCTCAACACTGTGGAAGCAGTACTGCATTAGACACTGTACGAGGATTGAAGAGGCATTCGAGACACATCCCCTGCTTTAGGGACCACATCTTAGCTTGCATTCATGACAGGAGTCATGTTTCTGTGACTCTACTATAGACCCCGGAACCAAGTGTGAATTGGTACGCTTTAGGTGTGCATACGCTCTGCAGAAATCCTAAGAAAGAGCCAGATAATTATAGGCTCGATTCATATAGGGAAGTTTTTATGAAAACAGCTTTTAGCCAATTCCTGAAAGAAAATATTTTTACTGGCAGAAAAATGTTCTGCTAGAGAATAACTAGTTGAAGGGCTTTGGGGGAAGGGGCTCTGGACACATGTCCACGGAAGTGGGGAAAAAAGACACACAGAATAGAAACAGAATTGGGGACCCTTCAGGAAGAGAAGTAAGGAAAAGTGCTAGCCCAGTAAGCCGATATGTAATTTTGAATCTTAACTAGATTGAGAATTTGGATACAACTCAAAACTAGAAAAGAGTAATTGCACTAAAAAAAAATGGCGCAGAGCAGGGTAAATTAAAATAAAAATTCATTAATAATGAATTAAATTATTCATTCAACAAACATTTATTGGGCACCTTCCATGGTCCAGGTAGAGGGCTACATGCTAATCAAAAAATAATAATCGCTGCCAGGACTGAGCAATGCCTGTGAGTCATCCTTAGACTGGTGCTGGAAGATAGATGGGGCTGTCTTATTCCATCCTGAGTTTACAAGAGATGACCCTGAGGACCAGCCAGGCTAAATAACCTTTTCCAGATCACCTAGTACTTGAACCGAAGCTTGTCTGACTCCAAAGCCCACACGTTCTCTGATACGCCATGCAGCCAGAAAAGGGCAGTGAAGTACTAAGGTTTGCTAAGGTGTTGAGTATATGGAATAAGATACTCAGGAGTATTTTTAAACTTGTGGTAAAACACACACGACACGACATATACACTCTTAACAAATGTTGAGGTGCATGGTACGGTATTGTTAACTATATGCCCATTGTCCTACAGTGGATCCTTACAACTTTCTGGGATGGTTAATATTGTCAACTTGGTTGGGTTGAAGGATGTAAAGTATTGTTCCCTGGTGTGTCTGTGAGGGTGTTGACAAAGGAGATTAACATTTGAGTCAGTGCACTGGGAGAGGCAGACCAACCCTCAGTCTGGGTGGGCACCATCCAGTCAGCTGCCAGCGTGGCTAGAATAAAGCAGGCAGGAGGTGGGAGAAGCCGACTTGCTGAGTCTTCTGGCCTCCATGTTTCTCCTGTGCCAGAAGCTTCCTCGAACATCAGACTCCAAGTTCTTCAGCTTTTGGACTCTTGGACTTACACCAGTGTTTCGCCAGGGGCTCTCTGGCCTTTGGCCACAGACAGACTGAAGGCTGCGCTGTGGGCTTCCCTACTTTTGAGGTTTTAGGACTTGGACTGGCTTCCTGGCTCCTCAGCTTATAGACGGGCTATTATGGGACTTCACCTTGCGATCATGTGAGTCAATACTCCTTAGTAAACTCCCTTCATATATGCATCTATCCTATTAGTTCTGTCCCTCTAGAGAACACTAATACACTTTCTCGTCTTGTATGACTGAAACTCCATGCCCATTGCACCTCAATTCCCCATTTTCCCCTCCCCCAGCCCCTAGCAATGACCATTCTACTTTCTGTGAGTTTAACTATTTTAGATATTTCATAAAAGTAGAATTGGGCAGCATTTGTCCTTCTGTGACTGGCTTGTTTCACTTAAGCATGATGTCCTCAGGTCCATCTGTCCTGTAGGAGTGGTTTCTGACATCCTACAAAGTGAGAGGGTTTTGAAACTTGTGAGACATGCACAAAGGTGGAGAGACTACTATAGTGATCACCATGTTTTCATCATGCAGCTCCAACCACTACAAAAGTCAGCTAATTCCATTTCACCTGTTACCCTCTCCAAACCTGACCTATCCCCTGCCCAACTCAGTTATTTTAAAGCAAGTCCTAGATTACTTTTTAAGTAAACTGACTTGGGCGTGTTTAAGAATTTGCCTCAAGTCAGATGGTTTTGATTTTTTAATTTTTTCCTGGTGACAACAGTAATCCAAGATTGAGTAACAATTATTCAAGCCTTACAGAAGCACACAGAGAGTAACATTTTATAGATGTTACATTTTATAGATCCTCAGTGAGGATCTATATTAGCTATGTGATATATGCCACTGTAAAGCTCTTTCCCACCCTGTCCATGTGCTAATGTTGACCTCACAATGTTGTGAGCTTACGTTGCTCTCTAACGCTGTTCACTTAACAGTATAGCCAGACAATGATTTCATCATGGAACTGAAGCTGAAGATGCTGTTCCAACCTCTGCCTGTTACCCAGTTCCAATGTCGCTTCCACATTTTTCAGGTAACTATTCAGCAACTCCCCACTCTATTGGTACCAATTTACCATATTAGTCCATTTTCATGCTGCTGATAAAGACATACCCGAGACTGGGAAGAAACAGAGATTTAATTGGATTTACAGTTCCACATGGCCGGGGAGGCCTCAGAATCATGGCAGGAGGTGAAAGGCACTTCTTACATGGCAGCAGCAAGAGAAAATGAGGAAGATGCAAAAGCGGAAACCCCTAATAAAACCATCAAATCTCATGAGACTTATTCACTATCATGAGAATAGCACGGGAAAAACTGGCCCCCATGATTCAATTACCTCCCTCTGAGTCCCTCCAACAACAGGTGGGAATTCTGGGAGATACAATTCAAGTTGAGATTTGGATGGGGACACAGCCAAACCATATCAGGTATTATATATATAACATAAGAAATACATGTTTAGTCTCTGGCCCTCAGTTCCTTGCACCGGAACTTGCCAGGAATGCCTAACAACCTCTAGGTAGAGGTGCTAGGAGAATCTTTTGTTCTAATATTTTGTATTTGACCCTCAGTTCCTGACACAGAGCCTTTAAGTCCCTAGGAATGTTTTGGGTGATAGGAGCATCTTTTGTTCTCCTGGTGGGCTCCTGAACAGCCTCACGATGGAAGCAGATTGCCAGGGAAACCAACCATGTCATTAGAGGGTTAGAGCTCCCTCTAGGAAGGGGAGAGCAACTGAAGGTTGAGTTGATCACTTGTCTTAGTCCATTCAGGGTGGTATAACAAAATACCTTGCTGGAGGAGGAAGAAGATGAAGGAGGAGAGGAGAAAAATAAGAAGAAAAGAGGGATGAGAAGGGAGAAGAAGAAAGAGAAGGAGGAGGAGAAGGAAGAAGAAAAGGAAGAGTGGAAGAGGAAGGAGGATAAGATGAAGATGACAAGGAGGAGGAAAAATAGAATCTTAAGAGACATTAACAAATGACTATCTCTAAGTGACAACATTATAGTAACTTTTACTGTTTTTTATTTTCAAGATTTCCAAAATATCATTAACTATTGTCGTAACTGGTACTTTATAAAATTAAGAGAGTGTAACAAAGCTGAAACCCCAAATTTTGTGAAAAGCAAGATGCATAGGAGTCAAAAGCTGCTATTAGGAAAAAAAAAAATAGGGACAGGGCCCCAAGCATTACATGAGGTTAATGTTGGTTGTTTTCTGATGAACACAACACAGGAGAATGTGAGGATCAGGCTTGAGGCTCTACCCTTACTTTCAGTAATAGGGGACAAGAAAATGTCTGCATCAAAGAATCAAGGTTAAGGATAAAGAGGTTTCCTTTTAAGCAATTCTGTGGGCTCACTGCATCCCCAGCAAGATCCCTTTATTTAGTTTCAAGGCATGGAAGTGTCAAACTGTAAGTTACCTATAGTGTAATACCACTCAGACTAAATTTAGACCAGGAAGCGTAGTGCACTCAAAGCAAGTAAGCATTAGTCTAAAAGTGATTGTCCTACTGACAGAAGACATGTTGTTTTGCTACCTTTTCCCCACAAATTACTGTGGTCCTGTATATCAGTTGGGGAGAACGGCACTATTCACTTAGGACAAGTATGAAGAAAATAATTGTTAAATTGTTAAATCCTTACCTTTGGCACCCACCCGAAGAACTGTGCTTTTACACAAATGAACACGAATGAATACGACTTTTGAAAACAGAGCATTCTTACTCCAAGGTAGTGTGTTAGTAGGAAACTTAGATGATCTTGATTGTACTTCAGCAAAGGCATGAGTGCCAGGCAGATGCTGTTCTGACGGCTCTGTGTGGTCTGACAGCTGGTTGAGGTGCCATTGGCATTCATTTGAGATGGTCACCTGGGAAACCGAAATTAACATAGCATCCCTGAATCAGGTAATCATGCACCATCCTTTACCAGGTAGCCACTTTGGGTTTGAACCAAAAAAAGATGAGCTTGAAAGGTGTGGAGCCTGTAGTAGTGTTACTTGAAAAAGACCTTGTCCTTTATCTAGTTTTGTTGGCACAAGAAAATAAGCATATTTCTTGTTAGATCTCTTTTTACGCTAGCTATCAGGAGGATAGTTAAACTCTTCATGCAGCATGACAAAGATTTTTTTCAGACATATTTCAGATAGCTGAGATTCCTTTCTTTGACACACACACACACACACACACAAACAAGTATACAAAGCATATACTTGTATATATTTTAATTTTATACTTTTGATTCCTATTATGTTAAATCTTGGAAATTTTTCAAAAAGCATTTTAAATTATTTAGCTGTTATTTTTGTTTTAATACTGTTATTAAACAATTTCTGTTGTAAACACATTTTCTTATCTCCAAAGATAGCACACACTTAGTCAATGTTTCTTATCTTCTTGGTCATCTTCTCCTCTTCCAAATGTTGAACTCTCCCAAGACCCCATTCCTGACACCTGTTTTTCCTCCAGCTCTTCTGCCTCTGCAGACAATGTTATCCATTCCCATGGTTGTGTATAGCGTTTATATCACGATGACCCCAAATTCTTATCTCCTGTTCTGACTTCTCCTCTAAAGTCCTAAATCCTAAATCTAACTGCCTAATTCGTATCTACATTTGGATGCCTACAAGGCAACTCAAAATCAGCACGTCCAAAATAAAGCTATTGGTTCTAGATCCTACACAAACTCCAGCTCTCTTCTTCAGTTTCTGTGTCTCAGTGAACAGCATGTGCACCCAGGCATATACACGTGATTCCTGTCTTTCCCTCATCTCACATCCATTAACAGGCTGTATTAATAACTCTTGTCAGCTCTGGTTTTATATTATATTCCACATCTGTTCAATTTTCTTCATTTCCACTAGTGTCACCTTATTCCATGCAGCCATCATCTTTCATCTTCGTTCTTGCAAGAGTTTCCTAAATGGTCTTCCAGACACCATTAGCTGAAAATTCCCATACTTTGGGTTATAAAATATTATTCCTTGGATCAAAATTCTCCAGCACTTCCAAACATACTTTAAAATGGAAGCGAAACTCTTACCTAGCCGAGAAGTTCTTATGTGACTCGGGCTTATGCCCTTCTGCAACCTCATTCCCTCTCACTCTCCTCTCAGTCATGATTCCTTCAGTTCTGTTAGCTCAATGTTTTAGTTCCTTAAACACTCAAAGCTAACATTCAGGCCTGAACACTCAGGCTAAACACTCAGGCCTACAGCCTGTTTTAGAAGCTGCTCCCTCTGCCTGGAATAATCTTCCCCAGTATCTTCATATGTCTGAGTTCTTCTCGTCTTTTAGATTGCAATTTATATATCTACTCCAAAAAAAAAAAGAAAGAAGCCAGCCCTGACACTACAAAATGAAGCCATCTACCAGTCAGTCTTCCTAACATTTACCTGACATATTTTTTTCGTGTCACTTATTACTTACTATTTACTTGACTTTGAATAAGTCATCTTTTTACATTTCATATTCTCTGACTTTAAAAAGAGCATATTTCATAAAGTTGATTTGAGTATTAAAGGAGTTAATACACATCAAGTGCTGAGAGTAAATATTCACAGAAGCAATCAATTTATTCTTCCACACAGCAGTCAGTAAATGTTGGTGGACTAGTATTAACTATCATATTATTCAGGATATGAACTAACTTGTTTTAAATTGCAGACGATAAGTATTAATTCTGCCATGAAGTGCCCGTATCCAATTTTCAAATCACCATTGCTGCCTTCACACTCAAGCAGGTCAGATGGCAAAAGCCCTAAAAGTGTATAGCTAAAATTACTACACAATGACACTATAACCGTTCTTGCATGTGTCTTTGGTAAACACATGTACCCACTTAGGTTGGATATTTACCTAGGAATGAAAATACTGGGTCGTAGAGCATGCATGTATTCAGCTTGTAGATACTTCTGAACAGTTTCCCAAAGTTCTTTTTCCAAAATACACATTTATACTATATTTTAGGTATAGTCAAAAGATTTTCAAATTAGCTATCATAAAAAAAATTATCTGAGAATATAATCCATGTGACAAAACATATTCCTATTAGCTCAAAAGATTATTATAATTAGAAAGAAATATATCAGCATAAAAATGATATAGGAATTACAAATTATATATCACTCTACATTTGTAATGCCTATATCACTGTTTGGAATATCTCATTATTTTAATTGTAACCAATTACTCCAGTTGGAAGCGTCACAGCAAGCAGTATTATATATTTTAGGAATAAATTGAATATATCATCCAATATCTCATCCTAACTTCCTACTCTTTCATTTATTAAAGCGTCAAAGTTCCCATTAATGCTCATAAGAATTTTGAATCCACATAAATATATAATTAAGCTGAAGGTGAATATCTTTCAGGTGGATTTACCAGCAAGTATGAATGTTAAAATGATAGCTAATATACATTTCTACTTTTAATTTATTCAGTGCAGTTATGATACTGCTACAATACTCATATTGTTGTGCCATCTATAAGGTTTAAAAATAATTAACATGAAGATGATGTTCTATAATTGTTTTATTGGTTTTTTTATTGTGTGCAAATCTAATATTGCCTCACTATTGACTCCCTATATAAACAAACTATTTTCCAATTCCTTACAGTAGACAAATATGCTTATTCAATAAGAGAAATGAATATATTGAAAACAATTTTGAATAATAATATCTTGTATCTTAAGACACAACTTCAAATATTGTGGCATAAAAATTGAATCTAATAATGTGCCTTTCTAGTGGACTTTACTATCAAAATAAAAATTCTTAGAGTTAACCTTCTATGGTTTGGAGATAGCGCTATCATAAACTTTGTTACTTTGTTGTGTTTTTTTAAGACTCTTTCCCCAGTCTACGGACACAACATATTTAATCTGAGTTGTATGTGATGTGTGGTGTGGTTAATTTATTGCCCCGGTTTACGTAAAGTGTGTTAATTATATTTAATTTGGCATTTTACTTTCACTGTCTAATCAGATTCTAACTATAGAAATTGACAACTTGTGGCTAAATTCATTCTCTTCTTGTGTTTCCAATTGTGTTTTCATTGGGCTCCTCCTTTGTGTCATTTTTTGTATGTCTTTTGATTTGGTCTTACTAATTTACCTGGACGAAGGAGTAAATCCTACAAAAGTACAAATACATTTATCATGGTCTTTATATTGGGAGAACTAATCAATTGGGCTTCATTTTTTAGAATTTGTGTTTTTCTTATGCAATATGGGTTTAGAAGTGGATAGAAAATAAACCCATTTGGAACATATACGAAGCCCAGTGTTGGTCTAAACTTCCTCACAGGTTACTTGAGTCCTGATCCATCACAAATACAAACACATTTAAAAACATAAAGCATTATTACAATGGAATCAAAATACCATGACTAAATCCATTTTCCCATCACAATGTCATTTCTTAGATGAATACAAACAATGTTCATATTAAATAGCCATTTCTATCATGGATATGAGTTTCTGGTGACTTGTCTTTGCATAATAAAAAGATCTCATTTTTACATAAGCAAAACGAGCACCATAACTTTGCATAATTTATGTTTGTATCTTGGCTTTGCTGAGAGTTAGATACAATGGAAGGAACAAGGGCATCGAAACCAGGCAAATGTGAGTTCTAAACCAAGCTCTGACATGTGACTTCAAATTGATCACCATACCATTCTGAGCTGTGGCTCCATCTTATGCAGGATGGAGACAACAATACCTTGAAAAAATATTTGTAAGGCACTTAGCAGACCATAAGGTGAGTTGCCCCTCGAAATGCTTGTAGCAATTTACAACCTTCCATTACCATTTGATAATTCCACTGAATTCTCTACCCCACTGCCCATATCCAACCAGCTGTTAAGCTGTTGCTATTTGATCTGGAATAAAGTCAAAAGTGGCTGTATGGCTTTGAATGCCCAGGTGGCAAGGTGGTATATTAGTCAGTTAAGGCTGCTATAATGAAATATCATAAACTGGGTCGCTTATAAACAGCAGACATTTATTTCTCACAGTTTTGGAGGCTGGAACTCCAAGATCAAGGCATGGCAGATTCTGTGTCTGCTGGACTAAATTCCTGGTTCACAGAGATGGTGCCTTCTTGTTATACCCTCACAGGGTGGAAGGGGCAAGGGAGTTCTCTGGGGTCCCTTTTATAAGGGCACTAATCGCATTCATGAAGACATTACCTTCATGACCTAATCAACTCTCAAAGCCCCCAACTCCTAATACTATCTGGTGGGAGTTAGGATTTCTTTTTCTTTTCTTTTTGTTTTTTTTTGTTGTTGTAGTTTCTTTGAGACAGAGTCTCTTGGTTGCCCAGGTTGGAGTGCAGTGCCAAGATCATGGCTCACTGCAGCCTCAACCTCCCATGCTCAAGTGATCTTCCTGCCTCAGCTCCCCCAAGTAGCTTGGACTGCAGGCACGCGCCTCCTCACCTGGGTAATTTTTGTATTTTTAGTAGAGACAGAGTTTCACCATGTTTCCCAGGATGGTCTTGAACTCCAGAGTTCAAGCGATCCACCCGCCTTGGCCTCCCAAACTGTTAGGATTACAGACATGAGCCACTGCACCTAGCCAGAGGTTAGGATTTCAAGAAAGGAATTTTGGTGACATAAACATTCAGTCTGTTGCAGTGGGTGATAAAAGATGATGCTGACAGTCTTGCAGGGTCTATTTTATGGAGACCCCAAGTGTCGTATTTAATTAAAGCTAGTCTTTACTCTAAAGGGCAAAGGCCTTTGAATGTGCTCTTCCTTTGTCTGGATGTTCTGCTATTCTGCATTCATCCATTTCCTCCCTATTCTCCTCTCTGGATTATCACATACGTAATGCCAACTCCTATTTCAAGGAAACAACACATCTTTTCCAAGATGGAAGCTTTTTAAAAAAAATTTTCTGCCACATTTCATCTGCTCCATTTCAAATTGCTGGTTCCTGATAGATGCCACTTTCTTCATGAAGTTTGACTTGCACCTGTAACTGATTTAGGGACTGTATTAGTCCATTCTCACACTGCTATGAAGAACTACCTAGACTTGGTAATTTATGAAGAAGAAAGGTTTAATTGACTCACAGTTCCACAGGCTGTAAAGGAAGCACGGCTGGGAGCCCTCAGAAAACTTACAATCATGGCAGAGGGTGAAGGGGAAGCAAGCACGTCTTACCATGGCAGAGGAGGAGAGAGAGAGAGACAGAGTGAAGGTGGAAGTGCTACACAGTTTTAAACAACCAGATCTTGTGAGAACTCATCACTATCATGAGAACAGCAAGGGGAAATCCACTCTCATGATCCAATCACCTTCCACAGGGTCCCTGTCCCCACATTGGGAATTACAATTCGACATGAGATTTGGGCAGGAATACAGAGCCAAACCATATCAGCGACCTTTCAGGTGAACTCACATGTACTTACGTCTTCAGACATTCATCATATGACGTTGTAGAAGCTTTTGCAAATGTGTCTGTTTCTCCCCATATGCCTGCATCCCAATAAAGACAGGGATGGCTTTGCCGTTGCTCACCATCATATTCCCATAATTCTACCCTCCTCTCCAGTTAGTTCTCACTATTCTCACTTCCAAGACCCCAGTCCCACCAGCCTTGGACTTTCTCTTGACTAATTTACTCTCCTATTTGAGGACTCAAGTATCATTCTTTATAGGTACAAGCCCTGACAAATACTGATTGGATGGCACAAGAAAGTGAGAAGTATTATATATAAAGGACACAGAGGCGTTTTGGCCACACTTGGCACAAGCCCTGGTCACAACATAGTCTATAGTTGTTTCTGCCATTGCTGCTTAGAATTCATTTCATTTTTCTTCCATTTCCTTTTCAGTGAGTTTTCTAGTTTCCCCCAAAAGACTTATTTAATCATGGACATTGGAGTACTTAATTAATTTCTATTAAGCATGGTTTCAAAATATCTAACACTTACATGCAGGGTCCACTGCTTTCCTTCACTGACTTCCCTGGTGAATATTGAGCTATTTACCTACAGAGCAGGAAATACACATGGTCTCATTAATCTCTACTCTGCCTAACCCAAACCTACTCCCCCGCAAACTCAATGTGAAACAGATTGAGTATTCACTCTCATATATTATTTGGAGAGTACCATTGATTTATACAACTCTTCCTCGGTCAGAAGGGTAGTGATTCATTGGCCCAATACTCAATTTAACTGCAGGGAAAGTTTCTATTTGTTGAGAATACCATTTCCCAATGCATACAACTGTTACAGGGGGGTTCATCTGGTTTAGCCACAAAAGGACTCTCTGCAGGTGTAACAATCTGAAACATAGGAGGACTATTTTGGGAATATTGTCTAAGAATAGGGTAATAGTTCAAAATAAATTGAAACAATTATTAAAGTGAAAACATTTACCCTAAGTCAGAAATTATGCTATTACCAATGTGAAGAAATTTAAAGGCAATATGGACCATATCTCCAGACTTTTCAACAATAATGATAAACAAAGACACACGATTAATTCAGAACTACCACCCAGTCTCTAAGTAATTTTTCTATTAGACAAGTGCCTACTTCTTGCTAAGCAGTTCGCAGCACACTTTTATTATTGTTTTCTTGTGTGCATATCTTAAATATTGATATTAGCTCACCTAACTTCCTAAAATTATATGAACACTCAAAATCTCTACTCATATTTTATGTTTTTTAAAGTTTAACTAAAAAAAATAAAATAAATATAGTTTAGAGAAAACAATACCTTAGTGCCAAAATCTTAAAACCTTTGGTAAAGAAAGGGCTAAGAGCAGTTTAGGAATTCTTTTTCTTGTTTTACTGGGGACGCCAAGGGAAAGAAAGAAAGATGACTTGGGCAATTTACCTGTAAGCTTGCAAATGTCAGACCCCTTGGAAAACACTATAATTTTATCTCTTAGTGGGAGATACCATTACCAAGTTTTTATGATCCACTTTTAGCAGACTGTTGTAACTGGCCTGGTTAGTATTGTTTATAGACTTAGGGACATGGATTTCTGAAAAATGTTACATAAACTATGTAACTGAGTCTAATTGGAAATGTCTCATGAAAGAAGCAACTCCCTTCTGCATGAAAGGTGCTCTCACAAGCACTACTTAGAGAACTCATAGTTGGAACCCAGAGTCAGAACGTGTCCTAATGAAAGAAGAAAGGATTCAAGGAGGAGTGTGGATGGTCCCAAACTTTGTTTTGGCTGTGTGAAATTATTAGTAGCATTTGCCACTGGGCAAGATTTCAGAGTGAGGCTCATTTAGTAGTCCAATATGTCTAAGCTCTATGCTGATTTTATTTTAGAAGATGTTCCTTACTTTTGTCCCTATTTATTTTATATTTTAATATTTTATGCCATAGCATTCACTATCTTTGACATATTCGTTTGTAAAGATGGAAGGCTCAAAATCAATGTACTAAGCATCTAACATCAGAAGAAAAAAAAGAAGAAATAGTAGAGATATGCTCCTTTAAGGATAGTTTTCCTCTTTCTTCTGAGTCTCTTGTTTTTTAATCTCTATTTTGTTTGCCTCAGTCTATACATCATGTTAAAACCTATGTCAACTATTTGGTCTTCCTGGACTGCTCATTCCATGTTGAGAGAGACACACTAAAATGTCAGTTGGTAGCTCCTGTTTTCTAATGGTGACCTTTATGGTACAATAACTCACTAGAAACCTTGCTATTTCACAAGATGACCATCACTCTCAGCATCTAAATTTTTTTCCTTTGGGTTGGTCAATTTCTTGAGAGAGGAATTCTGGCTGTTAGCAGTTGGTGAACAGAGGAAAAAAATCAATTAATGATTGTGTATAAAGAATTTAACCTAATTCAGACTTGCAAGGTTAAGAATGTTTACTTTGAAAAAAAAATCAATAATCATGTTGATATGGAATTTTGCACTAAAAATGCTTGAGGGTGGCAGCCAATAAAGCAATTCCTTCAAAAAACTATGAGAAAGTTATTCTCCACCTAGAACATTACACAATGCCAGGTAAAGTTACCAATCAAATCTGAGCATACAATACAAATATCTTCACATATTTAAAGTCCGAAAAATGTATCATCTTTTCTGAGGAAATTACTAAAGGGTATGCTTTACCAAAACAGAAAAGGACTGAGAGTAAAGAAGTCATAGTGCCAACACAAGAGAGAAACTAAAGAAACTACAGGAGCAATGGTGATAAGAAATTCCAATATCAAAGCTATGCAGCATGTCCAGAGGCAGTGAGTTCAGTGGTTCAAGAACATACAGATGTTTTTGGTTATTTTGAAAACAGATGTATATTTCTGTGGGAGAGGCAGAGACAATTCAAGAAGAGCTATATAAAAATTAGACAAGTAAACAAAAGGCAATTACTAACTCCAAGGAAAACCAAAGAGATGTACTAGAAGGGAATGCAATCATTGTTCATCATATGGTTTGACCGTGAATAATTGAAATATAGCCTTAATAACATAAGCAAAGTATACTTGATTTAGCCAATTCCTGTGTTCATTATCGGTGGAGAGGGAGTGAAAGAAGCAAAATGGTAGCGGAAGTGATAAGAGAGATAAATCAATAAGTAATAGGTGGATAATATCTAAATCCAAAAAAAAAACCATAAGCTTGCTATTCAAAAAAAGGAAGTAAATATCTTGAGAAAACAACTAAAATAGTTAAAAATGCGTGCATTTGCAATGCCAGAAATGGAGAAGAGTGATGGAAAGAACTACTGGTTTTTATTGTAGTCCAATTAGGACAATTTCATTAAAATATGCATACATAAATAATATTACATATATATATAATTTCATTTATGTTGAAATTAAGCATTTTTACAAAATTAAAGGTTGTGACTGCCCTGAGATTTTTTCCCCTATATTGCTAAAGGAATACACGCATTGTTACATGCAAATGTCAGTTTAATTTGCATAATCTTTAAACATTTTTCAACCTCTAAGTTTTGGTATTATTGGGCAAGGCTGTGTCCTTTCATTCTAGATAAACTTCTCCTTTGTGGAGAAAATCTGTCAAAATCTGGCCCATTCTTTCTCAGATTTCATTCAACCCTCTTCTCCCATTTCCTTCACCTTGGCCATGATGAAACCGTCCCCAATATTTTTTATGCTCTGCACCTTTTAATATCAAATTCCTTCACCTGCCCCCAGTAGAATAAAAAACTTGGAATAAGTTTTTTTCTAAGTTTTTAATTCTTCAAGACCAATTAAAACTAAGGCTCCTTTCAGATGAGGCAGTCAATTCCCCTATTACCTTCCTCTGCCCACAATACTTTATTTCCATTCTTTCTCCTTTCTCCTGAGAAAGAATAGTTATTTATTCACATGACACTCTTTCTGAACCAAGATGTTCAAAGGTAGAGACCGTGTCTTATTCCTCTTTACATCCTTTGGGCTGGACTAGCACACTAGCTGGCTCCCAGCAGAAATGCAGGCAATGAACACATTGTGAGTAAGTTAGTGGGGGGATGACCAGCAAAGGTGCAGTGTAAGTGTAAGTCATTCTTCCTCTTCTGCATGTAAAATCTGCCAGGAGCGACTGAATGCAGCGTCCCAAAACAAATATCAAAAACTAACCTACAACAATCCAAACCATTGTTCGAATACTAAATTTTTATGAACCACAGAAGTGAATTAGCTCCTTTATCAATTTGCAAAACATTCAATTTTATGTACAAATATAATATCATTATAATGAGATAGTTTCACAGGAACTGTCTCTCAGCAGAATAAAATTGTTGCTAGAAAGGAAATCAAACAAAATATTATAAGATGTGTGTTTGTTCACTCGGAATGAACTTTCTGAAATACTTCTCTTGAAATATCATTTATATCTCACACTTAATTTGTCTATGCCGTCTCGTTACATATTATTCAGATGAAATATCAATAATAGAAGTTGTTTCTGAATTTTACAGAGAAATTATGTGCAAAGTTCTTTGAGTTAATCGTGAGCTATTTTTAAACTTCTGACTGTTAATGTCCAGAAGGGAATGCTAAGTTGCAGTATTTTCTAAACAGTGTCCACATGTTTACATGGAATTTTGGCTTCTCTTCACCTATCACTCAATGCTGAATTGTTACCCTTCTGTCTTCAGAAAAGATGAATGGAAAGAAAGGACAGAGAGTCCAATATTTCTGTGAAATCTCTGACCAGAAGTGCCGATTCTTCACTTATTTTATTTTTTATTTTTTTAGAGACAAGGTGTTGCTCTGTCACCCAGGCTGGAGTGCAGTAGTGTGATTATAGTTCAACGCAGCCTTGAACTCTTGGATTCAAGCAATCCTCCCACCTCACCCTCCCAAGTAGCTGGAACTACAGGTGTATGCCACCACACCCAGGTAATATTTTAAAATTTTTGTAGAGATGAGGGTCTCACCATGTTTCCCATGCTGATCTCACACTCTGGGCCTTAAGTGATCCTCCTGCCTCAGCCTCCCAAAGCTCTGGGATTACAGACATGAGATACTGCACCAATCCTCCCCTTATTTTTAGATACTCAGCATCCAATACACTACTTGTGTGTTGCATGGTATATCCTTGATACTTATTTTAATGAATAAATGCACTAAAGGAATGTGCAATCTCTACAGATGAAGAAAACCCAGTGATATTAAACATGTTATTAGTTGTTATAAACTGTATTTTATATCCCCATAAAATCATATGTTAAATCTCTAACCCCCAGTGGCTGATATTTGGAGGTGGGGGCCTTTGGGAGGTGATGAGATCATAAGGGTGGTGCCCTCAGGATGGCGTTAGTGCCCTTATAAGAAGAGACACAAAGTAGCTTCCTTCTTCTTTTCCTTCTTTCCAACATGTGAGGACAAATAGAGAGGACAGCCGTCTACAAACCAGGAAGTGGGTTCTTTTCATCAGATCTTGAGTGTGCTGGCATCTCAATCTTGGACTTCCCAGTCTCCAGAACTGTGAGGAAAAATTATTTGTTATTTAAGCCACTCTGTCTGTGACTTGTTATAGCAGCCTGTACTGACCAAGACATACTAACAAATTATGAATAGGTAAAACACAGATGATTTCTTTTTCTTCTTTTTACTTTTTGTATTTCTGTATATTACTAAAAGTTCTTAAAAATCCTCTGAGGACCCTCTACTCAAATTGTGGCAAAAAGACCAGCTGCATCATGGATATCACCTGGGCACCTGTTAGGAACACAAATCCTCAGTCGGCTCTCCAGGTCTACTGAATATGAATCTGCATTTTAACAAGATCCCCTGGTGTTTTAGATGCAAAATTCAGTTTGAGAAGTACTATTTTAAAAGAGTTTGCTGTAATAACTCGTAAAATGAATCTCTCCATTTTTAAAAAAAGTACCTGATATTGCCATTAACTTTTTCTTTTCTTAATGTAAATCCCAAGTATTGAGAAATACTTGGGGAAGGGTATTACTGCCTACTTGACTGAGCCATTGAGAAGTTCATTTTTCATACAACCTTGATGATGGTGAAACACCCAGCCATTTGGTTGCCTGGGGGGAGGGTATTCTGGGGAGAGGAAGTGGAAGCAGGTATTGCCCATGCCTTAGAAGGGCAATTGGAGTGTTCAAGGATCAGCAAGAAGCTTATTTTGGCCGGATTAGAATGATAAAGGGAGAAAGAGTAATAAAGTGGTGGGAGGGAAGTCATGTGGGGCCTTGCAGATCTTTGTAAGGACATTGATGTTTACTGCCAGGGAAATGGGGAATTCCTGGAAAGCTGGAGCAGACAGAGGCTGGCATGATACATTCTATCATAGAACAGTGTCTCTCTGCCTATGTGTTAATAGTAGTCTACAAGGGGAAACATTGGAATCAGGAATCCAGCTAAAATGTGAATGCTGTGCCTCCAGGGTACAATGGAGATGGCTTAGAGAAGGTAGGAGAGAAAGTGGGAAGAAGTGGTCAGATTCTGCTTGTACTTGGAAGACAGACTCTATAAGATTTCCTGAAAGATCAGATGTAGGTTGGGAAGGACAGAAAGAGCTCAAAAATAATTCCTGAGTCTTCAATTGAGTCATTGACATTAATTAACATGGAAAACACTGCAAGGGAAGAAGGGATTTTTACTTTCTTCTTTTTCCATTTTTGTTTTGTTTTGTTTTGTTTTAATTTTTGGTTGTGGTGATGACTTCTGGTTTTGACATGTTAGATTGAGGTGAATATTAGCAACTGTGTAGAACTATTAAGGAAGAGTTGGATGCACAAAATTAGAGTTCAGGTGAGAGGTACAAATTGGAGATAAAAATTTTGTTACCAGCAGACAAATAGGATTTCAAGTCATTAGTCTAGATAAGACCAGGATGGGACTGTGTATAGATATGAAAATGGAAACATTCAAAGGGTAAGGCTGGACCACAATAACATTTAAAGGTTGCGTAGATAAGGATAAATCAATAAAGGAGTCTGGGAAGAAACAACAGGGGAGGTAGAAGGAAAAGAACAGGAGTGTGAGGCATCCACACCAAGAAAACTTCCTAAGGTAAGAAGAGAGATGATGACTGTCAAATAAATGATGCTGTAGGTCCAGTCAGCTGAGGTTTGAGGTTGGCATTGCATGGAGCAATGTGAAGATCATTGGTGATTGAGAAAAACAGCATATTCACTGGTCAGTTGTGAAGAAAACCTGGTTTAGAAGAAGAAATTGGGATAAGAAAGAGATTTATTTGCTTCCTTCCTTCCTTCCTTCTTCTTTTCCTTTCCTTTCCTTTCCTTTTCCTTTCCTTTCCTTTCCTTTCCTTCCTTCCCTCCCTCCCTCTCTCTCTCTCCCTCCTTCCTCCTCTCCCTCCCTCCTCCCCTCCTGCCCCCTTCCTCTCTCCCTTCCTTCTTTCCTCCCTTCCTACCTTCCTCTCTTCCTTCCTTCCTGCCTGCCTGCCTGCCTGACTGTCTTTCTTCCTGTTAGTATTGTAGAGTTCTGGCTTGCTTCCAAATGTAGTGATCTAGTCCTTGGTGACAAGCTGATAATGACAGAGAGAGGGAGACTTGTCAAAGGGATAGAGAGGTCCACTCTGGTGTGAACGTGGGGTGCTTTCATTAGATGGGAGCAAAGATGGTTTGAAATCACAAGAGTGAAGGAAAGAATGTGTGGGCATGATGGCATGTAGGTGGGTAGAGTGGAGGTCAGAGCTTGTGTAATCTCCCTACTGATGGTTTGGATTTTCCTAGTAAAATGGGAAGCAAGGTCATGCATGGAAAGTGAGGATAGGAGAGAGAACGTATCACAGTATTGGACATTTCTGAGGAGACAGGAACAGGTGAGAAATAAGACTTTAGGTCTGTGCTATTCAGAATGTGGTCTATAGACCACCAGCATCAGCCTGACTTGGGAGCTTGTTAGAAATGAAGAATCGCCCCAAAACAAACAAACCAGAATCTGCACTTTATTAAGATCTCCAAGTGATTTCAAAGCCAGCTTTTCTCAAATTTGCACACTGGAATGAATCAAGACTATTCTAAAAATCTGCATGCCCAGGTCACACCCAAGACCAATTTCATAACAATATTCTGGGGATTGAGACCCCAGCATCAGTAGTTTTTAAAACTACCTAGGTGATGTTAACATGAAATCAATTTTGATGACCGAATGCTCTGGGTATTTAAGCAAGTAAATAAACTCGGGATAGCCCCCTTGAGGATAATGATCCTTCTTTAAAGATACCAGTCTTCTAGGCTGTGAATTTTTCTCCAGCTATATATGGCTGTTCAGGTGCAGGTGTGGAAGAGGCAATGAAGTGGATTTAATGAAGGCTGAGATTCTGCCAAGCAACTGAGAACAGCAGATGATGTTCCACTTGCTGTCCCGCCTTCTCTCCCACCCACAATTCTCCTTTCCAACTAGAACAGCTCCCTTTGTATCTGTTCTACATTTTAGCTTTCTGAAAAAGAGTTAAAAGCAAGTGTGCAAGAGTTAAATGCACTGAAATGTATGATGCCTTTCCCCTCTGTATTCATCAGATCAAGTGTCTGACAATACAATGGGCTCCCGCTGTGTATGAGTGTGTGCACATGCAAGGCATAAGATTGATTTTTTTTTATTTAAGCTAGAATATACTCATTAGTAAATCTGTGTGACCCCAGAGTCTTGAATATCATTTCCTTTTTTTTGTTTTGCCTTTCCATTTCTTCCTTTGTTGATTTATACACATTTCCAACTTTTCTTTAATTCTTCATTTAATTTTGATAATTTGTATTTTCTAATGATATTTCTCTAAAATTTTCCAATTTGTCTTAGGGATTTGTACGTAGTGTTGCCTTAGAATCATTTAATATCTTTTCTCTGTCCTATTCAATTTGTCAGGTCTAATTTTTAAATTTTCTCTTTTTTTGCCTTTTTGTTGTATTTTATAGAGTTTTGTCTATCTTGCTCATTGATTTAAAGACTAATTTTCTGGTCTTATGTATTTCAGTTTTCTCTTTTTATGAAATATAAACATACATAAGACTAACATTTATTATAGACAAATTAGACTGATCTGTAGGAAAAGGCAAAACTAGTCATCAGAGACAACCTAGGCATATTTTAAAATGTTAATTATATTTATTATTTTCTTTTTCAAAATTTGTTTTAAGTTTTTGTAGATATACAGTAGGTGTATATATTCATAGGTACATGAGATATTTTGGTATAGGCATGCAATGCATCATAATCACATTATGGAAAATTAGGTATCCATCCCCTCAAGCATTTATCCTTTGTGTTACAAGCAAGATTATTTTAGTTATTTTAAAATGCATAATTAAATTATTGACTATAGTCACTCTGTTGTGCTGTCAAATATTAGGTCTTATTCATTTTTTCTTTTTTTTTCTTTTTTTTTTTTTTGGAACAGAGTCTTGCTCTGTCTCCCGGGCTGGAGTGCAGTGGCACAATCTGGGCTCACTGCAAGCTCCGCCTCCCGGGTTCATGCCATTCTCCCGCCTCAGCCTCCCGAGTAGCTGGGACTACAGGCACCCGCCACCGCGCCCAGCTAATTTTTTGTATTTTTAGTAGAGACGGGGTTCCACCATGATAGCCAGGATGTCTCGATCTCCTGACCTCGTGATCCGCCCGCCTCGGCCTCCCATAGTGCTGGGATTATTCATCTTTTCTAACTATTTTTTGGTACTCACTAACCATCCCCATTTTCCCCTACCCCCCAACTACCCTTCCCAGCCTGTGGTAACCCTCCTTCTACTCTCTATCTTCATGAGTTCAATTGTTTTAATTTTCAGATCCCACAAATAAATAAGAACATGTGATAGTTATCTTTCTGTGCCTGGCTTATTTCACATAACATAATGACCTCCAGTTCCATCAATGTTGTTGCAAATGAAAAGAGCTGATTCTTTTTTATGGCCAAATAGTACTCCATTGTGAATAAATCCCACATTTTCTTTATCCTTACATCTATTGGTGGACAGTTAGTCTATGCATATTCAATAGCTCTCTGTAAAGATGCTTCTATGCATTTATGTACAGACTCTGCCTGCCTATTTGTATTTAAAATGGTCTCATATGACAGTCTTGATTATATCCTTGACTTATTCTTAGTTTGACAGTATAGAGAGTAATCAAGGTGGGGATGGAGTTACGGAGACTGGGATTCAAATGCTCACTCTGCTACTGCTTTGTGAGATTAAATGTAGAGTATTTTTTATCCACTCTGATGATCTTTCTTCCCACATATTTTCTGTAGAAAGCAGAGATGATCACACCTACCTCACAAGGATGATGAGAGTATTGTGATTGCAAGTACTTACCACCTCAAGAAATTTACACCAGTGTCAATGGCCATGTTTTGATCTTTATTATTGTAAGCAAATTGTTTTTCAGTCCCTCAGTATGCATTTTGTGTATTTATATCATATTTTTTACATGTTTCAGAAGTACTTTCGGTGGATTAAAGGATTGAAAAGGATTTAAATAAATAACACTCCTAAAATATAATAGCCAACATGATAAACAATACTCAATATTCAAATGTCATTTTTGCATAGATGAAAAATTCTATTGTTTTAATGTGAATTTACTTAAACCCTTTAGGGTTAAATATTTATTCTTCAATGATATGGAAGAAGAATATACCCATGAAACGTGGATAAGTCCATGTAGCTCCTTTCAAAGCAGATTCTTGGAGAGAATTAATCCCTCCAGCAATGACTTTTCTTCTCTGCATCTGCCACTACTAGTTCTAAAAAACATTATTAAAATTATTTTTATATTGTATGGTTGAGGTAAAGACCCTTCATTAAGAAAGACTAAATGAGAAAAATTAATTCAACTTCATTCACTATATTTAAGATGAATTTTCCTTAAACATGTTTTTGGCAAATTTGGCAAACTGGGCATATGCAAAAGCAATAATTTGCCTTAGGAGAATTTTGCATTAGATGAACCAAATTGTGAAAAGTCAGTTATCCAATAAGTAGAGTTTATGCCACACAGTATAATATATAGTGATCTTTATGATTTTCTTACATTTTCCTTGTTTATTTTTTGCTTTCTTGTGTCAGGAGCAGAGAAATAGGTTATATCTTCAGCTGTCACATTTATTTTAATTTGCCATTTATGGTTTCCTTTCAAAGATTCAGGTTTTCTCCTAACTCATTAATTCACACATTTATTTATATTAGTTCACTGTGCTTTTGAGTTTTGTCCAGTTTTCTTTTCCTATTTGTAGCCAAGTAAGTTGAAAGAATAGTGAATGTATTTTTGTTTCTTTGTTTAACGTAGAAAACTTTTGTGAGTATGAACTTGCCTCTGCATACACATTAACCATATTCTGTGCACTTCAATATTTAGTAATTTCTGATCATCAATGCCACCAAGTGCCACTGTCCTGTTTGCCCAACACGCTCCAGTTTCAGCATGCTTCTAAATGGACATAGTTGCTATTTCCTTTTCCTCTTTAACCCTATTTATTTATTTAAAAATATTTATTTGTTGATGCACTGAACAAGATACAGTAGATAAGATTGGGGAAATAGTCAAAATCTAAATAAATGCATGAATAAAAAGATGCTTTACAATTAAGACAGTGTGATATTAGCAAAAGAACAGACAAATCGATGAAGGAAACAGCATAGAGAGCTTAGGAATTGAGCCCCATAGACACAGCCAAATGTTCTTTGACAAAGTAGCAAAGGCAATGCAATGGAGAAAAGATAGTCTTTCAACATAATGCATTCGTCAAGACTCATAGAATGTACAACACCGAGAGTGAACCCTAAAGTGTGGGCTTTGGATGATAATAATATGTCAATGTTGGGGTGGCTGGGCATGTGTCAGGGCAGGAGGTATAGGGAACTCTATTTTCTGTACAACTTTGCTGTGAACCTAAAACTATTCTAAACAATTTAAAAAGATACTTCAGATAAGAGTTTTTGAAGGAAATGGCTGAGGTTAGTATAGTATGATAGGAAAGAAGGGGAGGGGGCAAATTTTAATAGGCTCTGGGCTTCCTCTCTGAGGGTAATTAACATCCTCTTATTTGGGTAAGTGAAGCTAATTTCCCAGTTGTCAGAGTTTGCTGCTGCTCTTGTGGGGACAGTAATATCATTGCTACCAAATGTTATCAAATTTTGCGTATGTGTGTATTTCCATGTGTTTAGGTGAAAGAATATTTTCAAAATTATTATTATTATTTTAAAGCTTAGTATAAATTATTTATTGCCTAACATGATCCTTTTGGGGAAGCAACATGTATATACTTGCTAAAACGGAAAGAGCACTTTAATTAATTTGCATCTATTAACCAACATTATTGGTCATATTGCTCAAATTCTCCACATTTTTATGTATTTCTGCTGACTTGTTCTGTCAATTTCTGCTGACTTGTTCTGTCAATGACAGAAAAAGTATGTCAAACAATTTAGTATCTTTGTACTTCAAAAAACATGTTGTGAGTGCATTTCAGATACACATGGATGCTTTATCATTCACCTCATAAATATTCATGATGGGAATAGCTCCATTGACATTTTATCTTAATTGAAGAGTGCTTTCAAATTTTGTCCTTGACATATTTTAGTATCAAATGTTTGAGCAAATCAAACTTTGTTCCATTTTAGAGGTTTTTGTTTTGTTTTGTCTTATTTTTAACTTTCTTTAGTCATATGAATTAGGCAAAGACTTGAAACATTCATTTTTATATGATTTCTATAAAGATGAAACTAAGTCAAATTACTTAAAACCAATTTCAGATTGTGAAAACAAAATATAAAGACTTCTTAGTAACCTTTCCTAGGGTGATTTAAACAATTCAAATATCAACCAAAACACTAAATGCAGTTGTTATCATTCGATGTATATTAATTTTGACAGCAAGTTGATGAGATAATCCAGTTCGACTTTTAAAAAGAGAAAACTAGACAAAGAGAAAACATATTGGCATGCACATTCCTTGGTTGAAATACTGATATTTACTTTATATTCAAAGTGCTTTCAGTGTCTGATCAAATCATGGTTTCCATTTTACTATCTCATGCGCTTCAACCTTAGAGATCATTGTATCATGACGTGTCTTGTTTGGTTGTATCCATTTATGTATTTCACTTGGCACATTGGTACGTGTTAATATGCATATTTTTAGAATCCACACAGCAACGCAGTAATGGGTGTGGTCAAGTAAAAAGAATAATTCTTTCAGGGTGGAATCACCATTTGTACAATGCAGCTGTATTGGAACTTCTTTGAAACCCACAGCACACAGCTGAGATAGTCCAATTTTTAAAAAGAAATTTACTATACCAATTTTGCAAGCTCAAGATTTTAGAATAATTTGAAAAGCTTTGAGTTCTACTCATTGCTTATTGTCATTGCTGGCTTAAATTTATTTCCCATCTAGATAGAAATAAAAGGTAAAAAGCTTAATTATTTTGCATCATATTTCATTATTTTCTTTTGTTAGTGGTAATGAAATGAAACACATGTCTGAAGTTCACAGAAAGACTCCTTGGTAATGACTTTCTTTAGGCATCATTGAGTTTTTTCATTTAATCAATAATTTTATTATTTTATGCAGTGCTTTGCAAAGCATTCCCTTCTGTGGGTTTACATATACATGGATACACAACCAGTCTGTGGTTTTAAAACATTAATTCCTGTCAAAACTATTTATGTAATTTTTAAATATTATAAATCCCCATGTTTACTTCTTATTGGCATGCTGTCTTTATTATATTATGGAATATTATTATTTAGACCTGAAGTTTTGACAAATGACGCAAACAAATCTATTGATTCATTCCGTTACATTATAGGAAAAGTCCCTGTTGGTAGCAACGCCGCTGAGCTTCAAAACAGTGGCCTTGTCAGGTAATACAAGCCGTGGCATTTTCTTCGCCTCTTTTGACACATGGTGTAGGATAGTATGCAAATTGGTACAATTCTACAGGGCTGGAGGACAAAAGCAAAAATCAAGATTAAGCAGGGACATTTCCCCCATGTATATTGCTAATACCCACCTAAAGGTAATACAAGACATTAACGGATTATGTGAAATCTCCACTTGTAAAATTTTTTAAAAATTTAAGGGGAAATGTGCTTTTAGTTTCTCTGACTTTTGTCAGAAACTTTTCACCTAAGTAAAGTTGCTCTTTTACTTCTTGAAATGTTTCTTGTATTTATGCTGAGTGAGTTTGACTAGTTTGCCAGCAGCTCCATCTACCTCCTGAAGCAACATTTGAAGATGTTTCTTGCTTTTATAAGAATATATGCTTATATACAAAGGTATGCTTTCTCTCTGTGATAATCCCTCATCCCTCATACCACTTGATACCACTTGTAAATGCATACATATATATACATATATATATATTTTTTTTTTTGAGACAGAGTCTCGCTCTGTGTCCCAGGCTGAAGTGCAGTGGCTCAATCTCCCCTCACTGCAAGCTCTGCCTTTCGGGTTCATGCCATTCTCCTGCCTCAGCCTCCCGAGCAGCTGGGACTACAGGCGCCCGCCACCACGCCCAGCTAATTTTTTGACAGGGTTTCACCGTGTTAGCCAGGATGGTCTCAATCTCCTGACCTCATGATCTGCTCGCTTCGGCCTCCCAAAGTGCTGGGATTACAGGCGTGAGCCACCGTGCCCAGCCTACATATATTTTTTCAAACAAACAAAAGCTTTAGAGTTCTGCAGGCTCACAAAAACCTCCGCTGTTATGAATCATGTTATATTTGAAAGAATTTTAAACCTATTTTTCAGTTCAGTTCTTCTCCTGTGGTTCTTATGCCAAGGTGACTTCAAGAGTAATATCTACATGGCTAATCAAGTTCTGAAATAGAGATTGATTGGTGTTTTGGTCCCCACATGTCCACATGGCATTTTCCTTGACAAATCTACAAAGGCACTGATAGGATTATGGGTCATGGATAAAGGAAACCAGGTCTGTTGTGGTTGGTGCATCTGCTTGGGGGAAGAGCCTGAATCCAGTATTTTTGTAGGAAAGGAAACCGACATTTCCTATGCCGCCATCACTCCCTGTGTAGGCAATCCTCTTAGCAACTTCAAGTAAATTTTGTACTCATTTGGCTGATAAATACATTTGAGTTCAGGAGGTTAAGTGACTTGTAAGTGGCTGAGATTAGGATTTGGTTTGTCTGGGCTCTTGTGACTGCTCCCTCTCTTATTTTCTGTGGGAGAATAAATATGATTAATTGGGTAACCCATATGACCGGCCTGTTTGTAGCAACTGGCAGACAAACCATTGAAACATATCTCTTCATATAGGAAAACTAGAGAGGATGGAGATAAAGACATAAAAATAGCATAGACATTTTAGAAATCTGGATGTAAAAGAGGAATAGACACACAAGGCGAGATGATGTTTGATTATGATACAGAACAGATTCCTAAAACACTTAAATGTAATTAAAGATATAAAAAGGATAGAACAGAACATAAAAAAGTTATGAATATACAGCACTATAATTAGTTGCTTCTTTTTGAGACACAGCACTAGTTTCAGACTTGTCCATTAAAAAGGAAAAAAGAGAGAAGGCTGCTTCTGAAGACAAAGACAATTTAAATGCAGAGCTTGGCAGGTGGCTGCCATTGAGGAAGGAAAAACAGTTAGGATAGCCTTCGAGAAGATCCTCCAAGTGATCAAATATTGTCTAGAGTGCTAGGGAACTTTCACAATTTTATTGGCAATTTAATATAATTCAATCGCAGTCTACATCATCAAGACTTAGTATATTCAGTTCTATTTTGCAGAGAGTAATGAATCTGAAATTTATGTTTGGCAGTACACTCCAGAAAGTAACATTTCCCTTGATGCATCTGCTCTGATAATTTGCTCATTTAACTATACAAATGACACTGCAACTGACCTGGAAAGCCAGTTATACAAGATTCCAACACAGCAGAGACCCTGCAAGCTTCTAAGACTTTCTCCCACTTTCAAATGTCACAAAGACAGATTCTTAAGAGTGTTTCTGAAAAAAATAGCACCTTGGAATTGGTCCATCTTCAATTAAATGATGGTGGTGATCATCCCTATGAAGTTTTGAAAGTCACATCTCTTCTTCAAGAAGGCATTTTGTGAAAGGAAACCAGGATCATTGTATATTGTAAAAGAAAAAAAAAATCTTAAAGATAGACTCCCTTTCTTTTGAGAAAAAAGAAACATGCAATTTTAAATCTTACAAACACTACTGATTTGAACTTAATGTTGACTGTATTAAATTACAAATTTTAAAATGTGGCTTCTTTTTTTAATTAATTAATTAATTTATGTTATTTATTTTGAGAGGGAGTCTCGCTCTGTCGCCCGGGCTGGAGTGCAATGGCACGATCTCGGCTCTCTGCAATCTCCTCCTCCCGGGTTCAAGCGATTCTCCTGCCTCAGCCTCCCAAGTAGCTGGGACTAAAGGCGCACGCTGCCACACCTGGCTAATTTTTTGTATGCTAGTAGACACGGGGTTTCACCGTGTTGTCCAGGCTGGTCTCAAACTCCTGAGCGCAGGCAATCTGTCCGCCTCAGCCTCCCAAAGTGCTGGGATTACAGGCATGAGCCACCGCGCCCAGCCAAAATGTGGCTTCTTTTAGCCCCTTTAAATTAAACTTATAAATATTGTTTTTATTTATAAATCTAGAAAATCTATAAAATAAGAACGATTCTTTTCAAGGGATCATTTGAACAATATTTGTTAAATTCAAATTGAATAGTGTAAATAACAAAGCAGTGATACTATCTATGTTATATGTGTGAGAGGGGCTTAATACCTACATGATGGGTTGATAGGTGCCGCAAACCACCATGGCACATGATTACCTGTGTAACAAACCTGCACATCATGTATATGTACCCCAGAACTTAAAATAAAAATAAAAATTAAAAAAAGAGAGAAAGATCATTTACATAAGTCAAGTGTGAAAGCAGAGTTTCTCCCACTCAGCACTACTGACATTTGTCTCTGGATAATTCTTTGTGGTGGGGGCTAACCCGTGCATTGGAGGATGTTGAGAAGGATCCCTGGTCTCTACTACCCACTGGAAGCCAGTGGTAGTCCGCTTCCAGGTATAACAACCAAAAATGACTCCAGACATTGTCAAATATCCCCCAGGGAGTGACACTGTCCCAGTTGAGAACCACTATGTTAGAATTTTTTCTTGTAATTCTGCCATTAGGAATATTTTTTTCCCCTTTTCTCATATTTTTTATCCTCTGAAATCTTCCTACCCTCACCTCTCAGAAAATGTAAGCTCCATGAGAACCTTGTTCATCTTGTTTAACACACGCAGATCCTAGCAACTTCAATACTTCTTGAATACGTGAATACAAATATAATCAAAATAAATCTGCTCATGCTCTATTTGACTGGATAAAGGATGTGATTAGATTAATAATATATGTAAATCTTTGTGAGTTCTTCTTCAGCTGTGTATTAAATGGAATTTTATTTACTTTGGATAAGTGAACTTTACAAATAATATCAATTGTTCACACTTGCCCTATCTCCCCTCTGCTTATTGGGTTACAAATTCAACTAATAGCCATTGTAGGCAAGGTTGTGGAGAAATAAGTAAGAAACATATTATTATATACTGTGACTGCTTTGTGGTTTATAAACTGGGAAAAACTACAGAATGTCAACATCCCTTGTCAATTGAAAAGGAAAAACACAATTCACATAAACTGGTTGTTTGGCTTTGATTACTTTTCAATGGGATGTTCCAATAACGGAAATGATGTGTTCGTACTTGTGGGGAAAAATTAATGGTGGACAAGCTCATAGACTTCAAAAGAATGCAAATTAATTTAGGCAGTTTCAGGGCAGGCTATACTGGAAAACAAGAATGAAGCAAAATGAGGTATCTGCTTTTATTAAGGGAGGTGCTAGAGCGTGTGAGGATGTGAGTTCTAAGCTTGATCTGAAGCTAGACATGGGCCAGACTCAGCACAGAAGCAAAAATCTCAGCAACACCTGAAATCTAATGTGTTATTCAAGAAAGTGTGGATCCAGGGACTGGCAGAGATAAAAACACCAGGCAACTAGTGACAAAGGTCAGAGAAAGCAGGAGTCCGGTACAGAGAAACTCTATCACTGGAGAACAGACATAGGGGTAGCAGGAATTCAGCTTGCTTGGATGCCAGAGCTTAAACCAGCATCCAGATATGGGAGCTAAGAGTCCAGCAGACTTAGAGAACTAGAAGGGGCTGGTGGTAATGTGCTCCTAGTCTTTTTGGTCCCAGTATGAGGGACTTATTTCCTTGGAAGACTCCCTCAACTGGGCTTCTAGTAGAGCCATCACATGAGAAATGTTTTGGGCTACAGTTGCTAGCAGGCATGCTCCAGCACCTCAGGCTGGACCATACCCTGTCCATCTCATTGTGGGGTTAGAGGAGGCATGTGCCATCTGTTGCTATTGACTAACAGGAAACTTGGTCCTGTTGTACAGGAAGCAAGGTAGGGAGAGAAGGAGGTAAGCAGAGAGGGAGAGAAGAAAGGAGGGTGGGTGGGAGAATATGATGGGTAGTTATGTAAAGATATTACATCATTCATGGATTTTACACAATATGCTTAAGTTAAAAGTATACTTTACAAAGCTGTAAATCCAGAGTGTGTGCAGAGTCCTTTCCTGTAATTGTTCTGTGGATGTCATCATGTTTTGAGATCTTCCCACAATTTTTCAGACAGACTTCCCTAGAACAAAGCATGCCCCCTCCTCCTGTTGCAATCAATACTCTAGTTCCTGGAACAGACAAAATGTGAGAAGCTGTAGCTCTTACAGAATGCTGTTTAATAAGAATGATTTCCAGTCTAAAAGTGTGAAATTTTGGGAACTTTTCTATGCATGTAAGCTATTGCCAGTCTTCTTTGATGACAAACTGATATGGTTTAGCTGTGTCCCCACACAAAACTTACCTTGAATTGTAGCTCCCACAACCGCATGTCATGGGAGGGACCTGGTGGGAGGTAATAGAATCATGGGGGCGAGACTTTCCCGTGCTTTTCTCATAATAGTGAATGAGTCTCATGAGATCTGATGGTTTTATAAAGGGCAGTTCCCCTTCACATGCTGTCTTGACTGCCACCATGTAAGATGTGCCTTTGCTCCTCTTTTGCCTTCCACCATGATTGTGAGGCTTCCCCAGCCATGTGGAACTATGAGTCCATTAAATCTCTTTTTCTTTAATTACCCAGTCTCGGGTATGTTTTTATTAGCAGTGTGAGAATGGACTAATATACAAACATACTCAGGTGTCCTTTGTGGAGAACAATTCTTCCCCAAATCTCCCGTCAAGACAGAACCTTTGTGCCACTCCACTTCATGCTAAACAGTCCAATTGAGAGCTCTGCCTTGCTGTATCTATTTAAGAATTCTTGCCATTTCATTTGCCCCCCTTTTAAAGTCACTTTCTTCTCCCAGTGCTCTCCTGAAGCTGCTTTCTCTGAGGCATCTTATGAATTTATGCTGGTTACATCATTCTCACATCTTTGGTATCTCCAAGGAATTGACCATTCTGTTCCCTCCCGTTTGGCATCAAATGAGCCCACTCGATTTTCCTGCTACTTCCCTTATTATTTACCTGACACCATTGGTCTCTTTGTGTCCCATGAGCCCTGACTGTATTTCTGTGATTCCATTGCTGCAGGCTCCTCCTGATCAATCCCCTCATCTGGCAGTTGCTTGTCTCATTTCCTTCCCTGCTTGCCTCTTCATGATTTTGCCTGAGAAAGCTTCCCTGTTATATTCCTTGAACTTGAATCCCTGGGCTGGGGGGAGTTCTGCAAGAACCTGAGACAGACACCCTGTCTTCTTAGACCCCATCATTCCACCCATTATCACATCATTAGACTCTAGCTTTGCATTCACTGTCACATCTTTAGGTCTATTTATTTCCTCCTGAACCACTCCCTTCTTCCATGACCACCACCACCACCACTCCACTGGAAACCTCTTGCACTGTCATAGCTCTATCACCTCCAGGACAACACATACCAAATTGCCATCCTCAATGCTAACCTTTCTCCAAAGCTCCCAATTGGATTATTTTCAATGAAATGTCTACAATTCCCACATTTAATATACATAAAAGCAAATCCATCTTCTCTAGGCCACACTGTCTCAAGGACTTGTTGTTGTTAATCATTTTCTTCCTCGTATCTTCTGCAAATAGGGTCAAAGCAGCCCACTCCACAGTGCTGAGGTTGGAGCTGGGGGTAGAATGGAGACGTTTAATTCTGGTTTACATTCATGTGATGCCTATACTTAAAGTTATAGTGTCTCCCATAAGACCGCGATACTGGGGAGCTCTTGCACCCAGACATCTGTCCCCTTCACAGGGCAAGAGCTCCACCCAAATCCAAACCCATATTTGTGGTGTTAGCCAATCCTCTCTGAGTCAAAGCAGTTTGAAAGTCCCAATATTTACCTAATTCCTCTTGCTTTAGGCTTTTCTCCAAAACTACTGGTCTGGCAATTCTTTAGAGTCTTTGCAAACTCTTGAATCTTTTAAAGATACTTTAAAATCATATTTTATTCAGATTTTTAAAAATTACTTTCAGTCAGAAAGGAAATTGTTTTGAATGACCCAGCTAGCATTCCTGGAAATTCAACGATTTCTCTTTTCTCCACCATTACTTCAATTCAGAACCTTCTAATCCCATCAGAGAATGATAAAATCATCTCTAAATATGATTTCTTAAGTCATTTCTTGTTCCCACTCAGTGAATTCATATTCATCTTCCTGAAATACAGTTATGACACCTTCCTCCAATACAGTTCTAACACCTTCCTCCTTCCACACTCAGAAATGGTCAATGTTGTTCCGTCGCCAAAGAGTCATTACAAATTCCTTTGTCACAGGAATGCAAGTTTGTTTCCAGGACATGCCCTCATCTAATCTTCCACTTTTCACTACTGTGCATTTAAAAGATGCTTCAAATAAATGAATTCCACATTAGCAAACCTTCTGTTTCTAAATATGTTTGTGCATACACCCCCTTTCTTCAGCACAGAGTGATCTTCTCAGCTTCTTTACAAGGCATCTTATTGCACATAGTGCTTACCCGGCCGCCCATGCAAAGAAGCTCTCCTATTCCCTTGTCTCAAGACTCTTTTGCCTTCAACGATACTTGTATTACCACTTTGTATTCCAGGACTGTGTTTAATATAGCTCATCATTTTGAGTACTGGTATATCACTATTAGGGTACCCTCATCTCACCCAATTACACCTGATGTAGTGCATATGACATGTAGTGTAATCCATCCTTACCCTGAAGATTTATCTTTTTTAAATGTACACATGACTTTTTAGCAATGAAGAAAATTTCAATACAGTTGGTGTCACTCTTACCCAAGTCAACTGGAAAAAGAAGTAACCAAGTCAGGTGTTGAATCATAAGAGGGGTAGGTAAAGAATAAAAGAAAAGCCTGAACAGAAGTGGACTTTTAGAATAAAACTTGGAATAGGTATCACATGATAAGGTAAAGTAAATCCAGGTTTTAGAACTATCTTTCTATGCCTGGGAGAAGGGAAAGAGCTCAGACCCAAATAAGAGAGACTGAGAGTATATGTGTTCAGTGCTAAATTGGCAGTGCTAAGCCTAGAACACAGTTTAGGATTGCAGACTGAGTAGGTTAAATAAAGTTTCTGCTTGTTCATCCATTTTAAGCATCCACAGAACTCTTCTAGGACAATAGTAGGAATCAGCAGACCATAATTAACAACTGCAAGTCATAAAATCAGAAAGACAAGGAACATTTGGCTCAGGGGAAAACAAAAACAAACAAACAAAAACGTGTTCCACAGAAGAGCATCATTCCCCATTGATAAGGTTTGGCTGTGTCCCCACCCAAATCTCATCTTGAATTGTAGCTCCCATAATCCCCACATGTTGTGGGAGGTACCTGGTGGGAGGTAAATGAATCATGGGCGTGGGTTTTTCCCATGCTGTTCTCATGATAGTGAATAAGTTTCATGAGGTCCGATGGCTTTATAAAGGGTAGTTCCCCTGCACATGCTCTCGTGCCTGCCACCATGAAAGATGTGCCTTTGCTCCTCATTTGCCTTCCACCATGATGGTGAGGCCTCCCCAGCCATGTGGGACTGTAAGTCTATTAAATCTCTTTTTCTTTATAAATGTCCCAGTCTCAGATATTTCTTCATAGCAGTGTGAAAATAGACTAATACACCCATGAAAGACACTAACTTCTAACCATTGACTTAAAGCTGTAGGGAAAGAAAATTTGTAAATAGATCTAGTGAGCAAGAGAAGGCAATCATCATTGATTATAGAATTTTCTTAATTTCTAATTTAGTATCATTAACATGCTCTGAAGGAAGAAAGCTTATTTGTTGTATTTTAATGAAAAGAGTATAATTATCTAAGATTTTCTAAATTTGTGTGTGGCCTTGATCACTCTGTTTTCCCATCAGATCTTAAAAATTTGCACCCAAAACGTCCTCTACATGGTTATTAATTGCAGTTGGAATGCACTCTTGTGTTGGCCTTTCATTCACGTATAGCAAGTGAGTGAATGAATGAATGAATGATTAGTGGAATATTATATGAATTTCTTGTTTGCCTTTCTGCCTCTTCAGATACTACCTTCACTTAGAATGATGCTTAAATTAGAAGTGAAACTGGGATTCTTATCTTCTCAGATACAGCATTGCTTTTCAATTTTGTTCATAATTTTCTCCATGAGTTGTTCATTTTAGAAAAACCCTAAACAAATATCAAATTATTAGGCTGATTATTTATAATGTTGACTAATATTTAAATCCATATTGATAAAGTTTATTTGTGTGTGTACATCTGGCATATGGACTTTGCCTTTATTCTGAGTTGTGTGTTTTAGTATTATGCAGAGAGTGTAGCAAATTTACTGTAAGATTAGCCCATTCTGTGAGAAACATCTGTGTACATGGAAGTTTAGCATTCTTATCCAATGTTTGTCTTCAGATTTTACAAAAGCTTTGGAAACTTTGACAACTTTTCTGTTCCTTGTCATATAAAACTTATTCCTTATCCTCTTCATCTTAGAACTACAGTTCAAATTGGAAACGATAATTCAAATATCACATTGTGCTTATAATTTTAGATTATATACATGATCTGTGAAGCAGTGCTGCACACTTCCCCCCAGTCTGATATCCTTCGGAGAAGCAAAGAAATTCCATACAGTAAAATTTACCAAGTCAAATTAATTTTACACGAACACACCAACTCTTTTTCTCAACACAAATAGTTTGAAGACTTGGAGTGCTACTTCAGCATATTTCTCTTCCTCTCTTAGTTACTTACGCTCAGATGTAAGAACTCATGTAAAGATTTGCGTCAACTCTCTACCTACAAACCGTAGGATGTGTTATGTGTTTGAGAATAAATTGGGCTTAAAAGGTCTTCTACCCTTGCAACTTCCCTTCTCCTCCATTTAGGCCCTAGAGTCCATCTTGGGGGAAATGGCACCAGCAAAGCAAGTTTTAACCCCAGTTACCAAGCTGGATGCATGAAAAACTACAGCCTTCCTTTCATATTTCATGAATAGAAAAGAAAACTGAAAGGAGGTAAGCCTTCTGTGCAAGAATTTTGAAGCCTCTGTTTGAACGCAAAATGAGATTCCAAGAGAAAGAAAGAACCAAGTCCAGGTCCAGGGCCATCTCGCGCATTGCCATCTACCTAGAGAACACCACTGAGAAAACGCCCGCCTTCTCTCTTGCATAGACATGAATGAAGGAAGCAGAAAGATGTAGAGGGAGTATTTTCCCAATGCTCATAACTCCTTAACCATGGAGAAGAGTTTTTCTTCTCTTGACAGGAAATAAGAAGAGGAATAATAAGACATAATTCTGCCGCCACTATCAAAGAAACATGTGAATAAGGACTCCAACTAATGGATATAGCTTAAGACATGAGTTTCCAAATATGGATGAAATCGATCCTTAAAATGATAAAAACCAACCCAACTTAAGATTAATATGTTTTCTAAATTAAACACGGTATATTTCTGTTTGTGTATTTCTGCCAACCTGATCCTCAAAATTTGAAAATATTAACACTATCCACAGTTATTGAAGGTGTGGAGGAAAATGTTCTCAAAAAATGTTGAGAGAGTATATCTTGGTACAGCCTTATTTGAAGGGCAATTGCCTAGAATGTCTCAGAATTTTAATTGCGTATGCCTTTGAGCCAGTGATGCTACCTGTAGAGGAATATCCCGTGGAAATATTTGTAGTGTGCAAAGACAGATGCACAAAGATCAAAGAGAATCTAAGTGACCACATGTAGGAAATGATCATATGAGTTTTAGTGTACTCAGACATGGGCAATCTGTTAAAACCAATGGTTCCTGTGGTGTACTACCTAGTAGTAGGAAAAAACACAAGAGAAAGTTGCAGATGAGTACATACCTTATAGAAAGTATGAACCAAATCTATTTTTGTACTAGAAAGAAAAAAAGATACACTTTTGCATCTGTGTACCTACATACAAAGGAATACACACCAAAGAAGAACAGTTAATACTCCTAACATGTGAATATGATGGACTGATTGGAAGGTGCTTTTTTTGTTGTTTTTTAAGCACATATACACTTTGATTTTCAATATGCATCACCATTTGGCATTAAGACATACACAGAATTTTTTAAATGTGCTGCCAGATGTGAAGTTTCTAAAAACACTCAGAATCCATGTAGTAGAAAATAGTTGGGTATTTGCCTGCCGCCCATTGAAAACCCAAATCTCAATGGGTGGCTTGACAGCCATATATAGACATACATATACCTGACTCCTGTCTTGCTTAGAAGAAGTAAACCCATCTAAAACCAATCTGCCCCATGTTGTCAGGCTCAAAAGCTTATTCATTCTAAAATAACCCTGAAAAGAAAATACTTCAGCTCAAATCACAGTTTGGAAATGCTTTGCATGTAGAAAACAATTGTAAAACTAAGTGACTTTTTCTCTATAAAATTTCAGGAATATAATATTTCTATGAATGTTACTGCAGATTATCTGGTGTCATGAATGATATAATAATAAGGCTGCTTATCTGACAAATCTGCCAAATGCAAACAGAGCTTTTAATAAGAGTATTCATCAAGTGTGGGGAGATAGGTCAATTCTAAAAATGTCACCATAATCAAAAAACATTAGGAAGTACAAAAACTAAGTATAATATAAAAATTTAATGCCTATGTAGAGTAATTCAAGTCTTTGCATTAACTCCTCTTTGTATCATTATGTATTCATTTATTTTCAACATTTTGTTATACACCATAAATAAAAGTTTGTTTCTTTCACTTCTCCATGCCTGTTTTCCCATAAATCACCTTCTACTGATAGTCGTAGATTATTCAGGAAGAACAAGATAATGGAGTCTTGTTTTCGAGTGTTTTTCTTTATTCTAAACATTCCATCTGTCTAACTATATTTATGGTATGTAAAACACCTGCTTTTATTTCCAAGGGACAAATATAGTTCTAAAGTCACAGCTGGTGATAGTCTGAGAGGGTGTTCAGATACTATTTCTCAAGCAGGACAGATGGCTATCAAAAGAAACTTTGTAATTTTATTTTTTATCCCCATCAAGAAATTTGGACAAACTCACAGAACTAGAACTGGGAATACTTCAACATGAACAGTACAGGACTACATGTGAGGAATAATCATAGGCATGTGACAATGGAAGAGATCAAACACTAGGATTCCTAATCTCATAAGAATAATGGCAATAGCGTCAATACTTAGGACTAAATGGTGGATGAGCAATGATTTCCAAGAGCCATATGAACTAAACAGTTAGATGTAACTAGCTTTGGCCAGGTCTCCTTCAGAACAAGCAATGGCAGAGAACACTCCCTCCAGTCTGAAAATGAAGGTAGGCATGAAACAGGTAAGTTTAGATTGATTTGTACTAGGATGAGATGTCCAGACCAATAGATGTTTTGGGATCAAAGGTAGGGCTACCAAAAAAAAAAGATATTGACAAACTGTTGGAGACAGTGATATGGACAATTCCTTATGTAAAGGGCAAAGTTAACTCTAAAAGTAAGACTTCACCTGTTGTGTAATCAACTTGGGTAAAATCACCCTGGAAGGTGAAAAAAATTCTGATGACCCACACCATAAATTTGTTGGTAAACCAGATCTTTCAACCTTGGGCAATCTAAAATGCTTCTTCTTTGTCTCCAGGCTGCGTGAGTTTACTGAAACACTCCACACATGTACAATTAGTAAAACTGATAAAAATGTACAAGAAAGAGAGCTCTAAAAATGAATGAGAGAGAATAAGAATATAGATAATGAAGAGACATCATGAAGTTACAGGTATTAGCACTTTTGACCTCCTTAGCCTGAGTGAACCAATCTAATTATAACAATTGTAACATTACCTGTGCTTGTTTTGTCTGCTTTGTATGGCGCTTAAAGCATGAAGAAAATCAGATCTATCAGACTGTGATTTTAATGAAATGATTAAAATTATTTGATTAGGTGTGTACTCAATGTTTAAATGTCTATGGGAATCTAATTTGTTAAATTGATTCGCTTTTGCTTTATTGGCTACATAAATAAATATGGATATTTAAAAGAATGCTACATAAATAAAAATAAACCAGATCAAAAAGTAAAAATGGTGGTGATCTTAATGTGCATAAACTTTTGGGATATTAAGTAATTTCTCAACACTAAAAAGGGCAGATGCCTCAGTATTTCACATTGTTTATAGCTTGTACAAATTAAACTCTGGAAATACTGGTAAAGGAAGGATGAAACTAAAGATGCAATGACCTCTGGAATACGGTAAATACATTATATAAATCTGAAGGATATAATCACTAGTTGAAAATATTGTGGTTTTAACATATTTAAATCGAGTGATAGGAAGCAAAGAAGATCACTCCATGGAAGTATTTATAGCTATTAGTAGAATTCATTCTTAAGAGAGATTTTGACACTGCAAGGAAAACTTGCAATATAATTCAGCAATTAAAGGAATAAGTTGAAAGAATTAAAAATCAAATGACAAAATGTAAAATTGGCAAATATATTATATATACTTTATCATACATCTAGATGGGGTATGGGGCCACTTGAGAAAAAAAACAACATTTTGAGGGTTTAAGAGATGGTGAGGATGAGATCAGTGTTTGGTTACAGATATGTCAAGTTTGAAGATGTTTCTGAGACACCCAACTTGAGGTATTTTGTGAGCAGTTAGATAAACCAGTCTGGGGCCATATGATGGTAAGTCTGGACCAGAGCTAGAAGTTGGGAGTCATCGACTGATGGATTGCACTTGATGCCTGCATTACTCAGCTTAGAAGAGTGAGTGGGAAAAGCAGAGGGTTCACAAGATCATCTGAAGAGCTCTGACCTTGAGAGGTTGTGCAGAAGCAAAGAAGGTGACATTAGACACCTAAAAGAGTGCCCAAGGACTTAGGAGGAAAATGGCAGGAGGGTGCAAGTGTTTGGAGACAGCATGCTAAATACTGCCAGGACATGAAGTAAGGTCAAGAATGAAAAATGTCCCCTGCATTTGTCAACTCAAATACCTCTTTGGTATCACAGCAAGAGCAATCTTGATGGCATGTTGGGGGCATACCCTACACCACGATGGAAGAAATGTTCCTAGGAAATGAGTAAACGGAGGTGGCAGTGGTACGACTACTGAGAAGTTTGGTTCTGAAGGTGAGTAGAGAGATACGGTGGTGCCTTAAGAGGAAAGTGGGGCCCTGGGAGGCTTTTATTTTTCACATGGGGGATATTGAAGCCTGTTAGTGGCGGAGAGTATGAAGGAGAAAGGGAGAGGTTGATGATGCCGGAGAGGGTCTATACATGGTGGAAAGAGCTCCCAGAAAAGGTAAGATGTGTTGGGCTACAAAGTCAACACACATTTCGGGCTTTGAGAGAGGGAGAGACATTTTCTCCATTTTGTAAAAGGGAAAAAGGGGAAGTTGGATATATTGACCGTGAGAAGGTGATGGACTCCCCATTAGATGTGTTTCATTTCCTCCATGGTGTGGAAGATGAGGTAATATGCTGACTCTGAAAAGAATGGAGGCACCATGATAGATAAGGAGAAGAGAGGAAGAACAAAACCGTTATCCCAGTGGGGAAAGTGAAAGATGAATTTACTAGGAAGCACTGGTTACTGGCTCTTTTTAAGTGTTAAAATTAATTTAATAGAATTTGAAAACTAAGATTTTTGCAAAATGTGGATATAATAAAAATATAACCTATAAATTATTTTATAAAGCCTTAACCCTCAAATTATTAACAAACCCCTAAAGTGATTCTATCATCTGAGGTAGAAAGACAAATACTATCATTACTTATCTTTTAAAAAGGTTACTACCAAATGCTCTATTAGTTATTAATAGTATTTTTCCTGGAATGGTAGTGGAATTTGTATATTCATTTTCTATTAATGGCAATAGTAAAGCAATGTTCTCTAATGAGTTCAGAAACTTGCTCACCAACACTACCGTTCTATGTACAGAATGTTTCATAAAATTTCATATCAGAAATAAAACTTTTGATTGGGATATTTTCTGGTTTCTCTTCCAAACTCCCATCCCTCATTTCTTCCATTTTCATCAACCTACCTAACCAAACCTAACCCAGGCAGCCATGACACCAGCAGGCATTGTTGCCATCCTAGGCTTCTTCACTCCACAACCTTCCAGGCTCCCACCTGTCCGGCTCCCACTACCATCGTCCTAGTTCTCTGCTTGCGGTTGCAGACTATTTAAGTGTGGTAGGATGCTATAAAAACATGGTACTGTTTTCACTAATTGTCAAAATACATAATCTCAGCTAGTCTCTTGCATTTTCTCTGGTAGACCCCCACTTTTTCATAGCTGTTCCAAACTTAGATGATTTGCCTTTTATTCTGAAAGACAACAGACCTGCTCATGTTTCTCTTCTCTGTTCCCAAATCCCTTTGTCATAGCCAGCTTCTCTCTCTTCCTAAGATTATGCTTCTCTCGAAGAGTTCTGTCTCAGTCCTCCATCAGTGTTTTTGATCTGCCCTATGCCAACTTTCACCAGAAACTCGCTCAACAAATGGACTGCCTGGGTATTCTCTTCCTGTCTTCCATTCTCTGGCCCTTCTTTATTTGCTGACAAATATGCCCCATTCTTCTTTTTTTCCCATCATCCTACTGTCCACAACCCAAACTAATTTCTATTCACACACCTAACTTTCAATTTTACAGCCCTCTCTCCATGTTTTTAATATCACACAACTTGGGAAAAGTTAGTTTATAAAATACAGCAATGTTGTCTGTATAATCTGTCACTAATTACACACTTAAAAATAAATTTGTATTCCCATCACCATAGAAACCACCATCTTAGCTTTGCTTCTCAAAACTTAATGCGCATACAAATCACATGGGATTGTAGTTAAAAATGTGGTTTTTGTTTAGTAGCTGGGAGATGGAGCCTGAGAGTCTTCATGTCTGATAAGCTCCCAAGGGATGCCCCAGGATTGGTTCACAGACCAGAATTTGAAATGCAAAGAGCCAGTGGATCATCACCCAAAGTCTTGTTATTTTTTTTTTTACAGGCTGTCATTTGAAGATTAAACCTAAAATAGTGTCTATCTATTTTTATCTTTTCCCTCTTTAAGTCATTGCTACTTGTCTTCCAAGTGCGTCTCTCCATACAATCCATTCTCTTCAGTCATCTCTGCGGTGTCACATCCAATAGATTTTTCTTCATCATCTCATTGGCTGCCTCTGCTGAATTCAACACAGACTACTCATACAATGAAACGGTACAACTGTGGCTTCTATGGAGGAAGAGATTCCCCTTATAGCATTACTGGGTAACATTTATGTTGTGCTTTCGAAAAAACCAAGTCATAAAAAGGTTTAAATATTTACCTCTTTCCATGTTGCTTGAGCCACAGGCCAACAAACTGAACACATGATTTAAAACCGAACTGTCAGGATATCCAGCCCCTATGCCCACAGCAGGTCAGGGATGATACATGACTTAATCATGCCCAATCAGAATTCTCTCTTACACTTTCTTTCGGGCCTATTAAAAAAAAACAAAAACAAAAGAAAGCTTATACTCTGTGGCTGTTAAAATATGATAGAATGTGAGTTTTGCTCTGAGAACAGCCATCTCACCCACCATCTGTAGATCTGTTGTGAAAACAGATGGCATTTGAATGCCTTCATTTCAGCTGCTATGCCCAGGTGGCCAGGAGATAGCCCTAGACTGTACAGCTATATGTACTTGTAAATTCCTTTCTCTTTCTTTGATCTCTCTGTGGCTTGTGGTAATTTGTGTTGGGCTTCCTTCACATGCAACAAAAAGTTTTGACAATAATCCCTCATAAATAATCTCTTATCTATAGATTTTTATGAGAAAAAAATAGCTGAGAAAATGACACGTCTACAATAGATAGAAAAATTTGGATATAAACAATCTTAGTAACTGTTTTTAAGTTTTATAAATTACCAATTTAACAATTGGGAAAATAATAAGTTAGCTATGTTTTTATGGGGTTTTCTTCTGTTTGTTTGAGACAGGATCTCATTCTATCATAAAGGCTGGAGTGCAGGGGTGCAATCATAGCTCACTGCAGCCTAGAACTCCTTGGCTCAAGCAGTCCACCCACCTTAGACTCCTGAGTAGCTAGGACTACAGGTGCACGTCACCACACTCAGCTAATTTAAAAAAAAACATATTTTTTGTAAAAATAGGATTTCACTATGTTGCTCAGGCTGGTCTGAAACTCCTGGCCCCAAGCAATCCTCCTGCTTTGGCTGAGTCACTAGGATTATAAGCCTGAGTCACCAGGCCTGGCCAGCTATGTTTTCAATGTCTAAAATGTTACTTAGTACCCTACATATATATTAAGAATTAACACATTGGAAAAATTCAGCATTGTATTGCTCTTCCTGGAATATTTTCAAATGGCTAAAATAAACGAAAGTAAAAATGAAAATAAAAAGAAAAAGATATTTCTCTTTACTCTGTTTTCCTAAAATAAAAATATCTCCAGCCAGGAGCAGTGGCTCATGCCTGTAATCCCAGCACTTTGGGAAGCTGAAGCAGGTGGATCACTTGAGCCCAGGAATTCAAGATCAGCCTGGGCAACATGTGGAAACCCCATCTCTACAAAAAAAATAAATAAGCGGAGCTTGCAGTGAGCCGAGATTGCGCCACTGCAGTCCGCAGTCCGGCCTGGGCGACAGAGCGAGACTCCGTCTCAAAAAAAAAAAAAAAAAAAAAAAAAAAAAAATAAATAAATAAATAAATAAATAAAAATAAAAATTAGCAGGGTGTGGTGGCGCACACCTTTGGTCCCAGCTACTTCTGAGGCTGAGGTGGGAGGATCACTTGAGCCTGGGAGGTAGAGGCTGCAGTGAGCTGTAATTGAGCCACTGAACTCCAGGCTGGGTGACAGAGTGAAACCCTGACTCAAAAGAAAAAAGAAAAAACAAAAAACAAAAAACCTCTAATACCTCTTTAGAAAAATAGGCAAAAGACAGTGAGAGAAAATTCACTGAAGAATTTAAGAAAGTGAATATTAAGAAATTACATATACAGCATGGAATACTATATAGCCATTAAAAAGAAGGAAATTATGTTCATTGCAGCAATATGGATGCAGCTGGAGGCCATTATCCTAAGTGAATTAACACAGGAATAGAAAACCAAATACTGCATTTTCTCACTTACAAGTGGGAGCTAAATACTGGGTACTCATTGACATAAAGATGGGGACAGTAGACACTGGGGATTACTAGAAGGGGGAGGGAGGAGAGGGGAAAGGGTTGAAAAACTGTTGGGTACTATGCTCAGCACCTAGGTTCTGGGATCACTTGTACCACAAACCTCAGTATCACACAATATACCCAGGTAAAAACCTGTACATGTACCCCCAGAATCTAAAATAAAAGTTCAAAAAAAATTTTTAAATAGATTTAAAAAATAGTTAATCTTTTTTGGCTATTACTGAGCATTTATTCTGCCAATTGAATTTTTTTTTTTTTTTTTTTTTTTTTTTTTTTTTTTTTTTTTTTTTGAGATAGGGTCTCACTCTGTTTCCCAGGCTGGAGTGCAGTGGTGTGATCAGGGCTTGCTGCAGCCTCTGCCTCCCAGGCTCAGGTGATCCTCCCACCTCAGCCTCCCAGGTAACTGGGACTACAGGCCCATACCACCACACCCAGCTAATTTTTTGTATTTTTAGAAAAGCTGGGGTTCTGCCATGTTGCCAGGTTGGTCTTGAACTCCTGGCTCAGGCAATCCTCCCACCTTGGCCTCCCAAAGTTCTGGGATTACAGGCATGAGCCAGCGCGCCTGGTCTGGCAGATGAACTTTAACATCTACTTGTCACATTTTGAAAACCAAGGTTCTGAGTGCGATTGCCATTTGTAAAATTTGTGGTTTAATATATGGGTACTCAACACCAATATACAACGTAATTTTCCCATTCAGCAACATAATATGTCTAGTATCACATAAGCAGATTTAATGTGCAGAGTTTTTGAATGTATCTTGCACATTTTCTGTGTGTTGCCATTTTTTTTTGCTATTGTGATTTCATTTTTCTACTTTTAAAATTTCTGGTGATATAAAGTATTATTAATTTCAATATATTCTTATAGACATTTGAGTGAATTCTTTAACTTCTCATATTACTTTTTCAGTTGATTATACTGAAATATTTAGGCATTCAGTTACTTATTTATTCCACAATTATTGAGGATGTGCATGATACTAGAGACAATTTACAAATATAATTGTTAGGTTTTGAAGGGAAGGTGAGGGTTAAAAAAAGACACACACACAGAAAGAGGGTGGCTCAACAGCAAATGCAGGCTTTGTGTCCAGCATAAAACCTAAAGAAGTGGGGGACCAGCTTAATGCCAGAGCCCACCGCTGCTTACAGGCTGGGGGTACTTGGGTTTGGGCAGTATGGCTTGCTGCCTGGCGGGATGTTGATAAGATGTTCCCACGATAAGGTGGTTCTGGTCCTTGTTCTGGCGGGATGTCATCATGGTGTTCCTTGGATCTTTGCCCAGCAAGATATGATAGGGACGTTTCTTTAGTTGGGGCTTTGTCTGCCTTGTGATCAGGTGGTTAGGCAGGATGTTTCTCACGGCCCGAACCCCCGTGAAATGTTTCACTTTGACCAAGGTCAGCACAATAGCGGGGAGCTTACATAAAGGTGCAGTTTGGACTCACATTCTTTCAAGGTTTGCAAAATAGCGGGGAGCTTACAAAATGATGCAGTTTGGACCAACAGTAATGATTCCAGTATCTTTTTTTTCATTTTATTGGTTTTTCTTTTTCTTTGTTGCTGCATTTTCCAAGTCTTGCAGAACAGTGTGTGGAATAGCAGAGATGTCAGGCACACAAGCCTTATCCCTGATTTAATGGGAATGCTCCCATGCTTCATGACCCAGAATGAGGCTTGCCATTTGATTGTGAGTTTTTAAATGGTATTTTACTGAAACTTCTTTTTTATTCTTGAGTATAGCTATTTTATTAATCTATCATGCCCAGTGAAAGAAGAGCATTTTCAAAAGGATGGTCTGCTTTGACTGAATAAAGTCAGAAAAGGGCAGTGTTGTGTCTACAAAAGAACTGTATGGGGATGATGCCAATCTCTCTGATACAGCACCTGGAGCATTACACACAACCCTCACAACAACATCAAAAAAGACTTTTAAAATTTATTATTATTTTTATTATTATCTATGATTTTACATTATTTGTGCCAAAAGCATATTAAACTAATCCAAAAGGAAAAGCTAAAGATCAGTCCCAATAGCACTAGCACCATCAGACAAAACAAAACTACTGTGAGCTAATATCTCTAACAACGTCTTCAAAACAGCAGCTGGGCCATCATGGCACAATCCTGTAATCCCAGTACTTCGGGAGGCCAAGGTGGGACGACCCCTTGAATCCCTCCAGGAGTTCAAGGCCAACCTGGGAAACAGCAACACCCCATCTCTACGTTAATTAGCTGGCTGTAGTGGCATGCACCTATAATCCCAGCTACTCAGAAGGCTGAGGCAGGAGAATCGCTTGAGCTCAGGAGTTCAAGGTTACAGTGAGTTATGCATTCACTGCATAGTGTCACTGCACTCCAGCCTCAGTGATAGAGCAAGACCCTATTTCTAAAACTTAAAAAAAAATAAGAAAAAAGGCAGCTGATTATGATTGAGCAGGCATCATTCGTATCAAAGTCATTGAAGATGTGCATTACAATAGCAAAAATACAATAACTTCCCAGCAAACGGCAATAAACCTCTTGAGGAAATAAAGTCATTTTTTGAATTAATGCAAGGATACTATTGGGAGTGAGGATGGCACTGATCCTGCTATGCTTTTTGTGGGGCCATCTTCCCCCTTAGTCTATAGCACCATAGACTATTTTATTCTATTTATTTTTGTAATTTAATAAAATCCCCATTTTTAACCTTGTTTATTGACTCATTTACTTGTTACTGCTTTCTCACCCAGTAAAACAAATATTCCCTTAAGTCAGGAACCTGCTTTATTTGTTTTCATCTACATATCAAGTATGTAGCACAAATTCTGGCACATAGTAAATTCTCAATAAATATTTATGGAATAGACCAGAAAGCAATGATTAAATACCTTCTTTCTGACCCTTCTAATCCATAGAAGTACTTTGCAAATCACTGATATTTTGAAATGTACATTAAAACTACATTGGTACCCTCTCAATCTTCCCAGTTATAGACAATAATTTAATTACACCATTTAAGATGACATGCAGGCTAACCAGTAAATTGTAGCCACTAAGTAAATGTGATAGATCAATATAGAACATGAATTGTAGAAAGATCTTTAAGCAAAGTATTTTACAATGTTGATTGCATATTCTAACTCCATATGCATTCTTTTTTTAACAGTAAGTTAATTATTTCACTGACAGAGATAGTGAAGGTATTGTAAAACACAATTAAAAATATATTATATACTGTTGTTATATAAAATAACAACAAATGAAAATGAAATCAATTGCACTTTTTCATGCTAGTGGCCTGGTGTACTAAATTGTTCAAGGACAATCTAGCCAACTGATTTTATGTTTATTGTTGCAAGGTGACAATGACCTATGTTAGATATAAAGTATTTGCATACTTACAGGTATATTTACTTTATCTTAATGTCCACAATGTGGCTAAAAAATAAGAATACTTTTTGGTTTATATAATTAATTGATTAAAGAATTTCATCATGGAATGACTATCACCATTTAAGTAGCTTTATATAGATGAAATACATAAACTAAGGAATTTTTATCCATAGCACCCATAGAAAATAATCATGCTTTTGAGCAGAAATAATTTCTGAGATATTCTGTAGCCATAAAGTTAAATAAAACATATCTAAGACTTAAGAGGAGAAAGAATAGGAAATTATTTTAAATAAAGTAGTAATTATTTTTGGATGCCATATTTTTTGTAAAGTCTTTTAAACACAAGTTGAGAATTTCAGTGTCTGTGTTGTTCTAAGTTTGCATTAGAATGTTTTCAAACTGCAGATTGTGATCCATTAGTGATTGTGAAATTATTTAAGTGTAGCATGACAATTTTTACAAATCAAAATGGAATAAAAACCTCAAAAAATATTACACATAATAAAAGTGTTTCATAAAAATTATTTTTATTTATATGAGTAAATAGTTTTACTCAAATTTATATTTGCATATGTACACCTATATGCATATGGAAATATATGTGTAAAATATGTGCATATATGTATTGGATTACCTTATAAAACAGGTCATATTCAAGAAAGATTGGAAGTCATTGAAGAAAATGTTGTACCAAACATTAGAATACATAGGTGGCTATAATATGCAACCAAAATGTATTCAGTTCTTAGTGTGTGAGGAGGATTTTGCAAAGACTGTCAGCTAAAAACAACTTCATGGTGAAATGTAAGGAATGATAATGTGATAAGCCATTTGATCTCCTTCAGCTCCTCCTCTCAGTTTCTGAGTGTTAAGGATGTTGTATTTGAAGGCGGACACTCCTACTCTTTTACCCCACACGTAAGTTCTAGTTAAGCACCAGGTTCCTAGTTGGGAGACAGATGACAACCTCTCCTGTTTTAAAGACACATGTCAAAGCTGCATATTTGTAAATGACAACCTAATCAAAGCCCCTTTATGTTTCCTAACTTTCAATGCTTACTTTAGGAGGAAAGACCTAGGTACCCTAAAACAAGCACAACTGTGCTGCCCTACACAGGAATTTTTTAACATAAGAAATTAATAAAGAAATAATTGTTAAGTTCTCATCTGCTTTTTCACCAGTTGTTGGGCAGGTATTTATATACAGTTCATCTTTGAACAATATGGGGGTTAGGGGTGCTGACTTCCCTGTCCACCACTCCTGTGGTCAAAAATTCACATGTAATTTTTGACTCTCCCAAAATGTAACTACTAAGAGCTTACTACTGACTGGAAGCTTTACCAATAACATAAACAGTCAATTAAGACATACCTTGTATGTTATATGAATTATACACTGTATTCTCACAATCAAGTAAGCTAAAGAAAATATTAAGAAAATCATAAGGAAGATAAAATATACTCACTGTTTACTTAGCGAAAGTGGATCATAAGGGTTTTTGTCCTCGTCTTCACATTGACTGGGCTGAGGAGGTGGAGGAAGAGGAGGGGTTGGTCTTGCTGTCTCAGGGGTGGCAGAGGCAGAAGACGTAGAGGAAGTGGAAGGGGAGGCAGGCACACTTGGTGTAATTTTTACTGAAAAAATCCACATGGACCCTCATAGTTCAAACCCATTTTCTCCAAGGGTCAAGTGTACATTGACTCTAAGTGGGGTCCTTTAGCAGCAAGTAATAGACCCTGGCTGTGTTAAGTCACACAGAGCAGGTACTGGAAGGATATGATATGAACAGTTCCTACTATTGGCAGCTGGTAGGAGAACAGGCTTCTAAAACTCAGCTACTTGGCATCAGGTTGGCCATCCTAGGTCACTGTGGCTGCCACTGTTTCTGAGGTGACATTGACTTTCCTCAATCATTCTCTATTCCAGGTGGCTTCCTTTTCAGGCACAGGTCAGGTGATCAGAGTCCATTTTCCAGTGACATGACTCAAACCTTAGGTCCTCAGGGATGTGTACCCTTGCTTCTGCCATATAAGGTTGCAATGGCTTCCCACTAACTATTCCACTAGTGCTGGTTGTAGACTGGATAACCGGAGGGGTTACCCCAATTTCATGCTCATTCCTCCCTATCCCCATCATATGGCAGCAAATCCATCTCCCCTTGACAAGTACAATAAGATCATCCATTACCATGATTCTGTTCAGCCAGTAGGAGGAGGAACCAGAAATGGCAAAATAGAACAGATCATTTCCCTCACTGGGAGTGATTGGCGCTAGTAACCCCCTTGGATTTGAAATTGTCAAGAGATAGTTCTGACTGAGGTTGATCAGTAGAGCTAAATTGCCTAGTTCCATGACCTTGCCAGGAACCAAGTTTTGGGGTTGATGTGTCCACAGTGTCAATAAGCCCAGTGATCACCCCTTCGACCATTTTACCTTCTTCCTGGAGTAACTTCAGGATTTGAACATGTGTCATCCTGAGCCTTTCCTCCAGGGGGTCCTCTTGTGAGTGGTGGGTGTCCAGGTGAGTGGTGGGTGAGGGGTAATAGTGAAGTCCCTGTCTTGGCTAGCAACAGACACCAGCACATCTCGCTGTTGGACAAAAGGAGAAGCAGCCACCGTAAATCTTCCTCAAGCTTCCTGGCCCTTTCACATTGCTTGTGTGGCCTGAATTATCTCACATGATTGTTTTCTTAGTTGCTCAGGTGAGCTCCGTGAAGGGAGGGATCCACAAAAGTGCCCAGTAGACTTTTGCACGGCCCAAGTCCAATCTTGCAAGGGACAGTTTATGAATCAGGGACCCACCTGCAGGGCCATGAGCTTGGCCATAGCTGGAAGGTCATGTTGCAAAGCCATTGAGCCCATCAAGGGAGGGCTGATATTCTTGGACTGGCTGGAACTGTGGGGCTTTCCAAGAGTAGAGTACGCATATGCACTTTACTAGGTCTGTCCACAAAAGTGAATCTGACTATATAAAGGTTAAAGAGCACTTATAAACTCAGTGAAATCGGGCATTACATAAATGCTGCTTCATCTCGGCACAGTTAAAATGCAGCTGCTGTGACATGTTTTAGGTATGTGTATATGTACATACATATATATGTGCAAGTATGTTTGTTCATATTCATGTTTTTCACAAATTATCTTATTTCAAGATTAAGTTGGATGTGATATTATGACTTGTACATGACTGTGTACTCAGACATGCATTCTAAAGTATGAATAAAGTTAAATCATATTTCTCCCCTCTAAGTCAGTCAAAATGGGGAAATTATACTGAGTTAGGGGATATGTGTGAGGAAAAATAAACATGTGTGTTAGCATTAAGTAAGCAGAGCTTTGAGTTGTGCAGTTAGAAAAAAATTGAAGTGCAGAACTAAGCAAATAAATGGTGAATTCTGCCCAAAGAAACTGTCAATTTGCAAATCAGAATCATGATAGCTGTCTAAAAATCTGTCCACTTTACATGAACTGCAATAACTGCCTTCCTTCCTACTTTATTTAGATAATTACTTCAACTTCTGATTTTATTTTGCTATCACGTAGACAAAATTTAGGCAAGAAAAATCCCAAAACACTGATCTTCCATAGTTAGGCTCCTCAATTGTAAAAGTAATAGACTGGATCCAAAAACTTTCTACGACTAATATTTATAAACATGTTTTTATGTAATTGTATTTATCTTTTTTAATCTTCCAAAAAATTAAAAGCATAATCACTAATATCTGTGTATTTTGAGTGCTCATGCTTGTTTAGAATCAAAATTCAATGCCCAGAGTGGTGAGACTGTATCTTTGCAAGCTTCTAGTATACACACCCTGCACCTGATATTAAGAACCCAGAATTAACAGTTTTTTTTTCTTTCTTACTTTTTAATATATGGCTTGTTCCTTTAGAGCACTATTGAACTTCAAAACCAAACCTATTTTCTCTAATTGTCAATGGAAGCACTGGGTTACCATAGTTACATAGTAAAGTGTCTTATTGAAAAGAAGAAAAGGAAGACTAATGACATTTTTAATGACAGATTCAAATATATAAGGAAATTGCCCCCACAGGGAATTGGGAATTTATCAAGCTGCCAATCACAGTAATTACCCTGCAAACATATCAGTATCTGGGTCAGAAACTCCTTTCAGATTTTCTATATGCCAGTTCTACAATGCCTCAAAATTTTGATCCCACAAGTGAGGCAGATCCTGTTGTGAATGCCTGTTTTCAATTAGTATGGCTGCATGAGCACACACTCCAGCAAAGGTAAGCAGAGCATGCTTGGTAGCATGCTCACAGGAGAATTTGGTGCACCAGCCCCGGAGAGCGCCTAGTGTGCACCAAGTATGTGTTTCATTACACCGCTGTATTCCCCTCATGTAGGAAAGTTGCTGCAGACTGATACGTCAATGATCTTACAGTATTTTTAAAGAAAAGTACCAACACCTGGGTGATAAATTAATCTTTACAACAAACCCCCGTGACACAAGTTTACCTATAACAAACCTGTACACGTACCCCTGAACTTAAAATAAAAGTTAAAAAGAAAAGTACCATCCTCCCACAGGGTCAAATACATATGTAGTCGATACAAGATACTTCAAAAAAGTCTTATACAATGAGATTTGGTTTTGCAGCTTAAATTTCTTCAATTTAAGGGTACATCAACAAGGAATTTATTGAAATACAGTGTATCATACAAATAGAATATTCACATGAAATGATCAAAGGAAGGGGTAAGGAGAAAAGTATTAAAACTGAAAATTTACCTAGTGAATAAGTGGACATAACAATTGAGAATCTATCCACTTCATGTCACTTATGGAAACAACACATTAAGATTAAACTACATGTTTGCTAGAGTAGGAGAAAGTATATACCACAGGGACCATCATTACTCTAGAGTGGGTCTATGCATAACTCCTCAAAAAGAGGCCATCGTTGGTGTTTATGTGCTAAAAGTTGTGTATTTTGGCTTCTGAGAACCATAAAATTGACTCAAAGAATAGTTTCAAAGAGTAAAAGAAGAAATGCGTGACAATTGAAGACATGGAATTAAATTGGTTTGTCTCTAACTGCCTCTTAGTAATCAAGAGTTCTTGCTTGGCAAAACCTCATAAAAACAGATTTAGGATTTAAGACAGTGTCAGTAAATTGGTACAAGCCCATACACAAGTCCTCAAAGTGATGGACAACTACTCAGAAAGTAAAAAACCTGGGATCAGTACAACGTGATTTAAAAATGAGAAGTGAATGATTATTCTGGATTTAATTCTTATTTACTAGGCTACTTGGTTCTTTGTGTTTAGTAGTATTTTATCTATTTAAGTTCCCATAATAGATGTATCCAGTATATAGAACAATAGCTAAATACTCAGAGAGGTATGGCGAGAGAGAGAGAGAGAGAGAGAGAGAGAGAGAGAGAGAGAGAGAGAGAGAGAGAATGAATGACAACCAGCTTGATAATCTCCTAAACTGGGGTGGGGTTTAGGGGAGGAAGATGAGAGGGGATAAGCCTCTTCAAAATCTCCTAGGCTTCTGGATATCTGCCCCTAACTGCACTGGGAGCAACTGCACACACCTGTGGAAAGCAAACTGTTATGGTTTGGCTGTGTCCCCACCCAAATCTCATCTTGAAGTGTATGTAGCTCCCACAATTGCCACACGTTGTGGGAGGGACCCAGTGGGAGGTAACTGAATCATGGAGGCAGGTCTTTCCCATGCTATTCTCATGATAGTGAACGAGTCTCAAGAGATCCGATGGTTTTATAAAGGGGAGTTTCCCTGCACAAGTTTTCTTCTCTTGTCTGCTGCCATGTGAGACATGCCTTTCACCTTCCACCACAATTGTGAGGCCTCCTCAGTCATGTGGAACTGTGAGCCCATTAAACCTTTCTTTTGTAAATTGCCCAGTCTTGGGTATGTCTTTCTCAGCAGTGTGAAAATGGACTAATACACAAACCTTTGTTCCTCCAGTCCTGATCAAAGGTCTTTAACCATGAGTTGCCTATTTCTCAAATCCTTCCTCTCCTACCTAGTTCCTTCAGTTCCAGAGCTACAGGGACACAGCTAAGTCACGGAAACACCCATGCTTCACGTCAAGATCATGCCACATATTCTCCATGGAACCTAAGTGGTGGCCCTCCATTTTCCATGTTCCTCAATTTACCCAAAGAACCTATCCTCCTCCATTTTTTAAAGGACACAACAGTTCACCAAAAATGATTCCTTATCACCTAAGTGTATCCTTCTTAATGACGTTGTCAAATTCTAATAAAGTGCCTCTTATATCCATGTGCTAAGTAATAATTCAAATATTAAAAATAAACACAAATATTACAAGGAGTAATACAATTGAGTCATGATAGATTTTCTAAAAAGGATTTGATTAGAAACTTCCATCAAAAACTATCTAAAACGTGTTTTGCATTATAAACTTTTATGCATTTTATTCAAACCAATTTTCTTTAAGTAAAAACTTAACAGTGTCATCAAAACCACACTGATACAAAGATTCCATTTTCCTCTTGCTTGGGGGAAAAAGGGCTTGGTTGAGTCTCACCAGGTTTGCCAGGGACAACTAGAATAAAAAGACCAAAATTTAAGCTGTAGGATATTGCAGTACAGGTAAATATACACTATTTTTATAATCTAGGTTTTCTTATCACAGATACAATTAGCAGTAACAAAAAATCAGTAGGAAAAATTTAAACTTCAGAAGTTACCTCCACTGATACACTAAAGGAGAGTTTCTCAGCCTTGGTACTGCTGACATTTGGGGCCACGACGTCTTAACTGTGGGACAGTCATGTGCACTGCAGGACGTTTAACACCATTCCTGGCCTCTACCCACCAGATGCCAGTAGCACCACTGGGACATGATAACCAAAAATGTCTAGTACAATATCATCCCATGTGGAAAACTATTAGACTAGATTAAGGGAATCAGTATTTTTATGTCAATTATTCATTTGGGTCCCTAAGTTTTTCTCCACTATTTTTATATATTTCATTACCTCCATCTTTCTAAGCAAATAAATGATTTTATTTAAAATTGCTCTGGGCCAGGCGTGGTGGCTGAGGCCTGTAATCCCAGCACTTTGAGAGGCCGAGGCAGGTGGATCACTTGAGCCCAGGAGCTCAGGACCAGCCTAGGCAACACAGTGAGACTTTGTCTCTGCAAATAATTTTTTTAAAAAAGTAGTTGGGTGTGGTGGCACGCGCCTGCAGTCCCAGGTACTTGGGAGGCTGAGGTGGCAGGATTACCTGAGCCTGGGCGGTCAAGGCTGCAGTGAGACATGATCTTGCCGCTGCACTCCAGCCTAGGGGACAGAGCAACACCCTCTCTCAAAGAAGAAAAAAATTGCTCTGATATCCTACCAAGTTTATTGATGTAAAAAAGAAGTGAAGAAAAAGCAGTGACAGTTAATAAGCAGCAAAAATGGGTGGGCGTGGTGCATGTCTGTAATCCTAGTGCTTTGGGAGGCCAAGGTGGAAGAATCACTTGAGCCAGGGAGTTTGAGACCAGCCTGGGCAACCTAGTGAAACCCTGTCTCTACAAAAGATAAAAAAATTAGCCCCGTTCCTATGGCTGATACATGTTATAAAGTATTAAACAACACACTAAGGAGAAGATGCAACTCCTACCTACAATTATCAATGAACTTCCAGTGCTTGGGAAACACGTTGAATTCTGTGGGAATTTTTAGTAGATCAGAACTCTTCAAATATCACTGAACATAATTACTCACCATGATATCCTGCTTGGCGATATTAACATACAGATCTAGCTGCCCTTTGTCCTGCGGGGAGATGTCCAGTCGTCCACTGAAGGGGGAGATGGTTACTGTCCGGCCGACGGGCAGGATGGGAAGAGCGTTGGTGAGGCCTCCGTCCACCCACTTCTGTGGAAAGAAACATCTCACGTCAGCACACGTCAACAACACATCCTGCACAAAGAAAAGCAGCTTCTAATAATATGTGTGCCTTGGATATGCTTTTAAATTGCTATTTTTGAGGACTAATCCCATTGGGGATCTGTTCTGGGGGTAAAACAAATCTTGGTACACATATCACTTACCAATATAAGAACAACTCTGGACAGAATTTAACTAGATTATTGTCTGTAAGACTTGAATTCTTACTGACTACAGTGCATGCTTAAGAAGCCATGTGTAATTAGATTGGGGTTCATTATTTAATCAAACTAAAAAGTCAAATTTACTGTGGATGCTGAACAAAACATCCACCAGCAGAGGAGGTTCCATTTTTATTATATGAATTGGAAACTGGCATTTTCTGTGGCAAACTTAAAAAGTAAATACAGCAACTAGAAATGCTTCTAATTCCAAAGTGGTTCCTGTGCTCTTGAAGCAAGGGGCATGTCCTGAAGCCATAAGGAATGGGAGTGCTGCATCAAAGCACACATTCCTCAGTAGGCACTCAGTGCTCTCAAGCCCACCGCAAAGGGGAGTGAGTGATGGAGAAGGCGGAGGACAGAAGCCTCCCAAGGAAGAAAATGAAAGAGTCTTGGGGCAATGAGGACGGACAATGAGGTGCTCAAGGTGTGTGCAGCCTCAGCCCCTAGCTCTACAGAAGCGCACAATGAGAAATGGTGACTGAAGAACCACACAGACAATATTCCTTCTGCTGTCTATTCCAAGGCCAAACAGTCTCAATGCAGCCATGATCTGATGTATTCACATGATCAGCTATAGCACTCAATAAACACAACACACATGGAAATAACACCCAAATTGTCTAAGTTTATCTGTTATTAAAAATAGCCTTCAGATAATATACAAAAAAACAAAAAGTCTGGTAACAGTTGAAAGTCCTGTATGCAGGAATCTTTAGTGAAGTTTGTAAACTGAGTTTTGCTTCAATGTGTAAAATGCAATGCAGATAAAACAAACCTTTGTTATTCAACATAAAGGTGGCAAGAGGAGGGAGAAACAGGCCAAAATAAAATGTTCTCAACTCACTTAAAACCATGCATTTATTTCTTCCAATGTGTCTTTTTCATGTCCTTCTTGTGTTTATTTATTTATTTATTTATTTATTTATTTATTTATTTATTTGAGACAGAGTCTCGCTCTGTCGCCCAGGCTGGAGTGCAGTGGTGTGATCTCAGCTCACTGCAAGCTCCGCCTCCCAGGTTCACGCCATTCTCCTGCCTCAGCCTCCCGAGTAGCTGGGACTACAGGCGCCCGCCACCATGCCCGGCTAATTTTTTGTATTTTTAGTAGAGACGGGGTTTCACCGGGTTAGCCAGGATGGTCTCAATCTCCTGACCTCGTGATCTGCCCGCCTCGGCCTCCCAAAGTGCTGGGATTACAGGCATGAGTCACTGCGCCTGGCCAATTGTGTTTATTTCTAAAGCTGATGACAAAATGAGTGGTATTACATTATTTACAAAGGCTCTGGACAGCCACAAACTCCTCCAAAGGAAATAAAAGTAAATAAATAAAAGATAAAAATGGGTTGAAAATTCCTTTTGAGAGAATTGCATTTTGGTGGAGGAGAGAGTATAAGTAGATTGGATTAAAATAAAACTGACCTGCATAATTTGCATATTGTCATTATTTTTAAAAGATATAAAGATTATGATATATTATGTGTTATGTGTATTACACATACTTATTTATATGTGTATGTGTATATGCATGTACACATGTGTTTGTGTATGTGTGTTTATATATGTACCCATATGTATACATAAAATATAGCTGGTTATGTAACTGTATGATCTAAAAGGGAGGTTTGCAAAAAAAAAGGCTCCAAAATATCTGATTCTGTCCCAGAACCTGCTTTTTTTCCCTGATTGCTTTAGGTGTAAATATCAAATTCTGGAATAGGATAATACCCAGAAGGGAAAAGAAAGACAGCTTCCAAAATTATTTCATATTGTCAACAGAAGCTGTCATCAACGATGTAAAAATTCATACAGGTTTCATCAAGAAAAATTAAAGATATGCAACTTTAAGTAACAGCTCTTCTGATTTATTCAACTTAATGAAAAGAAGGGCAATCTGGCTCAGTAAATTAAAAAGTGTTCTAATTTACTGTGGGGTTAATGACTGCTGTTTTAGGGAATCGAAAATCCTTTTTCCAAATTTTGTTCACTCTTGTTAGCTTATTCTGATTAGATAAATGACAAGGGAAAATGTATAGCAGCTTATCAAATCACTTGATTAAACTTGCAATGATACCGGCTCCTTCACAACCCTTGATGCTATAGCCCCACTGCTCAGATATGCTAAATGTGGTACCTCTTACTCCTGATTTATGCTCTCACGAGCTGTATCACTTAGGACAATCACACATTCATTCGGGCATACAGATTCCAGCAGTTTCTGGAAACAACCGTCACAACAACAAATATTCTTCAACCTCCAAATTAAAAGTAGAAACATTTTATATCTTGTGCTCTACTGATAGTTTAAAATCTTGCATAGTAAACACTTCTGCCCATGAATTCTCTGGCTGTTCACAACATATGGCTGTGAGTCATTCCCACCTTCTTGCTTCATGGGCAGCATTTTACATGCTGGTAGCTACTTCCATGAGCTTCTGTGACTCCAAAATTGTCCTTAAGAAAAATAGCTGCTGGTCTACCCCGTTAGAGTTTTCCTGTGTGTTTGTCAGTTTTCATCACATATCACCATCATCCTCAAAGGAAAAGGGAGAGCAAGTACATAAAAATTCCAAGGCAAAATAGTTTCAAAATCATACTCGTTACAGGCTGTACAGTGACCACCTCTCAGTCCCACTGCTAGACCTACTACTCTTTTCTCTAATCTTTGGCCATATTCTAAATGTGTTCCACATTCAAGTCAATGCCTGAGTCCTAAGACATAGAAATAAGCAACTGCTCAATAGAAAAACCAAAAACAAAACAAAAAAACTCATGCCCAATTGTGGGGCAGACATCTACTGTGATTGTTCTCTGAAAGTTATAGCACTGAAAACTGGAATTAATAGAATCACTTCTAAAGAGATAAGGCTACCCATTACACCTAAACAGGCTAGAATATTCATCTGGCAGTACTTGTTAAACTTCGCTTTAGACATTCATGTGTTATGGGTAGCTATTGAGAACATGCCTTATGAATTCAAGTAACTGCTATTACATAACGCAAGTGGAAAACTTAAGAAAGGACCTGATGAGTTAACCTGTACTGAAAGGGCCAGTTTATTCATTCAGCAAGTGATCCCTGAGCATCTAGTGTGTGTCTGGATGTATGGTAGATGCTGGGGATATGTTTTTGATAGAACTTCCATGAAGGGCTCCATTTTCTTAAGGTATATTTTGCTCAAAAAACAAGTGAATAAAAAATACTTTGCTGGAAGAATGAATGTTGCTATCTATAATTATTATAAATACCATGGCAGAGGGCCTAGTAGTTTAAAAGTGATTTCACATGTATAATTTAATATGCGAACCCTGTAAGGCAGAAAGGTCATGCTTGTATATTCAGTTCCCTCATGTTACAGAAGAGGAAACTGAGGCTTGCAGGTTTCCTTGCTATAGTTCACGGGGTGGTAAACTACGACCCACCATCTGCTTCAGTAAATAAAATTTTATTGGCACATGACCAGGACCTTTTGTTGAGATATTGCCTGCGGCTGCTTCCCTCTACTACAGCACAGTTGAGTAGGTGTGTTGACAGAGACAATGTTGAAAGCATTTGCTATCTGATACTTTACAGAGAATAAAACATCTATTGCTATAGAATATACAGGCAAGAAGGGATAGTTGTCTTTTCACTTCAGGTTTTTTTTCTCGCACACTGTAAAATTCAGGGATGCTCGATGGGGCAGGGCAAATTAGAACTGATTTCTGAGGGGTGAGAAAGAAGTAAATGTGCTTTGAACAATAATTTCTTATTTGCAAACATATCTGCATTGCTTTCATGAGATAGCCTACAGACAGCAATGCCCAACAATGCTCTTGATTAGCAATTCCTAAAATAGAAGGGAGAGGGAAAGAGACAAAGAGATATCCACTTCCTTAGACACAGGTGAGAATCTTCCAATTACGGTGGGAAGAAGAGACAGATGAGATTTTTTAATCAAAGAAAGACAAGTAAAAATACAATTCTAAAAGAGAGGTTGAGAAACCTGCCATACTAACCTCTACTAAGCATTGATTCTTGGTGCATTGCTTTCTTGGTTTTTGCATGTGTGAAGGATGATTAAAAATGATGACTCCAGATATCTACTTTTGAGAAGGCTCTAAAGGGTTAACAGTTGACCATCTATAAACACCATACAGAAAATTTTTCCTAGAGGACTAACATGTTGTTTCAAAAATTAAACAGACAGTGCAAAAAAATCTAAAAAGTGACTGAAGAATAAGAGCGTCTATTTCAGAATAACTAGAAATTGATATCCAGGTTTCCATCCAGCCAAATCTAGCTGGTGGCAAGGCCAGCTACCACTGTTTGCTATGACAGTGACAGAGCTGCATTTCCATGTAAAAAGTCTAAGCCACGAGGAAATAGAAGCCTAAGGACCACAGTATCAACCTCATATAAAAGCACAGTTACATGGAGTATTCCACAATTCTCTTTCCCACACAAGTGTCAATAATGAAAGGAAAAATGACCCATATCCGCATGGACTAGGGTAATACAACAGTGCATTTTCACGTTCCTGTAATAGTATATACTTAATCTTAACCAAAAGGCCAAGAAGCGATCTTGTAATACTACACAGTCAAAATATTACTTGAATTCCAACTCAGATGAAAGAAACAATGCAAAATCCTACAGCTTTTCTTTTCTTTTTTTTTTCAGACAGAGTTTCACTCTTGTTGCCCAAGCTGGAGTGCCATGGCATGATCTCTGCTCACTGCAACCTCTGCCTCCTGGGTTCAAGCAATTCTCCTGCTTCAGCCTCCCGAGTAGCTGGAATTACAGGCATGCGCCACCATGCCCGGCTAATTTTTTGTATTTTTAGTAGAAACAGGGTTTCACCACGTTAGCCAGGCTGGTCTCGAACTCCTGATCTCAGGTGATCCGCCCGCCTCAGCCTCCCAAAGTGCTAGAATTACAGGCGTGAGCCACTGTGCCCAGCCAACCCTACAGCTTTTCTTCTGATCTGCATGTGCCAGTTCTGGAGATGATTTTATTCTGATATTTTAGTCACCTGCCAATGCTAATTCTATCTCTTAAAACAAATGAGTTAAGAATTCCTCTTGAAAATTTTCATTCTTATTCCAAATTGACAAGAATCTGTGAAAACATGGCCTAAATGTGTGAACATTCCTGTGGATTTATTCTACCACTGGAAAGAGTTCATATGTAGTAAAGAAAAATCATTAGTCAAAAATATAGGACTAAACTTCAATTTATTTCCATTCATTCACTGACAAATCTATTAATGAGTATGTACTATAAGGTATCAAAATAGTCATAAGATGAAGCCAGAGAAAGCTACAGAACTTTTTAAAATAATATTTTTTAAAAAGCAGTTTTCTTTCTTTCTTTTTTTTTTTTAAACAGGGTTTCACTCTGTTGCCCAGGCTGGAGTACGGTGGTGTGATCATAGCTCACTGTAGCCTCAACCTCCCCAGGCTCAGGTGATCCTCCCACCTCGGCCTCCAAAGTAGCTGGGACTATAGGCACATGCCACTATGCCTGGCTAATTTTTGTTTTTTTTTTTTTGTAGAGACAGGGTTTTGCCATGTTTCCCAAGTTAAAAAGAAAAAGCAATTTTCAAAGACATCATTCCACTTTAAATCACTGGTAGAGGGTTTTGAAAGGACTCATACTGGTATTTGCTGTGGTTGAAATTAATCTTAAGTCTTATTAAGGTATGATTCTTCTAAGCGATTAATAAAAACATTTTTTAATGCACATATTGGATCCACAAATATATCTTAATAAAATCCAGTAATACCCGCAATGTAGAAATGAGGAGGTCTGTGTATTTAACAAAAGTCACAAGTGGAGAGACTAGACTCTGCCCCTGTTGGCTGAGTCCCACTTTCTCTGCCTTTCCTGACTCAGTGCCACAAATATAAGTAACGCTAAGTCCCTTTTTCCCCTTCTGCCACCTCCACTTTCGTCACTTCAGAAAAACAACTAAAGACAACAAATACATCAAAACCTGAGCTGTATGAAAACATGAAAATCTAGAAAATAAGAGGTGTATTCAGCACAACTGAAATGTTTATGTAATTTAAGTCACATAAAAAGCTTATACCCACATTAAAACACTGCATTTAAAGCAACATTCACGCTTCCCTGAAAATGGAAAGGAAAGATTCTAGAAAACAACTCGGCATGGAAGCCCTATTAGAATGTGGGAGGTGATCAGGCTTAAAGAGAGTTAGTGTTAAGCAGAGAATGGCACTTCTAAATTGTCCCTTTCTGGTGTTATAAACAATGCAAGGCCGCTGTGGCTCTCTGTCAATCATGTGCATGAGGCCCCCTTATTGTGGACTCCATTAAACAACAGAGGAAAACTGAATGCTTTCAGGAGACATAAGGTTCAACTCTACAAGTAATTATTGGTGTGCCTCCTATGCACAGACACCACATGATCAGCAAGACACTGTCCTGGGACATTGTCCAGGGTCAAGGGGCTTGGGTGGGTCGCTTTCCATCTTCCTCACAGTTCTGGGCCTGTGCGTTCCCTGCTGTTTAATTGTGGCTGTCACTCTATGTCCATGTCCAAAGTACTTAATCACATCATGGAAAGTTCACTAGAAACTGATTCCTCATTCATGCCCTTTTAAACATTGCTAGTCTTCCTGTCACACACCCACAACATGGCGCTGCGGCTGGACAGGAAGAAAACAAGGAACGCATTGTTTGAAAAGAACTAAAGGGCAAAGCAGAGTAAGAGGCATAGCAAAGATAGAAACATTAAGGACTATCTTGGGGAAGTTGACCCCTTCCAAGCTCAGTGACTTCAGTGAAGTAGACTGATGTCTTTACATCTCAATTTCCTCACATGTAAAATTGGAAGTAAGAATCCCTACAGCAGATAGCACTGGATTCTGGTGTATACAATAATAACAAAAGTTTTAGGCTGGGCACGGTGGCTCACGCCTGTAATCCCAGCACTTTCGGAAGCCAAGGCGGGTGGATCACGAGGTCAGGAGATAGAGACCATCCCGGCTAACACGGTGAAACCCCATCTCTACTAAAAACACAAAAAATTAGCCGGGCTTGGTGGCATGCACCTGTAGTCCCAGCTACTCAGGAGGCTGAGGCAGGAGAATGGCGTGAACCCGGGAGGTGGAGCTTGCAGTGAGCTGAGATCGTGCCACTGCACTCCAGCCTGGGTGACAGAGTGAGACTCCATCTCAAAAAAAAAAAAAAAGTTTTACTTCTTTTTTCTGGTAACAGGAATATCGAGGGCAGGCTGGTAAGGTAGACTCCTCAAATCATTTAGGACCTGGGTATTTCCAGCTCACTATTTGGCCATCTTCAGGGTGTGATCCTTGACCTCATGATGAACAAGAGCTGCTGGAGCTCCAGTAATCACATCTAAGTTCTGGGCAACAGGAAAAATGGAAAGATATACAACTTTCCTTGTACTGTAAGTCCCACAGTTATTCGGCTCACATGTCATTGCCCAACAATGAAATAAATGGCCACACCTAACTGCAAGGGAAGCTGGGATGTATAACCTAGCTGCACAGCCACAGGTTCAGATAAAAATTGGGATTCTGTTACTAAGAAAGAAGAAGAAAGTGTATATTGGAAGAGAACCTGGAGCCTCTACCACCTGCCTCTCCTTCTAAGATAGAAACACTCTTAATTTGTAAGTGAGAGACTGGCGTAATAGGGACATAGAGGAAAAATATTCTAATCTCCTAAGTGGCAAAGTAATTTTACTTGTCAATTCAACATTAAGTATTTCAAATGACAGCATCTGAATATGTGGAATTTTACCACTCACTCTCAACCCATTACCTTCTGCTCTATCAAAACATACATTCTCCATATTACCTGAAGCCTATTATGATTTGCACTAGAGAGAAAAGAAAAAATTCCAAAGCTCAGCAAAGCTCAAGGAAAGACACTGATGAGGACCGATGAGATCAGAACAGAGACACTGCCTCGATCCTATTAGCCAAAGGGTTTGTAAAACTCAGTTCTTTTGTTGAGAGACCATCAATTCCTTGAGCACAGGCCTGGTGCTGGGCCCTCAAGGTGAGTGGGTGAATGAATGAATGAAAGATGGTTAAAGCACTTTGTATGTACTCTTTTATTAATAAATAAATATATATTACATATATATAAAATAAATGTAATTTATTCATCCTGAATATATGCTTGATCTCTGATATATGCTAAATAGATACTTTATTAGATATATGCTAAATACTTTTATTATAAAATATATATCTCTGATATGTATGAAATATCTACTCTATTTGATTATAAAACATATCTCTGGCATGTGTTAAATAGGTACTATATTTGATTAAAAAATACATATCTCTGGTACGTGTTAAGCAGATACTCTGATTATAAAATACATATCTCTGGTATGTGCTAAACAGATACCCTATTTGATTATAAAATACATATCTCTGGTATGTGTTAGATACCTACTCTATTTAATTATAAATAGATATCTACTCTATTTAGATATCTAGTAGTTAGATATCTACTCTATTTAATTATAAAATATATATCTCTGGAATGTGTTAAATAGGTATAATATTTGATTAAAAGATACATATCTCTAGTAATTGTTAGATAACTGATTATAAAATACATATCTCTGGTGTATGTGCTAAACAGATACTCTATTTGATTACAAAATATATATCTCTGCTATGTGTTAAATAGCTATTCCATTTGATTATAAGATGCGTATTTCTGGTATGTGTTAAATAGATACTGCATTTAATTACAAAATGCATATCTCTGGTATGTGCTAAACAGATACTCTATTTGATTATAAAATACATATCTCTGGTGTCTGTAAAATAGCTACTGTATTAATTATAAAATGCATGTTTCCAGTATACGTTAAATAAACACATTAAACCAAATACTATATTTGGTTATAAAATACGTATCTGTGACATATGTGAAATAGACACTATATTTGAGAATAAAATGCTCATGTTGAACCTGTGTCCATGCAATGGAGGAGCTGCCTTGGGTCGAATGGTGAATACTCAAAACAAACTCTGTGTAGATCACAGAAGGAAGCTGGGTCACAGTCAGCGCAGACTTCAGGTGGAAGCCCATGTCTAAATTTCCCTAAAAGAACTGGCATCCTGTCTTAAGTGCCAGCTCCAAGTGAGGAGCACTCTCCTCAAACAAAATGGGTTTTGGCCTTGCAGTGATCAACGTGTCTGGGTAAGTAGAGAGCCTTGGAGGGGAGTGGGTCGTCCCCTAGCAGAGGGGCTGAGGACAGGCTGGAAGGAACCTATGCCGCATTGTCTGGGGGAGGACAAGGTGTGGAGCCCTAAAGCCTTTTCTCACCCTGACGGTGGTACAACTCTGCTTAGAAGGGGCTGTGAGTATGGACTTTACTAGGTGGAAAAAAAATCGTTCACTGCTAACAACAACAGAATATATATATATGATGAAAATAAGAGCATCACAGTCAATCATTCCCATTCACAAGATCTTGATGATAAGTTATCACTAGCCCTGTATATTCTTTCCCTCTTAAAGAGAAACAAAGCTATTTAGGAGGAAAAAAACATAAACTGATTTGAAGCCACTAGAATAATTATAAAATTGGATGTTTCAAAAGAAACATATTAATATAGGGAGGAGGGTAATTCCTCAGTTATAACAAGCTTACCTGCCCTTTGTATTCCACTAGCTTCAGTCCTGCATAAATGGGCACAAAACTGCTGGCTAGGAGGACCTAGATGGATAAAATAAAGAAGCAGCTCATGATTACAGGCATGAACATTCAGACAATACAGTTGATGTAGTATTGACTAGCAAAATCTCAATAAATAAGCCCCACAGACTTCAAGTGCAGCACTGCACGTAATTACATAAAAGATAACACTTTATATCGGAAAAGACTCTAAACAGATAGGTACAAGTTGACATACTCTGAATCAATCAACTTCACCTAGGTAAAAATCAGCATTTTAATAGTAGACACACAAGTTACTACAAAATGAAATTTAAGGTAAGTCTAAGTTCCTGAGTATGTAAAGGTTACAGATAAATTATATGTAATGTTCCATCATATACTGTAAAAATCATGTTACAGTTGCACTCCTGCTTTCTGGAGGAACAAAGCCCTCCGATTATGACAGGAGAGATTAGTCCGCAGCTCAGAGATGTTCTCATTTATGTCACCAGGATTTGCAAAGGGAATGGCATATTTTATGTTCCAATGACGTGGTCAGGATATGTAATGGAACCCTGGCAAGCAGTGACATCAATTATGCTTTATCTCCCATTTAAACAGTTGAAAAAGATTGTCATTTAGGAAATTACCATTCCATACATCATGGGAAGTTGGGCTCTGATAGCTTTTCTGAAATGTAAATGTTTTATTTTGCCGTGTAGTTTCCAAATCACTAGTGTTCTATTTGAAAACATACAGCATTAGATACTGAATATTTTTTAAGCTATAATCTTTCAACTGATAAGTGAAAGACTCTGGCTGTTTGTTGTCAAAGATTTCATGAGTTTTTTTTCATCATACATTATTCAGAAATGGATTATGGCTCAAATGCTGACTTGCAGATCATCCACTTACAATTATTTAGAACTCAGAAGGCATTTCCTCCAAAAATCAATGTTATAGGTATGGTTTTTGGGTCAGCTCTCAAAAGCCTATTTATTCTGAACTGCAACTAAATTACAGACTCAGTCACCAGCATAACAATTTCCATAGGAAAATCCTCTTTTGAGCTGTGACCCGACACAGCTGGAATCCACTCTTGCCATGTTTATTTCTGCACCAGGTACAGGGAACTTCCATAGCTTTCTTATGCAGTGGTTCTTCCTTGGACATGTCTCCTGTTTCCTCATTACCAAAAAACCCACTGAAAGGAGAGGGACTTGTGTCTCTCCTGGTATGTCCAGCCCTTGGCAGAGTTAGTACTCAACAAACATCTGTTGGGTATCTCTCTCCCTTCTCTGTGATGGGAATGGACCCAACACTCCTCCACCTACCTCAATAGTGGCACTAAAGAAGGTTGCCCAGTGCTGTTGGTGGCATGTTGGTTGCAAAGGCACAGGCCTGGTTGTAACAGCTCCTATAGCAACAGGCTCCTGACGAGTGCCCACAGAAGCTTCTGGGGCCTCAGGTTTCAGCAGTGGCAAATTCAAGGGTAACAGCACAACACAAGGACTCCAGCAGGAAAGAAGGTAAGAAATAGCCAAGTGTGAAAGGGTTCTATTGCACCATGCTGGTGCTAGGTGCCAGAATCAGTTATATAATTTCTGGGTCCTGTCCAAAATAAGATAAATGCAGGGCCCCCTGTTCAGAAAGTATGGAGAATATTAAGATGTTGACAGCAGAGCATTAAACCAATGGTGAGGCCCTTTGGATAGTGGAGCCACGTGCAAATGCACAGGTCATACATTCATGAAGTAGACCTTGCCTCAAATATAGTGTCTCATTTAATTATTTCTCGACCCTGTCTCAAAAAGATAAAGTTGCTCAAAGGTCTCTCTGCTAATACGTGGTTGAGACTGTCCCCAGAATCAATTTAATATAAAATGTATATTTTTACCAGAGCCAACATACACGTCAGATTTCTCACAATGGGTCTTTTTTTCATCTTTTGGTCAATTTCATGCACATCTATCTCAATCGCTTGTTTATTGAAATATTGAAAGCATGCTAATTTGCAGCACTGTTTCCCAAAGGAAAGCATGCACTTCTATTTATTTTTTATGTGCTTGTTTATTTATTTATTACAAGGCATAATAATAACCTCACGCAAGGTCTGCCAACCTTCTACAAAATGTCAATGTGGACATGCCCGCACTGTGACATTCTTCTCAAAATCTCAACTTTAAATGGCCCGCATAATGCAATACTGTGACATTAGAGCAATCATGTCTCTTTCACAAAGAGGCAAAGCAGGAGTGAGTAGCACCTTGGGTGATTTGGTGAAGATCGCTTAATAAATCAATAGGAGAGAGAGGACAGAAAGCAGGCATCTTCAACTCCAACCCTCTCAGTCCACCGGTAGCAATGACATCATTGGCTTCAGAGAAAGGTTGTTTACGGTTAAGGTAACTGCATTCACCCTAACTAAACCTGACCTTATCATCAATTGGCTATGCTTTTAAAAAAATAATCACAGACCCTAGGTATGTTTCGCAAGCACAATGTAGCTATTTAATGAAGTTATTCAGCAAATGCAACACTGCAAAGCAATAACTAGAGCAATTTGTAGATAGCGTACATATTGTGAAATTACAGTACTTAGAGGTCTTTAAAGAACCAAAGACAATACATAAATATAATGATTTATTTCACTATTCTGCAGAGAGACATGTGGACTGCAAAAAAATCACTAACCTTAGAATTATGTTTTTTTTTTCTTTTCCCCCGTGTCAAAGTATAATGTAGAGTTCACAAGTTAATGCTTGCAACTATTTTGAGATATTTGGATGAAAAATGCTATCCAATTACTTTCCTACAGATAATAACAGTAAGAATCCTCCTAAATGATATGAAAAGTGCAATGAACTGGAAAATACTTGTCACTTCTCCAAATCAATGTATTTGTTTTTGTCATAGCTGACTCTCCCTTTATATGGACTGATGATTTGTATATCAAACCAAGTTTAGTTGGGAAATTAGCTTTAGATAGTTAAGAGCTAAGCAGCTTTTCTTATTTGTAGTCAGCTTACTGCCATTTTATTGCAGGCAAATAGAATTTCCTAAGAAAGGAGATAAAGACTGACATTCTAAGGTCATGTAATAAAATATTATGCCTAAACATGTGCTTTTAGTGTATCTCACCTCACAATATTCCCAGTGAAATTCACCTCGCCAATGAACCTCAACACGTCTACAGCACTTGTTCTCAACTGGAGGTGATTTTACCCGCTAGGGACATTTAGCAATGTGTCTGTCATAACCTGGGGTGGAGGGTGGGGGGGGGGGTGTGTCCTGCTAGCATCTACTGAACACAGACCAGGGATGCTGCTCAAATTCCTACAAAGGACAGACAGCTGTCACAATACATAACTATCTGGGTAATAATCTGGGCCCTTACTGCCAGGAGTGCAGTGTTTGTGGTTGAGAACGCTGATGTGGAAAGCAGGGGTATACTTTTCACACCCTATCACTTGGTACAGCACTTTAAATGTTGGACATATGTGAAACCACTGATTTGTGTTCTTACTAAACACACAATGATAAAAATGAGAGCTAGTGTCTTCCTGTAGCAACTGTATAAAACATCGCCAGGTGCGCATTCCCGACACGTTCTGATTGACTCTCTTCATTTTGCATTTTACAGAAAAGAGGTATTTAGAAAATTATGTGGCCTAGCTTCCTTAGGGATTAAATTCTCAGCAAGTTTCATTTATGCCTAAAGTTTACTGTGGACTTTAATGAGAATTAACTGTTTATACAGAACTTGCTGCTGTAGTTCAAATTCAAAGACAGATTCAAATTTATCTTCCTCAGTTTTTCCAAGATAATGACCAATCTTAAATTCAGTTTTTATTTCACCTTCACAAGGCTAAATGTGAGAGGATCTTGTTAAGAGCATTCTCACACATGCAAAGAAATTCAGGACATCACTGCAACAGAGACAGGGCAGAATTTTCTCAAGACGGCCAGGGACACTATGGTGCAGGAAAGGCTTCCTGGGTACCTCTACCCTAGAGCATTCACACGTGTCAAAAGACCCTTTCGGAAAACACTTGTGCATCAGTCTTAAACATGAAGAATTCAATGATTTGTACCAATTCAGGGAAGTAGTGGAACTCTACGACGCCATTGCACTGTTAATTTATGCATCATTTCAGCTCAGCCTTGGAAGTTGCATATGACTTTCTTTTAACCTAGGGGCTCACCTCCCTAGTTAGGCTTTGCTGAAGGCTAACATTAAAATGTGTTTGGATTTCCTAGTTGCATGCATGCTTCTAAAGAAAAAGAGCCCACAATAAAATCTGGAACTCGAAATGAATGAGTTGGTATGCAAAATGCACACACTTGACACTCGGGGGATACTGTGTAGAGCGGCACACCAGGAGAGGAATCAGGAAGGAATCATGCTAAATAATGAACAGTATGAAGGGATGGATGTCTGGAGAGTGGAGGCACTTGAAGGTGACCATGCACATCTGGTGTGTACTTAAGAGCTGATGAAATACTTTCATACATACTTCATTTGACCTTGTTCTGAAGGTCTCCATCTTAAAGATGAAGAAACCAAGGCTCCAAGAAGTTGAGACTCGCCAAGGGTCCCAGAGCCCACCAACAACAGGGTTAGGTGGATGTGTACCACCCCTCCATGACTCTTTTCAATTCCCTAAATTATCTGCATTTGCAGGAACTGATCTCAGCTTGGTGTTGATCTGCTGGCGACCCACAGACATAAAGGGTCATCCTTGGGGGTAACATTTTTCTGGGTGTGGCACCTGGAAATAAATCTCTCAGACGGGAAATAAAGACATGATTTTGGAGGGGGGCCTCCTGGGGCTCTGGTTAACTCTATAAAGGGGTCTCCCCTCTGCAGGCTGCCTTCAAGTAGTTGAGCAGACATCATCTGTGTTTCCCTTTGTCAGTACAGTTACTATAAAGGAGGAGGGGAATGGTTGGCACCAATAAATTCTGAACAAAGGAATGCCTTAAGGCCTGCACCTGTCTTATAACAGTTTATAAAGTAGAAAAGACTGAGTTAAATCCTCATGAACGTAAGATTCAAAATTCTGTGGAAATTCAACCCCAAATAAAATGAATAGTTGGACCACACAGTCCACAAGGGTTTCAAGAAAACAATCAACTAGCATTGCAGCTATCAAATGAGTGATTTTTCCATGCTACTAAAGGTGAAGCTCATTAAGATAAATTAAGTATGAATCATCACACAAAATTATTTATTTTAAAAAAGAAGGCTTATAATGATGAGCTGTAAAATCAGATGCCTAAAGGTAGCAAGAACTCAGTAGCAACCATTTCCTGAAGTATTACAGATATCGGTTAGCACATTGTTCATGAAGACAGGTAATAAGCAAGGGGTTAAAGAATAACACTGATAAGAAAAAGTAATCCTATTCAGCCTGAAGAAAAGAAAGTTGTGATTTAATATGGCTTTAAAATTTCATGACAGATTCATACAAGGGTGCTGAGCAGGGGTGTGTGTGGGTTATTATGTTATTCGTTCATTATTTATGAAATATTAGCTCCATTCAGCATGCATAAAGGGCTTTATCATTTAAAACACACTTTCACATGCTTTATCTTATTTATTCTGTACAGTAACACTCATTAGTATTACTGTGTGAATTACTCCATTTCAGAGATGAGAAAACTGAGACTCAAAAGTAATCAGTCCAAGAGGACAACGTCAGGAAACGACAGGCCTAGACATGATCACCGGGACACTCATAAAACAAGTAATCATTCTTGAGGAGATTCAAAAACACGTCAAAATACACACACAGACACAAACACACAAGCACACACTCTCACATATTCTAAGCTACAGGTTTCTAGTTGGATTTTCAGGTACATAGGCACTCTGTAACAAACAGCATCAGTCAGCTAGTGGATAATGAAAAACTAGGCATTTTTTAAAAAATTCAACTATTAAGTAGCAGAATAAATGAGTTAATGATAAAAACAGAAAATACAACATGGAGCAAAGTTTAAAGAAGGTGAAAATCACCAGTGTTTAGTATTTCATGCTCTCCCATGCTCTTTTACTCTAACTTGAGTTTTAATCAACCTCTCTCTTTCTCTCTGTCTCCCATCCCCTCCCATCTACAGAATATCCAGATACTGGGAAGTAGACCTGTATTAGTTCATTTTCACACTGCTGATAAAGACATACCCGAGACTGGGTAAATTATAAAGAAAAAGAGGTTTAATGGCCTCACAATTCCATGTGGCTGGGGAGGCCTCACAATCGTGGTGGAAGGTGAAAGGCACGTTTTACATGGCAGCAGGCAAGAGAGAGAATGAGAGAGAAGCAAAAGCAGAAACCCCTTATAAAACCATCAGATGTTGTGAGACTTATTCACTACCAGGAGAACAGAATGGGATGGGGAAAACCATCCCCATAATTCAATTATCTCCCACTGGGTCCCTCCCACAATACATGGGAATTATGGGAACTACAATTCAAGGTGAGATTTGGGTGGGGACACAGGCAAACCATATCAAGACCCCAGGCTGTATGTTCAGAGCGAGGTGTGCCAAGCCCTGGGAGACCCACAGCTACCCATCATCGAGCTGCTTCAATGCATGGCTTCAGAGCCTCCTGTCTCCACCTAAGGGGAGTGGGGTGACCTTCAGGCAGCCTCCCCAGTCCCAACCAAAAAGGTCGGAAGCACCATCCTCCCATGGCACCACCTCAGACAACATTCTCCCACCAGCCACTTCTTTCACCGGAACATATATACTTGATCATGTCCCTACCTGGCAGGGGGTTTACTTTACTTCCTCTTCACACTTCTTCCTTTGCTACATCATCCCTAGTCTTCCCGCACTCTCACTCTTTTCCCCTAAATGCTTCATGAGTATTCCAGGCATAGGTTTCACAGTTTGATAATCACCATCTGCTATCAAGGAACTATTCATCCTTCCTTTTTAGTTCTGAAAAATGTTAAAACATCCTCCTAAACACGTGGAATGTTTCTTGTAGAACCTAGAATAAATGTCAATTATTCCATATTCTCCTTACAAAGTATTACACATTTGTGTCAACAATTTCTCTTCTGTTCAATGAACTCAAGTAATTACACAAATTCTCTGAATAGTTATTATCCAAAACAAAGGAACTAGAAAAACGTCATGTTTTCTTAACAGCAATAGTTTGCTATTGCCGTTATAACAAATTACTACAAATTTAACCCCTTCAAACAAGACACATGTATTGTCACACAGTCTGAGGGTCCAAAGTCTGGTATGGGTCCCACTGGGGAAAATCCAGGTGTCGGCAGGGCTGCATCTCTTTCTGGAGGCTCTGGGGGAGAATGTGTCTCCTTGCTCAGTCAGGTGTTAGGAGAATCCAGTTCCATAGGTTAAAGGGCAGATGCCCCCTTTTCTTTGCTGGCTGTCAGTGGGGACCTGCTTTCCGAGAAGCCTCTGTGCTTCCCTGGCATGTGGTTGCTACATCTCCAAACCAGCCATGACACAGAATCCAGAAAAGGTGTCCACTTTTCAAGATTCATGTACTTAGTTTGGGTCCACTTGGATAATATGGGATCATCCTCCTATCTCAGACCTTTAATTTAATCACATCTACAGAATCCCTTTTGCCAGGTAAGGTTATATCTGGACAGGTTCTGGGGATTAGGGTAAGGACAGTTTTGGGTGTCATTCTTCTCTCTGCCACATAAAAGGGATGGATAGGGAGGATGAGCATTTTATCCAGTGTGGGGTATATATAGTTAGGGAAGAATGCTAGACACATGAACCACAGTCACAGCTGGGCCCCAGCCAGCTATGTGATTTTGCCCAGGTCATACAGTATGGAGGGCCCAGCTTCTTTCTTTTCTTTTATTTTAAATCGAGCCAGTGTAACAGATGCAACCTTGGTTCATATCCATTCGTTTCACGCATATTACGGAGTGCCTACACAATGGCTGGCAGTGTGGCAGGTACTGGGCTGCGGCAGTGAGCAAACCAGAGAAACCCCTGCCTCTTGGAGCTTACATTCTGGTGAAGGAGGATGGACAATGAAAGCTGAACAGGACAGCAGTAAAAGAGGTAGCATGCTAAAGAGTGATATGTAAATCAGGAGGGATGTGGGGAGATCAGGGGCTGAGAGTTCTGTCATTGTAGACAGAAAAACCAGGGATGGACCCCGTGAGAGAGATCTGGGGCAGAATCCCCCTCATTTTATGTCACAAGAGCACACAGTCTGTTCCTAGGTAAACAAGAGGATGCATGTCTGCCCACCGCAAGCCTTATCTGTCTGTATTGGACATTGATGGCTTAGGACCACTTAGCATGGGTTGCCCAGCTCTTCCCTTGACACTGTCAAGTCTACATAATATTGTAATAAGATTATAGAATAATGTCTTTTTATAAGATAGACTCTTGTAAGTGAGAGAATGACGTAATAGGGATATCGAGGGAAAATATTCTAATCTATTAAGTGGCAAAGTAATTTTACTTGTCAATTCAACATTTCATTAAGTATTTCAAATGACAGCATCCGAATATATGGAATCTTACCACTTACTCTCAACCCATTACCTTCTGCTTTCGAAAACATACATTCTCCATATTACCTGAAGCTTGTTATGATTTGCACTAGAGGGAAAAACAAGAAAAAATTCCAAGAGAAGTACACCCTTTCCACCCTACAAATATTCAGTGCATTACCACAGCAGGCACATTGGTATTTGGAAATCAACCAGCTGAAGTATTTCCCAGAGATGATGAATTCTCAACCAACCAACTTTCAAATGTGTTTGGATAGAAAGACATCAGAACAAAATGGAAGAAACAAAATGGAACATTAGATTGAAAAGTTAGGAGACCTGGGTACCAGAATTAGCTCCCACTGCCACGCAGGATAATCTTGGGTACATAGGTACGTACATCACATAAAATCTTTCCATTCACTTCTCTGTTAAAAACATAAAAGGGATCAGGTGTGGTGGTTCATGCCTGTAATTCCAGCACTTTGGGGGGCTGAGGTGGGCAGATCATTTGAGGTCAGTAGTTCAAGACTGGCCTGGCCAACACAGTGAAACCCTGTCTCTACTAAAAATACAAAAATTAGGTGGACATGGTGGTACGTGCCTGTAATCCTAGCTACTCAGGAGGCTGAGGCAGGAGAATTGCTTGAATCTAGGAGGCAGAGGTTGCAATGAGCCAAGATTGCACCACTGCACTCCAGCCTAGGCAAACGAGCGAGACTCCATCTCAAAACAAAAACAAAAACATAAAAGGGTCACAATAACACCTACCCTACTTGATTTACAGAAGGACTTGAAGGACTGAATAAGAGAGTACATGTTAAAAACCCTACATACACTCCAAAGTATTAGCCACATAAATTTCAGGAATTATTATTGCTACTAAACTGCATCAGCGACTTGCTTCACATAATCAACGTGAGATCTGAACATTGCAGGAAAACACTGAACAAGTACAGGGAGCATTTGGATCACAGTGCATCATAAGGCGGCCTCAGGAGGGATCCTGGCGAATACTTTCATCAAACAAGTAATTTACTGAGCACTCAACCATCTATCGGGCCTGGTAAGAGACACAGGATCTAAAGAACGTGGTAATGCTCATTACTTTATATGAAGTATTGAAATCAGCACTTGCTGATTTCTTCAAATAGGAAACATGGCTTTGTTACCTTAATGAGGTCCTCCCTGGAGGAAAAAGTGGAGACTAAGTGATTTTCTCTGGTTTTGGCGTTGGTGATGGATACGTGCAGTCGGTTCTGGGCCAGCTCGTGAGCGCTGGGAGGAAGAATCGACTCCATCCCACTTCTAAAGAAGAAAAAGCAATCTGAATTACTCACCTTTAATTATTGAACTCCCTGTAAATATTTTACAAGAGAGAATGCTGAGCTTGCCAAAGTTTGTACAGAGAGTCGTCAACATTCTGTCTTCATGTACTTTTGGGCAAAATGTACTCTGTATACCTTAGTCGGGCCATGAAGTCATAACCGGGCGTTACTGCCCCGAAAGACTGCCTTCTGATTTCTTCGGCAAACTTGTAGGTAAATTGGTTACATTCCTAAAAAAAGAAAATTAAGAAGTGACCCTAGGTGTTGTAAAGAAAACAATCATTCCACTTCTAAAACTTGGGATTCTATAGACCCAACAGCAAATGTAGGGTGTCATGTTATTAAAGGTGTGCAAATTCCCCACCTGGCCGGGGCCTCACCCACCACTCTCAGGCCCTTTGCAAGGTATACACTCTCAAGAATCCTAATCTTTTTTTGTTTTTTCCTTTGTAAAGCACCTTAAATGGCCTTTGCCCCATCTGAAAAATCCTTGAAGGCTCAATCTGAATTTTAATTGAGCACATTCTTCAAAAGGTTTCCTCAGCGCAATTAACCTTCTCTCCCACCCCTATTTTGTGGTCTCAGCAGCAGTTTGATTACAACCGTGCAACAAAGCTGATTACAAATGACAGCACCAGTGACAGAAATAGGAGTAGTGACGTCTATGGTTTGCACAGACTGAATCAGAGTCTTCGGAGATTCATCTTGGGCACTGGTATTTTATAAAGTCTTTCAGGGATGCTCATGTCTACCCTGGACTGGGATCCACAGAGGTGACACTGTCAGTTCATCTTCACATCACCCTGCAGGGTGGGTATAACCATCCCACTTGACAGACAAGAAAACGGAGGATTGGAGAGTTCAAGTGTCTATCCCAATATCTCATTAAAAATGAGTCTCAGAGCCAGAATTTACATCTAAGTCTATTTTGTATTAAATAATGAATTAATTTGGCAACCAACTGGGCACCAGGTACTTGGCTAGGCACTGGGACTTGGAGAGGACAAGATACAAAGACCCTGTGCTCATGAGAGTCATAAGTGCCTCCAAGAGCAGGTCATAGAGGGCTATAAGAGCCCCCACAAGGGTGTGTTTGGCTCTCATTTAGTGCAAAAAATAAATAACAACAGGTAAACTGTTTTGAGAATATGAGGACATCAAGTCTCAAATTCAGGTAAATCATTCAATGTCTTAACATTGCAGAATTTCAGTTAAGTGGCTATATTATTGCAGCAGTCTCTCCTCTCCCCACAAAGATGTCCACATTCTAGTCCCTGGAACCTGTGACTAGGAGACCTTCTATGTTAAAAGGGACTTTGTAGATCCAGTTAAGGACCTTGAGATGAGGAGATAATCCTGGATGACCTGGGTAGGCCCAATATCATCACAAGGTTTCTTGTAAGGGAAGGAGGGAGGTAGGAGAGGCAGAGTTGGAGAGATTTGAAGATGCTGTGCTTATGGCTTTAGAAATCAAGGAAGGGGTCAGGAGCCAAGGAGTCTGGGCACCCTCCAGAAACTGGAAAAGGTAAGGAAATGGATTCTCCCCTGGAGCCTCTGGAGAGAGTGAGCATGGACATTTTGATTTTAGCTCAGTGAGACCCTTTTAGACTTAAGACCGCCAGAGCTGGAAGATGATAAACACATGCTGTTTTAAGCCACTACGCTGAAGGTCCTTTGTCAAATCAGCAACGGGAAATGAATACAGTGTGTGTCAACCTCCAACCTCATGGGTTGCCAAAGGTTTCCCTCCAATTTGACACCCAGGCTGGGACTTAAATATAAACAGGAGTTGGGCAGAGGACGAAGGTGAAAGCAGAGGATAGTAAAAACAACAGCAAGAACAATTCTGAGAGGGGCACAGAGCTGAAATGTGTCCCTATGGCGAGCCACAAGTAGGGCTAAGTCACATGGGGCCTTGTGATACATGCTGAGAAACCTGGGTCACATTGTCCTAAGTCCACAGACAGCCCCTGCCCCGGGGGTAATGAGGTGATCAGATGTGCCTTTGGGTGACATCACTCTAAGCGCTATGAGGTAGGTGGATTGTAGGGAGCTTGAATTGATATAGGCTGTGGGAAGCTCCTGGGTGAGAAATGGGGGTAGCCCCACCAAATGTATGTTCATTCTACTGAGCTAGACTGCCCATCTAGCCTATTTCTTTGTACTAATATTAGTTATATTCAATACTCTCCATAGCCCGGACCAGACTGTAAACTTATTAAAGATGGACTTATTCATCTTTGAGTTCCCCACTGAGTCTAGCACCATGGCTTCCTCGCAAATTGTGAGGGCTGAGGAAAGTCTTGCAGCATTGAGCTCTTCCACATCAATGTCTAAATTTGCCTACCACTTAAAATATGCCCAGTATCAGGTGCTCCTCTTAATTATTCATGCATAAGCTCAGAAGATTAATTACACACGTATTTGTCACAACAGTAAAAAGCTTGAGGAACTTATATCATCAGCGAGAACCGAGCGAACACGAATCTGAGTAGGTAGAAACATTTGCTAAAAAAAACTCAAGGCTATCCTACAAGTGGATTATTTCAGATGCTAAAAATAAAGGAACTAAAATAACCTTAAGTCAAAGGGTTACTTTGGCTGAAAAATTATTTTGAAGAAGAACAAATGAGGATGCCCTAAGGAAACTAAGAAAATTATTTTCTACCTTCCCATGGGAGCACCAGATAAAGACACACACCTTTTCATCATACCAGCACCATCAGACAACACAACCCAGTCTCTCATTTAGTGCAAAAAATAAATAACAACAGGTAAACTGATCTGAGAATATGATGACATCAAGTCTCCAATTCAGGTAAATTATTCAATGTCTTAACATGGCAGAATTTTAGTTAAGTATAAATGGCTGTACTAGTGCAGTATTTCCAAATCAGGTTAATTCTAAATCATACAATACATTTTTTAATTTGCTGATAATTGGAAACCAAGTCTACATAACTCCAAAGCTTAGGATTTGCCACAGCTCAAGAAAAGACTGCAGTAAAAAGGAAGAAGTGACACCCTGAAAGCCCTCTGCTTCAAAAACGAAACACAGTTATGGGAAGGAGGTAGCTTGTAATTCAAAGCTTATGAATCTGCTAGTTTAGGGGGAATTTTCCGACCTCATTTATACCTTGCATGGCTTAAGGTTCTGGTCCTGTTTAATCTCTGCAGTTTTTAAATCACTTTTCTAGTTCCCTGTAAATCAACCATATAAAGACAGGAAGATAGGTGGATTTCTGAATGATTGGCCTCAAATCTAGCTTCCCTTTGATAAGCAGCTCACAAAAGATCTGAAATGAGATTCTGATGTTTAACATTGCATAGTTTTGGAATTTTAAATGTGACTGAAATTCATTCTTGGGTATGAGGGTGTTAAATTGTTATTTCATTATTGTTCAAAGCTGCTAGAGTACGTAATGATTAACAAATATAATATTCTCCAACTACGGAATCCAGCTCTCACAGTCAGCAAATGATTGATCACTGTCTGGATAGCAGAAAACAGATTTTAAAACATAGATTGCATTAAATAAAGTACTTAATGAATAATTATTTGTATTACTTCTGGATAAATTGCTTGGAACTCAGAGCTTCCTCTTACTGTGAGAATTAAAAAAGAATTAAATTCCTATACCATTCCACTTAATAGAAACTGCATGCCCACATTTTAATTTATGTATCTATTTCTAAGTAGCAGTGAGGTAAGACTTGTTGCCCACATGTTCAAGGCCTTGAAAACAGGCCCCATGCTCTTCTCATGATCATAGAAAGAAGAAATATCCTTTGCTTGAAAGGAACAGAGCTGGAATCTTAAGGATAAATAAAAACTCAAGAGTAATATAAGTCATTTTATTTCCTTATTTCACTATCACCCAAAATAATCTTTTCCACAACCAGAGCACAGATCCCTAATAATTACATCTTAAGAGAAAAGTCCTAATCCTTTCTGTTTCCAAGCAAACGATTATTTCTCTGCAGTGTTAACTTAGTAGAGTCAATGCTGGTGTTTGCCTTTGGGTCTTAATTTCTTGATGAGGAACACAGCCTAAGTTACTACTTAATTACCTCTATTTTTTCTGGTGCTGTTAGCAGAACAGAAGCAACCAACGATCCCGCAGACGCCCCAGCGAAGGCTTTGACATCCTTCACAAGTTTTTTGCCATGTCTGCAAAGTGCAGATGCTGCCCCCAAGTGGTAAATGCCCAGAAATCCACACGCTGCAAATGATAGGTTGATGTGCTTCATTCTAGCTGTAGCACTGGCAATACAAAAAACAAAAATGCTGTAAGTTGGAATAGTTTATCCCACATACTGTGTAGTCTTATGTTGATCATCGTTCCAAGGCTTTCTTCTAACATCATTCTCTGTTTTAAGCACAGTGGTTTCAATTAATTCTAATTAAACACAAGAATCTTTCAAGGAAACCCTTTCTTTCCCTCCTCACCTTGACCCAAGTCTTATACATTAAAACAAAACAAAACAAAAACATTCCACATTTATTCGGTACATAGATTATGAATCTACGATTTAATTACTTGGCAGGAAACAGACGTATAAATTCCAGTTGACAAGGGCATTTGGTCTTTTCTCTTGACCCTTTGAAACGTTTTGCGGGTGGGGGCGGCACTACCATTATGAAACAGAAAATTATTAGAGACCGTATCAAATTCCAAATGAACAATACATTTGTTCTTGGTAAGTGTATCAGAAGATTTCAAATACAGTTCCCTACTCCCCTTCCCAATTTCTATTGTGAGCACCCATGCTTTTATGAACGCCAATACAATTACTCAGTAACGCAATAAGCAATCACTCAACAATGCAATACATTTCTTTGCCAAGTATCTCAACACAAACTGAGGTCATGCCTGGTGAAGGCAATTTAAGGCTCTATGAAATGTCAGCCACGCCACTTTATACTTGGAACACATCTAAATACAAAATTACATGTTTTCCTATGCCTCAGTGCGCACAATTTGCCCAAGTGAATGAAATTGTGCCTCCACAAGGCTGTCCATTCTGAAGGTCTCAGGGTTTCCTTGGGGGCCCAAGGGCCCCATTCAGGGACCCCAAGATGAGGCACATTACAGGGCCTCGAATTTAGGGACCTAAGACCGCCTGTTCCTGATGCACCCGGCCAGGCCCTGTGAGGGCAGGTGGCTCGGCCGCCGCAGGCTGCGCTGGCGTCCGCGTAGGCTGAGTCCCAGTCATCGATCCGGGGTCAAGCCCCAGTTTTGATTCCACTTCTGCAAATGGGGACGGGAAGGGGGTTGGGTGTGTAGCAACCAGGCGGCCAGGCCCAGCCAGCACAGGCTCAGTGCCCTCCCGCGGCTTGGAGGCCGGCAGGGCCGGGGTGGTCCCCGCATCAGTCCCGCAGGAGCACACCCTTGCTGGGCCCCAGGGCTCCGTACCAATGCAGCCCCGGGACACTTCCGTGTTGAACGAGTCCCTTTAACCAGATGGCGGGGCCGGGCCGTCACTCAACGCCATTCCGCCACCAAGGCCGCGCTACGCTCTCCGCGAGCCGGCCCAGGAAAGTCCTGCGGCAGGGGTTGGTACCGCCTCCCGCGCAGGTATGTGACGTCATCGCGCCGACGAAGGCGCCCGCTAGGCCCCGCCTGCTCTATTTAAACTTCTGGACTCAACCTGGCCGCTAGACCGGAGCGTCCTCCAGCGCAGGCAAGGATTCCTCGTTTAGAGTCATGTTATCTTCGAGTACCTAGAGAGACATTTTAACCCACACCCTAGAGAGGCGTTGTAATCCTTACGTGTCTTTTAACGCTACTTGGCCCTTACCTGCGAGCAACTGACCTTTAATAATCCTCATTTTCTGTGCCCCGGAAGTGCCTTACCCTCTTCGCGTCTGTTTCCCGGAAGTGGTTCTTCTCCCTCTCCACCCTTTCGCCCGCCTGGGCGGTCCAGCTGCCCCTAGGGGCCAACTCCAGCGGCTATTTTGGGGCTGGACATCCCGCAGCTTTTCAAGGCGTGCCTTTGGTTTTTTTAAGAAGTGCTATCTAAAGGAAAAGCTGGACTATGACTCTGGGGAACTTTCATATCCTCAGTTGACCTTAGGCTGTGTGACCTTGAGCAGGTAGCATAACCTCTCTGAGTTTCCCGCGTGCCTTATGTGCAGATTGAGATGCTAAAATGAGAGAGCTAAATTGGAAAGCTTTTTCCACATAGGGGGCCGTGAGCAGGTGGCTGTTTTGTCCTCTGGCACCTTTGGCTCAGACTTAAGCAGCTTCAACGACCGCCAAGATGCCTGCCATGCCCACCAAGATTTAAAGGACTCTGATAATTCTTTCTCTCCCCAAACGGTGTTTTCCTTATCTAATCCTAATAACCAAGCCTGGAGGAATCCCTGACTTCGTGATTGAAGGCTCTCCAGGTCCCCTAGTTTAAGGGCAGAGATTTACTTTCTCTGAGGCTACAAAGGAGCGTCTGCGAGAATGTCTCTACCTTAGACAAAACAGGGAGGAGGGGTGGAGCTCTCCAAATTGCCTCTGGTTTGGGCTTTTTCTTTCTGTTTTGGTGTATCGTCTCTGGCCAACAACACCTGTGAGTCCTTGATGTGACGATTAGGGAAGATGTTTTTAATTCACATAACTATTCTTTAGAGAAAATTGATCCTGAAACACCTTATTGCCTTATCGTAGAATGACTGCATTACTCAGAATTCTTTACCTCTACCGGAATTTAGTGAAGGGAAGGCACAACGTACATTAGGAAAATACAGGACACACTCCAGTCCTTAAACCTTCCACAATCTTCTAGCTCTTTAAGGTCGAGTGTGATCCTCCCCAGAACTGCATCTTCCAGGAAGCTCATGAGAAAGGAAGGATCCCAGGTCCCATCTCTGATCTGAGTCGGCATCTGCGTTTTAACAGAATCCTGAAGCAGTGGTCTAACTCCTTTGGTGGTGTTATTGTTTGCATGTATACCTCCAAAATTCACATATTGAAATACTAACCCCCAAGGTGATAGTATTAGGAGGTGGGGCCTTTGGGAGGTAATTAAGTCATGAGGGTGAAGCCCTCATGAATGGGATTAGTACTCTTAGAAAAGGGACCCCAGAGAGGTCTCTTTCCACCATGTAAGGATAAAAGTACACGGAGAAGATGGCAATCTGCAAACTGGAAAAGGGCCCTCCTCAGAACCTGACCATCTTGGCACCTTGATCTCAGACTTCCATCTTCCAGAACTGTGAGAAATAAATTTCTTTTATAAACACTCAGTCAATGCTACTTTATTATAGCAGCCTGAATGGATTAAGACAGGTGGTCTGGTTTAAAGTGATGTGGTGGCATCAGAAGTTTAAGGAGAGACTGGATTTACAGAACCAGAATCTGGGATGCTGTTTACAGAGCAAGTTATTTCCTGCATTTGGACACTGTCAGCAGGTCGATTCAGGAGACAGGTGAAAACTTTATCACCGGGCAGCCTGGATGAACACCACAACTTTGATATCTTTCACTTAAAGGAAAGATAAGGGCATCCACTATTTCTACACCTGGCTGGCAGAGTGAGAGCTCACCAAAGGTAAGTCTCTTTGGAGCAGCAAAATGCTCCATAATTTAACTCTTAAAATTTTAAATTTATTTCCTCCTTACTCCCTTCAATCCCGTATCATATCTCCATGTAACTAGTTAAAAGTTCAGCTCTCAGCTGGGTGAGGTGGCATGTGCCTGTAGTCTCAGCCACTCAGGAAGCTGAGGTGGGAGGATTGCTTGAACCTAGGAGTTCATCTTCAGCCAGAGCAATGTAGTGAGACCTCATCTCTAAAGAAAAAACAAAAAACAAAAAAAGTTCAGCTTTCTAATGTAAGGAAGGATATATTCATTCACATTTGTCTTTGTCATCTCATCGCCAAGCTTAGCACTTGGCCCATAGTATATGATCAATAAATATTTGTTTTGGATGTTGGATTTATGTAAATTACCATTGTGATCTGAATATATAGTAATTTAATTGCTCTTTGAAACTTTTTTTTCTGTAATTAATTTGCTTATTTTTGCTCGTCTATTTTCCTTAGTAATTTAGTTTCAAACGGGTTTGTTTATTTAGCCATTTACGTAATTATTAATCATCTGTTGTATAGCAAGTGTTACGTTGGTACAGGGCATACACAGTTGAAAGAATTCAGCCCTTATCAGGGATGCAGAGTCCAGTGGATAGGGAGACATCTGATGTGTAATTACAGAGGCGTGATGATGTGGTATTGCAAAGCCATGCACAGATGCCCTGGTTGTGCACACCAGCTACGGAGTAGGAAACCTTTAGCTTCGGGAGGTGCCTACAGTAGCACCCAGCACAGAAACAAAATGCCCCAGCTTGATGGCTCCTTTTCCTCTCCAGTGCTTCCTCTCAGGAGATTTTATCCTGTATCCCATAAGGGAGGAGAAATGGACATGGGTAAGTGTTGCTTGTCCACACCTCTGCTCCAGGGAAAGGACCATATCTCAGAATCTTTGAGTCTAATCAGTTCTTTCAGTCTACTCTCCTTGTGGTGTTATTTCATTTTCCAGTCTTGGCATTTTTTTTTTTTTTTTGAGACAGAGTTTTGCTCTTGTTGCCCAGGCTAGAGTGCAATGGCGCCATCTCAGCTCACCGCAACCTCCGCCTCCCGGGTTTAAGCGATTCTCCTGCCTCAGCCTCCCGAGTAGCTGGGATTACAGGCATGTGCCACCACGCCCTGCTAATTTTGTATTTTTAATAGAGACGGGGTTTCTCCATGTTGGTCAGGCTGGTCTCGAACTTCTGACCTCAGGTGATCTGCCCGCCTCGGCCTCCCAAAGTGTTGGAATTACAGGCGTGAGCCACTGTGCCCGGCAGGCATCTTAACACCTCTTGTCGGTCAACGTTACAAGTGCTTTGGTTTTTTAAAAAAACAAATCTCTTGTCGTGTATTCAATATGCTTTGCTTATTCTGCCTCCTGCTTGATAACTGCTCTTCTTTGTCACTTCCTCCCCAAATCTTGCAAACTGATCCCGATGAGCTGTGGAGCTTAGATACATGCACTTTAATTTCAGGGGAGTGTGGCAACACTGCTGGAGCACTGCCCTTTCCATGGGGGCTTCAAAGTGATACTCATGATAACATGCCCTCTGTGCCTAGTTTAAGCAATATCTTGTCTTGAGACCACCATGGAGTTCAGAGAAAGGAACTTTTGCAATCTTGGAGTAGAACTGCCCATCCGAAACCATAGAAAGAGGGGCTACTTCCTTCCTATAGATCACCATCTCTAGGAACACAGTGAGGGAATAGATGAAGAAGGTCATGTGTGAATGCCACTATGTGGAGGGAGCCAGCCTGAAAACAGAGGCAGCTTAGAGGGATCCAGAGCTGAGAATGAGGTAGAGAGAGAGAGACAGACAGACAGACAGACAGACACAGACAGGCACCTAGGTGTGGTTGCCCCTCTTGAGCCTGTGGATGCAAATGTAATATTATACATTGAACTGAAAAATAGAGATGGTAAGGATTTCCTGAGTATTTCTGTTATCGTATTAGAATTCCTTAATTACAGTGCTTGTAACTGGTGTTCTAGATAAGGTAGAGCCGGTAAGCTTTCAAAGGTTTCATGCATAAACAATATATTTTATATTCCTGACTCGCTTTCCCCACTACACCTACCCTTTTCTATTTGTTAAGTTAGTTAGCATTGAGTTTCTAAAGCTTGCAAACCAAACCGTTCTTACTAATGTAAGTGCTTTTTACATTGCGCATGGCTGTTTTCCATTAGAAATATGCTACAAAAACTGACTACTTAAAGGAACACTGGGTAAATTCTTTCTAAATGTAATATACTTTCAAAAAATATGAATTTTATATATATACCATATTATATATATTACATTATTACATATTTCTGTTATATATATGTTTACATATTTATATAAAACAAAATAAGACTTTTCTTTGATAGCATCTGTGTTTTAGTCTGTTCAGACTGCTATAACAAAATACCCAAAACCGGGTGGCTTATGAACAATAGAAATGTGTTTCTCACAGATCTAGAAGATGAACATTCCAAGATAAGTCACTAGCAGATGGTGTGTGTTGAGGTCCTATTTCCTGATTCATAGATGGCACCTTTTTGCCCTGTCCTCACATGGTGGAAGGGGCAAGGGAGCTCTCTGGGGCCACTTTGATAAGGGCACTAAACCCATTCATGAGGCTCCACCTTCAGGACCTCCTCCCCTCCCAAAGACCGCACATCCTAACACCATCACTGTGGGGGATAGGATTCAACAAATACATTTTTGGGATGGGACACAAACATTCAGACCATAGCAATCTGAAAACATAATTCAAAATAGCCATCCTTTGGAAATATAATTTATTTATGACTCAGTATATCTGATAATATATGATAATCTTTAGATCTTTTAACATGGTGTTGAAACTAAATATCAGACTATTTCTATTAAAGAGAAACATTTTAAAAATGTGACATTTATTTTATAAACTTCATTTTAATTTAATATGTGAAGGGTTCCAAATGTAATATTATGCATTGAGCTGAAAAACAGAGATAGTAAAGTAGGCAAGCTTTCAGAGTTCTTATACTTAAACGATATATTTTATAGAAAACGGGTTCAGATCCTTGATAGCCAGGTGGTGAGTATGTGGTACCAAATGTACACATAATCCTAAATATTTTTTAAAATCCCAGTCAAAGAAAACTGGTATTCTCTGCTCTGTGTACTTCATCGCAAAGCAACTGTACAGTGGACATGGCTGCTAGGGGTCCACCAATTGTTCAGACATAAATAGTCCTTTCTAGCCTTCAAATATTTTTCTTATCATGGAGCCGATTACTGAGGAAATAATATCAATATCAAGTAAGTAATATTGTTGGGTGACAGGTGGACAGCTTCAGTGCCTTATGCTCCATCAAATTCACCAAAATACTGTATTTTAATTTGGAGTACAAGATCTAGACATTACCAGTGCTGTTATCAAAATGAACACCGTAACTACTAAAACATTTAATTATCTAATCACCTCATTTCAAAGAGACAAAATAAAGATTTTGGTCTATTCTTTGTTAGTAAAATGCCTTGCTTTCCTGAGCACCCACTCCTATTATTAGAATCTTATTATTAATATTTACTACACTTATTGTCTGCCCACTCCATGCCAGTCCTTTATATACATTGTCTCATATCACTTGTACAATGTTAAAAGATAGAAATATATGGGCCGGGCGTGGTGGCTTACAGCTATAATCCCAGCACTTTGGGAGGCCGAGGCAGGTAGATCACCTGAGGTTGGGAGTTCGAGACCAGCCTGACCAACATGGAGAAACCCCGTCTCTACTAAAAATACAAAATTAGTTGGGCGTGGTAGCGCGTGTCTATAATCCCAGCTACTCAGGAGGCTGAGGCAGGAGAATCACTTGAACCCGGGAGGTGGAGCTTGCGGTGAGCTGAGATGGCGCCATTGCACTCTAGCCTGGGCAACAAGAGTGAAACTCTGTCTCAAAAAAAAAAAAAAAAAACAGAAATATATAATAATATATAATAGATGACTCAAATAAAAAGAGAAATATATAATAGATGAAAGTTTAAGGTAGCCTTTCCATATCTGTGCTGAGATTATAAGGCCAGGTTGCCCTGCTCTAAAGCCTGTGCACAAATTAGTAAAATACTAAGCTTTTATGATGTGCCAAGCTTTGTGTTATTTGGCTACTCTGAGTCTCAGAATCTTTCTTCCTGTAATTCTTTCTCAGGTTAGAATTTGTGATTGGTTTCATATCTGGATGTTTATAATTTAAAAATGGTAAAAGTCTTAATAGATGTTATATATGAGTTTATAGCATTTAAAGAACTTGTTCGCGTCTTGAAAAGAAAAATAAAGCAAGCCTAGCAATTAATTAAAACTACCCTTCTCTATTGATCATTTGCAGCAGTAACTCTTTTTTATGTCTCCTTTTCCTGGAAGCTATGTCATAAAGTAGGTGATTGTAAAACAAACATAATTTCCATTAGGAGCAATGTTATAAAAGGGGATTATGTTATTGGCTAAGGTCTTAACTACAAATAAATTATGTATCTATTCATTTGTCTTCACGCCTTTGCTCTCATTAGATAAACTTTTTGTCCAATATATGAAAAGAGCTGGGCTAGGCATTACAAATAAATTTTAAAAGAATCTTAAGGTAAACTGTTCCTTTAGCTCACTGTATTTTCTTGTTCAAATGTCCTTTCATACTTCTGTGTCCCATTAAGCCCTACTTTTTCTTCAAGGCCTAAATCAAACTCTACTTGTGGAATACATTCAACCACCTCTGTTAATCTTAGCCACACCCTCATCTTTGTTACTATGTGTACATTATTGCTGTAGCATCTCTGACCTTTTATTTCAGTTAGGGATATGCTCGCCACCACTCTCTAGGTTCAGAGTTCATTTGGAGCAGGGACTATGACTTGTACTTTTTGGCTTTCTCCAGCACATAGAAGTTAGCTAAAGCATAGGAAATGAGTAAATGTTTATAATAAGAATCTTTAAACTGGGCTGGGTACACGCCTGTAATCCCAGCACTTCAGGAGGCCAAGGTGGGCAGATCACCTGAGGTCAGGAGTTCAAGACCAGCCTGGACAACATGGTGAAACCCCATCTCTACTTAAAATACACAAATTAGCCAGGTCTGGTGGTAGGTGCCTATCATCCCAGCTTCTCAGGAGGCTGAGGCAGGAGAATTGCTTGAATCCGGGAGGTGGAGGTTGCAGTGAGCCGAGATTGCGCCATTGCATTCCAGCCTGGGTGATGGAGTGAGACTCCATCTCAAAAAAAAAAAAAAAAAAAAAATCTTTAAACTACATGTTTCAGATATCTAGCTAGCTTTAGCAGAGGAAAATATGCTACTTTAAATAATCAAGGTGCTAGAGGTAGTGCTAACTGCAGATATGGCTCGGTCAGGCACTCAGTGAATGCTGTTAGGGCCATGTATTAGTCTGTTCTCACACTGCTATAAAGAAATACCTGAGACTGGGTAATTTATAAAGGAAAGAGGTTTAACTGACTCACACTTCCACATGGCTGGGAAGGCCTCAGAGAACTTCTAATCATGGCAGAAGGGGAAGCAGACATCTTCTTCACAAGGCAGCAGGAGAGAGAGGAGTGAGCGAAGGGGGAAGAGCCCCTTATAAAACCATCAGATCTCATGGGAACTCACTTATTATCGTGAGGACAGCATGGGGGAAACTGCCCCCTATGATCCAATCACCTCCCTTCCTTGACACATGGAGATTATGGGTCCCTCCCTCAACAGGTGGGAATTATAATTTGAGATAAGATTTGAGTGGGAACACAGAGCCAAACCATATCAGATCACCATTTTGCCACTTCCTCTATATGTTTCTCTTCTTAGTCTCATTCTGCAGGCAGCCCCTCATCTTCTTAGCTTATCAGTGGAAAAGTGCTTTTATCACTATCTCCCTCCCAAATTTAGAAAAAGATTCCTGTTGGTTCTGTTTTTATTACATGCATGTCCTTGCAATAATCAATGTGAACAGCAAATTATGATACATGATGGTTTGAGCCCATGATGAGATGAGCATGGGCTGTGCAGACAGTGGGTAAATATGAATGGATGCACTGCGGGTCCAGAGACAGTTGGGTGGGAAAGCCCTCCTAGGAAGAGGCCTGGCAGACTCAATCCACCTGTCCACTGCAGTATTTGATAAATATTTGTTGAATTCAATGAAAGCAAAAGGGCGGCTGTAATCTCTGTATAAAATGGGACAATTTGCTTTACTCCTTTTGATACATAAAACTATATAGTACATATCTAATTGGCACACATTCCGCCTAAGCGAATAGGAACACAAGTATGATGTTTAGTACAACCAAAAGTTAGTTGCAATATTAGATATGTTCAAATTAACAGTGTGTTACTTGGCATCAGTGTTGTCCAGCATTGAATTAACTATAGGGTTACTTGGCTTCTTTGAATTTCATGGGCTATTTTGGATGTGAGAGGGGGCATAAGACTTGCTCACCAAGTCAGTGTAAATGAATGATTTTTCACTGTGATAAATTTCCCCATAGGGAGCTGTGCTACTTAGAGTGGTGGCAAGAATCTTATCTTACACATGGGATGAAAGTAGATGCTAAGTAAATGTTTGTTTTTGACATCAGTGACAATAATGATAATGCTTTTCTGCCAAAAATTTTTAAGGAGTAGGAGGAGATCCCAAGGTTCTCTCCATCATCTCTTACTTTAGAACATAGCATCATAAGGCATTTTGAAAAAGAGAATAGTCACCATTTAGTGGACATCCTTTAAGGTATCATATTTTGTGTTAAAGCCATAAATAAATATACTATTGACATAAACTTTCAAAAATGTTCTTTACAACAACTTCACTAAATTTCTAACAAAAGTAACATAATACCCCAACCTATACAGATGCATTCCCCATTTGGAAAACTACAAAAAGAATAGGTAAAAGTGGGCCAGGCATGTGAGTTGGAAGTCACAGTGAAATTCCAAAAGGGCCCTGGCTGACATGTAGAAGGTGGCTGTAGTTTCAGGCTCTCTTATTATGACTTGAATTCTCAGAAAACCAGCAGAGAAGTAGGGGGCTAATAGAACCCAATAATATGTGGGACAATATTTGTTGAATTGTATGGATTGATTCTATTATTCCTGGTGAAAAAATTCCCAAGCTCTAATGAACTGTCATTGATTCCTGTAAGCAGCTAAATGTAAAATAATGAAAACACAGAATTCACCCTCTGTGAACGAAAGAGATGGCAAGTTCAAAGTCATTCCAACAGCATTAATTACATGGGAAAGCCTATCCCCAGGTATACCTGCCTAAGATGTGTTTTGCATTTTTAAAATTCCCAGGTGGAAGCTGGAGAGCCCTATCTATATTGTCCTTTTAAGCACCAAGCTTTCTTTCCTATATTTTATTCTCTCACCTCATCTTGAGGGAGCATGATCCCACTCTTAAGATGCACTAGAAATGTCATATTAAGACAGTAAACCTTTCATAATATAAACATTTGAGTAGCCATATAGCACCTTCACATCTCACTTAAAAAGCAACTGTAGAAGCCAGGCATGGTGACTCACGCCTGTAATCCCAGCACTTTGGAAGGCTGAGGCGGGCAGATCACTTGAGGTCAGGAGTTCAAGACCAGCCTGGCCATCATGGCGAAACCCCATCTCTACTAAAAACACAAAAAAATTAGCTGGGCGTAGTGGCAGGTGCCTGTAATCCCAGCTACTCAGGAGGCTGAGGCAGGAGAATCGCTTGAACCTGGGAGGCAGAGGTTGCAGTAAGCTGAGATCGCTCCACTGCACTTCAGCCCAAGTGATGGAGTGAGACTCCATCTCAAAAACAAAACAAAACAAGACAAAATCAAAAAGCAACTGTAGAAAGCAGAACACACCATAAATATACCATAAGGTTAAGGTTCTTCAAAAGGCTCATTATCATTCTGGAATTTAGTTTTCCTGTATCTTCATGTATATCTACACCAAAATTTAGAAAATTCACTGAGCACCAAAGATGAGGACATTTTTCTAGTTTTATCAGAGAAAATAATTCAGATTCTGTAGGGTATAGAAACATTTACAAGATAATATTTTAAAGAGAACTGAGCTTCATTTCACCATTCTGTGAACCTAGGCAAAAGTTACATTCACTTCTGTTGGAAAAGAAACTGAAATGACATTTTTGCTTAATTGTTAAAAGAGAAGTACCTTCTGTTAATGCGGACAAACACATTGGTTCAATGACCCCAATTTTACTTACACTTAACATCCACCCAAACTAAATTTTCATTAACTGTTGATGTGATTGTTGAAATTGCAGGCCATTTTCCATCACTTAGATGTTTTCAAATATCTTTTCTTTTTTTACTTTCTATACTCATTTTGTTTTTTACTTTGTATACTAGAATGGCAAATTACTATGATACTGTATGCAACACAAAACCTCTCTGTATGTACTTTTAATTTACCTTATATTTTATGTTGTTAGAGGAAAGAGTGTTAAGTTTATGTTTTTTTAATTAACACACACTTGCATGGTGTTTACTGTGTGTGTCTTCTAACCACCTTACAGATATCAATGCATTTAATCATCTTAATAACGCTGTGAGGTATGTACTGCGCTGGCACTAACATTTTAAGAGTGGCTAAATGGTCTACAAAGAGACTAAGTAACTTTCTCAAGATCACACATTTGATCAGTAGCAGAGCCAGGATTCATTTCTTTACCATTTTGCCATGGTGCCTCCCCAATGCCAAAGTCAAAAGTAGCAAAGTAGACCCATGTTCACAGGTTGTTTATGGCAGGCATTTTCGTAGAGACATTGATAAGTGAATTGAGAAATGAGGCTGTCCAGCTGTACCCCAGCAGGATCTTGAGAGGCTCATCCTCCTCTACCAAGCTATTAAATGTCGAGTTATCAAGACTTAGACTTGGGGTCCATTTCCTTGTGCCAACTAGGGGACACCATTCCTGCCCAAAGCTTTGGTGTGGTCTCTCAGCCTCCGGCCTCCACATCAGGTAGTGTGGTAACACGAGGACTCCTAATTTGGACTGCCTACCTGTGCATAGGGGCCAACTCAGGATATAACTCAGGGAAAGCCCCTGCCTAGGTGAAGGGGGAAAGCCCATCCTGCCCACTAGCACAGTCGAGGTGTGGGAGAAGGAAAAAGGGCTACCGAGGCAGAAAATTAATGTGCTACTTCCCCCACCTTCATGGTTCTATGTTGGGAGTGCTCTTGTAGACGCACACAGGAAGGTAAAGGGCATGCCTGTTTTCCCACACATGGCCTTGGGGAGCTATAATACTCTAGTACAGTGGTTCTCAATTCTGCTGCTTTTGATGAGTTTAGGATGGAGCCCAGGCATCAATATTATTTTGGTGGTGGGGAGTCGGCGGGGTAGGGGTGGCGGGGGGAGTTGAGGGGACCTCTCAGGTGAATCTAATGTGTAGCTGGGGTTGAGAACCACTATTCTTAGAGAAGTTCTCTGGTTGGTCAACATGACACCAGGACTATAATGCAGGTTTGGGAGAAGGATATGCCTGGATCCTGAGCTAACATAAGCGTCAGCCTGGTGATCAAGGGATCTGGAAGATTCTGCCTACCCCAATGAGGAGTGACAGAATAGCTGAGCAAATCCAGGCCGGCCTGAGATGGGGATGCAGTCCTGGGGGTATAGAGAACAGAGGCAAGGACCAGGACCATGGAGTCCAGCATCAGGAACATAGCTGGTGCCACACGTGCCAGGTGCAACCTCAGGGAACGCCAGTCCAGGAACCACCCAGACCAGCAGAGACAGCACAGAGCCTTCTGGTACTTGATCACACCTCCCATTTCTTCCCCGTTCACAAAGTCCTAGGAACAGTGCTGGATACACAATTTGCAGGGTCCAGTGCAAAAGGGAAATGAAGAACCTGTGCACAAAGAGCAGGAAAAAAAAAATTGCCATTACTAGCTTTTTCCTTATTTCTGTGGCCTATCTCCCTCAATTTGTTAAAGAGTTTTAAATTTGCTATTTGATGTCTAAGTAAAGAAAAAATGGTAAATAATTAGCATGAAACTTCATCATTCATGTTTATATTGCATGATGCCAGTTTTACAGACAAATATCAGAGCATTTAAGTAGGATGTGGGACTATCACAATCACACAACCCATGTTTTGTAGCCTACACATGCACATGCGTTTCATTCTGGCCTGAATAGTGAGGATGCCGTGCAAGAGTAGCCCAACTCTTCTGATTCCACTTCTTGATATGCACACATTGAACCAACACTCTCCACCTGCTGAGTGAGGAAGGCCTGAAAGGAAAAGAATTGTGGGCTCCTCTATCTTTTGCTTTCCTCTGTGTCATCATTTTGAGCTTAAGTGGCTGGCCAATCCAGGAGATGACATGGATAGGTAGGAAAGGTTATAACAGGCTTCCTTGGTCACATGTGTTTCTTTAGTATACATTTGCTTTCTCTCTGCTTTCGAAGAAAATTCTGGTTCAAATGGGAAAATGTGGCATCTGAGGCTGGCAGCATTTCTCCTAACTCAGCCATGAGTATAACACTGTCCCTTGGTACTTGCTTTGAGACTGTGATCTCCCACGCATTGTGGGTCTATTGTTCTTCTGTGCTCATGAAGCATCATAGACCCTATGTGTACGAAGCAGGCAGCTGGGAACAGCAGACGTGCACATTGCCAGTATCTCCTCTGCTCATGTTTATACATCAGTGTCCCATCAGATGTCCCTTAGAAAACACAAGTTCAAACATAAAATTACTACAGATTTCAAGATGGCCACAGCAGAGCATTAATCCAAGTATGGGGTCCTTCTGAGCATGGGGTCCTTTCTGAGCATGGGGCCCTGTTTGACTGTGCCAGCTACCTCCCCATGAATCTGGTCCTGCTCAGGGATGCTTTCCAGTATTCCCAGTTAACATCTCACAGAAAATGGGGAGAGAAGAAACTTTTTGCTCTGCATGAAATGAGACTGTTGTGATTATTAGATACTAGTGATAACATGAAAGAACAAAATAATTTACTCTTGGCTGTTTGTTTAAAATTTCTATTCCTGAGATTCATTGCCTTAGTTAAGACTGCTTTGGTTGCTGAGAGAAAAAGCAGAAATTATATGTGGATAAAGAAGATTACTGTTAGAATATACTTGCTAAAAAAGTAGATTTCAAGTGTTCTCGTCACAAAAAAATGATAAATATAGAGATAAGGCATGTTAATTAAGTTGATGTGGCATTCCACAATGTAAACATATTTCAAAGCATATTATACGTGATAGTTATATAAAATTTTTCTTTGTCAATTAAAAAAATAATACAGAACCCAGGGAAGGGGGGATGTCTAGGGGATTGGCACTAGGAAGTGGAAAGCCACCGGAAACCATGTGTCCTCTTTGGATTTCCAGGGTCTTGTGGATTCTCACTTAGCATCTCTTGCTTCCATTCCAGGAGATCCACTTTCTCTGATTCTCAGTGTGCACACCATAACCAAACGTGGCAGCCTTCAGCTCTGGAGTTTATACAACCTCAGCTCAGGCAAACAGCACAGACAGTGTAGAGTCTCATTTTTCCTAGTCCATATTTCTGGCAGAGAGAATGTGATTGGACAGATGTCCCTGGTCCTAGCAGTGATGAATGGTGAGGGCTGGGGGGCCAGGACTTGGAAGCTCATGGGATGGACAACATTCCTGAAGTTTTCTACTGCACCCTTCGTACTTGGTTAAATGTCCTGGTCATAAGTTAACTTTATAATAGATAAATCATACATCTAGATCTAGATATCTGCTTTTTCTCTTACTATTGTTTACATTTCTTTTTTTGGTAACTGGATCAATACAGAAGATGAGCACAACATTTTATAAATAAAAGATAATAAAAATAATCTGGGAGCAGTTGCAGAGCCCACGCTGTGTGCCAGTATCTTTGCTCATCGCGTTGTATTCATTGTGTCAGTGTCCACAATAAGCACCCTGGAGCTGGGTAAAGTCACTCACCCCAAAATGCCAAGGCACTTTCCCAGGGGCCTGGACAGGAAGGAAGCAGAGCCAGGAAAGAAATCCAGATTCAAATCAGTGCTGAGCCTGTACTCTTTTTACTAGAAAATAACAAACACGAGCTGGCTTGATTATGTACTCTTTTGAGAAACTATCATCATTATCATTATAGCCCTCACTTTCTCCCTGGTTATTCATTGACTGCTGTCAGAGTTCAGACAACTTCTGATGCTTGATTTTTTTCAAGGAACTCAATTAAAAAGATAGTAGCAATTAAGCACAGCAGATTGTCAGAAATGTTTGCCCTTAGTTAATGAGTGACTTTCAGAATAGTGCTAGTGTGTCCTCCAAGATTACATGCATAATCCCACAAAAATTGATGCCAGGTGGGCCTGACCTGCGTGTGAAAGTAGATTTCTTGTGTTTTCAAGATGTTTTTCTATAGCCGTTTCCAGTCTGCCCTCTGCTGGCTCATGAGAATTGGATATTGCAAATCACAGACCCAGGCAAGTAAATGCCAGAGAGAAGCCACAATTCCCTGGGTTGAAAGAGCCAAGGAGGTCTCAATCTCATAAGGCCTTAGTCCATTCAGAAACCAACTGACTCTCCCACTACCTGTATTTTACCCTTTCCCAAACCAACTCCAGGAAGGCATCAGGAAGTTTTCAGATCAATGTTATCCTCTGCTTGCATTTACCTGTGCTGCATGGCAAAAGGCTGCTTTATGTTACTTATCTGAGTCATGACTGAAATGTCAGTGCAAAATTAAATTGATAAAGATTGAAAAGAGAATAACTTAGATTAGTGTTCATCATCTTTGTGTCTCTTGTTTCATGCATCCTTTACCTTGACTCTGCGGAGCTCTTACTGATTTTGAACATAGATGAATTTGATTTTGTCCAGAATTAAAAAATCAAACAGTCATAGAGTATAGCTACTTGTTCAGACTGTTTTTAATTTTTATTTTTATTTAAAATGTTCACTATATTGCCAAATAGTAATTACTTTATTAAGCCCACTTATGGATTCATTTTATTTTTTTGGTGAAGCAAACTAAAGGTTAAAAGTGAACATAAGACAATTTCTACATTAAGTAGCATAATTATTCATTAGATCTTAAAATTAAAGCTACTGCTAATGTAACCTTTAGGATATGAAGCTAGGCTTTAGAATTATGTTTGTGTGTTGATACACACACACTCAATGGGGACTATTCATTTCACAAACCAAATATATGTTATTTCTATTCTTGTTGGAATTTAGTTTTAAAAAAAATTTTTTTTCTGATTTCCAAAGAAATGCATGTTCACCATAGAAAATTTAAAGAATACAAACAGGAATTAAAAGACTACCTATATAAAATTATATGTATGATATATTCACACACATATAGGTAAAAGCATTTTGTAATTTACTTTGTAGAAATTTCTATGTCAAATTTTAACACAAAACATTATATCAAAACTACCAATATGTTATAACCTAATAAAAGAGCTGCCAGTAATTTAAGTTCTTACATAGTAAGTTACCTAATATTATGAAATATACACGACTCCTTTTTACATATTTTGTTTCCAGACATCAATAACCTAGACTCATGAATATCATTTTTGCACATAATAGTTATGGATAGGAGACTAAAGATTGTATTAGATGTTGGTGTTTGATTATTTACTAGGCTTTGTCACCACTGAAATGACTTCTCACCCACTGTTTTTAACAACCTTGCTGGTGGAATTTGTGTCCTAATAAATTTATAAATTATGACATGCCAGGGGCCTCAATACTAGAAACATTAAATGCATGAATGGCGAGGATGTCTATAAAGTAATAGGATATATTTTTTAACACATCTGTCAGTACTCATACTTTCAAGCAAGTGTTTTCGTCAACATAGGTTAAGAGCTTACCAACTGTTTCCATAATTGATGAATGTGTTTCCATGAATCTATTTATTCATCAATATCAACTGAGAGTACTCTGTGTCTTGGCATTTTCATAGGCACTGTGGACATAATAATGAATGACACAGGTAGTCCGCAGTCTAAGGATGGGGGCAGATGATAGCCTTTGCAATACAGGAACTAAGCTGTAAGTGGAAGGTGGTACAAGACAATGTGGGATCTTACCCACTCCAGTCCCAGGGGTCGGGTCACATGTGAAAACAACATGATTCCTATGCTCAGTCTTGGCCATTGGAATTCCAGGGCATGGCTAAACAGTTGAGAAGGTACCTTAATCAGGATTGTATCATAGTCCCAGAAAAAGGAGAGAGCTGTTTTGGAATTGCCTTCAAAGGTTTAGGGTATTTTGTTGAATAGCCTATAGGGAAGTAAATGATAACATTTGATGTAATTTGTATTCTTTTTCTCTAAGCTAAAGTCTAACGTAATACCGGCTGCTAGGTCAGTGTAGTATTAGTCACACTGACCTTTTAATAGCTCCAGGGTTTTAACAGAGGGACAGGCATGCAGTAGATGCTCAATGGATGCTTATCAATAACTGACTACAAGACAGCTAACAAAATGATTGAAGCACAACTGGAAAATTCTAGTCTAAAACCAGATAGATGTGAGTGCTGAGACAGATTTGCTTGTATAGCTTGCTAGTTGATTATATTGCTTCCAGGAACTCTCCTGCAGTAAGAGACTCATTTGAACAAGTTAGGGCAGGTTGCCAATCCGAGTATTGGCAGCCTGAATATGCCTTGACTATTCAAGTTGAGTACTTCGACGAGGGCTATAAGCATTTGGATTTTAACGTTCTGATACACTTTAAATCAAACAATTAAATATACCTGTATGTAAATATATGTATGTAAATATATGTATGTAAACATGTGTGTAAATATATGTATGTAAATATATGTAAATATATGTATGCAAATATATGTATGTAAATATATGTGTATGTAAATATATATATATATATATATATATATATATATATATTGTTCACTTTAAAATTACTCAGTTTGCAAGTGTGTTGATACCTTTACATATGTACACACATTCACAGACTGCAGGTTTAATTGATGTGACTTAAGTCAGCATTTGCTTTTCTTGATTCATGCAGATTACCTGGTTCAAATCCAGACTCTACCGTCTATGGCTATGTTACCTTGGGAAGGTTACTTAACCTCTCTGTGCCTCAGTTTCTTTCTTTTCAAAATTTTTTTTATTTTCAATTTTTGTGGGTACATAGTAGGCATATATATTTATGGGGTACCTGAGATGTTTTCATACAGGCATGTAATGTGTAATAAGTACACCAGGAAAAATGGGGTATCCATCCCCTCAAGCACTTATCCATTGAGTTGCAAACAATCCAATTACACTCTTTATTTTAAAACGTATGGTTATTATTGACTGTAGTCACCCTCTTGTGCCATCAAATATTAGGTCTTATTCATTATCTTGTTTTGTACCCATTAACTACCCCCACCTATCTCCCACCCCACCCCCGCTAATCTTCCCAGCCTCTGGTAACCGTCCTTCTACTCTCTATCTCCATGAATTCAATTGCTTTGATTTTTAGATCCACAAATAAGTGAGAACATGTGATGTTTCTGTGCCTGACTTATTTCACTTAATATAATTATCTCCATTTCCATCCATGTTGTTGCATATAACTGGATCTCATTCTTTTTTATGGCTGAACAGTACTCCATTGTGTATATGTACCACATTTTCTTTATCCATTCATCGGTTGGTGTTGGTGGACACTTAGGTACTTCCAAATGTTAGGTATTGTAAATAGTGCTGCAACATACATGGGAGTGCAGATATGTTTTTGATATACTGATTTCCTTTCTTTTGGGTATATACCCAGTAGTGGGATTGCTGGATCATGCAGTAGCCCAAATTTTAGTTTTTTTAGAAACCTCCGAACTGTTCCTCATAGTGGTGGTGCTAATTTACATTCCTGCCGATAGTGTACAAGCGTTCCCTTTTCTCCACATCCTCACCAGCATTTCTTATTGCCTGTTTTTTGGATATAAGCTATTTTAATTGGTGTGAGATGATATCTAATTGTAGTTTTAATTTGCATTTCTCTGATGATCAGTGATGTTGAGCACCTTTTCATATGCCTGTTTGCCATTTGTATATCTTCTTTTGGGAAATGTCTATTTGAATTTTTTGCCCACCTTTTGATTGGATTATTAGATTTTTTTTCTAGAGAGTTATTTGAGCTCCTTATCTATTCTGGTTATTAATCTATTGTCAGATGGATAGTTTGCAGGTATTTTCTCCCATTCTGTGGGTTGTCTCTTCACTTTGTTGATTGTATCCTTTGCTATGCAGAAGGTTTTAAACTTGATGTGGTCCCATTTGTTCATTTTTGCTTTTTTGCCTGTGCTTGTGGGGTATTGCTCAAAAAATTTTTGCCCAGACCATTGTCCTGGAGACAATTCCTCAACGTTTTCTTGTAGTAGTTTCACGATTTGAGGTCTTAGGTTTAAGTGTTTAATCCATTTTGATTTGATTTTTATATATGGTGAGAGATAGGGATCTAGTTTTATTCTTCTAAATATGGATATCCAGTTTTCCCAGCAACATTTATTGAAGAGACTGTCTTTTCCCCAGTGTATATGCTTGGCACCTTTGTCAAAAATGAGTTCACTCTAGGTGTATGGATTTGTTTCTGGGTTCTCTATTCTGTTCCACTGGTCTGTGTGTCTGCTTTTATGCCAGTACCATGCTGTTTGGGTTACCATAGCTGTGTAGTATAATTTGAAGTCAAGTAATGTGATTCCTCCAGCTTTGTTCTTTTTGCTTACTATAGCTTTGGCTATGCTGGGTCTTTTGTGGTTCCATATAAATTGTAGGATTGTTTTTTCTATTTTTGAGAAGAATGTCATTGGCATATTGGTAGGAATTGCACTGAATCTGTAGGTTGCTTTGGGTAGTATGGACTTCTTAACAATATTGATTCTTCCAACCCGTATACATGGAATATTTTTCCATTTTTTCGTGTCCTGTTCAGTTTCTTTCATCAGTGTTTTATAGTTTTTATTACAGAGATCTTTCACTTCTTTCATTAATTCCTAGGTATTATATTTTATGTGTGGCTATTTTAAATTGGATTACTTCTTAAATTTCTTTTTCGCCTTGTTCACTGTTGGCATATAGAAATGCTACTGAGTTTTGTAGGTTGATTTTGTATCCTGCAACTTTACTGAATTTGTTTATCAGTTCTAATAGTTCTTTTGTACAGTCTTTAGGTTTTTCTAAATATAAGTTTATATCATCTGCAAATAAGGATAATTTGACATCTTCCTTTCCAATTTGGATGCCCATTGTATCTTTCTCTTGTCTGATTGCTCTAGCTAGGACTTCCAGTATTATGTTGAATTAACGGTTGTGACAGTGGTCTGATTTTCTTTTCTGCTCTAATAGAACAGCACTGAGTTAAGTGCTACTGCTGTGGGGCGTGGGGTGAGTGGCATTGGTGATTCAGGACTGTTTTTTTCTCTCTTTAGTGCCTCTTTCAGTGATATGAAGTTAAAACCAGGCCCTATGAGTGCTCATCTGATATTTAGTTCTTATGAAGGTGTTTTTTTCTGTGTAAATATTTGTTAACTTGGTGTCCTTGCTGGGGGACAATCTGTAGAGCTTTCTGTTCTGCCCTCTTGTTCTACCTTGTGGAGTCCTGATAAGTAAGCAACAACAAGGAAGGGGCTCCAGGTCGGGGAGGTTCCCAGATTGGGGAGGGCCCCTAGTGAGAGTGAGCAATGAATTTGTATTGAGAGACAGCCAATCACAAACAACCCACTGACACAACTACCTCCCTGCGCACATAACCCCAACAGCATGACCTCATTCCACTGGTAGCCCCCTCCAGCACAACCCTGTAAGACTTCCCTCCACCCCCTGCCTCTTGGCAGACAGCCCCTTTTCTGCTGTGCTGCCTGTTGCACCCTTGTAATGTATTTTCATACTTTCTCTAATAAATCTGCCTTTCTTTACCTACAGCTGTCTTGGTAAATTCCTTTACCTCACGCAACACTGGCCCCAGCCTATTGCACCCGCGACGTGCCTCCCTCAGTTTCTTAATCTATGGACTGTGGATAATGATTATGCCTAAATTATAGAATGTTTATGAGGCTAAATGACCTAATATACGTAAGGAGCACGGGATACTATTTGTCAAGTGTTCAGAACAGTTGAACTATTGTATTGTTATCCTAAATCATGACAAGATTAACATTAAAAACATTTAACTTAGTAGATCAGAGTAATCAATAAAATGTGTGTTAAGAGGATAATGATTATACTTAAACTTTAAAATGTATCTAAGGCTAAATGAGTTAATATATGCAAAGAGTATAGACTACTGTTTGTCACACAGCAACTATTTTGTTAACCTTAAAAATATTTATATTAAAAACATTTAGATTACCAGATCAAACTAATATTTTGAAATACTTTACTATTTTTATTTAGCATGAAGCTTTTTGATTATCTTTAATGTTTTAAATATGTTGAAAAATAAAAATTACTAAAACAAGAATGAAATTCAATGGTTAACATGAGCAGTAATTTAGAACACCTTTTCTCTCCCCAGATGAAAAATGTATCTTCAAGTAATCCAATTCCTTGGAACTAAATACATTTTGAAATTCTAATTCACTTTCCTATAATTTATAGATCTAACATTATTAAAATATTCATATCTTTGAGCTAATGTGGCTTAACAAATTTAATTTGCAAAACAAAGATGACATGAAAAGAGCATGATCCATAATCACTTTTTTCCTAAGCCATATGTGGTAGGCACGCCATTAAAAAGACAAGCTAGTCAACCTTATAACTCCATAGAACTGTCAAAATAAATAAGCTATTAGAAAACCAGGAAAATAACAGAATTTTGGAACAAAGTGTTTCCCTAGAATTTTTTTTCATTATTTCTCAAATAAGCAGAGTACAACCTTGGATAGGGTTGTTTAAGATGTGTGGAGATGTTTGAGGCTGTTATTTTGCACCTGGGGGGCTTTTGACCACGGTGCAGTCTGAAACCTGTAAAGGGAAGTGGGAGTGGAGGAAGATTGGATAGGAAGATCCTCAGGTGTCATTGTGTCTCCGAGGAAGGTTCAGCCAGCCCAGGGGTCTCCAGTGCGAAAATCATTCATAGGGTAGCAACACAGAAGACAGAAATGGGCATACCCTACTGTTTGGTCACCATACTCCACCTTGGCTAGGAGCTCCCACAAGAAGAGTGTGACTTCCACATAAACACAGCAGCTGATCTTGAGGCATTGCAGCTGGAGGCTACCAGCCAGCTGTAGTCCCTGAAGCTAGTAAATGACCTCTTTTCCAAAGGGAGCTTCTGGTGGCACATCTCCAAGGCTGCCAGTCACCTATGTTTCTAAATCCATTCGAGTATCTGTATAGAGTCTGTTCCTGTGCTATAAATGCCAAGGATTGCCAGAGTTCGGTATTGCTACATTTCTGGGTGTTTGTTTCTCTACATTGTCTTACTTGAAGACTGTTCATGTGTGGTTTGTTTTATTTAAGAGTGTGTGGGAGGGGGGGTAAAGACAAGCACAAAGGGCTTCATTGTAATTAAGCTTGTTTAGTTGAAGGGACACTTATTGATATTGTTTGGCTTTGTGTCCCCATGCAAATCTCATGTCAAATTGTAATCCCCAGGTATTAAGGGAGGGACCTGGTGGGAGGTGATTGGATCATGGGGGTGGTTCCCTGCATGCTGTTCTCATGATAGTGAGTGAGTTCTTAAGAGATCTGATGGTTTTATAAGGGGCTTTTCCCGCTTCACCCTCTTTCTCTTTCCCACCACCTTGTGAAGAAGGTACTTGCTTCTCCTTCTCCTTTTGCTGTGATTGTAAGTTTCCTGAGGCCTCCCCAGCCATGCAGAGCCGTGAGTCAATTAAACCTTTTCTTTTTAAATTACCCAGTCTTGAGTATTTCTTTTTTTTCCTTTTTCTTTTCTTTTTCTTTTCTTTTTTTTTTTGGAGACAGAGTCTTGCTCTGTTACCCAGGCTGGAATGCAGTGGTGTGATCTCGGCTCACTGTAACCTCCGCCTCCTGGGTTCAAGCAATTCTCATGCCTCAGCCTCTCAAGTAACTGGGACTACAGGTGTATGCCACCATGCCTGGCTAATTTTTGTATTTTTAGTAGAGATGGGGTTTTGCCATGTTGGTCAGGCTGGTCTCGAACTCCTGGACTCAGGTGATCTGCCCACCTTGGCCTCCCGAAGTGCTGGGATTTCAGGCATCAGGTACTTATAGCAGTGTGAAAATGGACTAATACACTTATTCTGCCTATAATACTGTCTTAGTCTGTTCAAACTGCTATAACAAAATACCATAAACTAGGTAGCTTATAAACAACAGAAATGTATTTTTTTTTTTTTTTTTGGAGCTTTGGAGGCTGGAAGTCCAAGATTAAGGAGCCAACAGATTTGGTGTCTGGTGAGGGCCTGTTGCTTGGTTCCGAGACAGCACTTTCTTGCTGTGTCCTCACATGGTAGATGGGGCAAGAGAGCTCTCTGAGGTCCCTTTTATAAGGACATTCATGCCATTTGTGAGGCCCAATCCTCATTACCTCATCACCTCCCAAAGACCCCATCACCTTGGTAGTGAGGATTTCAACATAGGAATTTAGAAGGAGTAGGGACACAAACATTCAGACCATAGCAAACAGGGATTATATTATGAGTTCTAATAGTAGTAGTAATGATAGTAGTATGGTAATTACAGTGGTAAAAGGAAGGAGAAAGAGTGGAGGAAGAGTAGTAATAGCACTAATAGCAGTGATTGCTAATATTTATTGGACATAGTACAAAGACATTTCATGTAATACCTCATGAAATACTGGCATCACTGTGAAGCAAGGATTAATATTATTGTGACTTTAGAGATAATGTTTAGGTTAAATGACTTGAACCAATCTATTGAGCTAATAAAGAGACAGAAGTAGAATTCAAACCCATACAGGAAGAGGGCCAGGCACCTTCTCTTATCTGCCACCATTTAGAATCAAGACATGGGCTTGATTATTCCATTTGCTCTTTGTATAACTTAAATCTGTATATTTACACTTTGTAAGCAATGATTTCCTCTCCTACAAAAAATTGATAATAATAAACCAACCTGACTTTCTCACAGGGTTAAGGTTAGAACTTAAAAAAAAAAAAAGGATGACACTGAGAAAGTGTTTTTGCAAACTGCAAACCACTTTTGCAGTAAACTGCAAGCCACTTTTGCAGTAAACTGCAAGCCACTTTTGCAGTAAACTGCAAACTCTTCCTAAATGAATATTGGTTATTATCTTACTGGTATTCAGTAGTTATGTGTTCTAGATATGAGAATAGTTTGCAGTTACACAACTTTGCCAATAGCAAGTGCCATAAATTTATGCTCAGAAATTATGATCCCTGAATTTGAAAGCCAGAAAAGGTTTTAGAGATGATCCAGTTCAGTGTGTGTGTGTGTGTGTGTGCATGTATTCTCCCAAGATGATTCTAATGTATAGTCGGGGGACAAAAATGACTGAATTGGACCAACACACTTCTTTCTGATAATTACGATAACTGTATATTTACCTAGGGCAGTTACAGTTGACACTTGTTGCTCAGTGTCCCATCTGATGGTCCTGCCCTCTTTCACTCTCAGGTGTCACAGTTTGGATGATAAATTGTGTAGTCCCTCTGCTGATAAGGAACTGAGACTTAGAGAAGCTGTTTCCCTTCTAAAAAGGAACTAAATATAGTGTCTGACCTGGGCTTTCAGAGACTCCCTTGGAGTCATGTTGAACACCATGTGGGTATGCAGGCTGCTTCTTGGTATTCTTAAAGTGAGAGAACTTCTTAATTTTTCTGTGACAATAAAACTGTTAAAAATAGAAATATGCTGTGTTTCCCTGTCACTCAACTAAGTAATGCAATACTGAGGTCTGTTATCTGACCCAATTCCTTTATGAGGACATTTGATTATTGCTTACAGTTGCTGGAAAAATCTTCTCATGCATGCCATCAATTGTTCTTTAGGAAATTCTGTTTAGAAAACAAATCAAGAGCTTTATCAACTGCCTTGACACTGGTTTTCTGAATATCATCATGCATAGCAATGTGGATCCTGCTGTATGTGACATGTCTAATGATGACATTTAATGAAACCTCTAATCAAAAGACTTGAACACGCAATTTGGACGTGGTGATGCAGTCTTCTTGGTTGAGATTTTGCAGCCAATGTCAAATTTAATTTTAGCATTTAGGTCATCATAATCCATTATGTGCATTTCTCAGAATAATGAAGATACTTTTAAGCTAGTATAAAGGAAGTTTGTATTCTGTTCGCATCAAAATCTATTGATATGGGCACATTTCTAGAGTAATAGTTAAGTGTTTCTTTTCATCATTGGGCATATTGTTCCAGTTTGACCCAATCAGAAATGTAGATCTTGAAAAGTGAAGGTTTGCCTCCAGAGGTGTTGCCATTGAAACCCATCAGAATGAAACTAAGGACAGAATAAGTTCTTTTCATCCAGCATTAATGACTTCACCTACTTGGGGAATCCAGGGATTGTATGATATTCCAAGGATCCAATGTGCATCACCCTGGTGGAGACTAGAGTATTCACCCGTCTTGCTCATCGACGATTGTGGGTGAAAGTCAGAAACTGATTGAGTAGCAGAGATTCTTTCTATTACAAAGTCTCAAGAAAGCCTTTGCAAACTACGCTGGGACTTCCTTTGATGTAAACAGTTCCATAGCCTCACTGTGAATGTTGGGAACTGTGTTATAGCTGTGCATATGTGGCCCCTCAACAAACTCTTGTTATTTGCCAAGTGTATTTTCTAACATTGAGATTTAGAGTCTGGGAAATCTATATTCTTATAATTACCTAATTTAAAAAAGAAAGATCAACAGATTTCCCTAGACACAGAGGAAATGGGACACTTGAAAGTGTTTTTCCTGGTTCATTCAAGCCTTGTTGAGTGCTTCTTCTCTGTATTCCTAGTGCAGTATGCACATCCCTTTATCGTGATTCATAGCACATTGTACTGTAATTATTTGTTTGTGAGTCTTTCTCTATTACTAGACTGGAGAGCAGAAATCAGGTCAGACGTATTTGCATCCCCCGCACTTAGCAACAAAATTGGAACACAATGGATATTCAAAAACTTTGAGTGAATTAATAACTGCCCACAAAATGAAGAGCACCTTGAGTATCCAGTCAAGCCGTGTGACCTCGGAGTCCTTCCACACACACTCAGGGAGCTATAATATTTAAGCTGAAGCCAAAATGGTAAAATGAAATTTCCTATGAATGAGACAGTTAAACTCACTCAATGTCTAGAGAGAATCACCATCTTACTATACCTGCTTGGAAGAGCAAGGGAAGTAAGAAAGGCTTACCAAAATCTGTTTTTGCTCAAATGGAACAATTTAATTTAATAACTCTTCTGAGGATGCTGAAACAGTCATGCCCATCAAAATTCATTTTGAGTTAATCCAATCTGTGTGGAATGTCTTTCAACCTGGAAATGCCCAAAGCTTCATTGATACCCTTTCTAGAACAATGTTATTATGAGATCAACCGAGGATGACCTAATGGGAAGATTTTAAGAAAGCCTAGAAAATTCTGACTCACTATGTGAGTGAAAATCACTGCACATATCAGAAACAAGGCTGGACACAGTGGCTCGCACCTATAATCCCAACACTTGGAAGCTGAGGCAGGCGGATTGCTTGAGCCCAGGAGTTTGAGACCAGCTTGAGCAACATGATGAAAGCCTGTCTCTACCAAGAAAAAAATACAAACATTGGCCAGGCTGTGGTGGCACGAGCCTGTAGTCCCAGCTACTCAGGAGGGTGAGGTGGGAGGATTGCTTGAACCCGGGAGGGGAGGCAGAGGTTGCAGTGACCGAAGACGACACCACTGCAGTCTATCCTGACGGAGTGAGACCGGTCTCTGTCTCAAAAAAAGAAACAAAAGTGAGTTACTAATCCTACTATCACCTGCCTCATCAGTGACAGCCCTTTCTAAAGAGGTGGTTCAGCTGTCAACTCCAAAATGTAAGAGCTCTGAGTCTGTTAGACTTTCCATGTGTTTTTCTTACATAAAGGTGCCACCTTTGAGCCACTGCATCCCCTACATGGTAAAGAAAAAATTTAAAAAAGTATAGAGAGTTGGATTCCTGAACAGAAAGCTGCTTTTTGTAATGTCAAGCAGTTACTGATTTCCAAGCGTGTATTCAAGAGTATAAACCAGCTGGCTGAGTTCAGTTGTGCCTATCCATAAAATGCCAGATGGCCCCGAGACACCAGTTTTGCTTACTAATCAAAAGCGATGTCATGTATATACCAGTATAATGTGTAGGTTGATAAAGTTATGCAATTCTCGTGGGAGTAGGGGAGTTTTATAACCGAACCAGTTTCTACACCTTCACAATTTGTAATGTTTACAGGCTGCTTTGGGAATTTTTCTCCAAGTATAAATCAATCCCTTTAATCTCGTTACCATCTATACATCACTGAGGTATTTTGCTCTGTGCTTTTGCCAGTTTGCAGGATGATGGGAACTCTTCCTTCTGGATGCCAAACCAGCATATGTAAGGAGCTGCTGGGCAACCTCAGACTACTGGAAGCCCCCTCACAGTCTCTAATCCCCGACCCACCAACATTACAAAATAACAGGGATTTGGAACTGTATTGCTGTCCAGAAAACAGATTTAGAGAAAAATTTCCCTGAAATTAGCCCTAGCAGAGGTGGCAGAGTTGACTAATTCATCTCTCCTTTCTTCGAGTGTCCTTTGTTTGCCTGTTTGCTTGGGAAGGGTAGTTGATGTTTACTGCTAACCACTATCTGCCTTAAAGAAATCCTGCAAAATAATTAACTTCACAATTTACTGATGACAGAAACTATTTCATGTGACTTGGATAAAAGTGATTATGTTTCTGTTTTTCTAAAAACACAGGAGAGATGTTAAATTATAATAACCTTGGACAGCAGTATTACTTTTAACAGGAATATATTATACATAAGCTGCAGTGAAAGAATAATTACCTCATATGTTCATATGAATATTGTTTGTCTCATTTCTATGTGTCAGTTCTTCATTTTTTTAATCTAATGAAATCAGGTATTTTAGAACTAGGAGACAGTAGTTCTAATTTTCAGGACAGACATTTCTGAAGATTATGAAAAAAATAATATTTTTGTCTTTTTCATAAGCAATTGAATTACTTTTCCCAGGAATAAAACCTTTTTTCCATAAAATCTGCACCCTATAGTCGTGATAGTATTAATTCCAGTTTTCAAAATGATGAGGAAATCAGCATACTCAATTAATTTCTAAAGGTGTTACTATTAGAACTTTCTGCCACTGTATTAATTCTAACTGTGTGAACTCTTTCTGCAGTGGAGGTTAGCTTCCATTTTTAAAATAGCTCGATAAGAGATCTAGGGTGAATGCAAGACCCAGAAATCCATTTATATTTTCAGCCTTTTAATACAGTTGTAGTAGAGAGATGCAGCTTCTCAGTCCTAGAGAACTAACTGTAAATGACCCAGAATACTTGTGTCTGTGTCTGCTTCATGCTCTTTCTTGCAATAATCATGAATATCCTTTTGTATTTTATAGACCTGCCTGCTCTGCTTAGTTTAAGTTTTCAGACAGTGCCTAATAAAACTTTTTGCAGTATTTGGTGACTCACTGGGGCTACTGGCTTGTCCTTGTCCAAACTGTCAGGAAACCATCAGTGCCTCTTCAGATCAGAGTGTTTCTGCCCATACTCCATGCAGGTGATGGCAGTTCCTGTCTGAGGTGGAGTCTGACTGGATTGCCACCCTTGTCTGGGCAGGTGATCTATCTGCTCTGAAATCTCATGAAGCCCAACATCCTAAGGAGAGCAAAATTCTGTAACTGCAAACACAGCTTCTTATCTCTCAAATATATCCAGATATTTATGTTAAGCTGCAAGGAATCTCCATCAGTTAAAACTAGCAATTACATTCCAATGTAACATGACTGATGATTTCAAGAGATTAGGGCCTTACTTGATTGCATCTAAATGCAACTTAATTCTCTTCTTGTTCAAATATCCTGTGTTCTCTATCTTGGTTTATTGCATAGTTCCTTTGCAGAAATTCTGACTCAAAGCCCTTATTTAATGTGTTATTTTGTGAAGCCACTCTGTATCCTAGGTCCAGACCCCTTTCTGTATGCTGGCATAGGGCAGTTATCTACAAGATGCCCTACCTTGCAGGCACTTATTTGAACTGATACTCCAGAATCCACTAGAACCCATATTTCTCTCTTTTTATCCAAATGTGTGGAGTTTTAATAATTTTCTAAGTACCCACTATGTGGCAGGTATACACACTAGACAGCATTTTATCATTTAATCTACCCAAGAGCCTGAGTGAAAGATGGGCAGTCATTTGATCCCCATTTTAAGATCAGACACTTAAAGTTTACTGAAGTTAAATTAATTTCTTAAGGTGACATAGCTAGTGATTCGACCAACCAGAATCAAAGATCTGTATGATTCCAAAGTCAATACCCTTCACATCCACGATGTCTCCTGGTTAAGAGCTTTGCTTCCATCACTTACTTTCTACCAGGTCTAATGAGGTCTGATTGGCTGGGGCACCCGGCCACATTTTCAGCAGCAGCACCCAGTGCCTCTCTCTCTGAGTGTCCTACGTTTCAGTCAGGGTTGTGTTCTTTCATGCATTCCTTATATGCACACACAGCTCCCTGTGTTTTTCTGCCAGTTTCCCTCTGCCCTGACCATTTTGCTAACTCCTCCTCACCTGCATCACCCACTTAAGCATTACGTACTGTCTATGACTTTCTTGACTTCCCTCCTGGCTTCATCATTCTAAGCTCTGTGGCATCCCTCCATATATTGAATTGTGGTGACTTCGGGTGTGTATCTCTCTGTTCTACTATGAATTCCTTAAAAACAGTATCAGGTTTTAATCATCTTTGTGTTCTCAAGATCTCATACAGTGGTAAGACCATAATAATGATGGAATATATACTTACTTATTTCATTTGAATTAACATTTCCTGCCACTTTGCTCCTACAGCCCTGTTCTGACTCTGATTTTTAGTCACATTACCACAGGATCTTACCAGCTGGGAGCATGCTTCCACTATATCTTCTCCACTCTCTTAAAATGGACCCATCAACATCTCATCCCTTCTGGCGTGGGGTGTGGGCATGTTGTGAACAATCTGACCTCAAACTCTTGTTCATCTGATTTTCCTTGTCTAGAAACTCTTGTCCTCCTGCTTCACCCACCTCCATCAAATTCCACATGTCCTACTTTTACATCCATGTCTACCTTGACCTCATGTTTGCCTTGTGCTTCCCTTGAATGGTTCTCAGTGATGCTTATGACTGCATGGTTAGTTTACTTGCATGGATGTAAGGCCTTATTATACTTGACTTTCTGCTTTCCCAGAGGGATACAGGAGCTTTAAGAACAGAAACACCTGTGTGTTTTTCACCTCTTGGTGGAAGTCTTTATGAGGAATAATTATATTCCCCATGCCACTCCTCAATAAGTCCCAATAACTGTGTATTCAGCACCTGATGAGTTATTGTCAGATCTCTATAATTCATCCTCTCTCCTTCTCTCCATCTCTGAGTCTCTTTCTCTTCATCTCTGTATATCTCTGTCTCCCCTTCTGTCTCTTTATCTCTCTTCCCCCATTCATTCTTCTCTGTTTCTTCATTTTTCATTTTAAATGTTGATCTTACACCTTCAAGTTAAGAGAAATGAGGAGGAGGAGGAGCAGGAGGCATTGCTGAGCACTTGTGAGAAGAGCTCCTTTTTTATGCCCCTCCCTGACTCTAGCACTGCTGAGACCAGCTCGGCTGGGGAGACCCTAACCCAGCGGCACTAGAGGAATTAAAGACACACACACAGAAATATAGAGGTGTGAAGTGGGAAATCAGAGGTCTCACAGCCTTCAGAGCTGAGAGCCCCGAACAGAGATTTACCCACTTATTAACAGCAAACCAGTCATTAGCATCGTTTCTATAGATGTTAAATTAACTAAAAGTATCCCTTATGGGAAACGAAGGGATGGACCGAATTAAAGGAATAGGTTGGGCTAGTTAACTGCAGCAGGAACATGTCCTTAAGGCACAGATTGCTCATGCTATTGTTTGTGGCTTAAGAATGCCTTTAAGCAGTTTTCCCCACCCTGGGTGGACCAGGTGTTCCTTGCCCTCATTCCTGTAAACCCACAACCTTCCAGCTTGGGTGTTAGGGCCATTATGAACATGTTATGGTGCTGCAGAGATTTTGTTTATGGCCAGTTTTGGGGCCAGTTTATGGCCAGATTTTGGGGGTCTTGCTCCCAACATAGCACTATCTCTCTTCACCTGCCACCCTCCCATATGTCAAGTGCCTAATCAACCTATATTCTCAATTTGCAAGGATCATAAGTTTTCTTGTGCCTCTCTGCCTTTGCACAAACTCTTCACCTCACTGAGTATGCCCTCATATTAGTCTGTTCTCACATTTCTGATAAAGACATACCTGAGACTGGTAATTTATAAAGAAAAAGACATTTAATTGACTCACACACAGTTCCATGTGGCTGGGGAGGCCTCACAATCATGATGGAAGGTGAAAGGCATGTCTTACATGGTGGCAGGCAAGAGAGAATAAGACCCAAGTGAAAGAGAAACCCCTTATAAAACCATCAGATCTGATGAGACTTATTCACTACCACGAGAACAGTATGGAGGAAACTGCCCCCATGATTCAGTTATCTCCCACTGGGTCCCTCCTACAACATGTGGGAATTATCGGAGCTACAATTCAAGATGTGATTTGGATGGGGATCCAGTCAAAGCATATCACTCTCCCTTCTCCCCTGTGTTGTTTGTTTGCCTGGAATCTCCCTACTGGTCCTTTGGACCAGCGAAATTTCTCTTTATTTGAGTTGGCATTTCAACTTATGTCCTTCCTACATAAGGGAGAAATAGAAGTCTTCTTGATACTCTATTATAATGCTTATCAATTGGTTCATTACTGGTTATTTTCATATACATGATATTTATGTAAGTCACTGCTGATTTACATACATGAACCTGCCCAGATTTTGGATTTTATCTTGTTCCTCCTTGTGTCTTAATAGTATGCAGTGTACCTGGTACATCCTAACCACAAAATAATGACTGAAAGCACTTCCACTGCAGGCAGACTTCAGGGACTTGACTATGTATTCAGCCTTGGGCTTCCTTTGATTCAAAAGAAGGGGACTTTCCTTCATGAACAATAAGCACAGACATTAGTATCAATAATTTTTATTTTAATAATTGAGTTGATTATTTTTAAAATACATCCTATTTTTATAAGCTTGTCATATCTTGTAAACAAGCTAGTGGCTCTCATCCAGACTATCATGAGAGCACTGCTAATTTTCTTTAGGTGTGCTTTGAAAGCATTTCATTAGGATGGAGTTATACTGCTCTTTCAAAAGCAAGTATTATGAATGTGGAGTGCTGTGGAGGGTCCTGTTCTGAGGAGTTTCAGAGGGCCATGGTTTAGTGGAATCAGATTAGGCTAGTTTTGGGGCAACTGAAGTTGGAATCTCAGTTTTGTCTTTAACCTGATGTATAACCTGGTCATGTCCCTTGAATGTATAGTTCCCTCGTTTGTATAATATACTATCTTATGCCAGAATTTTACAAGAAATAATTTGAAAATGCTTAAGCATAAAGCAGAATAGAAACATAAGGGTTTAATATTGGGAGGCGGAGGTTGCAGTGAGCCAAGATCATGCCACTGCACTGCAGCCTGGGCAACAGAGCAAGACTCCGTCTCAAAACAAAACAAAGAAACATAAGAGTTTAATAATATTGAGTTACTTAAATTTATTTCACTGTATTTTCCTATATATATATATATATACCTCTTCTTATTATTATTGTGATCTTATTTTTGTTTCTTCTTCCTATTTCTTTTCACCACCTCCTCCTCTTCCCTTTTTTCTCTTCCTCTTCTCCTTCTTCTTTCTCTCTTCCTCCTTCTTCTCCTTGTCCTTCTCTTATTTCTTTTTCTTTCTTTCCTCTTCTTCCTACTTCTCTTCTCCATCTTCTTTTTTTTCTCCTTTTCCTTCTCCTCCTCCTCTTCCTCCTCCTCTTGTCATTTAAGGTGATGCCTTCTATTGACCTGTGCTCCCTTGGATAGGAGGTTTTTGTTCGACAGCTCAGTAGGATGCTCCCTGCAGTGAAGAACTTCAGGAATTTTTGTTTGAATACATTTTTCTCTAGAAAGGAAAAACAAAAGATAGAAGGCAAACAGTATTGATGGGGCAACTGTACGTCCCAGACACTGTTCCTGCTGCTTTCCACAGTGATTCATTCGATTCTGTCAATAGTCCTTACGGTAGACACAACCAGTTTCCTTTTATAGGAAGTTATATAACCAGCCAGTGATGGGACAGGGTTTCCCCTATGCCTGTAAAACCAATAGCCTGTGCAAAAGACTTTAATACATGCCTTTGATACACTTAACCATAGAGAGGTACTCAGAGAGTAGTTTGGGGGTCCTAGTTAAAGAAAACAAAATAAGACAGAACTCAGTCTGCACTTCTAACATCTGTACTTGGGATCTATACCAATATATGTCCTAGACGCACCCCTGGCTCTGCTGTATAATATTGGGTCCCAGTAATTTGTTCTGGCTCTCCATGTTGCCACCCCTGATAAGCTTAGTATTTAGTTAAAAGAAAATTCCTACTGAGAAAAGTATTACTGACAGTGGGTCTACTATTTTGTGTTCTTTCATTTCTAATATCTTTGTTTTATTTTGACTATTTTCATGTGAAATATTCTTCTAAAGTAAAATATTTAATTTCCTTGAAGATAATTCTTTACAAGGAAATGCTGTTTTCTTTGGGGCCTTTTTTCTATTACTTTACCTTGCTGTTGCTTTGTAATTTATTTACAGTTCTGTTCTTTGTTTGAGAACATTGCTTTGCCATATGTTTATGACTTTGTTTTTCCTGCAGATGGCTTTTTTCCCTTCTGTTTAATTTCTCTGAGACAGTCGTGTCCTATATATTTTCACATGCACCTCATTGTTTTTTCATGGCACTTCATAAACCATGATTCATGTCACACTGAGCAGAATCACTACATGAATTTTCTAAATCTGTTACTTGCATCACAAATGTGTGTATCCACTTGGGAATTCTGTGGAATGTCTGATATTGATAAGGTTGGTTGACACTTCAACAACACTGCTTTTCAATTTTTTTCCCTAAATGTTTACAAAAACTCATAAAAAACAATCATGCATAGCATAATATATTTTTATTTTTCTCCTTAAAAAGATTGTCTCGTCTATTGGATGTGACATGTACCCTCGTGAGTCAGTTCCCTACGTTTAGGTCTTCTACAGCATTTGTTTTGAAAACAAAATCTACAGATTTTCAAAGATATTTAGTTGGGAAATAAAGCAGAGATATTGTGAAAATATGAGGATTTTAGCTATTGCAGATACTCAGCTACAAAGAGTAGTGGTTCTAAATTTTACCACTTTGCTGATGCCCTGTTTTTCTCTGACTTCAAACTTTGTCCGTGCACCTCATTCTTCCCTAAGGGCAGTCAATAAAGTGGGCAACTTTGAAAAAGTATTTGCTTTTCAGCTAGGAGATGGGAAATACACACACATGCACATGCATGCACATATACATATACATGCACATATGCACACACATATCCACAGATGAATGTGTCTGTGTATATACAAACATATATGTAGGATGGTAATGCATGGTTTGGCTGCAACTTGACTAATTTAGTTGACAGTAGGATCTGTGCAGAAGCGAAGAGGAACAGAAGAGCAGAAAAGTGAAGAAGCCTCTATCATCCCAGTTTTTGGCTAATTTGAGGGCAGGACCGAGCATGAACCTAGGGTGTGGGGCAGTGGGTAAAAGGGCTTTTTGGTAGCCACAGTGGATAGAAGTTGCCATTGAAGTTTAGAGATTTCTATCAAGGTTTAGGCAGTAGAATAGAAATCAAGTCCCTCTGGGAGGTGGGAAGAATGCTAGCAGGATGAGTCCCCATGGTTTCGTTGCCAGAGCCATCTAGCCTGAAATTTGGGCTTATTTCCTATTTCCAATAAGGAACTAAGTTGGAAAGCAGAAATTAAGGCAGAGCACGGCAGGAGGACCCAATTGTAAGTGGCCCATAGCTCAGCAGTTTCTGAACTTTCTTGCTATCAAGGCAATGCATGTTCACTGAGAAAAACACATTTCTAAACAGATAATGAAATGGAAAATAACACTCAAGTAATTATCAAGATTTACATTCAAGTTTTATTTTTTCATTTATTAGAGACAAGTGGACATTTTCTCTTTGGGGTAATTTATAGATGTGCCATGTCAGAAAATCAGGGTTGTGTACCATTGAGGGAGAGCTACAGGATGCGGATGGACTCAGACCAGGGGACCAGCGCAACATCAGCTAAAGTGTTTGGACTGGGCTTGTGAGCAGCAGGAGACATGTCACATGCATGAGGAAGGTGGGGATGAGGAGAGCTGAACTGGTAAAATGTTAATTGTGTGTGGAGGTGTCAAGGATTGTGTGAAGCAAAAGTACAGGGAGCTGACAAGTTAGCTGGTAGTTTGGGTCAGGGAGAGTTAAGAGCACCTGAACTAGAAAGGTGAAGGTGGACATGAAGAGAAGAGAAGGATTTGAGAGCTCTCAGGAAGTAGAATGCAGGTAACGTGGCACCTGATGAGAGCTGTTGGGTGAAGAAGGACAGACATTGCGAGAAATGAAGTTCTGTGTCCCATTGACCAAAATGAGTGGAAGCTGACAGTTCTCACATGGATTTGGCTGGGAGGCAATCATAGGCCTCAGTGTTGGACATTCAGGGGAATGGAGAAGACATGGGAATAGGCTGTGGCAGGCTAAGGAACTGACTTCATTTTGGAAATGGCTTCAAGGAAGGTGGCCCATAATATATTCCTATTGTTCATACAGGTACCATCATTTATTTCATTTCTACCTACTCCTTATGATCAAAAATCAAGGCACAATGTCAAAATAATGACCTGGTTAATGAGATCTATATTTTCACAGCTTTTCAGATTCCTTTGCCATCTTTCTTGGGTTCAGCATTCTTAGAGCAGTGTTCAAAAGTCTCAGGTTGGTAATTCCAGTTCATCAGGGAAAGCTGACGTTACATCCACAGTCCAGTCCAAGAAAGATGCTAGAGTTGAAAGCTATTATAAGAGAGTCAGAAAATGTCAAGAGGAAAAGATCAATGTGCTTAAGTACAACATTAAGATACATTCTGCATGGTGTTTCCAAGCAGCTCTTGGAAGTAACAGATGGCTTCTGTAAGGGAATGATATAAGAAAAGTACCTAAGTCATTTTCACCTTTGGCATGCGGGGATTTTTGAGTCACTAAATATAAATTCTGTTACACTATGACAGATTATAATCTCTAACATCAAGCATGATGCTAGAAGGGAATTTGAAAGAAGGTCCTCCATTTCAACTCTTCTATTTTTAAATCCTAACTGTACCTTTTACGACAGGATTTCAAAGGAACTTCTTAATTCAACCTGGTCTGTTATACAAGGCGCATTGAGAGAGTCATCCCCCGGTTCTGTGGGGCAATGTAGAAAAGGGGTAGATCCTGAAATAACAGTGCTCGTTTGTTGGGTGTTTTATGCTCAGATTACACACAACACTACCCTGACAACTCATTCACCTCAGCCTTCTCCGTCTTGCATTATGTTTATAATATCTTTAGTTAGGCAAGCGTGGTAAATAGCCTAAATTTCTAAAGTCTCTGTAGGTGAAGATGAAAAAATTGGTAACTGGTTATAAAGTAGATTGCAAATATAATCAAGTACAAAATCATTACATCAAGTCCTTATGCTTTTAGCATTCAAATATAAGTGAACTAGCCATCATTTTTGAAGTTAATTCCAATAAACATTTTATGAATTTTAAAAATGGTAGAAAAACGGGTACAATGATGGAGATAATTTGTCTCATGCATTTTCCACAAGAGAAATTTTTTGTAAGTTAATTTTTAAATGCTTTGTGAAAGGGCATAAAATTTTGAATTAGAAGTCTTGTGTTTGTATTCTGGGTCTACCATTTAACTCTCATTCACAGAAAGTTCATTTTCATGTAGGACCTTCAGCTAAATCATCTGTAAAGAGGAACTGCTAATATAAACCCTTCTGTTGAGCCTTGCAGATAGCTAATGTGTGTGAAAGAATGTAGTCAGCTGCAGAGCTCAGTGCAAATTTACAGATGTCATAAAAGTATATAGTCATTGCCTTAAATAGCAATATATATACATTTTTCTTTTAAAACTTTATTCATGAGAAATTAAGTACTCCATGAGTAGTAATTCTAACTCCTTGAATAGTAAAACTGAATGCACTTTTCCTGTAATACGCCGTTTGATATCAAGACAATAATGTTTAAGACTTTCCTAGGTTTAATGGATAGTGGAGATTAGAGCTCTTTTTAAAAATGATCAAATTTGTCCTAGAATAGAAAGACACTGCAGTCAAATCACTATTCAGTTTGCTTGTCTTATTCCAACTTTCTAAGCTATTTCCTAGAGAATCATTGAATATTTGCCACCTCTTTTGAAATTCACAAATGATATTTAGGAAAGAATTTTCATTTTAGAAAGATAAATGGTAAGCAGCATTGAATGAGTACATCTGGTGTGCAGAATATCTAGATAATGCTATATGACAGGAGGTCTGATGTGGCTGAAAATGAGAATAATAGAGAATTTTCAACACTAGATAATGCGTTGACCTCCCCACCCACCTTCAATTAATTTGAATCAGCTGATTTATCTAAGGACCTAGGGACACTGGGGGCAGGACAGGAAGCCTCAGTTAGGGCCAACAATTGCAATACATAGACACGTGTGTGGTGGCTTTCAGGGCAGGAGTCAAGGAGGGAGAAGATACCTTCAAGAGCCAAATCCCCACAGTGGGAGGTGTATCCCCTGAAGACACACTCATCCTACAAGAAGGAAGAACTCAGCAACACTGTAGGAGTTTTTTAAGGGAAACACAGGTTTACCCACTATCCTGGCTTTTAGAAGAACTCAGGGAGTAAGAGATAAAACAGCTATTTCTGGTGCTAACAGCCAGTAGGAAGCAATTGTTCCTTCTCTCCTAGGTGATAGCCAGTCTGCCTGTGGTGTGTAGAATTGTGGTTGATTCTCTTACGCCATGAAAGATGAGGACGTCTCTGGGCCGCTGCAGTTGCTACAGCCTTTCCCAGGCATTTCCTGTTCTACAAAATTGTAATTTTCCTGACTTTGAAAGCGGTTTGGAGTTAAGATTTCTTGATATACAGTGGAAATCGTGCTGGATGATAAAAATCCCTCTTCTGGAGGAAGAGTCAGATATTAGAAGACCCAGGGAAAAATGACCAGGATCATTTAGCATTGCTTGAATCATTTCCACTGCTTTCTGTATTGAAGGAAAGATTGGGGGATAGAGGAGATAGGAATCATGGCATTGCTTCTCTTTGCCTTTCCTTTGGTCAGCCCCTATTCCTTGATTCTGTCTCATGTTCCCATTTTAAAGGTAAGCAATATTGGTTGCCTGAGGATAGTTTGTCCTATCACAAACCTTAGATAATTAATAATACATATGCAGAGAGAATCCATTGCATGAAAGGTGAGACTCCAGATTCCTGGGAAGCCATAAATCAATGAGTAAATGTGGCATCTTTTACCAAAAAGCTCAAAGGAAAAACAGAGAAATCTTACTGGGATGAGAATGTTCTTCTGAATGAATTTAATATTCTCAAAGGATTTTCTTGGAAGGATGGCTAGGGAAAGCATGCCGCATTGCTGGCACATGCTCAGAGGCATGGAAGAGATTTAAGAATCCTAGGAGAAGACAGGACTGGATTACTGTAACATAATACTCATTCTGCAGGCCAGGAGCTCATGCACATGCATCACGTGAAAAATAAAGACTGTCTCAAACACAAGATAAAACGTTGCCGAGCATCCTGGGCCATCTTAGAATTTGCATGCCCTGGGAATGATTCCCTCCAGTTTCCATCCAGTGCTGCGATTCTCTGCTTGAACCTAGCTTCGGCAGAACTTTTTCTTACGCCCAGGGTGTCAGAATTAAGCTCAGGGCTGTGATGTTTGTCTTCCAGGAAGTCACTGGCACATGCCCACTCTTGATTTGTTTTCAGATTTGTCACTCGGCTGACTTGCAAGCCTGTCCATCAGCCAGAAATCAGGAAGCCTACAAGTCACAACTGGATCCATTGGTGAAACAAAGCTCAGCTGCCAGTCTCAGCAGAGAAAGCATGTTCTGCTCAGGAGTCACATTTAATTATGCAGAATTTATGCGTTTTATTTTTTTGTAACTCTTGAGTGTTAAACCATAAATGTGAGCTAATGAAAGATAATATATGTGAAATACCTAGCAGGGTTAGGCAGAGAGGAGACACAAAATGAAATCCGTCTTGTTCGTTCCTCTTGTACTTCTCTCTCCCTTACTTTACAAGTAGAGTAATAACTTGTTAGAGGTGGTTAATTAATATAAACTTCCAAAAAAAGTATCAACACAAAATGGTGCACATATATTTGTGAACGAAGATAGATAGGAGGATACGATTAGAAAAATGTAATCTACTGTCCTCAAAAAAGCCAAGATGAATGTCCATTGGTACATTTTCTTTTTTATTTATTTGTTTATTTAATTATACTTTCAGTTCTAGGGTACATGTGCACAACGTGCAGGTTTGTTACATATGTATACATTCGCCATGTTGGTGTACTGCACCCATCAACTCGTCATTTACATTAGGTATATCTCCTAATGCTATCCCTCCCGCCTCCCCCCACCCCATGACAGGCCCCGGTGTGTGATGTTCCCCTTCCTGTGTCCATGTGTTCTCATTGTTCAATTCCCACCTATGAGTGAGAACATGCGGTGTTTGATTTTTTGTCCTTGCGATAGTTTGCTGAGAATGATGGTTTCCAGCTTCATCCATGTCCCTACGAAGGACATGAACTCATCCTTTTTTATGGCTGCATAGTATTCCATGGTGTATATGTGCCACATTTTCTTAATCCAGTCTATCATTGATGGACATTTGGGTTGGTTCCAAGTCTTTGCTATTGTGAATAGTGCCACAATGAACATACATGTGCATGAGTCTTTATAGCAGCATGATTTATAATCCTTTGGGTATATACCCAGTAATGGGATGGCTGGGTCAAATGGTATTTCTAGTTCTAGATCCTTGAAGAATCACCACACTGTCTTCCACAATGGTTGAACTAGTTTACAGTCCCACCAACAGTGTAAAAGTGTTCCTATTTCTTTGCATCCTCTCCAGCACCTGTTGTTTCCTGACTTTGTAATGATTGCCATTCTAACTGGTGTGAGATGGTATCTCATTGTGGTTTTGATTTGCATTTCTCTGATGGCCAGTGGTGATGAGCATTTTTTCATGTGTCTTTTGTCTGCATAAATGTCTTCTTTTGAGAAGTGTCTGTTCATATCCTTCGCCCACTTTTTGATGGGTTTGTTTGTTTTTTTTCTTGTAAATTTGTTTGAGTTCTTTGTAGATTCTGGATATTAGCCCTTTGTGAGATGAGTAGATTGCAAAAATTTTCTCCCATTCTGTAGGTTGCCTGTTCACTCTGATGGGTAGTTTCTTTTGCTGTGCAGAAGCTCTTTAGTTTAATTAGATCCGATTTGTCAATTTTGGCTTTTGTTGCCATTGCTTTTGGTGTTTTAGACATGAAGTCCTTGCCCATGCCTATGTCCTGAATGGTATTGCCTAGGTTTTCTTCTAGGGTTTTTATGGTTTTAGGTCTAACATTTAAATCTTTAATCCATCTTGAATTAATTTTTGTATAAGGTATAAGGAAGGGATCCAGTTTCAGCTTTCTACATATGGCTAGCCAGTTTTCCCAGCACCACTTATTAAATCGGGAATCCTTTCCCCATTTCTTGTTTTTGTCAGGTTTATCAAAGATCAGATGGTTGTAGATGTGTGGTATTATTTCTGAGGGCTCTGTTCTGTTCCATCGGTCTATATCTTTGTTTTGGTACCAGTACCATTCTGTTTTGGTTACTGTAGCCTTGTAGTATAGTTTGAAGTCAGATAGCGTGATGCCTCCAGCTTTGTTCTTTTTGCTTAGGATTGTCTTGGCAATGTGGGCTCTTTTTTGGTTCCATATGAACTTTGAAGTAGTTTTTTCCAATTCTGAGAAGAAAGTCATTGGTAGCTTGATGGGGATGGCATTGAATCTATAAATTACCTTGGGCAGTATGGCCATTTTCACGATATTGATTCTTCCTATCCATGAGCATAGAGTGTTCTTCCATTTGTTTGTGTCCTCTTTTATTTCGTTGAGTAGTGGTTTGTAGTTCTCCTTGAAGAGGTCCTTCACATCCCTTGTAAGTTGGATTCCTAGGTATTTTATTCTCTTTGAAGCAATTGTGAATGGGAGTTCACTCATGATTTGGCTGTTTGTCTGTTATTGGTGTATAAGAATGCTTGTGATTTTTGCACATTGATTTTGTACCCTGAGACTTTGCTGAAGCAAGTCCTTAGAGACCTACAAAGAGACATTGACTCCCACACAATAATAATGGGAGACTTTAACACCCCACTGTCAACGTTAGACAGATCAACGAGACAGAAAATTAAAAAGGATATCCAGGAATTGAACTCGGCTCTGCACCAAGCGGACCTAATAGACATCTACAGAACTCTTCACCCCAAATCAACAGAATATACATTCTTCTCAGCACCACATCACACTTATTCCAAAATTGACCACATAGTTGGAAGTAAAACACTCCTCAGCAAATGTAAAAGAACAGAAATTATAACAAACTGTCTCTCAGACCACAGTGCAATCAACCTAGAACTCAGGATTAAGAAACCCACTCAAAACCACTCAACTACATGGAAACTGAACAACCTGCTCCTGAATGACTACTGGGTACATAATGAAATGAAGGCAGAAATAAAGACGTTCTTTGAAACCAATGAGAACAAAGACACAACATACCAGAATCTCTGGGACACATTTAAAGCAGTGTGTAGAGGGAAATTTATAGCACTAAATGCCCACAAGAAAAAGCAGGAAAGATCTAAAATTGACACCCTAACATCACAATTAAAAGAACTAGAGAAGCAAGAGCAAACACATCGGTACATTTTCATAGTGGGCTAGGTTAAGCTATACAAAATAACAAGAGCCTTCTAATTATAAGAATGTAACATGTTTTATAGAAGTATAACTCACTGCCCCCACTAATGCTATAGCAAAATCTAACAACTAATCTCGTTTCAAATATAATTTTAGAAATAGCATCTGAAGTGCATGCAGAACAAGTAAGGAAACTAAGATGATGCGTTGAACATCTAAACAGCTCCACAGCCAGTCGGTAGGTTTTGGAATTCAACTCTGACAACTGCACCAATCCTTTAATCTTCTTCCCATTGTAGATTTTCCATGATCTTATTCAGAATGTAGAAACTGTGCTCCCATTGTTAGTATAGAGGAAGAAATAGATAAATAAACATTATAAGCTAAAAATTCACACAGTAAACAGAAGACCAACAGAATGGGAGAAAATAGCTGCAAGCTATACCTCTGATAAGGAACTTGTATTAGTCCATTTTCATACTGCTGATAAAGACATACCCAAGACTGGGCAGTTTACAAAATGGCTGGGGAGGCCTCACAATCATGGCAGAAGGTGAAAGGCACATCTCACATGGCTGCAGACAAGAGAAGAGAGCTTGTGTAGGGAAACTCCCCTTTTTAAAACCACCAGATCTCATGAGACTTATTCACTATCACGAGAACAGCATGGGAAAGACCTGCCCCCGTGATTCAGTTACCTCCCACTGGGTTCTACCCACAACATGTTGGAATTCAAGATGAGATTTGGGTGGGGACACAGCCAAACCATATTAGAACTAATACCTAGAGTTTATAGGGAACTCAAATCCGCAAGCAAAAAAGCAAATAATCCCATTAAATTGGACAAACTACATGAACAGACATTTCTCAAAAGAAGATATACAAATGGCCAAGAAACATAGGAAAAAATGCTCAACATCACTAATCACCAAGGAAATGAAAATTAAAACTACAATGACATACCACCTTACCCCAGCCAGAATGGCCGTTATTAAAAAATCAAAAAACAATAGCTGTTGGCATGAATGTGGTGGAAATGAAACACTTATATGCTGGTGGTAGCAGTGTAAATCAGTATAGCCTCTATGGAAAACAATATAGAGATTTCTCAGAGAATTAAATGTAGATCTACTATTTGATCCAGTGATCCCACTACTAGGTATCTATACAAAGGAAAAGAGGTCGTTATATAATAAAGAACCCACATACATATGTTTATCGTAGCACAGTGCACAATTATAAAGATATGTAATCAACCTAAGTGCCCACCAACTGATGTGTGGCTAAAGAAAGTGTGTTTTATACACATACACACACACACACCATGGAATACTACTCAGCCATGAAAAAAGAATGAAATAATACCCTTTGCAGCAACTTGGATGGAATTGCAAGCTATTATCCTAAGTGAAGTAACTCGGGAATGGAAAAGCAAATACCACATGTTCTCACTTACAAGTGGGGGCTAAGCTGTGACTATGCAAAAACATACAGAGTAGTACAATAGACATTGGAGACTCAGAAGAGGAGAGAATGGTAGGAGGTAATGAAAAATTACCTGTTAGGTACAATGTATGCTATTTGGGTGATGGATGCACTAAAAGCCTGGACCTCACCACTGTACAATTCATTCATGTAACCAGAAACCACTTGTACCCCCAAAGCTATTGAAATGAAAATAAATAATGGAAGCAAAATACAGCATGCGGCATAAATGCACAGAGCATGTATGTGATGCATTTATATGATTTTAGCCATATTTGTATTTATATGAACTTTTCAATTGATGGTTTGGCATATGAGATTAGGAGGCCTTTAAGGAGAATATACCTGGATTTTGGAGACGTGAGTTCTGTACTTCCTGTGTACTATGAAATTTCTGGACTCAAACCTTTTTTGATTTTGCAGTACACAGCAAAATAGAACTGTCTTTTCTGGGCACATGACAGAAATTAAAAGGAGAAGGGGCTAAGTTCAAAGGAATATAATTAATGTCCTAAAGGGGTTAAAAGCGTAAACTTAATCATTGCATCATCAGGTGACCTGTCAGCATGAGAACATTGCTTAATCTTGTACAAGTTACCTTCAGGAGAAAGTTGGTAATTCTTCCATGATTAGAATTACTTGTCAGGTTCACTTTAAAAATACGTAAATCTGAGTTTTTCCCGGTGACAACCAGCCCAATCAAAGAAAGCATGTGTTAAATAGAATGAAATTGCATTGTAAGTCAATAAGCCCAAATTAGAATAGCACTGTACAACTTCTCTCGGTGTTGCGATCCTAAAGATTTGTTATACAAGTGAAGTTAGGGACAGATCGAAAGACAGAGATCGCACATGTTAAAGAATGGTTGTGATGGAGGTTACTAAAGAGCTAGCTATACTGATAAAATGCATCAGATTGTTTAAACCTAAAATATATGGAAATAAAAATGTTGGAAACAAACATCTCAGTGAAGCTTTCTTCAATGGTTTTGTGTGACTCCATTTAAACAGAGATTACTAAAACCACTATAAACTAGAAAGTACAGAATCTCTAGGTAAAAGCTGAAGAAAGCACTGAAAGGGCATAATTCACATAAATCATGATCTAGGACCATCACTTAAAGAATGTAACAGCATTTTCTTATCACAGGGATTCTTGCCCATTGATGAACACTGAAGCTTTCTGAAGTTGTAACTGTTCTTTCCATTCTTTCTACCCTTTTATCTTGGAATGCAGCCAAGGATACTTGGCATAATGTGTTGCACAGTGACCATTCCACAAATTGTGAAACTGACTTTACAAAAATTATATCAATGAGAAAATTATGACAGTGAAAGAGATCTGAGCTCATCCACTCCCCATCTTACCTTTCCCTTAATTATTCCTGCATTATTGGACCTAGCTGATCCATCAAGGGCAGGGTCTGCAAAATATCTCAAGAATTGATCTTAGGTTTTACAATAGTGGTGTTATCTCCAGGAGCAATTTGGGGAGGTTCAGACACTTGAAGCAAGAGGTTGCATGACTCCTAAACAGTAATTTATAATCTTAAAGCTACTTTGTTAGTCCTACAAAGGCAGACTGGTCCCCAGACAAGAAGGGGTCTATTTGGGTAAGGGCCATTATCAATTTTGTTTCAGAGTTAAATGAGAAACTAAATTTCTTCCCAAGGTTAGTTCGGCCTATGTCCAGGAATGAACAAGGACAGCTTAAAGGTTAGAAGCAGGATGGGGCCAGTTAGGTCTGATTTCTTTCACTGTCATAATTTCCTCAGTTATAATTTTTGCAAAAGCAGTTTCAAATCCACACTTACTTTTATCAGGGAATTTTGTGAAGTCTTGTTCTATGATTTCAAAATACTGTGTTAGCTTTCGACAGCTTGGGAACATACCCATTCTATAAATTATGGCAAACTGTACTTGCTACGGTTTTATATTTTATTATATCACATGATTATCATGACAGTTTGTGGACTTATTTTCCTTTCTTTTGAGATTTCTTGTTAGGACTTGGGTCTTTTGGAATGTCAATTTCAATGATATTTATTGACTGCTTACTAAGCAGGTATTATGTAGAGCAACTAAAATAAGCAAGCATCTAACTTGGAAAGAGCAAAATATAAACCAAATGAAGAAAATGCAATAGGAAAAGGGTGTAAAAATGCACTAAATCTTTTCCTGAACTCTACATTCATTGTCCTTATTTTTCTTTTTCACTGTTTGTATAATACAGGGTATAATTAATTGGAATTTTTGTTTTGTTTTGTTTTGTCCCCATTCCAATTCTGCCCCTGAAACCACCTTTGCAAAATTATCACTGAGACAGTGAAAGAGATCTAACTTAATCGACTCCATCTTGCTTCCAAACTCCAAGCTGTCCTTGTTCATTCCTGGGCTCAGGGTGAACCAACTTTGGGAGAAACTCAGTTTATAGTTTAAACTAAGGATGATAACAACCCTTTCCCAAAGGAGGTCTCCTTCTTGCCTGGGGTCTAGATTGCCTTTGTAGGACTAACATTAGCCACAAGATTAGAAATTGTTTCTTAGGAGTCATGCAGCTGGAGGCTACAAGATTCTGAGCCTCCCTAAACTGCTCCTAAGATCAGTGCCTGAGATATTTTGCAGACCCTGCATGTGACAGATCAGCTGGCACCTCCCAGATCAGTAAACTGGGTCATCTGATCCTGTGCCCCTGACCCAGTAACTGACTCAGTACAAGAGGACGGCTTCAACTCCCTATGATGTCATCCCTCACCAATTAGAGCTCCTGGCTCACTGGCTTCACCCCACCCACCAAGTTCTCCTTAAAGACTCTGCTCCTGGAGTAATAATAAAACTCTGATCTCCTGCACAGCTGGCTCTGTGTGAATTTCTCTTTCTCTATTGCAGTTCCCATCTTGAGAGATCGACTTTGTCTGGGTAGCAGGCAAGGTGAACCTATTGGGAGATTACAAATTTGGGTGCTCATCTGAGATTGCCCTTATGGCTACTTCTGCCCATGGTTTGATACCAGCCTTGGTAAGGTTTCCCTTTTAATGAAAAGAAGCCCCCAAATAATTTCTTTTCTAACAGAGAGCAGCCTGTAAAATTGAGCTGCAGACATAGATAACCAAGCTGGAAGCTTACACGGGTGAATGCCGGCAGCTGTGCTAATAGGAAAAGGCTACCTGGAAGCTAGGCATGTCCAACATGGTGGCTCCATCTTCCCCTTTCCTTGCCAACCACATGTGCAGTAGGGAGCAGACAACATGGCACTCACTAGCCCACTAGAAAACCCATTTGCATAATAAAAAGATTAGCATGGGGCAGCCAGGTTCTTTGCGTGCTATATAAACATCACACCTGGTCCAACCAATCTTTGAGTCCTATGTAAGTTAGACACCGCCTCCTCAAGTCAGTCGTAAAACCCCATGCACTTCACCACAAAATCGAAGACCCACTTGGGTAGCACCCCTCTCTCTCTGCAGGAAAGAGAGTTATTCTGTTTTTCTTTCGCCTATTAAACCTCCACTCTTAAACTTACTCCTCGGGTTGTCCATGTCCTTTATTTCCCTGGCATGAGGCAATGAACCTCTGGTATTACCCAGTGAAGGATGCCATTTCAGTATCACAGAGAAGTTTATCCCTTCAATGGAAACTGTGTTATGTGGACTATTAGCAATAATAAATGGGTTACTACCTGGTGAAAAAATATGTTATTTTATAATATCAGACTGCCAGTTTTTTTCTGTCTTTGCTCCATCTTGACCTTAAGATGTTCATCAACTCATTTTTTTCAAGCAAAGTACATGACTGATGGAACTGCCATAATAATAATATTTCACTGAAATCTGGCATTACAAAATTTAAGTGGGTATTTGGAGGTCCATGCATTGATTACAGTTTTTAAATTTGAAATAAATAACCAGCATCCTTTGAATATGAAAAGCTGTTTCCTTTTGACATTTAATTTACCCTGTTTAAAACGTGAGATGTAAAGCGGTGGTTAGTCAGTGAACTAGAATTTTTGTTGTAGAGTATCCAGGACTTGGAAGAGTATCATGAAAGAATTCTTTTTGGTTGGTGAAGAGTGTCAACTTGAAAAATAAATCGCTGTGTTCCAAAATAAAATTGTGTCAGAGACTGTAAGTAGTGCGTATTTAATCTTAATAACTCAAGATTGATGTAATTACTGGAATATTTTATTTGAAGAAATGTGTATCACACTTACTAAATTTCGTTTTTTAAAACAGCTGCAGCAAGAGTGGCAGTTATTCAGTTGTCTCTTTAACCTCTGTTATTCTGATGACTGAAGGAAAAACTTGAACCTATGTTATGTGATATAAGCATAATTTGAGCTACACTGAACCACATGACAGTGCTTTGATAATCTTGTATAAATCAGTATATCTCTTCTCTCATTAGTCTGTTTGTTAAATGCCAGACCTTGTTTCTGTCATCTTTTGAATGAAACCAAGGTAGTTCTGTGAGAAAGCAGCAATTGCAGAATTATACACCTGGTGAATTAAATTTTAACATTAAAGATAATTTAGTTTTAGATTTGGCCTCTGTGGATCTGTATCAGTTCCAAAAATGTAGAAAGCACGGGCATGGTAAAGTACATTTTTCTGTAATAAAAAAATACAAAACCTATTTTATCTGTGCATTCTTTTGTATTTATTCATTAGGTTAAAGAGGCAATTCCAAAGAAAGTATGACTTCAAAAAATTATATATAATCTATGGCCTTAATAAAATTATTAAAAGCACCTTAACATCTGTGTTCTTGACAAAAAATAAACAATAAATGATTAACTGTGATGGTTAATACTGAGTGTCAACTTGATTGGATTGAGGGATACAAAGTATTAGTCCTGTGTGTGTCTGTGTGGGTGTTGCCAAAAGAGATTAACATTTGAGTCAGTGGGCTGGGGAAGGCACATCCACTTTTAATCTGGTGGGCACAATCTAATCAGCTTCCATCGAATGTAAAGCAGGCAGAAAAATGTGAAAAGGCGAGACAGGCCTGGCCTCCCAGCCTACATCTTTCTCCTGTGCTGGATGCTTCCTGCCCTCGAACATTGGACTCCAAGTTTCTCAGTTTTGAGACTCGGACTGGCTCTCCTTGCTCCTCAGCTTGGAGACAGCCTATTATGGGACCTTGTGATTTTGTAAGTTAATGCTTAATAAAGTCCCCTTTGTGTGTGTGTGTGTGTGTGTGTGTGTGTGTATGTATATATATTCACACACACACACATATATGTGAAAGAGCTGAAATTGTGGAAAAACAGACACAAGCTCTTATCACGTGAGGGGCTGACCTTCAATGAAAGATGCATGCACAGCCTCGCCAGATGTCTACTGTTAAAGTGAGGGCATTGACTGGAAAAGAATGGGACCCTGCAACTTGGAATGGGGACGGTGAGGGAGGACCCTGATGAAGCTGGGGACACTGAGTTTGTAAACTCCAATGAACCTTTTTTTGCCAGAAGGAACAGCTTCCCCATCCCCTGTAATGGCAACATCCTTTCCCTGACCCATGGCTGCCATCAGCCTTTCCACCTTTGTCTGAGGAGATAAACCCTGTGCTGCCTGAGGCAACAGTGATGGCCTCCCCTGAGGCAGTTGCCAGACAAAATAATGTTGATTCTCCTCAGGAGCCACCCCTAACACCCCTGTTTGCTTCTAGATCTATCACTAAAGTCCCAGCAGGCCCCTAGAGGTGAGGTTGAGAATGTGACCCATGAGGAGGTGCGCTACACTCGAAAAGAACCATTTGAGTTCTATAATTGATATAAACAGAAATTTTGGAGAACAGGCATGGGAATAGATATTAAGGGTATGGGATAATGGTGGAAAGAACATAGAGTTGGATCAGGCTGAATTTATTGATTTGGGCCCACTAAGTAGGGACTCTGCTTTTAATTTTGCAGCTGGGGAGTTAAAAAAAGGTTCTAATAGTTTATTTGCTTGGTTAGCTGAAATATAGATTCAAAGATGGTGGTAAAGGCCAAATGGAAGCCATTAGAGCTGCTCCTACCTAGAAAAATAGTGAATAAAAACAGTATCCCATCCCTGGAGGGATTGTGGAGATTAGTGTCACCATCAATGCACCTTGAAAGATGCAGGGATGGTGATTCCCACCACATCCCCATTCAGCTCTCTTATTTGGCCTGTGCAGAAGACAGATGGATCTTGGAGAATGACAGTGGATTATCGTAAGCTTAACCAAGTGGTGATTTCAGTTGCAGCTGCTGTACCAGATGTGGTTTCATTGCTTGAGCAAATTAACACATCTTCTGGTAATTGGTATGCAGCCATTGACTTGGCAAATGCCTTTTTTTCCATTCCTGTCCATAAGGCCCACTAGAAGCAATTTGCCTTTAGCAGCAATATACCTTTACTCTCCTACCTTAGGGGTATATCACTTCTCCAGCTTTGTGTCATAATCTCGTTTGGAGAGACCTTGATTGCTTTTTGCTTCCACAAGACATCACACTGGTCCATTGCATTGATGATATTATGCTGATTGGATCCAGTGAAAAGAAGTAGCAAACACACTGGACTTATTGGTGAGACATTTGCGTGCCAGAGGATGGGAAATAAATCCAGCGAAAATTAATGGACCTTCTACCTCAGTAAAATTTTTAGAGGTCCAGTCGTTTGGGGCCTGTCAAGATATTTCTTCTAAGGTAAAGGATAAGTTGCTGCATTTGGCCCATTCTACAACCAAGAAAGAGGCACAACGCCTAGTGGGCCTATTTGGATTTTGGAGGAAACACATTTTTCATTTGGGTGTATTATTGTGGTTCATTTATTGAGTGACCTGAAAGGCTGCCAGTTTTGAGTGGGGTCCAGAACAGGAGAAGGCTCTGCAACAGGTCCAGGCTGCTGTGCAAGCTGCTCTGCCACTTGGGCCATATGACCAGCAGATCCAATGGTGCTTGGGGTGTCAGTGGCAGATAGGGATGCTGTTTGGAGCCTTTGGCAGGCCCCCATAGGTGAATCACAGTGGAGGCCTCTAGGATTTTGGAGCAAGTCCCTGCCATCTTCTGCAGATAACTACTCTCCTTTTGAGAGACAGCTCTTGGCCTGTTACTGGGCTTTGGTGGAAACTTAACCTTTACCTATGGGTCATCAAGTCACCATACAGCCTGAACTGCCTTTCATAAACTGGGTGCTTTCTGACCCACCTAGCCATAAAGTGCGTCGTGCACAGCAGCATTCCATCATCAAATGGAAGTGGTATATACAAGATCGGGCTCAAGCAGGTCCTGAAGGCACAAGTAAGTTACCTGAGGAAGTGGCTCAAATGCCCATTGTCTCCACTCCTGCCACCCTGCCTTCTCTCCCCCAGCCTGCACCGATGGCCTCATGGGGAGTTCCCTATGATCAGTTGACAGAGGAAGAAAAGACTAGGGCCCGGTTCACAGATGGTTCTGCACAATATGCAGGCACCACCCGAAAGTAGACAGCTCAAGCACTACAGCCCCTTTCTAGGACATCCCTGAAGGACAGTGGTGAAGGGAAATCTTCCCAGTGGGCAGAACTTTGAGCAGTGCACCTGGTTGTGCACTTTGCATGGACAGAGAAATGGCCAGATGTGCGATTATATACTGATTCATGGGCTGTAGCCAGTGGTTTGGCTGGATGGTCAGGGACTTTGGAAGAAGCATGATTGGAAAATTGGTGACTAAAAAATTTGGGGAAGAGGTATGTGGATCGTCCTCTCTGAGTGGTAAAAAACAAGATATTTGTATCCCATGTGAGTGCTCACCAACAGGTGAAGTCAGCAGAGGAGGAGTTCAGTTGTCAAGTAGGTAGGATGACCCATTCTGTGGACACCACTCAGCCTCTTTCCCGAGCCATCCCTGTCATTGCCCAATGGGACTATGACCATAATGGCCATGGTGGCAGGGATGGAGGTTACCCATGGGCTCAGCAACATGAGCTTCCACTCACCAAGGCTGACCTGGCTACGGCCACTGCTGAGTGCCCAATTTGCCAGCAACAGAGACCATCACTGAGCCCTCGATGTGGCACCATTCCTCGGGGTGACCAGCTAGCCACCTGGTGTTAGATTGATTATATTGTACCTCTTCCATCATGGAAAGGGCAGAAGTTTGTCCTCACTGGAATAGACACTTACTCCAGATATGGGTTTGCCTATCCTGCATGCAATGCTTCTGCCAAGGCTACCATCTGTGGACTCATGGAATGCTTTATCCACCATCATGGTGTTTCACACAGCATTGCCTTTGACCAAGGCACTCACTTTGTGGCTAAAGAAGTGCAGCATTGGGATCATGCTCATGGAATTCACTGGTCTTACCATGTTCCCCTTCATCCTGAAGCAGCTGGATTGATAGAGTGGTGGAATGGCCTTTTGGAGTCTCAATTACAATGCCAACTAGGTGACAATACTGCAGGGCTGGGGCAAAGTTCTCCAGAAGGCCGTGTATACTCTGAATCAGCATCCAATATATGGTACTGTTTCTCCCATAGCCAGGATTCATGGGTCCAGGAATCAAGGAGTGGAAGTGGAGGTGACACCACTCACAATCACCCCTAGTGATCCACTAGCAAAATTGTTGCTTCCTCTTCCTGCGACATTATGTTCTGCTGGCCTAGAGGTCTTAGTTCCAGAGAGAGGAATGCTGCCACCAGGAGACACAACAACGATCCCATTAAACTGGAAGTTCAGATTGCCAGGACACTTTGGGCTCCTTCTACCTTTAAGTCAACAGGCTAAGAAGGGAGTTACAGTGTTGGCTGGGGTGATTGACCCTGACTATTAAGATGAAATCAGTCTACTACTCCACAACGGAGGTCAGGAAGAGTATGCATGGACTACAGGAGATCCATTAGGGCATCTCTTAGTATTACCATGCCCTCTGATTAAGGTCAATGGGAAACGACAACAGCCCAATCCAGACAGGACTACAGATGACCCAGGCCCTTCAGGAATGAAGGTTTGGGTCACTCCACCAGGAAAAAAACTATGACCTGCTGAGGTACTTGCTGAAGGCAAAGGGAATACGGAATGGGTAGTAAAAGAAGATAGTCATCAGTATCAGCTACTACCACGTAACCAGCTGCAGAAACAAGGACTGTAATTGTCGTGAGTATTTCCTCCTTTTTTTGTTAAAAACATGTTTGTATGCATGTGTACACTTGTTCTAAGAAAATATCTTCATTTTTTCCCTTTTCTTTATCATGTGGCATAAGATTTATTGACATTATATCAGCATTTAAGTATTGTTAACTTTATGTAATAGTATTTGGGTTGGGGATTGGTGTGTTTCCGGTTGTAGAAAGAATAGTTGTATTATGGTAGGCATAATTATGACCTCATTATTGTCTTTATTTGAAGATTATGTATGATCTCAGGAGATGTGTATGGGTTCAAGTTGACAAGGGGTGGACTTGTGATGATTAATACTGAGTGTCACCTTGATTGGAGTGAAGGATACAAAGTATTGATCTTGGGTGTGTCTGTGTGGGTGTTGCCAAAAGAGATTAACATTAGAGTCAGTGGGCTGGGGAAAGTAGATCCATCCTTAATCTGGTGGGCACAATCTAATCAGCTTCTAGTGAATATAAAGCAGGCAGAAAAACGCGAAAAGGCAAGACAGGCCTAGCCTCCCAGCCTACATCTTTCTCCCGTGCTGGATGCTTCTTGCTCTTGAACATTGGACTCCAAGTTCTTCAGTTTTGGGACTCGGACTGGCTCTCCTTGCTCCTCAGCTTGCAGATGGCCTATTATGGCCTCGTGATAATGTAAGTTAATGCTTAATAAGCTCCCCTTTGTGTGTGTGTGTGTGTGTGTGTGTGTGTGTGTATACACACACACATATATACGTACATATATATATATGTGTGTGTGTATATATATATATATTAGTTCTGTCACTCTAAGAGAACCCTGACTAATACAACAACTGAGCAGGATATATTAATATCAGTGCTGAGCCACTGGTTTGTGGGTATGTCATTTCCACAAAGACATCAAAATGCCATTTAGTTTGTTTTGGTCCACCATTCAATAATACCTCCCTTTAGCATTGAATGAAAGTATTTTATTAACATTTATTTATGCTTACAATTATTTCACATCTTTGTCAAGGCAAATTATGTAGAGTGCTTTGTTTTTTAAGTTTAATATTTGTAAAGTATGTGGAAGTTTAAGTATACATGCATATAAAAACTTGAATGATGAATTCTCCTACCTTTCCTTTTGTAATATGCAGTTTTTGCATGTAACAACATACAAAATGTTCATTTGGAAACACTTTAGTAAGTATGAAATTCAGAGTATATTTAGAGTATGAAATTCAGAATATATTTAAAGTCAGTTAAATATATTCTTTTGCTGAGTTTCTGAAATTCCATTTATGGATGGTTCAAAACACCATACTCCCATTGGGAGGAGAGGAGTGACTGCCTCTCATTTTTCCTTGTTCTTTTCATTTTAATTGGCTCCTATATACCACTCTTATCTTTTCAAGGTTTTCCACATTTAAGAAAAAAAGCAAATTCATTCAGATTCTGTTTTTCTGCCTGCAATCACTTATACAGGAATAAGTGAGTCCTTATGGGGAGCATTTAATTCCTAAAGTTTGCATTTTTCTAAAGGATTTTCCTTTTACCCAAAGCATGTGTTGATGTGTAAGTCTTAAGTACTACTTCAAGTTTCTAAGAAGATCCTTAATTGAGATCTCTTTCAGTAGTTACAGGGGCAAAATAAGCACTGCAGAGGTCCATGTGAGAGTTCTATTATACATACTGGGCTATATGACTATTTGTTCTATAGTGGAAGGACAAGAAAGAGGCCATAATGTACTTAGTGATGGAACAGTTGATATTTATGCCACCCCTTACCTCAAGTGAGTAACTGTGTACTTGAAGTCACTTTGGCAGATATTCTGAAGGGAAGAAAGTTTTTGCCCTTAAAAGTTATTAGGGGTGTGTGTATGTATGTGTTTAAATGTGTGTATATGTATAAATGTGAGTGTGTATGTATGTGTATATGTGCATATACATGTATGTGTGTATACATATAACATGCATATATGTATACTCTATGCATATATGTAATGTGAATATATGCACACACATACATATATATATGACTTTATTTTTTAGAATTGTTTTTAGTTCACAACAAATTGATCTGAAGGTCTAGAGCTTTCTGATTTACCACCTGTTCTTCCACCATGGCATTTCCCACTATCCATATCCCCCACCAGAATGGTGCCCTTCTTATACCCCATGAACTTACATTGACACATCATTATCACCCCAAGTCCATAGATTATTTCAGGGTTCACTCTTGGTTCCTTTTTTTTTTTTTAGTGACTATTTTTCTCATGTCACCTGTGCTAGTAGTCCCTGTTTTATTTTTCATAAAGAGAACATTTTATTTATACTTTTTTGTGACCGGGAAATGTTAGGTCAGAATATCAGAAACAAGTCACACTAAAACAAATGTAAAGATTCACTTTTCTTCTGAAAATGGCAAGACAGATAAGTTTTATTTACATACATATGCTTGAAACATTGCAGTTAGTCCCTTTAAATTCTAGACCGAAGCACATATTTTCTTTTGTTCCATAATAAATATTCCCTTTAAAGAATGGCTGATATCAAGAGCATCATGTCTCCTAATATGGTCTCACTCAACAGCTGAATGTTGAAATGTACAGCCACAAAGCACTAAATATATCCTTAGAACAATGATGTACTGAACAAAATTCAGAGGTCATATGCAAAGACAGCTCCCAAGGAAGTTTGCAAGTGGCAAGTCCTTTCCTTCAGCAACTGAAACCCAGGAGAAACAGAGTCTCTTGCCTCTGCTTCTTGGAGAGGGGTTCTCCTGACACCGGAGGGAAATGGCGATCTCATCTCCCTGATGTTAGTTAAAATTTCATCTTGGATTGATAGGTTCATATCTTTGTGAAGATATCTAAATTAAGGTGATCCAGCCAAATCACTAAATACTCGGCTCACTCCTTAGGAGGAGCTTAACTCTGCCATGATTTCTGTGTACACACCTCATTTATTGCACTCAGAGTACAAAAGCTCTGAGATGTAAAATTGAACCAGGCAGCACATTGCATTCTTATCCAAGTGAATCAAGGCTTTCTCAGTGCTACTCATCCAAAGCACATTGAAATCAATTCTTCTTATTTATTTGTAAAACAGACAGTGATGATGGTGTCTGTGTCAGAGGGTTACTGTGAGTGTCAGAGGAAACGATGATGGTGAGAAGGTTAGACACATGGTACATGTTGAATTAATGTTAGCTATTAGTTACCAATACCTTCATGATTTTTATTGGTATGTAATAGTTGTAAATATAAAAGGGTAAATGTGATATTTTGATTTGTGAATATGTAAATATCAGATCAGGGTAGTTGGAATATTCATTATCTCAAAGTTTTATCATTTTTTGTGTCGAGAACATTGCAAATCTCATCTAGGTATTTTGAGATACAGGATAACTGTAGTTACTCGAGTGTGCTATTGAACACTAGAACTTATTTCTTCCCTCTAACTGTATGTTTATACCCATTGTCCAGCATTTCTTTTTCCCTGACATCCCTCCTACCGTTTCCAGCCTCTGGTAACCACCATTCTACTCACTACCTCCCTGAGATCAATTGTGTCCAGGAATGAAAAGCAAATAAGTGGTAAAGATGGACTAGTTGATAGTTAATAACCATGACTGGTCTATTCTTTGTCTGCTACACTTTCTTTCCTCTATGTGTGGCAAGTGCCTACTTACTCTTTTAAGGCTTGTGTCAAAGACCACCGAATTCTTCACCTTTTCTGGAATCTGTTAGTTCTCAAACAAAATTGTGCCCGTTTTCTTCTCTTTTAGTGGTTCTGTACCTCTCAAACCCCGTATCGTGGCTGTGACTTAAACGTTACCCTTGAGAGTAAAACTTTTATCATAGTTTTGTTTTTGGAACCTTGCACATTTCTAGACATACAGGAGGTGCACAATATACATGTACTAAGTAAATGAATGATTGGTCATTTGAAAGAATAAGTGTTGAATACACAGCAATTCTCCAATCTCTGTGTTTATGCAAACACAAGAATTAACTTTGCCTAATTCAAATATTATATTGAAATTTATTCAAACTTCCCATTTTCCATGAATTAAGCAGACATCCGTTGTTACTAGATTTTCACTAATCAGTTAAATCTCTTTTGCCTTGTATCATTTTAAAAGAGCATGTGGAACAAAATCAAACAGCTTAGGTAGTTTACATCTCTTGAGCTCACTATTTTAAGGAGCGAAGTTCACCCTGCCACTTGCCTATCTGTCTCAGTACTCACACAACACTTGCATCGATGTCCTGCTAATGTACATCAAATCAAATATTCATACCTGCTTTTAAGTGTGCTCCCGTCAACAAACAGTTCACTTGGTTAGTATTATCTTCCATCCAGGATCAAGATAAAATATGTGCCAGAGAAAGATGCCTTATAGAGATTCTCACAATGTACTAGTTACACATAAATTAATTACTGGAGCAGACATTCCTACCTTTTAGAAAGTGAAGACTTGTTCATAGGAGTTGAGAGTGAAGAAAATCAATTCTTGTTGAACTGATAAATGTTCCTTCTAGATAGTTTACATTGCCATTAAAGCATAAAGTTGCCATTTTTCTTTATCTGTCAGCTACTTATTGCACAAGCTATTCTGGCTTTTCAAATCATATCTTTTGGTCATTTGCCAAGTGCTTGGCAGTTGGGTACACATGGATTAGCCAGTAAAAGAATCTCAGAACTTTCCAGCTATTTTTGATCAGGTACACCTGTAAATCTTAAAAAGCCTATAAAGAAATACCTAACTAGCACATTGGATACAAGAAACAAAAATCTCACGTAGGAAAATAGTAGCTGAAGTTCTGAATGTTGACTCAACTTAGGAAATTGCAGGCATTAGGGAGAAAAATCCTTAAAGCTTAAAATTCCACTAGGTGGTAACCACTGTTAACACACACATGCATTTCCCTCTTCATATTTGGGAAATTGATGGTTGTGTTTTCTTTTTAGGGTGGAAGAAGGAATTCTCCCTTAAGGGAAGGAAAATATAGGAAAAAGAACCACTCTTTGAAGGCATCTGTTGTCCAAATCATGAGGAAGAGCTTGTAGTTCTGAGTTGCACAAATGTGCTTTAGTTGTTTTTCTGTAGGATACTTGGCGAGGTCACCTGTTTCACCATAGCTGTGTCCTCAGACCCAGTGTAGGAAAAGGGTAAAAAAATGTTGATTGGATAAATGTGTGACATTGCTAGTTCATACCTCTCTGAGCATCTCTTGAAGCTGCTGCAGGTAAAATTCCTCCATCTTTTCTTCATTCTGTCACTTGCATATTGGGAGCCTTTCCTACTGCCCTTGTTATGTTGCTTTGGTTTGTGCGTGAATCTTTTCCATTACATATGTTTGTACTTCCAGGATCTCGCACATAACTGTGCTCAATAAATATCAAATGAATGCATGAATGACTGAACACATGAGTTTCAGATGTCCTTTACAGCCTTTTCTCATTGAAGTATATGCTTGTTCTTTGCCTCTTAAAAAGGGGTACAACTCAATGAAAATAGGGTTGCCAAATGTTGCAAAACTAAGCGTAGTCTTAACAAAACTAAACATAGACATGCCATACGATGTAGAAATTACACTCCCTGGTAATTACCCAAATGAAAACTTATGTCCACACAAAAACTTGTATGCAAATGTTTAGCAGCTTTATCTATCATTACCAAAATTTGGAAGCAACTAAGATGTCCTTCAATGGGCGAGTGCCTAAACAAATTGTGGCACATTCATACAATGCAATACCATTCAGCAATTGTAAGAAATGATCTAGCAAGCCATGAAATGATCAGAAGGAACCTGAAATGCATATTGCCAAAAGAAAAAAGCCAATCTGAAAAGGCTGCATGCTGTATGATTCCTGCTATATAGATGACATTATGGAAAAGGCAAAAGTATGGAGACAGTAAGATGTTTAATGTTTACAGGGGCTGGGGACAGGGAAGGATCAATTGGTGGCGCACAGAGAATTTTTTAGGGCAGCCCAAATACTGCGCATCATACTAAAATGATGGATACTTGTCATGATGCATTTGTCAATATAAAGAGTGAACCCTAATGGAAACTATGAACTTTAGGTTATAACGATGTATCATTATTGGCTCGTCAGTGATAACAAACCTATCAGTCTGAGGTGGGATATTGAAAGTGTGCATGTAGGTTTGTTGGGGAAGGAGGTACATGGGAACCTTACGTACTTACTGCTCAATTTTGTTGTGAATCTAAACCCATACTAAAAAATAAAGTCAACCCAAAAAGTACGAGGTACTCAAATAAATGCAAATTTCAGATACACAACGAATACTTTTTTAGTATAAGTGTGTCCCAGGCAGTCTTTAGGACATGATTATACAAAAAATATTTCATTGTTTACCTGAAATTCATGTTAAACAGTCCTGTATTTTATCTGGCAGCCCTACTTGAGAGAAGACATCTGATCTTATAGCTTCTTGGTGTTCACCACAATGTCAGGGGAGATGTTGGGGACTTGGGCTTTGCTTCTTGGAGAGCTGCATGAGATGACTTCAGCAGTACTTCTTCCAGCTCAAGAAACCACACTACTGAAAAAACCTGGATAAACTGAACACACTTTGAGGAGAATAATGAGAAAGATGACTCAAAACCAAGTTTCAGGATGTGTGGTTGATGACACTGAGGTTATATAATCTGGAGAAGGGATGATCCAGGAGTAATGGGAAAGTTGTTGCTAAGGCATCTTTTTCATAAAGATTAATAAAGTCATTTTCTAAAGCTGCAAGGGGTAACAGCAGTGCCAGTGAGTGAAGGCCACAGCAAAGCCTATTTCAGCTGGCTGGTGGGATTCTTTTCTAATAGCAAGAGTCATTCAACAATGGAAGGGGCTTCTTTGAAAGGTGGTGCCTTGCTCTATCCTGGGTGTATTTGTACATAAGCTGGGTGATCCCATGGCAAGGGTGCTGATGTGAGCATTACCATATGAATGTGTAGACTGACTGGTGACACGTGTGTGTGGGCTCATGCACACAAAAGAACTTTAACATAGTACTGACCTTTTCATTCATTTTTATTGAGATATTGCACATAGTACAAAATTTACCACTTTAAAGTATAACTATTCACTAGTTTTTAGTATATTCACAAGGGTGTACAGGTATCACCATCTCCACTATCTAATTCCAGAACATTTCTGTCATCTCAAAAAGAAAGCCATTAGTAATCACCCTCCAATCTTCCCTTATCCCAGCCCCTGGCAACCACTAATCTTTCTGTCTCTATGGATTTGGGACTGGTTAATATTTAAGGTAAGGTCCCCTTGAACTTGGAGATTCTCTTGTCTCTGTAAGGAGGCCCTTGGGATCCACCACCCAAACACAAGGAGGTCATTCCCAAGGACAAAGGAATCTCAGCACACTGGAATCAGTGTTAAACTCAGACCCTCAAGAAGTTAGAATGCACCGTCTTTAAATCCCACATTCTTTTTTTTAAATTTTTTTTTTAAATCTTCATTTGGATTGGTTTATTTTATTATTATTATACTTTAAGTTTTAGGTTACATGTGCACAATGTGCAGGTTAGTTACATATGTATACATGTGCCATGCTGGTGTGCTGCACCCATTAACTCGTCATTTAGCATTAGGTATATCTCCTAATGCTATCCCTCCCCCCTCCTCCCACCCCACAACAGTCCCCAGAGTGTGATGTTCACCTTCCTGTGTCCATGTGTTCTCATTGTTCAGTTCCCATCTATGAGTGAGAATATGCGGTGTTTGGTTCTTTGTTCTTGCGATAGTTTACTCTCCAGTGGCGCAATCGGTTAGCGCGTGGTACTTATAAATCCCACATTCTTATGGCGGCACTGTCTGTTCAAATAATAGTTTTTTTTTTTTTTCGTTCCATATAAACATGCACTGGTGAGCCTGAGACTTAAAGGAAATGCCATGAAGTCAAAATAGTGAAAACTACATTTTACTTTGTCAACCTAAATAACAGAGAGTCTCTCCAAAAGAAAAGATGTTTATTTGTGAACAGGGCATTGCAATAGAAACACACATGCCATAGTAAACTATACGCCTATTCAGGGAGGTAAAGGAAGACAAAAGTTTTTAAAGGGAAAAATGAGGAGGATGATGTAACTGTTTTGAAATCATTATCTTTGACTACAAAAATCAATAACAAAGGTGACACCAGTCCGAGTTTGGTCAGGGAGTTGTTTGGCAGATGTCCTTATAGAAGTATTTTTTCTGTAAGGTTGCGATGACATTTGTGCAAGGTTGTGGTTTTTGCAGCCTTTTGTGATAGTTTTTGTTATCAGACCTACAAGCATGTGAACCATCTCCATGGTTTTCCCTGGCTCTGTTTGCCAGGATTTTCTTAACACTAGTCACCCCCACTTCATTCTCACAACTTTCACAAATTGCAGCCTCGTTTGTGTGTGCAATAAGCCTTCATTTCTATTCTTTTTTGAATATTTTACAGATGGGGTACAGTTGCTCTCTAGGGTTTTTTCTTTTATTTCTTTTCTTCATTAGTAACTTGTGATTCTGAAAAGAGGAAGTAGGAAATTACAACATTGTTTGTGCTAAAACTTGACATAGCATGATTAGAAAAACTGTCCTTGGGCACAATTGTGATGAAGACATGAGTGGGTTCTCTCTTGTTTCATCAGGACAGCTGGTAAACTCCCACACTTGTGCTTCTAGCCTTTCTTTTGGCGGGGCATGAAAAGCTCAGCTACAATAAATCATCGTCTAGCCTAAGACATTTATGAATAGATATGTTTTATGAGAGTAGCACATTCAGGATCTGATGAAGACATCTGCTTTTTATTCTCAGTGTGTCACATCTGGGTTAACTACTTTGCAAAAGTGTAGAAATGTTATCATTAAAAATGAATTTGGGTTCAATTGTGGCAAGAGCCACAGCTGAAAACAATGACGGGTTGACAGTTGCCTGAGAAAGCTAGGGCTTTTATTTATTTATTTTAAAGCTATGGCTAGGAGAGGGCTTAGGGACCAAAGGAAAATACTCTACAGTGAGACTTGAACACTTTACTTAACTGTGATCCTGCTCCCGGGTCTGCTCAGGGCACTTTATAGGTATTTTGAGTCAGGGGGAAGTTCACATGCTGTCAATGTGTAAGGAAGGCTCTCTTTGATGAAATACAGTGTGGTGTTGACTTGATGAGCCCACTGTTTTTTCTTAAGGAAATACCTTTGTATTGACTGCATTTGAGGACAAGTAGTGACTCATAAACCTGGAGCAATATGAGGATCTAATAAAATCAACCCCTTTACCTCATACATTCCTAGTGGATGCTCCACAAGAGTTCTGGGGCTACTCAGGGCAGGAAGCCATCCTCACAGGGTTCCCAAGAATTCCGGACAGAAATAGAGTCATCATTCAGCATTCCTCAGGCTGCACTTGCACCCACTTCCTTGTAACCACGAGCCCCATAGCACTAGATCCTGACCATTTGCATCTCTGTTGTTCCTATCGAAAGGATCTCTGATGTTAGAATCAGAGGCTTCTGTTTAAGAATTGCTTCAGCAGATCCTGAATTCCAGTGAAACAGCTGAGGCCAACCAGTTTGAAGACCCCCCACAGAGGAACCCAATCAGCGTGAGAACACAGCTTCTTCATTGCCCTGTCCCATGACTTCACCCTGCACTCTTCTACCAATCAGTGATCTCCACGCTTCGGCCCACTCCAAAACCCTTAAAGCCCCTAGCCCCAAACTCCTTGGAGAGATGGATTGAAGGTTTCCTCTCATCTCCTCATTTGGCAGCCCCATGATTAAACCTCTTTCTCTGCTGCAACCCGGTGTCTCGGGGCAGTGACTTGCCACATGCACGGGGCAATGGACTTATTAGGTTACAGGAGAACCTTGACGTACAGAAATGTGGAAAAAGTTTACAAACCATTTAGGAACATCAAAAGGGACTTGTGGCTACATCACTGGGAGGACGTCCTATACAATCATATCCTCCCAAGTTGGCCTGACAACAGAACATCCATACCCCAATATACAGGCACTGGGGTCGGTTAACAGTGGAGGATGTGGAAGCAAAGGTGAAACCAAGCCAAGTGGCTGCACCACCCCTAAGCAGCACTGTGGCGGCCCCTGATAGCTTGGTTTGCCGTTGTCCCATGGATTTGGCTAGTAAGGAGATGATGAGCCAAGATAGATTCTGACAGTGTAGGACTTACACATACATGTGTCTTCCAAAGCTCATACGCTGGAACGTAGTCCCCAAAGGGAATGTATTAAGAGATGGGGCCATTAGCAGGCGATTAGTGCCCTTATAAAAGGGCTCTGGGGACTAACTCGTCCCTTTTGGCTTCTGCCATGTTGAGGACCCAGTCACAAGTTGTCATTTTGGAAGCAGAGAGCAGTTCTTACTAGATACTGACTCTGCCAGTGCCTCAATCTTGGACTTTCCAGCCTCCAGAACTGTGAGAAATAATTGTCTGTTGTTTATAAATTACCACTCTCAGCTATTCTGTGATAGTATCACAAACAGATTAAGACATTCCCCCCTACCCACGCTGCCAGTTATTTGCCACAGACAAACCATCCCTTTCTCTCTTTTGAGAGGGAGTGATTGCATTGTTGTCAACACCTAGGCACTTGGCAGCTCTCAGTTACTTGGGGACCAAGGTGAAAAAGACTTAAACTTGACAAGTGAGTGAGAAAGAGGGATGAAGAGATAACATCTCCCCACCATCTGGCTTAGCCAGCTGAAGAATAAGATAGAAGGTCTTATTGCAGCTGAACATCTGGTTGAGCTCATGGACTCACCTGGAGATGGATGACTCTCCAGCAAGACCTGCATCAAAACTGCTCTAATTGTTTTTATTAGTTTTCTCTGGCTCAGCTTAGTGGGTTGGGTTTTTTTTTTTTTATAATTGGGAAGCTCCTGCCTTAACTTCTGTGTCAGTCATAGTGATAAAATATGTTGAGTATGCCCTACAATAATGATGTATACATGCTTAAGATGCAAATTGCATCTGTGTGCATGAGATGGAGGTCAAACCCAAGGGTGTCCTCTCTTGAACTTCCACCGTAAAACATCAGACCCCTAGGGCTTCCTCGTGCTTGACCCCTGAGGGTTCACCAAATCATCGCAGAAGAGTCTGCTTGGATTTTATCCTTACTTAGATACTTGTAGATGCTTTATTATTGCTATTAGCTATTTATTAATCATTTTCTTTTAGCACATTATTTTAATAATTTTTATATTGCTCCATTCTGTTACCATGTCTTCAAGAGATAAAGAGAGCATCAAAAGATGATTTGAATCTCCACAGTGAAAAGGCACAGTGAGTAGCTATGAACATCAACCTTAATCCCAAACAATAAACACTGAGATATGCTGTGGCAATATTATAAGATTTTAAAGAAACAAACAAAAATCCTCCCCTAAAGCCTCCAGAAAGGAATGCAGCCCCACCAACACTTTGATTTCAGTCCCGTGAAGATTGTTTTTGGACTTTTGACCTTCAGAACTAGAAGATAATTAATCTGATTCGTTTTCAGCCACTGAGTTTGTGGTCATTTGGTATAGCAGGAATGGGAAACCAACACAGTGTCCATTTTCTTTTCAGTTGCTTTGTGTAGTTTTGTGAAAAGATTTATAGAGATTTTTTTAAAACCTCACCATTGTCATCTTGTTTTGTCTAGGATGTTGTTTTCTAAATTACATTTTATTTAAGCTTTAGTGCACTGGACTAAGTTGACTGAGAATTATTAAATATATTTTCCTCCCCCAAACTGTTATTGGAAGCAATATTTTATAGGAACGAACACAGGGTTCATGATACTGGCTCTTAAACAAAATGTGTGTTTTTATAGAAAATATTCTGGGCTTGCTCATTGTTTATAGCAAGGGAAAAGGAAACTTGTGTTCCATTTTTCACTCCCTTTTACTGACACATTTTTTATGGATATTGAAGCTATTGCTGGTGTCTTCCCTGTAAGTGACACATTTGTACTTTTCAAAAACCATTTTAGAGGTATCAAAGATATGAGCTAGTGAAAACCACCTGCTCATGAGCAAGAAGAAATGAAGCACATTTGCCTCCATTTTTCGGGATTGCAATGTATGGACCATTCATTGAAACCATCTTAAGACGTGGATAAATTTGGGGACTTCTGGAAAATGTCTTTTGCAATGTAGTGAATGTGGATGCTCAATTGATGATGTAAAAAAATAGACTCATATAATACAGTGAAATGAGCTAATTAAATCTGTGACATTTATTGTGGCACAGATGTAATAGATAAAATCTTTTTTTTCATATTCTTCTTAACTTCTTTTCTTATGGTTAAGCCAGTTTTGCTTAAGGCTTAAAAATCAACACCTCTAAAACCTCTGGCCTGTCTTCTTATTTGCTGTAATAGGACACTGTCTTCACTACACCCTGTCAAAGTTCTGGTGCCTTAGAGAATTTTGGGGCAAGGATGGCCTGCTCTCCCTGACCTTCCCTTGTGACTCTCATGAAAAGCATGTGGCTGACAGTGATGTGTGACCCATAGGAATAGTCATCTGGAACTGGGAAGTCTTCTGCACAATTCATGTCACTTTTCTAATTGTGATAGAAATCTCATATGTGCATCAGAAAAATAACTTTAGGACATGGTGCTGAGCCTAGATTCTAAAATCATAACTCAAATCACACCAAATGCAGCTTGGGGACTAGAGTACAGATTAAACTCATGCCAGTAGAGCAAGCTTTGGGCATTGGGTTCACCACTGAAGATTCAATCACCATTGAAATGCTTACTCCCGAGTCTGGTGTCCAAAGTATTCTCAGATCTGAGACATTAACATGAAACATATTTCTCTCTCCCTCTCTCTTTCACTGCATATGTTTTTGCAGTGCTTTCTAAACTCATCCAAAGACTCTATCATTAATCCTTTTTCCATCAGTCCAATGGAGTAGGCATGCAAAGGCATCTTATTACAGTAGAGATTGGAGGAAGAAGGTCCAGAAAGGATTCAGAGTTATATTGTAGTCAATATATTGTGATATATGCATTCTCTCTCTCTCTCTCTCTCTCTCTCTCTCTGTGTGTGTGTGTGTGTGTGTGCGTGTGTGTAGTAGTAGTAGAAGTAGTAGTAAATTAGTGATAGAATGATTGAAGGCACGCTGGACTGATTCACCTCAATCCTCTGCAGAATGATACAGCCTTCCTTACCGTAAAAAACGTAACTTTTTTTTTTTGCCATACATTTAGGGCTCCATCGGTAATTATTAAGCAGCAAATAGACAATTGCCTGGAGAGCCCTCCCTAGAGCCCACCTTCCTGCCATTATTTCTCCCTCCCTTATTCCATTAGCCGTATGGGAAATGATCTGAGCTCTCCCAGCTAGCCTTCCTGGTTCCAGCTCTGTCCTCTGTCCCAACCACTACTTGTTGCTTTCCCTGCACATGCCAGGGTGTGCGGGCTCTGACTGCTTCTCTCTTCCCTTAGCACAAATCACCCTCATCCAATGTCTTTTGAGTTGAGATTTCATTTGCATGGGGCAAGTCCAGAAGGAAGCTCATTGTAAAATATTTGAGAGTCAGGTGTGTGTGTCTCATACTTTGGTGCATCCTCATGGCATATCTGTTATGATACTTTGAATCTAGTAGATGTTTGAAGATTATTAATTGGTTCCTTGAATTAGCACAACTAAGCAATGAACACAAGAGGAAACCTCATCATTTCAAATATCGGCATTGTGGAGATCTTTTTGGGTTTTCTCTTGCTACTTTGGCATGCTTACAGCTCACACTGCATGCCTTTGGACATGCACAACCCCTGAAACTACTCACCAAGACATAATCAAACTGGTTGTGTGTTTAAGCACACAGCTGCCTAAATATCATGTGGATATTATTGAGATTTTATTATCCAGATGTAATGGGGAAATATCCTAATGGAAAACACTTTACTCATTTTCTGTGAAAGGTGTAACTGTTTTGAAGATTGATTGGGCTGACCAATAAGCATAGAAGGGATTACAGAAAGGCAACCATTTGTAGAAACCCATACTGATAAGTACCAGGTGAACAACATGTTTATTAATCCCACTTAAAAAAAAATGTATCCAGCTTTGGCCAGAGGTTTTCCAGTTTGTCTTCCCATCTGATGCTCAAAAACACTGTGTAAGATATCATTATAAAAATAATTATAGTCACACTACAACTGGCAATGGTACACAGAATTGCCTTGCAGAAGGTCATGCAGTTAGTAAATTGTAGAACAAGATTATCACCAAGCCTTCTGACTCCAAATTCGGTGTCTGTTATATATCACCCTGGCTACCAAATTCCAGGACCCATGGAATCTCCCAGAACCTATGGATAGACATTAGGGAGGCTGTAAACACTCGGAAACTATATGTGCACATCCATAATTACATCTTTCTCAGGGAACACACCTTGATATTTCAAATTTCTTAAAAGGTTTTATGACGTTTACAGACCATCAGAGATAAAAAGCATAGGAAATGAAAACTATAAAACTTAAAAGAGGCAGCTTTCCATCTTTTCTGTTAGAATACATGCTTATCACTCCCACAGAATGTACCCTCAGAAAAAATCTCTGTTTTACACTAGTGGCATATTGATTTCTTTATTGATGGCAATAGGGGTAGTGATAATGAAAGGTGATAGAGTTTCTTTAGTTATATGCAAATATAATATATAAGTTGTGTTGCATTTCCAGTAGCCAAATATTAGATAATGATTTGTCCTGATAAAAATCACTAATAAGATTCATTTGTCTCTCTCCAAACACCAGCTTCTCAATATGAAAAGGCATCTCTGAACTACTGTTATTGACTTAGAAATATTGTTCACTGGGGATGGCGTCATCATACTGCAACCAGTAAGAATGGCGTCACTCCTAGAGGAACTGTTCATACAGAGGAATCCTGCACAAAGCACACCCCTGGTATTGGGCAGTGCACAATTGCACAACTTCACACAGTGACCCTGACTCTGTGAGCAAAAATGGAAAACAATATCAGGGCAGGAATCTGAGAGCAGGCGAGCTCAGGAATAAGAAGCTAAACACTGGCTACGTATCAGATAAAGACTGGACAATACACAAGTGTCAAAGGACAAGATAAATGAATGACTGACTAGACAGTTGTCAGGCTGCCTGTGAAGGTAGGATGCTCTCCTTCAGTGTGTGGTCTATACATTCAAAGATTGAATATGGCACCACGTCTCCAGTGAGAAGATTACATGGGTCATGAAGCGAAGAGATAAAAGTAGAAAGGTCCCCACTCACCATTGTTCCCAGTGACCCACTGAGGGACCTTGTGCTTCCTGTCCTTGCAACTCTTAGTTCTGCAGAATTAGAGGTACTACTAGTCCCCCAAAGGCAGCATATATTTGCCAGGGGATAGGAAAGAACCCTGTTAATTTTATAAGCAACAGAGGCTGCTTGGGCACTTCAGGCTCATTGTTTCCAATACGCAAGTAGAAGTGTTGCCATCTTGACCTTCATTATTAGAAGAGATCATGATGCTGTTACACAATGGAGCAGGGAGGAAGAAGGGTGTCACCTCAGGATTTACTGTGACCAAAATGAACAGGGACAACGACCCTGGATTTCAAAGAACATAGTGCCTGAGCTCAGTGACCCCCAGGAGTGAGGACTTCTGTTGCTTCAAGTCACGACCAGCAGAAATGGTAGCCAAGGGTATGGGATCTAGAAGCATTTTGAGAGGAGACAGGAGATGAATGTCTGTTGTGATCCTGAGATGAGATGTTGCACTGGGGCTTCAGGTTTTTCTCTTAACCTGTTTGTACTGAGCTTTCCCCTAGAAGGAGAAGCCTGCTGGGATCCTGAAGAGAAGTGTTCCCCAAACAGAGATGGGTGCCTCGGATGGAGTGTGGCGGACTCATGACATGCCACCCAGATCATCCTTCAAGGATGGTCTAGGCCGGACGCTGTGGCTTACGCCTGTAATCCCAGCACTTTGGGAGGCCCAGGCAGGTGGATCACGAGGTTAGGAGTTTGAGACTAGCCTGACCAACATGGTGAAACCCCGTCTCTTCTAAAAATACAAAAATTAACCAGGCGTGGTGGTGCATGCCTGTAATCCCAGCTACATAGGAGGCTGAGGCAGGAGAATCGCTTGAACCTGGGAGGCAGAGGTTGCAGTTAGCCGAGATCGCACCACTGCACTCCAGCCTGGGTGACAGAGCAAGACTCCGTCACAAAAAAAGATGGTCTTGCTGGCCAGCCGCAGGTATATGGTTAGGCGGCAGATCCTTTCGGGTTCCTTTGGCTGCAGAGAGACACGTGTTTCCCTGGGTGACCCACTTCCAAAGAAGGCATCATGTAGGGATGTAAAGCCCAGTCATTTGAATCCAGCATAGGACAACACTAACAGACATTTGCTCCCTAGCTCCTGTGGTTCAAGGCTGCATTGCAGCTCATCTTTTCCCTGTACCTCATCCTATTTCCATCTCCTCCTTTTCACATGTGTTGATCCATAATAAATACCTTCCTCCAGGATCCATTTCAGTATCTGCAAGAATAAATACCTTGAGTGATTTTCAAAGTTTATATTGTCAATTTTTTAAAAGGCATACACTGTATAATTTTATTTATATGTGGTATCTCGAGTGGGCAAACTCCTAGAAACAGAAAGTGGCACCCTAGGGGGCTACTAGGGTGTGGGGCAGGGGAAATTTGGAATTGTTTAACGGGTACACAGTTTCATTTTTGCAAGATGAAAAAGTTGTAGAAATTGGATTTACAACAATATGAATATGCTAAATACTGAACTGTATACTTTTTTTTTTTGAGACAGAGTCTCGCTAATTTTTTGTATTTTTGGTAGAGGCGGGGTTTCACAGTGTTGGCCAGGATGGTCTCAATTTCCTGACCTTGTGATCTGCCCGCCTCCACCTCCCAAAGGCTGGGATTACAGGCGTGAGCCACCACATCTGGCCTGAACTGTATACTTAAAGATGGTTAAGAGGGTAAAAATGGTATGTTCATTTGTGATAAGATTAAATCAATTTAACAATAAAATAGAAACAAATGAATCAATAAATCGGTCTACATATTCATTGTAGAGTTCCTGAAATAGAAATTATTTATTATTCTTATGAGACCCAAAACCAGGTAAAATGGATTATATATACATATAAGTGTTATATATACATATCATTGTAAGTTTTGTATATACATATAATTGTAAGTTTTGCACTAATGTCACAGTTTCCTTGGAGGAATTTTTAATAATGTGGTTTAGTATTTTCTTAAGAAGAAACTAAAGATTTATTTTTGCACATTACGTGTCACCTGAATAAGTGTTGCAAATGTAATATGATTTCAACATGAAATAGCCTAACAGACTTCTCACCTGCCTATTACCTTAAAAAATAACCAAACTGAACACAAGAAAATTAGATTGCTGAAAACCTTCACTCTGAAGTGAAGAACCTGAGTTGTTCCTGCAGGTGGCACTGTCCGACAATAAAAAAGACCAATCTATGAACTGCCCTGTTAAAAATTCAATACTAGCCTTCTTGACCTAATGTTTAAACATACATTTTCTATAGTATAAAAATGAACTTTTTTGTTTGTGGTAATATCTATTAACAACTGTTCTTGTCCTTTATTCAAATATGGATATTTAACTTTTACTATTGAACATTAGATTGTTATTTTTAGTATTTTTTAAAGGTATTCAGTTAGTGAAATAATATCTTAGATTTCTGGAGTTTATATATTTATCATTATTATTAATTTTCACCAAACCAAAAAATCCTGAATCATCCTGAATGCAGCTAAATTCTTCCTTTCTAGGTAAAGACCCTTGAGTGATACCTGACCACACATACTTGGTCACCCTGTGGGTGTGTCAGAAGCACCCCAGTCCTTCTCTTTGGACAGGCACTGGGGCTTTTCTTGAGTTAGATAAGAGGAAATTCCTTGGCAAATGGTTCACTTTGTAGCACCTCACAGGATTTAGGAGCTTAACTCTATGCCTGATACCTTGGCCCCTGTCCTCTTGGAAGAACCAAGGTGGAAATATTGTTGCCAAATAGACTATTCACTTCAAACAGAAAAATAATGCTTGTTACTTTCTGTCTCCTCTGTTGACATTCGTATTCAAAAATGACTTTTCCTGTTCAATTAAAGTAGGGAGAATGAGTTCTTAAGAGTTGAGAGATTCCATAAACTCAGGGAAAGCCTTCATTTTATTGACTCTTTTCAATTGTTTCTCAATGTCTTAATTCACTGGATCCATGCAAGGGTGTGTAATGTGCACTTTCAACAAAAAGCAGCCTGAGAAGCAGGCATCTAATGGCCTGGTGCTAGTGCTCTGTTGCCTTTTTACAACTGTGTCAACACAAGGCTTCCTCTATGCCCTCCAGCCTTCATTCTGAGCACCCAAGCCTTTGTGCTGGGTGGCTTCTTCTTTCCTGACTCCAGCCTTCATTCTGAGCACCCAAGCCTTTGTGCTGGGTAGCTTGTTCTTTCCTCACTCAACATACATCACAAAAATACTTCATGTGTCGAGGCCACTTTTAAAGTGTTTAACTTACCCTCCCAATCCTCTTCTGCAATTTATTTCAAGATACAGACTCGATGAATTTAATGTATAGCATGCCTCCTGAACCTCATTTAAAACTCAGTCTTTTAAGGGTACTTGTGACTTGGTTTGACTCTTCTGAGCATTAGAATCTTGCCCCCCATTATTGAGAAGGTTCATCTTTTCAGGTACCTCTCTCTATAATAATTTAAAGAGCATTCTATAAAATCTAGCTTTACAAATACAACAAAATGTTGAGGATAATGAAGCCCACACTCTATAATAAAACTCAATAGCTTGCCAAATGAATATTCAGACACTTGTATCAATATTTTCTAGATATGCAACAGATTCTATAAGGTATACAACAACTTGAAATAAGACTCCAGGTTCCACTTACTGTTGAGATGGAGACAAATCCTGCCAAGCAACAAAAGTTTGTGCTTGCACTGCTTCCTGTTTGGTTGTGAATTAATATTGGTTGGGAGCAAACATTGGAGCACCTATTTGCACTGCATGAAGACCTCGTAGGGAAACACCTTTAAAATTCCTCTAGAAATACTAGCTCTACTTTAATCAATTTATGCTTTTTCAATTTGCATTCAGTGCCCTCTGGCTTATAAAGGCAAATACTCAACAGCCACGCCTGTCATTTTCTAAATCATTTCCATGTAGAGGCTTTGGAAGGGATCAACCCACCCTCATTTATAACATGCAAGAAGGAAGTGTACCTCATATACCTTCTTGACTATATCTTTATGGACCCACAAAAAGGCCTTCATTGACCCAGAAATGGAAAAAAAAAATCAAACTAATAGCCATATGTGAGTGCTTCATTTCAGACTCTAATAATGTGAACTTCTAGAACCATGTAGCATGAAGTGGGAAGTGGGGCATGGGTTAAGGATTAGAAAGGAAATAGAGTCTCAGAAATAAAGCACTGTTATAGTCTGAATGTTTATGTCTTCTAAAATTTCTGTGTTGAAATCCTTATTCCCAGTATGATGGTTTCAAGAGGTGAGGCCTTTGAGGGTTGATTAGGTATAAGGGTGGGGCCCTCATGAATGGGATTAGTGCCCTCATATAAGAGATCCCAGAGAGTTCCCTTGCCCCTTCCACCATGTGAGGACACAGCAAGAAGGTGCTGTCAATGAACCAGGAAGTAGGTACTCACCAAACACTGAATCTGCCAAGTCTCGATCTTGGACTTCCAGCCTCCAGAACTGTGAGCAATAAATGTCTTTTGTTTACAAGCCACCCAGGCTACAGTATTTTCTTATAGCAGACCTACTGACTAAAATAGGACCTTCCATAATTTTTTTTTTCCAGGACAGCAGATGGAAAAAAAAAAGCCTATCAAAGAAATCCAAAAGATTAGAGATTATGTAATAGTCTGTGAAGACACTTCTGAAAGCATGGTCTGCATATGGCTGAGGTGCAGTGAGCTAAGTTTTTAACATGACTCTGACTGCCCTCTCTAGATTGCATTGACCCTGGGCCACCTGGAACCAGGGGACTTCTTCCGCTACCCTCTAGCAGGGAGCTGCATGCAAACTCAGCTGCCCATGACAGGAGGGCCTGTAACAACCCCTTGGGTTCCAGAGTCTCTAGGTGCCCAGCAGCTATAAATGGCTGCTGACCAGTTCCAGGTGACCAGACAGCCAAGAAGTTTGTGTGTCATTTCACTGATAAGGTTGCCCACATGCTTGTCCTATACACAAAGGAGAGCAATCAGGTGGCCGGGTGTCCAGCCTAGACCCTCATGGTGTGTCCAGCCATGCTGTCCTCTGCACACCTCTCTGAAGGATGAGGATGGACAGAAACAGTGGTTTCTCTTCTCTCATTGACCTTGGCTTTTGAATGTACCCCAGTCTCCAATGAAAGCTATCCCTTCACCCATGCTGTGTCATTGTTGGATTTCTTGTAAATGCTGATGCAGCAGAGAGACTGACCATGCAGTCACTCATCCTGCCCCAGTTACCTAAGTTAGAAGCAACCAGAGCTCTTCTAAAAGCACAAATTTCTAATGCTCAGGCACAACCTATTGAATCAGGATGAGCCTGAATTTTTAAACAGGTTCTCAGGTGAGTTCTACCACAAAATGACTTTGAAAACTAGTGATCCAAGACATTGTTTCTCAAACCATTAGATGACCTTTGAAAGGCTTGTGAAACAGATTGCTGGGGCCCAGACTCAGAGTTTCTGATTCCGTTGATCTGGGGTGGAGTTCTGTAATTTGCATTTTATCCAAGCTTTGGGGTGATGCTTTTACTGCTGATCCTGGGAACTAAATTTAGATAACCACTAGCCTAAGTCTTAGACTCTAAGAGAAAAACAGTGCTAATGTAGTCACAGTAACCTTTGAGGAAGCTAAGAATTTTTTCTGGTGTCTACATTCCTAACATAAGAGAAGAAAAAAATGAAAATACATATTCTGAAGCAACATACTTCTGGCTTCCTTACCAATATATCTGGAAAATGGGGGAAAAGAGACAAAGATAGAATGGCACAGTAAACATTTTTTTGGGAGAATGTGACAATATGATACCATGATCACTACAACTGAAAGTTTTGTACATGTGGCATAAACCAAGAACAAAGCAGTATTTAGTAGATTTCCAAATATTTCATACATCGGGAATGTGTAAGTGCTATAAAACTGCAATATAAAGGCACAAGTTATTTAACAGAGTACACTACATTTCCCCTCTTCAATAAAGATCTAAATACAAATGTAAATGTCAGAGTTATGTAATCCATGTACATAATTCCTTTTCCATTTATTCACTCATATTTAATGAACCTTGAGATGCATAACTTTTAAAAACATGGATAATGATACAAAAATTAGCCAGGCATGGTGGCAGACACCTGTAAACCCAGCTACTCAGGAAGCTGAGGCAGGATAATCTCTTGAACCTGGGAGGCAGAGGTTGCAGTGAGCCGAGATTGTACCATTGCACTCCCAGCCTGGGTGACAGAGCAAGACTCCATCTCCAAAAAAAAAAAAAAAAACCACAAACAAGCCACACCTGGATAATGACATAGGAAGAGTTATTTAATAGCCACTTACCATGTCTGTTCCTACTTGTATTTAAGTTCAGTGACATTCAGTGGTAAGATATTTGCTCAGTAAATGAACAAATGATTAACAGTGTACATTATGTAGTTTACAAAAATTGAAGGAATAAGGGGGAAGAAAAGGAGTACCCATCTCTCTTTTCTTCAAATGGTTTTATTGTGATAGAGTGTGTATGCCACTTAATTCACTCATTTAAATTGCACAATTCTGTAGTTTTTGGTATTGTGTTAGTCTGTTTTCACACTGCTATAAAGAAATATCCAAGACTGGGTAATTTATAAAGGAAAGAGGTTTAATTGACTCACAGTTCTGCATGACTGGGAAGCCCTTAGGAAACTTACAATTATGGCAGAAGATGAAGGGGAACTGAGTACCTTCTTCACATGGCAGCAGGAGAGAAAAGAGTGAGTGAAGGAGGAACTTGCCAAACACTTATAAAACCATCAGATCTTGTGATAACTCACTATCATGAGACCAGCATGGGGGAAACCATCACCGTGATCCAATCACCTCCCACTATGTTCCCCCCTCAACACCTGGGATTTATAATTCAAGATGAGATTTGGGTGGGGACACAAAGCCTAACCATATCAGGTATATTCACAGACATTGTGAATATTACCACGGTCAACTGTAGAATATTTTTATCATGTCAGAAAGAAATCTCATCTCTTTTAGCCATCATCCTCAGTGATCCTAGCCTTCTCCCAGCCCCTGGCAACCACTAATTTACTTTGTTTCTATTGGTTTCTCTATTCAAGATATTTCATATGAATGTAATAATATACTATGTGGCATTTTTATGCCTTGCTTCTATTAGTCAGGAAAATGGTTTTAGGTCCATCCATGTTATAGCATCTATCAGTAGTTCATTCTTTTGTGGCTGAAAAGTGATGATTATGTAGTTACATGACATTTTGTTAATGGGCATTTGGGTTGTTTTCAATCATTAGCTGTTATGAAGTACCTCCCTTATTCAGTGGTAAGATATTTTTATTGTAATAATTTTAAATGAAAATATTTTCTATTACTTTCTAAACTCTATAGTGTGGGTAAATTGAACATCATTTTTTCTTGAGTCATGCGGTTTTATTGGGGTTGACTTGGTACCCCCTTAAAAATATATATGCATAACTTTGAAACAATAATTTATAGGTATACATATGTAATTTTGAAATGTCATACTATTCATACATTATTTTGAAGCAGTCACCAACTTACAAAAAATTTGAGTATAGAATACAAAGAGCTTTCTTTTTTCCTAAAACATCTGAGGGTAAGTTTCCACTCTGATGCTTCATATCCTGAATATTTTAGCATGCATTTCCCTAGAAGAGGATTATTATACACAGACACAGTCAAGACCTAAAAATCAGGAAATGGGCACTGATGTATTTCTACCTTCTAATGGTCAGACTGCCTTTAAATGCTTTGAGGCAGGAGGAGCCAGTTAGAATTATGCATTGCCATGAGTTTTCACGTCTCTTAGTCTCCTTCAGTCTGATTTCTCATCTTTCTTTGACTTTCCTGGTCGTAGTGTGTCCGGAATTGGTGGGTTCTTGGTCTCACTGACTTCAAGAATGAAGCCGTGGACCCTCGCAGTGAGTCTCACAGTTCTTAAGGGCAGCGTGGCCGGAGTTTGTTCCTTCTGATGTTCGGATGTGTTCGGAGTTTCTTCCTTCTGATGGGTTCGTGGTCTCGCTAGCTCAGAAGTGAAGCTGCAGACCTTCACAGTGAGTGTTATAGCTCTTAAGGCGGTGCATCTGGAGTTGTTCATTCCTCCTGTCCGAAGTTGTTCATTCCTCCCGGTGGGTTCGTGGTCTTGCTGGCCTCAAGAGAGAAACTGCAGACCTTCATGGTGAGTGTTATAGCTCATAAAGGCAGTGTGGACCCAAAAAGTGAGCAGCAGCAAGATTTATTGCAAAGAGCGAAAGAACAAAGCTTCCACAGTGCGGTAGGGGACCTGAGCGGGTTGCCGCTGCTGGGTCAGGCAGCCTGCTTTTATTCTCTTATCTGGCCCCACCCACATCCTGCTGGTTGGTCCATTTTACAGAGCGCCAATTGGTCTGTTTTACAGAGAGCTGATTGGTCCATTTTGACAGGGTGCTGACTGATGCATTTACAATCCCTGAGCTAGACAAAAAAGTTCTCCACGTCCCCACTAGATTAACTAGCTACAGAGTGCCAATTGGTGCATTCACAAACCCTGAGCTAGACACAGGGTGCTGATTGGTGTGTTTACAAACCTTAAGCTAGATACAGAGTGCTGATTGGTGTATTTACAATCCCTTAGCTAGACATAAAGGTTCTCCAAGTCCCCACCAGATTAACTAGATACAGAGTGTCGATTGGTGTATTTACAAACCCTGAGCTAGACACAGGGTGCTGATTGGTGTGTTTACAAACCTTGAGCTAGATACAGGGTGCTGACATAAAGATTCTCCAAGTCCCCACCAGACTCAGGAGCCCAGCTGGCTTCACCTAGTGGATCCCACACTGGGGCCGCACATGGGGCTGCCTGCCAGTCCCATGCCGTGCGCCCACACTCCTTAGCCCTTGGGCGGTTGATGGGACTGGGCACCGTGGAGCAGGGGGCAGTGCTCGTCGGGGAGACTCAGTCATGGCGGGCTGCAGGTCCTGAGCCCTGACCTGTGGGGAGGCAGCTAAGGCCTGGTGAGAAATCGAGCGCCGGTGGGCCAGCACTGCTGGGGGACCCTGCACATCCTCCGCAGCTGCTGTCCCAGGTGCTAAGCCCCTCGCTGCCTGGGGCTGGCAGGGCCGGCCGCTCCGAGAGCGGGGCCCGCCAAGCCCACGCCCACCCAGAACTCTAGCTGGCCCGCAAGCGCCACTCGCAGCCCCAGTTCCCACCTGTGCCTCTCCCTCCACACCTCCTCACAAGCCAAGGGAGGCGGCTCTGGCCTTGGCCAGACCAGAGAATGGGCACCGAGGCCGAGGAGGCACCGAGAGTGAGCGAGGGCTGCGAGGGCTGCCAGCACGCTGTCACCTCTCAGTAGCACAATTAAAATGTAGCAGCCAGTTATTTCACAGAATGTCCCTCCATTTGAGTTTGTCTGCTATTTCCTCCTGATTGTATCTGGACTGCACATATTTTCCAGAATTAGTGCAAAAGTGAGGCCCTGTTCTTTTCTTCACATTCTGCCACATTCTAAGCAAATGATTTTCAATTTGTCCTATTATTGATGAGGATTTGATTAAAATGTTCCCCAATTTTAACACTCTTAAACCATATGAAATCTTTACTTGATGCTAGCTCAATTAGCAGCTAAGACTAGATTCTATAATAAAATAATTCTGTCAAAATTTTAGACATGAGAAACATCAGTTCCTCTTTTAACATATGACAAGTACTCCTAATGTCTAGAATGTAGAATGACCACTTATTCGTCTGTCATGTAGATTCCACTATTAATTTTGAAATCCATACGGCATTTTATAGGAAATTGAATAAAACTCAAATGTTTCTGATTAAATTTTGCTTACCTCTTGAATCTTTTCTTTCCTGAAAACTCATCAAACTGAAATGCCTTTGTAAGAACTTCTTGATTGTGTCTTTTGGAAAATAGAAAGCCACATTCTGTAAAAAGATATAAACAACATTACTTTCTCAAAAACTCTAATTCAATATATAAATAGTATACCTTCACATTCATGAATCCTACTGTGTTCAAAGTTTACTAGTTTTCTAGTTATTCCTTTATTCATATTTATGTAGAATATTTCAGAATAAGTAATATTTAATTTTAAAGAATATGTTTCACAAGGTATTTTCTGATGTTTTAAACTTGTTTTATCAACAGAAGATACATGCTCAGAGTAAATTGTGTGTTTTCAACCTCAGCGCTACTGAAATGTGTGTTGGATTGTTTTTGTTGCGAGAGGGCTGTCCTCTGCATCACAGGATGTTTAGCAGAATCTCTGGCATCTACCCACTAAATGCCAGTCTCACCCCCACCCTCAATCCTGACAAACAAAAATATCTCCAAACATTGTCAAATGTCCCCTTCTGGGTTATGTGGGTGGGGTGTGTGTGTGTAAAATTGCCACTGGTTGAGAACAACTGAAGCAAATTTTAGAATATTTATGTAATTTTAAAGACTTCCAATTTAGTAACTATAGAAGTAATTATAGATTATAACAGATTTCTAGTGGAGTAGAATTGTCAACATTTACATTATTAGAAGTTTGAGTTGTTATAAATTTCAAAGAAAAGACCAGATAGGGTTACATTTTAAATATTTCTGAAGGTGTGTTTTTACAGCATAATATATATTAAAATAGATGATATAGGACTAAGTGTTATTGTTAAATTCAATCATAGTTTGGACAAAATGTAGTCCTTTTTCATGTCAGTTAAGCAAGTTGACTTATCTATGAATAGATTTTGATAGGATTTCTTGTCAAATGAAAGAATGAATCCTGGAACAGCAGTCATCAAGATTGCAGTTGTTATAACTGGTCAAAAAAGCACTCATTCCTGATAAGGATTTTTTTGTGGGAATATATATATTTTTTTACTCTAGCCAGTTTACAGTCAAATCAAGACCTGCTACAGCTATATTTTAATGTGCCAAGTTCATATATTTTTTTCAATCCTTTTCTATTAGATTGCCACTGTGCATATTGAATTGTAAGTAACTGCAAATAATTTGATATGGGTTTATATTAACTACAAATATCCTCCTTCTGGCAAACAAAATATTTTTACTAAATTTTCTGTAGGTGGTAGGGAGAATTGGGAAACAATTTCACACAATATCTACTGGGTTCTTGGTTAGGTCAAAAATTCAGCATAAGCAACACCAGGTGCTTAGAAAGGATTGCAAAAAAACATATTTGATGTGTTTTTTTGTCCATTTTGCAGGTATTTGTTTTATTACTGCTATTGAAATGCTTTTAGAAATATTTTCTGGCAAAGCAAACATTTATTTTGGAAACATTTACTTGGCTTCTAAGGTTGCTATTATTCAATTGTTTGCTTAATCAAGGGGAAAAATGTTTGGGAGGTACCTGATGGTTCTTTTATTTCCTCTGAGAACAAATCTGTGGTGTTATGTGAGTGTTAAAATGGTTCAGGAATCAAATAAATATCTGAAGGAGTTAGAATAAGCCAATCTGTTTGACACAGGAAGGAGACAGGTCCTGGCAGAGGGTTAAGAATTTAAAAAAAAAAAAAAAAGAATAAAAAGAAAACAAAAAACTTGAAGGTGAAAATTGGGTGACAACCACAGACAGAGACTAAAGGAAATTAGCAGCAGAAGGAGCTTCAAGGGAATATGGAATTTCCCTTTGTTCTAGGTTTCTGTTTTCTGCATTTTTTTTTCCTCTGGCCGACCTTACTGTCAGAAGCTATCATGAAAAGTCAGAAGCTAAGAGTGTGATGTAGGTCATGGTTAGGCATGAATCTAAGTTTCTGCTAAACCGGATTTATGAATAAAGGAGAATTTGTCTTACAGACAAGAAAAAAATCAACTTAATAGATTCTATGGCATGTCTAGAGAAAAGAAAATTTAGCAATTGCTATCTATCAATATATGGCAAGCTGAGCATAAAAGCCAGGAGGTAAGGGGTAGTGAATTGAAACCCATGAGCAAGATATAAGTGTTGGTAGTCCCTGAAGGACAAGGAAAACAGCGTGATGAATTCTGAGTGACAAAGACTGGGAGGGTTTTCCATTTGGGGTTGGATTTCTTGTTTCTGCTGCTACGTAAATCAACACATATGGAGTGACAAAACTCAGTACAGCAAAGGCCAGGAGAAAAAGACATATTCCATCTAGAGACATATTGTAGAGATGTGGGGAAAAATACAAAGTTTTATTTTGTTAATAATCTTTATTGCTCATGCAGTTGACACACACACACAAAAAAATCACCTTCTACCCACAGCATCTCGGCATCAATTTGTGGAGTCTGACAAGGAAACCCAGGTTATATACAAGTATGGGTCTTAATACCTATATATTTTATTAGCTTTACTCAGAAAATTAACAAAACTTCCACTTTGAGAAGCTTCCATCTTATGACCTGGAGAGACATAAATATAATTAGTAAACTTTTGTTTCCAAAGCAAGATTGGTTGTGCTGCCCTTCCCTCCATCCTTTGAAAGAACAATCTGTTTCCCCCCATTTTGCTGTTTTCCTTTTAATTTCCCTGCTCTTCTCTGGATGTCTCTAAACCTGCGTTCATCTCTGTTCTCTTCTGATCCAGCTGGATGTCTTGGTTTCAGGGCCTTCTTATACTTTTGACCTTGTTTACAGCCCTCACTTGGCTGGATGTAATTAGCTTCTCACCTGTGTCCAGGATTATTTTTTAACCCTTTTCCTGGTCAATTGCCATTTTGTTAGTTCTTTTTCCTTTGACCAGGATCACAAATGCATGGCTGTGTTTAAGGGAGAGCTGCAGGAGAGAGAAGAGGTGACCTGAAGTCACGTTCTGTTCATTGTAGGAAAAGTAATATGACTGGGATGGTTAGGTCACATGATGTTTGAGAACCTAATGTTCCTCATTAGCATCAATTGGATGTTGACCTTGGTTCAAGCTCCTTCTTGTTTCCAATCACATAACCACTGCCCCGAGCTAAAGACAACATTGGTAGGATACAGATGCTGTGTGAAAAGCCACATGCTGGAACAAGGTTCTGAATCTTTCAGCTGATGTGAGTAATTAATCCAGCTTTTCATTGGACCATAAAACATGATTTTCCAGGAATACAGGAGAAAGCTCTTCTTTGCTCCTTTTGTTCCTTTATTCTGTTGATCAACCTGCCTCTTCTGTGGCTCATAGAATTATTTTATTTTACAGTCATTGTCAGTGCCTTGTGTTTTTCAGAAGTATTATGACAAGCCTAGGGGAAGGTACCAATCAAATGTGGCCATGATCATGAATACAAAGAAGTGATTTCTTCTCTTCTTTCTTATGCAACTCAGCAGAAGTACCCTCAGCTTACCTTTGAAAGATCTCTCCTTTTTTTCTGCCTGATGAGTGAAAATACTTTGATGACTCCTCATGAATAGCAATGTGCATGATCATTTCACATCCATTTTTGTGTTTCCAGAGCCTTTGTGCAGTATGCACAGGGATAGATAGTGCTAAAATGATAATGATTGAAATGAAACGAAGCTGAGATTAAATTGCTCTCCATGAAGCTCATGGTATAGCTAAAATTCAGGCTCTGAGAGAATGGGTGGCATCTGTCATCATGGAGATTAGTATATCTAATAAAGTTTAAATTCTTGAGGGATTTGTCTTCATTCCAAGCCTTCTATTAGGACTTATTCATAGGTTGGGAGAAGTTGAGAAGTCTTGTCAACACCACATGAGGAGGGACACAGATGGGTCCTTTCTACCCTGAAATGTTATACATGGGCCCAGCAATAATAAATGGCCGTTGCTTTCTAATAGCATTTGAAACCCCAGGTTAAGAAGGAGCTATGCAATACAGGACTGATACAATCAGAATTTTATTACAGAATTTCCATCCTGGCAATACTATCACCTCAAGCAAGTAATGCAATAGTCACCTGTTTCTTAGATGAATGAGAAGTTCATTCATATGAATAGCTCAGTGCTTTATGTCCGTGGAACACAAAAAGCTAATGCTTTAAGTTTAACTTTTCTCATATGATGATTGAATATTCTGGCAATTTCTGGTATCTGGAATTATTAAATAATGTATTATGACACAAGATTATTTTAAAATGTCATTGTTATCTTTACCATTTCACATTCAATAAACAATATATCTGAGCCTAACATTTCACATTTCTTTACACTTTCACCAGCTAAATTTCCTTTAATTCTCACCAAATCCATCAAACTAAATGCGTGTTAACTTGGCTAATAAAAATGTCATGATATTTCTTAAGAAAATGTAGCTATGTGTGTGTAGATGAAAATGGAGTTCGTTTGTAAATATTGACCCATACAAAGGTAAACACAGGTGTAGATGAAGGATTTATATGGGAGGAAATAAAAGCTGAGAGTGTGAACAGGTTGTGTTTCAGATGGTACAAATAAAGGAGAAAGAAAGATCAAAAGAAATAGCAACATTCTAAAATAGTGTTCAAGGACCTGGGAAGGAGTCAAAGGAGAACCAGTGGTTCTCAAACGGGGCTTCAGGGCTCCCTAAGTGGTATTTATATTGGGGTGGGGGCATGCTTGGTTGTCACAATTAGAGGGGGATTGCACAGGCAATGGATGGGAGGGTTCTGTTCTACAGAGAAGTATCCATGTCACACATAAGTTTTGAATGACCCCCAGGAAATAGTTGTGTGTCATTCTCCAACACTAAAAACAAACTTCAGTTTACATAGAAACCCCAGGCATTCTATATATTGTTTTAAAATATACTGCATATTCTAGCAGTGCAACGAGCAAGTAGCCTGAAGAAATTTGTTTGATTGCTTGTGCACTCCTGCTCTGTGACCCAGGCTGGAGTGCACTGGCACAATCATAGATTGCTGCAGCCTCGAACTCTTAAGCTAAAGTGATCCTCCCACCTTAGCCTACCAAGTAGTAGCTGGGACTACAGGCAGGCATGTGCCACCAGGCCTGGCTAATGTTTCTAAAAAAAAATTTATACAGATGGGCTCTCAGTATGTTGCTCAGGCTGGTCTTGAACTCCTGGTCTCAAGTGATCCCCCCCACCTTGGCCTCTCAAAGTGCTGGGATTGCAGGTGTGAGCCATCATCCCCAGCCTATTTTGTTGGTTTTTGAGATGGGGTCTTGCTCTATTGCCTAGGCTGGGTGCACAATCATAGCTTATTGCATCCTTTGACTCCTAGGCTCAAGTGATCCCCCAATCTCAGCCTCCCAAGTAGCTAGGACTACAGGCACACATCATCATGCCTGGCTAATATTTTTTTATTTTTTATAGAGATGGGGTCTCACTGTGTTGCTCAGTCTAGTATTGAACTCCTGGTGTCAAGTGATTCTCCCATCTTGTCCTCCCGAAGTGCTAGGATTACAGACATGAACCACTGCACCTGGCCTTGAGGAAATATATTTCACTTTATTTTATTCAGTATGTCATTAAGAGTGTTTTTCTGCTTGAGAAAATCATATCACTTTTGACAGTGCCTCTTGTTGTTTGAATTGTTGGTCTATATTCATACGTCAGGCTGCAGGTGAAGTTTATGTATTTATGGCACATTTACAACTATGCACAAATACACTTTTGTTTTCAAAATATCCATTTTAAAAAAAAACATATTATTCATTTGAAGAGATTGTTCTTATTAATAGGAGCAAGCATATAACAACCTTATTCTGCATTCGAGTGCCATTGTGCCCTAACATTTACATATTTTAAAATGTAACATAAATCATATTGTCTTTATTTCTGCTTTATATTGCAATGGGCCTTATTTCCTGTAATGTTTATAATAATACGTGTAGGTCATCTATGCTCCCTCTCGATTCCATTTCAAGAGTTAAAAAGGAATGAGGAAATATTTTTGGTAAGGAGTAAAAGAGCCACTGATAAAAAGGCCTACAGGACTTGGGAGGAACTGCAGGGAGTGGAAAAGTCAGATCATTAGCGGAGCTCTAGAAAAAGCATTGGCGCTTAGGCTTCTTAAAAGATTCACATGCTGGTGTGGAGAGGAGGGCCTACTAACCAAGGCCTGAGAGAAAGAAGCAGGCTCCAGGAAAGCATAGGAATGGGGCTTCTCTGAGAGGGACTGTTAGCAAAATGTTAAGATAAATTTGAAACAAACAAAAGAGATAAGGACTTTTTCTAAACCTGAACCGCAATTACTTTTGCACCAACCTAATAAAAATCACCTATGACGTACCAAGCTGTTTTTTTGCCTCAGATCCAAAGATGACCAAGACAGATCCCTCCAAGAAGGGTGTATATCCTAGTGTGAGTGAACTACACAAACATGACACAGGAAAAGACAACTGGTTCCCAAGGTTAAGAGTGCAATTCACTTTTGTGAAAAACATGCCTGAGAGTGTTGCTAGAGGTTCTCATTCTGTTTTTTTAAATATTTTTAAAAAATCCATGTTTAAATTGACAAATAAAAATTGTATGTATGTTATCATGTACAACATGTTGTTTTGAAATATGTATACAATGTGGAATGGCTAACTCAAGCTAATTAAGATATGTATGATCTCACATACTTATTTTTTTGTGGTAAGAACACTTAAAATCTATTCTCTCAGTGATTTTCAAGTATGCAGTACATTGTTATATAGTGAGCATGATGTACAGTAGGTCTCTTATTCCTCCTGCCTAACTGAAATTTTGAATCCTTTGACCAACATCTCCCCAACCCAAACCCTATCTTCCCCTTAACCACTAATAATGACCACTCTACTCTCTACTTCTATGAGTTCAACTTTTTAAAGATTCCATACATAAGTGAAACCATTCAGTATTTGTCCTTTTGTGCTTGGCTAATTTCACTTAGCAAAATGCCCTCCAGATTCATCCATATTGTTGCACATTACAGACATTTCCTCTTTTTTTAAGGCTGAATCAGAATTTCATTACAGAATTACCCCATTGTGTATATATACACAATATATACACAACATATTGTAGATATATACACAATATATACACAACATATTGTATATATATACACAATATATGCACAACATATTGTATATATACACAATACTCCATTGAGAAAAATCACATCACATCCATTGTGTATGTATACCACATTTTCCTTATATGTTCATTTACTGATAGACACATAAGTTGATTCTATATCTTGGCTATTGTGAAAAACGTGGAAATGAACATGGGAGGGCAGATATTTCTTTGACATACTGATTTTACCTCCTTTCAATATACATCCACTAGTGGGATTGATGGTTAAGTTTCTAATTCTCAAAAGATTAAGATAACCTTTATAAATGTCTGGAAAAGTTTACATATATTTATAATTACATATAAATATATGGGATAATTATATATAAGTATATAATTATGACAGAAAATGAATCTTTTTCTCCTATTTAAATGCTTAAAAATCATTCACCTCAAGAAGATCAGATACTTATCTATTTTTTTCTCCTATGGGTCATAGTTTTAATTAAATTCTCTAAACAATTTTGGGCTTAAAATTTGTGTTTGATATGATATAAAACTCTAAATCTGTTTATTTTACCCAAAATTTTAACCAAGTTTCCTGGTAACGTCTATTGCAAAATTCTTTCTCTCTCGACTAGGGTAGTTTAATTAATCCCCACCTCCTACACTGAGTTATATTTAATGTATACTTCCAGTTTCACAGAGCCTAAACTTTATTCTTAATGAGAATCAGTGATTAACCTAGTATGATCCTACCAAGTAAGTTAGAATATTATGTTGCCTGCCTGAAATACATTTTTTATATTGAACACAGAATAATAGATTTATGCTATTTGCCTAAAAAGTATTTTCTCTGCTTCCATTTAATAAATAGTGGACAGATATTTAGATAACATATTTCGAAGGTACACCAAATTATTAGATTACCATGATAGCCACATGATTTCACTTGGCTTTAGGTTGATTGCACTGTTTTTTGTTTTTTCTTTTTAAAACCTCCATCATCCTTATTGCGAGTTGAAATTCTTCTTGCCTGCCCTGAGAATTGGAGTGGTCAAATCAAAAAGCTTTTATGAAAGAGGTTTTAGTGGTGGTGTGAGATTTTGTCTTTCTTATTTTTCAGAGACATTTTGGTAGGAGATAAGAAATTGCTGGAATCATTTCCAAGCCTGGCTACATTCTTTAGTAGCTCTGTAATTTTGGGCACATTGCTTTCTCAAACTTGTTTCCACATATGTAAATAGGAAATAGTGATATCTACATTACATGGTTATTAGCACAGTTTCTAGCATTTGTAACCACTCAGTGAATAGTAGGAGCTATTGGTATTTACAAAGTAGGGGAAAGTTGAATACAAAGTTAGTATCCAAAAGTATATTGGATACTAAAAGCCAGATGTTCTCTTCTGCAAGAATTCTCTCACAGATGACTTCAATAAGTTACTATTAAATGAATGATAAATGGATAAATGAGTGGATACCTTCATAAACAAACACAGATAACACATGGCAAGGCATGGATGGATCAGAACTGTCTACTTCCTTCTGGCCAATCCAACTTTTTTATGTGCCTTGCAACTTCTTGCCTATACAGGTGAATTTCAAATGTGCTGTCTTGTTGTCATCAGTTACCCTAGATGATTCCTCCTCTCCACCAATTCTCTTCCTTTAACCCCTTCTCAGGGGTTAAACTTTCTGATCCAAAGTTCCCTGCCTTGAACCTGCATTGGGTCTTCAGGTTTGGAATTTTTACGTTAGAGTCTGTATTCTAACCTTTATTTTCCATGAAGGTCCTGGCCTTAGCTTAATCCTGGTTGTTCTCCATGATCTGAAATACAATAAATCATTCAGCAGAAATATTTGAGATCCAATTTGTCTCGAGGGAACAGTATTTCTGAGTTAGATACTGTAAATTTTGGCAGATAAGCTATGATATTTAGTGCAGAATTATAGTCTTGTAAGCAATATGTGTTTTTTTTTCCTCTTCCGAGATGGAGTTTTGCTCTTTTGCCCATGCTAGAGTGCAGTGGCACAATCTCGATTCACTGCAGTCTCCACCTCCAAGCTTCAAGTGATTCTCCTGCCTCAGCCTCCTGAGTAGCTGAGATTACAGGTGCACACCACCGGGCCTGGCTAATTTTTGTATTTTTAGTAGAGAAGGGATTTTGCCATGTTGGCCAGGCTGGTCTCGAACTTCTGACCTCAGCTGATCTGCCTGTGTCGGCCTCCCAAGTGCTGGGAGTACAGGTGTGAGCCACCATGCCCGGCCAAATATGTGAATTTTTAAAGTGGCTGTGCATCCAAAAGCTATTATTTTGTACATGTTTAAGATAGAAATTAAATAATGGCAATACAATTTATTAGTTCATATCAAGTAAAAACAGTTGGGGTTGCCTGAAGATGGGAAAATTAACACATTATAATAAAATCCTTACTATTTATTGAGAAATAAACAATGAACTAATTGTATTTATAAATTGTCCCTAAATTAGAATTTACAACCCAAGTGCCTTTCCCAAACCTATCAAAACAGAACCACCTTGCAATAATAATATCCAAGAAATTATCATTTACCCAGAAATCTCAGCTGATTTGCAGATGGAAGTAGCAAAGTCTCTCGTCCTCAGGATTGGTTGTCACAGGTTTACACTACCAAAGTGTCTTGGAAAATTCCATCATTGTTTTATGCCTTATTTTACTGCCTTCTTTTCAAATGTTCTCTCCCTGCCTCGAAATGACTTCTGGTTCATGAAATGTATGGCGTTTTCTCAGCCTGAGAGACCTGGAGATCAGCATCACTCTGTTCATAGATTGTAGATTGTGCAGTTGTGGTGGCTCTGGCAGCCAAAATCCCAAAGATCATGTTGTCAGTCACTGTGCGCAGTCCAGAAAATTAACTTTCCGTCATTATAATTCTGTGGTTTTTGAAAGTATATCAAAAATAATATCCTTTTAGAATACTTCTGTAGTATTCTGATTTTTTAACGGAATTCTTTATTCTCCTTTGAGTCACTTGGAATCTACTTCTAATCCAGTCACTTGGACCATAGGATCCAGCACAGTGGGACCTGCCCATGCTAACCCTACCCCAAAGTGGGTGGTTTGCACAAGGACCAAGGTCAGTTGCCCTCAGCTGCAGCACTACTGACATTTGGAGCTGGATCCATCCTCTGTGGTGGGGTTGCCCTGTGCCTTGTGGATGTTTCGCAGCATCCTGGCCTCCACCCACTTGATGCCAGGAACATCACCCTCAGTGGTGACAACTAAAAATGCCTCCAGACATTGCCTAATGTACCCTGGGGGACAGTGTCACCCCTGGGTGGGAACCACTGAGCTGGATTAATACCCTCCTCATATCAAAGCTTGCACTAACTCTTCAGTGTGGGAGACTTGGCAAATTATATCACAACAGTGTGTTGAACCTGTGCATAGAACAATCACTCTAACATAACTTTTATTGCCCAGTTAAAAATTCCTCCAGGGGTTGCTACAGATACGTATCTAGGCTGTTTGAACTCTACCTGATTAGGCACTCAAAATTAATGTGCCTCAAGATGTTATGATCAAACCAACTCGTGTACTGATCATTGATGTAAAGCTATTTGGACTTGAATAATATGTGTTCCATACACATGCATGTCAATATTTTAAAATCTCCTTAATCAGATTAAACAATCTCACTCCGAAAAAATATTTTAAAGAAGATAATTGTCCGTGCAATATAGCTATTTATCCTTGCCTTTTTAAAAATAATGTAAAGAAAACAAGAGTAGTTTTTCCTGTAAGAAAATATTTCTTCATTCACACTCCTTAACAAATTCAATTTCTTTAAATAGCGAGTATTTTTTTTTCTGCAGACATAAAGGTTTACTTATTTCCTAAGTTATTCCTAGTGACTGTGAATGTGTATTTTCACCAATTTATTAACAAAATATTTCTAATTATTCAAAACTGATTAATCCCTGTATAATACATTTTTTAAAATTTTGAAATATTCTTAATCTTAAGAATAATTTCAAAAAAATCCAAGAACTTTTATTTTTCCTAAGCTATTTGAAGACAGTTGTTGAAATACTTGTGTGTGTATTTTCTACAAAGAAGTACATTCTCTTATATAATCAGAGTACAGCCACCAAAATCAGGAACTGCAGCTTGGCATGTAGCTGCCACATATCCCCTTCAAAGTTTGCCAGTTGTCCTCATAATGTCCCTCACAGTGGAAAGATTCAATACAGAATCATGCATTGTGTTTAGTTTCATGTGTGTGGTTTTTTTTTTTTTTTTGTCGGGGAGGGGGCGGTCTCTTTCAATCTGAAATCATCCCTCAGCCTTTCTTGGACTATTGTTTTTGGACCTTGATGTTTTTGAAGGTTTCATGCCAGTTAGTTTGCCTATTGGTTTTGTCTTATGTTTGCTCATGATTACATTTGGATTATGCATTTGTAGTAGGAACACTACAAATGTGACTCTGTGTTTTTCTCCCTGCATCCCATCCGGTGGTCGATTTTTCTCCTGGCTTGTTAACCTTGATCACTTGGTTAAGGCAGAGTATTCCAAGTTTCTCTGTTGTAATCAATAAGACTTTTGTACAGAGGTACTTTGGTACTATGTAAATATCCCATTCCTCATCAAATTTGTACCCACTGTTTTAAGCATTCATTGATATTTCTTTTTCTTTCTTTTCTTTTCTTTTTTTTTAAAGACAGGAACTTGCTCTCTTGCCCAGGCTGAAGTATAGTGGTGCAGTCATAGCTTATTGCAGCCTCCAACTCCTAGGATCAAGTGATCCTCCTACCTCAGCATCCCAAGTAGCTGGGGCTACAGGCACAGCCATCATGCCCAGCTAATTTTAAACTGTTTTTGCAGAGACCAGGTCTTGCTGTGTTTCTCAGGCTCATCTTGAACTCCTCGCTTCAAGCAATTCTCCCGCCTCAGCCTCCAAAAGTGCTGGGCATTAATATTTCTTGGATGAATTATTACAGTTATCATTATGAAATAGTAATATTCTAATTCCACCATTTCTTCTACATTCTATCAATTGACAGTATACAGTAAAGAAGAGCTTTATCGTATCTCCATTTATCTTAACCTGGACTCAGATTCATTTTTTATTAAACAGATTATAATCTATTTCTGTCATTATTTTTATTTGATGCTTATTTCCTGCTGAATCCATCCAACAATGTATTCATCCATCATTTCAGGCATTCACTCTTTTTTTAGGCAGTGCCTCTCTTAGATTTTTCCTGTCACTTTTTGGCCTTCACTTGTCTTTTCTAGATTTTAAACTTGTGTACCTTGCAAGATTAATGCAGTGCATCTCTTCTAATTCTGTGAGCCTTCCTTTATTCAGTGGGTGAATAAATGACCCATGCTCCCCCTGGGTTCTTCTGAGCAATGTGGTGCTGCCTTCAGAGCTGTTTCATGACCTGGCCACCCCAGCTTCAGCGTGTCACAAAAGTTCCAAGACATGAAGGAATCATATCACACGAAAGTTCTCACCTTGCCATATTCTGATTTTTTCTGCCACTTAAGCAACACAATGGTCACTGCCAAGAGGCATCCAGTGTTCTGAGAAATCACCCCAGCCAGGCCAACCTTGGACTGCGTTAATTGTCATGCTGTTAACGCAAAGATAAACGGGTGATAGCTGCCCTTCTTTTAACCTAGAGGTGTGCTTAAATTCTCTGTGTTTTTCTTTAAATGGTTGGAGGATTATCTAAAGCAAATACATTCCCATGCAGCTGCTATATCTATGATTAAACTTTTTTTTTGATGACAAGCTTTTGAATAAAAGTGCTGCTAAGTTTCATGAAAACAGTTACGGTAACAGAGTTGGACATTTATTCACATTATTTCCAAATGTGCAAAAGAGAAGAGTAACTAATTTATTTATCTATCCCCCTGCCTCTCTTTGTAGCAGAGGAATTCACACTTGTGTACCAGTAATAGCTCATCATCCTCCCTGCTACACTGTTGTATTCACTTAACTTGCATTGTATTCGTAGACTGGTTTTAAAAATATGACTTTTTAGTTTTCTGCCGAGAATCAAATCTTCTCTGTAAACAGCACACAATAGCTAGGAAACCTGATTTCCAATTTAAAATATTTCAGTCTCTTGCTAAGCAAGTGCCTTTCAGTTTAGGTATCTGGTGTAGTAAAGTGGAATTGCTTATTACACCCGTTTTAAACAATCACTTATGGGCACCTCAGACCCTTTGGGTAGATGCTCAGCTGATGAGAGCCTTACTCACCTTCTTCTTCCCCAAGATGGTGGATAAGTTCATGAGGGCATTACTTTGTACAATGGGATGGCGACCCTGGGCTCTTGCTGGTCCCTGCATGTGCATGGCTCACTTCCACTGGGTGGAGTTTGTCTAGATCCAGCCACAAAATCTCCACCATTTGATATGCAGTTTTGCCCCTGGAATATTTCCTGGTCTGGTCTCTTCCAGCTTGTTGGAGGCCTGCTGGTCTTTCCTATGGACTTTGCCCCACCTCAGCTCTTGCTGCTACTAGATGTCTGGTGGGGACTCCTCTTCCATTCCTAGCCCCAGCATTCTGCTCTGCCTCCTGTTGCTAGCGGGCACCTCAGCCTGCAGCAACCCCGTGGGAAGTCCGCCAGCCTGTACTGCCTTCCATCTGTACTCCTCCCCAGGGATCCAGGGAGTGGAATCTTCTGCTAACTCAGACATACATGCTGCCTCCACAGGTGGCCACCCTGGTTGCTGTGGGACACCTGTCTCCTCCTGCCGTCCAAAAGAGCAAGAAGCACTAAACTCTGTCTTCGGTCAGCATGACTCTCAGCCCATGTAAGCTCACCTTGGCTGTACCCCGAGGAGGGAGATCAAAGTATATGTTCCTACTGTCAGCTTTACTCACATCCACATCTTCTCCCTGCATGTCCTTGGGTTGGAAGGAACAGCTTATTTTTTGTCCTACATCAGTGGTTCTTAAACTTTACTGTACCAAGAAAGCTTTTAAAAAATGCTGATGATTGGGGCCTGCAGATTCTCAGTCACTGATCTGGATATGTCCTGCATGTAAGAGTGTTTTGCAAATCGTTTCTAATGTGCAACCAGGATTACAAAACGTTATCTTGTATCCTGAGTTCTCTCTACTCTTGGCATAAAATTAAAATCTGTTATATCTTGTGTATGTGTGTGTCTGTGTATGTGCATGTAGAGAAAGAGATAGAAACTGCAAGGGTAGCCTCGTAATATGTTAAATGGTAACTATTTCATTTTGGGAAATTTTGACTTAAAGAATCCTTTTGTCCCCCTCAACGAAGTATGCTCTGTACAGCTATTGCCTTGAAAGAAAGAAAAATCCCCTGTGCTTGTCAGTAGCTCAACATGGCCTCTTTATATCCCTTTGCACTTTGCTCGGTAGCTCAACATTTTGCATTTTGCAGCAATAGTTCAAAAGCCCCCCTCTCTGCCTTAGGCCCCTGGATCCCTCAGAATGCTTCAGGATGCCTAGCGAGAAGGATATGTTCACAGAAAGGCAAAAATGGAAAGCACATTAGTAGAGTTTGCAAAATATAACCTTTGCATCACTGCTATTATCCACCCCACAGCGAATGAGGCACGTCTAGGTGAAGGGTACATTTATTTGAGCCACATAAACCAAGAGTTATAAAGTTATGAAATATGGAACCAATAGGGAAATAAATTTATTTTTAGAAAGACAAAGGGACTTGCCCAAGGTAGCATGATTATGTAAGGTTTTAACCAAAGGCACCATTTCCGTGGAAGCCAGGAAGAGTAGGGCGGGAGTAGGGCAGGAGTAGGGCCAGGAGGGTGAAATCCAAGTGGCTTAAAGGTGACGTATGAGCTTTCAACAGAATATAGAAAGAATGAAGAGCGGGGCCTGTTTTCTCTCCTTCTTGATACTTCCATGAAGCCTATTATTTCACCAGCCTTCTGCAGCTTAATGATGCAGGGGGCATAAGAACAAGGGATGGAGTTTCTGCCAGTAGGTTCACCTGTGTTGTCATTATTTAGTTATTATTCACCAAAGCGCTGTTGATAACTATCTTTTGCAGCAATGGCTCAACAAACAACTAAAGCAGCCTGGGCGAGGTCGCTCATGCCTATAATCCCAGTGCCTTGAGAGGCTGAGGTTGGAGGATCACTTGAGATCAGGAGTTCAAGATCAGTGTGGGCAACATAGTGAGACCTCATCTCTTAAAAAAAAGAAGGCCAGGTATGGTGGCACGTCTCAGCTACTTCTCAAGAGGCCAAGGTGGGAGGATTGCTTGAACCCACAAATTCAAGGCTGCAGTGGGTCATGATTGCACCACTGCACTCCAGCCTGGGTGACAGAGCACGATCTGTCTCTAAACAAAAAACAAAAAACAAAAAAAAAAAAGAAGAAAAAGAATGCAAATATAGACATTTATAAGTATAAATGCTAATGATAAACTGACTTTTTAATATTTTGTTTCACATGAGCGGTATTTTCACAGCCACTGGATTGCTTATCTATTAGTGGTTCTAAACCAGAGGTGATTTTGCCCTTCCAGGGGGCATTTAGCAGTACCTGGAGCCTTTCTACATTTTATAGTACTTTTCATGTTTCCTAAAACTTTTGAAAAACTGACCTTCTTAATTGATTACTTATGATGCTTTCAAGATTCAAATTGTTCCATGGTAATTCAGCCTTCTCTATTTCATTGTTTATTTTCTCTTCTTTGACATTCACGATTTTGACAAAGTTAAAAACTTACGTTGGGTCACAGACTACTATGATAGAGGCCTGAGCCTAATTATTATCAGCTTAAGTTGTAGAAACAGCTCTTGTATTGACACTAGCTGGATTTATTTTATTTAATTGTTTTGGAATGTGTAAATATTATGCAGTTGATGTGCCTCAGAGGCCATTTTCTTTCACTTTTTAAAGTACAACTAGAAGTTGATATTTTTAGCATTCAGTATTCTACACTTTGTGGACAGATGAACTTCATAATGAAGTATGAAGAGCAACTGTACCTTAAAGAAAAAAATAGCTACATCAAAACTAGGTAAGAATGCCCTATGATGGAATATTTTATGCTGCTCATTATATTTTACAAGTCATAGCAGGGCATTATGTGGAGAGATGTATCTTGCTGGAAATGCACTTTATGACTTATTTTGTTATTCCAAGAGGATATTCGTACTTGATTATCTTCTACTCAATTGTGAAAACATTTATGCTTTCGGGTATGGTTTCACCCATCATGTGGGCTGGGCTGGTTTCAAAAATATTCATATGGCGGTTGCTAATTATAGGATCTCAGGAACTATTAAAAATAAACACAGGCACCTAAATTCGAGAAATAAAGAAGCTGATTAGGAATAGAAGCACATTGAGACCTTAGCACAGTTGTAAAATCCATGAGTTTGAGCTGATTAATAGAGCGTATTATTACAGAATGGTGATTTCCTGTTTTTTGGCTTCCCACTGTGCACCAATTAATAATGTGTATCTTATCCACAGGCAGCAGAGGTCCCCCCCTGAACTATTAGCTTCAGCAACCTGCTCTTCTGTTCTTTTTTTTTTTTTGAGACAGAGTCTCACTCTTGTCACCCAGGCTGGAATGCAATGGCGTGATCTCGGCTCACTGCAACCACTGCCTCCAGGGTTCCAGTGATTTTCCTACCTCAGCCTCCTGAGCAGCTGGGATTATAGGCACCTGTCACCATGCCTGGCTAATTTTTTTTTGAATTTTTAGTAGAGATGGGGTTTCACCATGTTGGCCAGGCTGGTCTCGAATTCCTGACCTCAAGTGATTCACCTGCCTTGGCCTCCCAAAATGCTGGGATTACAGGCGTGAGCCACCGTACCCCACCAACAACTTACTCTCCTGTTCTTGTTTAAACACTTGCCATAACTTGATCTTGAATTCCTTCCTGCAGACATTTAGAACAAAAATCAGTGTGAAATATTTGTCAATTACATCTGACCTTGTCAATCTTGAGCAGCTCAACAAATCTCATGCCAGGGTCCTGGCTGATATTTGAAGATGTTTGAGGTTCCAGTCATAGACTATGAAAGAACATGGTGCCCGTTAATGCTTAGTTTTCCAAATACGTAAACAGTTCTTTGTATTTGCATACATTGCTTTACATTTTATAAAATATGCTGTACCACCTCATTGGCTTCTTCAAATAACCACAGTGCATTACAGTTATAATTTTAAACATGGATAAAATAGGGTGCAGCCATATTAAATCCAGTAGTTGGAAGTGGCCTTTTCCAGAATGTTGCCTAACATGTAGGGCATACTTAATAACTATTTTTTGAATGGATACATATTAGTGCTTGGAAGTAAGAAACATTGTATTGTTGTTGTTTTAATAATGGTTGTTTTTGCTTATGACATAGACAGGTAGGCAAGATATATTAACTAGGTTTCAAAAGAGATTTAAATCCCAATTCTGTTGTTAACAACATTGTGACCCTGAAATTCTCTTAACTTTTTGGCACACACTTTACTTATTTTTGGAAAAACAATCTCGGGGAGGAAGTTTGAGTAGATACTGTGTAGGATCATTTTCTTTTCTAAGTGTCCTGGATCTTACATTTCACTGAGTAGAACGAAGCTTTAATTCAAACAGTTTTGATAAAGATATAGAAAGACAATGCAGTTTGTTTTTTGTTTGTTTGTTTGTTTTGAGACTGGATCTCTCTCTGTTGCCCAGGCTGGAGTGCAGTGGCACCATCACAGCTCACTGCGACTTCCACCTCTTGGACAGGTTCATGTCATCCTCCCGCCTCAGCCTCCTGGGTTGCTTGGACTACAGGTGCACACCACCACAACCGGCTAATTTTTTTGTAGAGATGGGGTTTCGCCACGTTGCCCAGGCTGGTCTTGAGTTCCTGAGCTCAAGTGATCCACCTGCCTCAGCCTCCCAAAGTGCTGGGATTACAGGTGTGAGCCACACAATGCAATTTTTTATTGGGTTTATAAATTAGGCTTTCTTGTTCTTCACTAAACTGTTTACCTAACAATATCACCTGGCTGTGGAGCAGTTATTCTTAGTGAAATTAAAAATATTTATTGTTCATCTAAAGCTCCCAGGATTACAATGCTCTGTCCTGGTATATGAAATATGTCAGATAATACAGATAATACAGCTTTATTGGGAACTCCCATTTATGTTATTTTTGGGAGTTCTGCTCATGGGCTTTGTATTTAAAGTGCAACATATTCACTTAGGTCTTACTGAAGGAGTTAATTATGGAAGAGCAAATGAGAATCTTATCATTTGATTCACAGTTACTCAAAATTTTATTTATATTATCTATTAGACCTCCCTTGAGTGCCTACTATAGACCTGACACTACATGAGGCCCTCGGACCTTAGAGACAAGCTAGACATGGCCCTTGACCTCAAGGAGTTGCAGTGAAGAAGTCACTTCTACATGGTGCTTGAGATGATGTTTAGGAAAACCTTCACAGCAGAAATGATATTTGAACTGTGTCTTAACAGATAGATAAGGGTATTCTAGGCAGCAAGGAAAAAAGTAATTTTGGTACAAGTTGCAGTGTGAACACAGACATGGATGCATGAAATAATTGTGAATTTTGGCAAATGGAAATTGTCCGTATGTCACATGCACTAGTGAATAATGATGCATCGCAAAGGGAGGAGGTGGTGAAAGCTGGTGGGGAAAAACAGTAGAAGGCTGTGAAAACCGTGTTTTGTTCTTTGTCAAGTAGACACTTGGGAGCCATTGAAGAATTTGACTTCAGGAGACACATGGACAGTGCTAAATTTTGGAAAACCTCTATTGGCAATGTAGTGTGGTTGAGAGATAATATTTAGGGGATGGTAGACAAGGAGATTTTGAGAAGCTGAACAAACATGGTAACCCTAGGATTGGATTAAAGAGATGATGGAGGCACATGTTAAGGAAAGTCAGTGGAACCCATTTGTTAATTGGAGGTGAGGTTTAAGGAAAAGAAAGTGTGATGGTTTATTGTATGTGTCAACTTGATTAGATTAAGGAATGTCCATATTGCTGGGAAAACATTGTTTCTGGATGTGTCTATGAGGGTTTCTATGTAAGAGACTAACGTTTGAATCAGTGGACTGAGTAAAAAACTGCCCTCCCCATGTGAGTGGGCATCCTCCAATCCATTGACTGCCTGCAAAAAGGGAGAGGAAGGAAAAGTTCTCTCTCTCTCTTCTTGAGCTGGGACATCCCTCTCTTGTCCTTGGACATTGGAGCCCCTGCTCCTCAGGCCTTTGGACTTACACCAGGGTTCCACACCCTACTGCCCCGCCCCTCCTACCCAGTTCTCAGGCTTTCAGCCTCATACTGAGAATTACACCATGGACTCCCTTGGTTCTGTTTCTCAGGCATTTGGACTCAAGACTGAATTACACCTCAGGCTTTCCTGGTCCTCCAGCTTGCAGATGGCATATTGTGGCACTTCTCAACTTCTGTAATCACATGAGTCAATTCCTATAATCAGTCTCATCTATCTATCTATCTATCTATCTATCTATCTATCTATCTATCTATCTATCTATCATCTATCTACCTATCTCCATCTATCTATCGTCTATCTATCTATCTATCTATCTGTCTGTCTGTCTGTCTGTCTGTCTATCCATCCATCCTATTGGTTCTGGTTCTGTGGAGAACCCTGACCAGTATAGGAAGAGAAATGGCCAAGATTGTGATTTGAGTCACTGGGAAAAGAGGAGGAGAAGGATGTCACATGGAGGAAGTTAATAGTTTTAGTGTCATACCTCAGTTTTGGGTTTTCCAGGACATTTCTTCGGGTAGATCTCATGGGTAGTTGAACACAAAATTTGCACAGCACATAGAAACTTCCAGCTCTTCATATTGATGGAACCATACTGAGATTCTAAAACCTTATTATGGAGGAATTAAGAAGGCACCAAGGATAGAGTGTTGGACTGGACAGGATTGCAGGAGTACACAAAGGGAATTGAGTTTACTATTTAGAGCCCAGACTCTCACGCTATCAGGGAACATCTTGGGATAAAGTAGTACCTGGAACTAAAATTCCTGCTTTCCAGCTAAGTAAATTCAATACAGTTTAGAAAAGGAAACGGCTGAAAGATAGAAAAGAATATGGTGGAAAGACCGACCTTGATTCCAGAACTGCTTTGGTTTTCTTCCTTCTGATCTAGAAGTGGGCTGTGGCTTCCCGCTAGCCACAAAGTTACTACTTTCTGCATTCATGTCTCTGTCCTAGTGATATCTTACTTCCTGAGGGAGTAAGGGCTTGCCTTATCTCAATCTTGCTTCTGGCTCCATAAGTGTACCCAGTTATTCCATAAAGTCTATTCCACACTGTCCTAAAGCCAGGTTCCTCTCAGCTTGCAAGTGGTCATGGTTTAGACCACTGGCTGACCTGCCTGATGTTGCATGACTTCCCATGGGTTCACTTCTGCTAGTGTGAATTTACTGGATTATTTCTTACACCTCTCTTTTCGGTCTGGGCCTCCTTGGGTTGGTTTGTCCATTTCTAACTTTATACCCATGGCTCTGCATTCTTTAGTCCTATAACACTCATAATCTGCATAGCTTCTTAGTATTTATCATATACGTTATTATGCTATTCTTTTTTAAAAAGCTTTTGCCTTTTTTCAAACACCTATTGTATTAGTCCATTTTCACACTGCTGATAAATACATACCTGAGACTGGGCAATTTACAAAAGAAAGAATTTTAATAGACTCACAGTTCCACATGGCTGGAGAGTCCTCACAATCATGACAGAAGGTGAAAGGCATGTCTTACATGGCAGCAGATGAGAAGAGAGCTTGTGCAGGGACCCCCCTCCCTTATAAAACCATCAGATCTCATGAGACTTATTCACTATCACAAGAATAGCACAGGAAAGACCCGCTGCCATGATTCAAGTATCTCCCACAGGGTCCCTCCCACAACATGTGGGAATTATGGGAGCTACAATTCAAGTTGAGGATTTGGGTTGGGGACATAGCCAAACCATATCAGCTGTGAAGTCAGAGATGAGGTATTGCAATTCTGTTATCACTCTCTTCCCCAGTCCCCTGCATATATAGTATTTGCCAAGTACTAGTGAAGGTGGAGCTGATCTAAGTGCAGATCTAGGGGGATAATTTATTTGTGGTCCCATCTGAAACAGGAGTAGTAGCAAGATTCACTTCTGTATTGATTCATCAGGTGCTTTTGAGCTCCTAACATATGAACAGGAGAGTGCTGGGCACTGTGGAAGATTCAAAACTCGATCACATAGGAACACCTGCCTTAAAGAAAGCTGTGGCCAAACCCATGGATTATTAGGGCTAGAAGTCATCTGAGAACATGATAAAATTTCACATTATTCTCTTATTTTTTTAATTTAGTTTCAAATTAAAACCAAATTTGTGTTCATCCTTAGTTTAGATGTGTAATTAAAGCAATAACTATAGGCTTCAAACAACAGTTGCAAGAAAACCCCAAAAATAAAAGGACACATGTGTACACTTGTGCTTGGAGATGGTAAGCACTCAGCCAGTGACTTACATTTTATCATGTTGACATGGCAGAGGTCAGTAGTTACACAATGTTATAACACATTAAAGATAAGCCTATCTTTACTCTGAATTTCATCATCACAAAGTTGTAAGTCTGACTAAAAGAGCCAAGGTAACATTGAAAGATATTTTTCAGCATTTCCAAAGATCATTAAGTCATAACCTTGATTCTAGAATATGCTTGTTATTGGCAATGACATCTTTTAGAATATTTGCTTTAGAAAGCTATTTTTGTTTACTAAGATTTTGAAACACATTTGCTATAGGAGGTGCAGTTGCCTACTAACCTGAGAGATAATTAATTTTTGATAACCTTACTGATCTAGTTACACTCACAGTAAACATTTTTTTGGTAAAAAAAAAAAATACTTTTTTTTTTTTTTAAATAAGTGACTCTGAAAAAGTAACTTGGAAATAAAATGCATTTTATTTATTTCTTCTTCTTTCTTTCTTTCTTTTTTCTTTTTTTTGAGACAGAGTTTCCCTCTTGTTGCCCAGGCTGGAGTGCAATGGCAGGGTCTCAGCCCACTGCAACCTCCGTCTCCCAGGTTCAAAGGATTCTCCTGCATCAGCCTCCCAAATAGCTGGGATTACAGGCACCCACCACCACGCCCAGCTAATTTTTGTATTTTTAATAGAGACGGGGTTTCACCATGTTGGCCAGGCTGGTCTCGAACTCCTGACCTCAGGTGATCTGCCCGCCTTGGCCTCCCAAAGTGCTGGGATTACAGGCATGAGTCACTGTGCCTGGCCCAGGTTCTTCATTTTTTTTAAGTCAAGTCCCAAAACAAATATGAAAAATTACATAAAAGGGAGTTTCCTGGCCAGAGATAAAGTCAAAGTTGCATACAATTAGGTGTCCATTCATTGATTGGTTTATCCATCCATACATTCATTCATTTATCCGTCTATCCAGTTGTCCTTCCATCCATGTACCAACCCACTCATTCCTCCATCCATCCATCCATCCATCCATCCATCCACCCACCTACTCATCTTTCCATCTACCCACTCACTCATCCTTCCATTCATCCACCCACCCACCCACTCATCCTTCCACCCATCCATCCACCCAGCCACTTATCCTTCTATCCCTCCATCCACCCACTCATCCATCCATCCATCTGTTCACCCACCCACTCATCCTTCCTTCCACCATCCATGCATCTACCCACCCATCTATCCATCCATCCATCTATCTATCCACCCACCCACTCATCTTTCCATCTACCCACTCACTCATCCTTCCAACCATCCACCTACTCATCCTTCCACCCATCCATCCACCAACCCACTTATCCTTCTATCCACCCACCCACCCACTCATCCATCCATCCATCCATCTATTCACTCATTCATCCTTTCATCTATCAACTCATCCATGCATCCATCCATCTACTCATCCATTCGTCTCTCCATTTATCCATCCATTCGCCCACCCATTCTTCCATCTATCCATTCATCCACCCACTCATCCATCCATCCATCTGTCCACCCACCCACTCATCCTTCCATCCATGCATCCATGCCTCCACCCACCCACCCACTCATCCATCCATCCGTCCATCCATTTATCCACCAGCCCACTCATCCTTCCTTCCTTCCACCCATCTACCCACCCACTCGTCCATCCATCCATCCATCCGTCCATCCGTCCGTCCGTCCATCCATCCATCCATTCTTTCATTAGTGAATGAAAATTCTCGGCCAAGAGCAGATATTATAACAGAGTGTCAGGAATTGTGTTAGTTTCTGGAAATAGGAAAGATGCTTTTTTGGATCAATTGTTCTACAGGTGGGCTTTCAGAGGAGTTTCTGTATATAGCATAAAGAGTTCCTCAGTAGAATTTTTGAGACTTGCCATGTAATTCCACAGAGGCATTTACTAAATCTTCCTAAAGTATCTGGATTGCAAGGGTTAATCCACTCACTCGTTTAAGAGTGTAACTGAAGATGGTAACTGCAAAAGGCATAAAATGAGCCTTTTTATGTCCTACTCTAACAATTTTCACCCCTGGTCAGAGGCATCTGACCCAGTGAAGCCAGAGGCTCCTAAGTAACTGTTGGAATGATGTGTTAACAGTCCATAGCTGCCAAATAGGAGACCCATATAAAAGGCCAAGCTTGAGGTTTGGGGCTCCCTAAGCCAAACATGTGACACGAGTAATGAGGTGTTTAGCATTTGAAAGGGACTGGCAGCCCTCTTCTGGGTAAGTGGAAGGAGAGGCACTGGATCCCATTCTTTAGGAGCTGTGCTTCTGTAAAACAGAAGTTGGAATCCAAAGCCAGTGAAATATGAATTAAAGAAGATGAGAGCTGCAGAAATTTTATGGAGAACAAAGATAATTTAATATTTGAAGTGAGTGGTGGCTTTTGGGAAAATGATGAAAATTCATTAAATTGATAGTTCATTAAATTAACAGATTTGAATGTGTACTGGTATTTGCCCTTTTATTTATTTATTTTTAGAGATGGAGTCTTGCTCTGTTGCCCAGATTGGAGTGCAGTGGTGCAATCACAGCTTGCTGCAGCTTCAAACTGCTAGGTTCAAGTAATTGACCCACCTCAGCCTTCCAAGTAGCTGGGACTATAGGTACACACCACCATGCCCAGCTATTTTGTTTTAATTTTTATATTTTATAGTGATAGGGTCCTGCTATGTTACCCAGGCTCATTTATCCTTTTAAGATGAGACATCTATGTCTATATTTCTGTTCCTTTTACAACTTTCAAGAAAGATACAAGACGCCCTGTATCTTCCAAATGTGACAGCAAATATGTCCTAATATAAGGACTAAATAAGATGATAACTTTTAGAAAATTCAGTTTTCAGAGTAAACTTTTTACGGATTTGTAAAATCTTCTTGCTCAGCAGTGTCGGTTCTCACATGGGTGGTTGGGAAATACTGTTGACTGATTTCCATAGGTATTTTTAGGGCTGCTGGGGTGAGTTTATAAACTTATTCAACTCGTCTTATTGGAAACTCTCTTTTGATTGCTCTCAAATGTTTTAAGGAAACATTTCATGATTTTTAAAAAATAGATTTAAGGGGTAGAAGTATAGCTTTGTTCCATGGATATATTGATTAGTGGTGAAGTCTGAGCTGTTAGTGTAACCATCACCTGAATAGAGTACATTGTACCCAAAAGGTAATTTCTCATCCCTCACCCCCCTCCCATCCTCCTACCCTTCTGAGTCTCCAGTGTTTATTATTCTGTTCTCTGTCTATGTATACTCATTGTTCAGCTCCCACTTATAAGTGAGAACATGCAGTATTGTACTTTCTGTTTCTGAGTTTTTCGTTTAAGGTAATGACCTCCAGTTCCATCCATGTTGCTGCAAAAGATATGACCTCATTCTTTTTTATGGCCAAGTACTTTTCCGGGTGTGTGTGTGTGTGTGTGTGTGTGTATCATTTTCTTTATCCATCAATGGATATTTTCTTTATCCATTGATGGACACTTAAGTTGATTCTATGACTTTGCTATTGTGAATAGTGCTGCGATAAACTTAAGAGTACAGATGTCTTTTTGATATAATGATTTGTTTCCCTTTGGGTAGATATCCAGTAGTGGGATTTCTGGATAGAATAGCAGTTTTAATTTTAGATTTTTTTTATATTGAAAATTAAATTAGGCCAGGTGCGGTGGCTCATGCCTGTAATCCCAGCACTTTGGGAGGCCTAGGTGGGCAGATCACGTGAGGTCAGGAGTTCTAGACCAGCCTGGCCAACATGGTGAAACCCTATCTCTACTAAAAAATAAAAAAATAAAAAATAGCCGGGCATGGTGACGGGTGCCTGCAATCCCAGATACTCTGGAGGCTGAGGCAGGAGAATCACTTGAACCCCGGAGGCAGAGGTTGCAGTGAGCTGACATCTCACCATTGCACTCCAGCCTGGGCGACAGAGCGAGACTCCGTCTCAAAAAAAAAAAAAAAAAAAAAAAAAAGAAAATTAAATTAACTGGTTAGTTCACCATATCTACTAGACTTTCTTTGTCCAGAATGATATTTAGTTGCATCAGAAAGTTAAATCCACCGTAAAAGATTAAAGGGACACCATTGATCATAGTTTTTAAAATGTCCTTCAGATGTAAGGACACTGAAGGAGGAGAGAATGCAAAAATGATGGAAGTAGGGGCAGCGTTATTAAATAAGTAAAACGTTAAAGATGACTACTTGGATGGCTGTGACGGTACTCAATGTGTAAGATTCAGCGTGTTTGCCAAAAAAAATGATCTGCCTCTTTCCTTAGAGACACATATTGTAAATGATTTAATGTCTTGGGTTGTTTTGATGTCATGCTAGGGACATAAACAACAGCTTTTAAGAGGCAACACCCTCACTGCCCATTTGCCAAGATTCTAATCTCAGCCTTTCCCATTCCTAAGGTGCTCACCAAACTACCTTGAACAGCACCATGCACTTTCATGCCATTATCAATTGGGGAACATCTTCCCCAGTCCTACGCCATTATCAGCTGGGAGAAAACCTACAATCAGTGCTTAAAGAAAAAAATGCAAACATTTGCCAGACTGGAGAAATGTCCATTTAAATGTTACCGAACTAAACTAATTATGGAATGTTCTAACCATCGGATGCTGACATTCCCTACCTCAGCATTATACAAATAAAGATTATGGTTGTTTAATATGGTGCCTTGCAGCCAGGTGTTTAGTATTGCATTTGGTTTCTTGGTATTTGGAATTTTTATGGTCGTCATTACAGTAGGAAGTTTCAAGGGAATCATTTTATGGTATATATTTTACTTCTTACTCATTCCTTGGCTTCCAACTCTACAAGACTCACTTACCTTTACCTTTGTGAATTACGTGCAAATATTTTCAAACCCTTCTTTGTGTTCTAATTGTTTTTGGCTTCCATATGCTACAGCAGAGCCAAGCAGAATAGAAAAGTAAGTTTTAAATAAAAATCAGAAACTATTGGATTTGCCAAACGCTTTCTCCTTCATTTATTTGGGAAATAGTCTTGTATTTTGCCAACATTTGAAACAAAATTCTAATGACCTTTAATACATCTCCTTTTCATCACTTGGCTAAGTGTTCAACATTTTTCATGTGCATTCAAAGAGAGGGAAATGTTTTCATTATAAAAGTGGAGTTACTTACATACTCTGGTTTCTACACTTTCAAAGAGCTGTAATAACAGATTATGGAATTCTGTAAGTAGAAAAGCCATGGATTCTCCTGGTCCATTCAGCCAGGGTATTCACTGTGCACAGACTAAAGTGGGGCTAAGATATTCACTGTGCACAGACTAAAGTGGGAGAGAGGTGGTGAAAAGACGGAAAGAGAACAACACAAAAATTTAATTTTTAATCTTTGGAAATTTGGATCTCATAGAAGCAAAGATTGCAGACTATCATACTTAGAAACGATGTAATTTTTCCAATTCAGCCATCTGCCCCATTCACAGACACTCTCACCAACAGAGTCCTTCATTCAAGAATACAGGAACTCACTACCTTCTGAGATGGCCACTTCCATTTTTTAACAGTTTTAACGTTCCTGTTTGTTCTGAAATAAGATGCCTCTCTGGAATTCTTCTTCTCTGTTTCTTGTGCTGACCTTTCCAGCAATACTGAATATTTTTAAAAGGTTTCTGAATGAAACAGCTTCTGATGTTTTGGGTTTATCATTGTGCCTCCACTCTAGGTTTTTCCTCCATTTTTCCAAATTCCTCTCTGAGTAGAGTGCTTCCCATTCTCTCACAATTAGGTTTATCTTTTGGAACACCTACCCCGCTTGCCAATACTCATGCCAAGAGGCCCAGAACTGGATCCAGCACCCTAGGAGAAGTCTAAAGATGTAGAGTGGATTGGGCGTACTTTTTTCCCTTGATGTTCATAGTTCCATAAGGAAGTCAGAATTGCAGTAGCTTTTGAGACAATCATTCTACTGTTGAATTATATTGAACTTACAGTGATGTGTCTTTTCAGGTAATTTTATATACCACTACCCCATATCTAGGATTTATGGATTTTTTTAAACCATAAATTTAAGACTTTATATATTTTGCTATTATGTTAAAAATATCTATGGAAAATACCATGTTTATAAAAATCTGGTAAAAAAAAAAATAGCCAGACTTGGTGGCTCACACCTGTAATCTGAGCACTTTGGGATGCTGAGTGGGAGGATCACTTGAGGCCAGGAGTTCTAGACCAGCCAGGGCAACATAGATCCCATCTCTAAAATAAATTTTTTAAAACATAGCCAGGTGTGGTGGTGCATGCCTATAGTGCCAGCTATGCTGGAGGCTGAGGCAGGAGGATTGATTGCTTGATCCTGGGAGTTCAAGGCTGTAGTGAGCTGTGATTCTGCCACACTTCAGCCTGGGTGACAGAGCAAGACCCTGACTCTCAAAAAAAAAAAAAAAGGAGAAACAAATAGCATAAAAAATAGTATGGTGTTGGCCGGGCACGGCTCATGCCTGTAATCCTAGCACTTTGGGAAGCTGAGGCGGGTGGATCACGAGGTCAGGAGTTCAAGATCAGCCTGGCCAAGATGGTGAAACCCCGTCTCTACTAAAAATACAAAAAAATTAGCTGGGCGTGGTGGTGGGCGCCTGTAATCCCAGCTACTCGGGAGGCTGAGGCAGATAATTGCTTAAACCCTGGAGGCGGAGGATGCAGTGAGCGGAGATTGCGCCACTGCACTCCAGCCTGGGTGACAGAGTGAAACTCTGTCTCAAAAAAATAAACAAATAAATAAATAAAATAGTATGGTGTTGGAGGATGGGGATAGGCTTCTTTATCCTTTTGTTGTTATTTTTGGGTCTCTTAATGTTGATATAATAGTTATGCCCTCACAGTAAGCCTTGAAGCCTTGAAGTCCTCGGCTTATTGCAATGCCTATTCTAGCTGCCAATATTCCAGGGAGCTCCTGATTTCATATTCTTGTTAGTCTTCACCTGATTTCCCCTGTTTCAGGCTCTCCCTGCGTTGTCTTTTCCCTTCTGTTTTTCCTCAGTCGGCACCTGCAGGTTTTTGCTTCTCTGAGGTTCCCATTCTCACACCAGGTGTTCTCTGCAAATATAACCCATCTACTGCCAGGAGTGACTTCAGCTACCTCCCACCTGTGGCCAGTGGGACTCATGTGTCTAGCAGAGCTTCTTCTGGGATAAAACTTAATGATGGTCTACTTCACCTGACTTCTGTGTGTTCTCTCCGTGTGAATTAGTAACCTGAGACAAGAATTCCAGTACAAGTAGTTTATTTGGGATGGGTTCCTGGGGAAGAGTGGTGGGGGAGTGGGAACTGAGACACTAAAGAGGGTGCCCAGGAGAGTGTTTGGTATTCAGCAAGTTATCCTTCTGGGTAACTAGAGGGGAATCTTCCCTGGGAATTCTGGAAGGCAGAGTGGAAGATACCCCAGAATTAGTCTACCTGAGGGCACAGGGGATGGAGCATTTCTGCAGACTCAGCTTGCATCAGTCACCAGCTGAGAGCTCTTCTGGGTACACTCATTCCTCAGCAGGTCCACTCAGGTGTTACGGGCGCTGACACGGAACTAGCAACAAGCAGAGAAATTCAGTGCTGGCTGTTCGGTGAAGCTGAGAAGGAATGAATGGGTTCTCACAGCTTGACCTCCTTTCCCATGTTTATTTATATCTCTTTCCAAATGTAATGACCTTTTGAAATATGTTTATATGTGAGGTCTAAGTTTCCTTTCCCCTGTGGATCCTCTAGAAATTTCTGGAAAATTCTGAAGCTTGGGGTTAGGGCATGAATTAAATTCCAAAGACGTTTCTGGAAAGTTCTGCATCTTGGGGATTTGAATTGGATTCCAAGAAAACTTCTGAAAATGTCTGTGAGTCCAGGGTCTGAATCTTGTGCATGCACACATTTTGTTTTGTTTCTTAATCTGGTAATTTTGATGTGCTAGGGAACTTGACATGAGTTTCTCTGCCCCTGGATGGTGAGCATTTCGCGTCTTCTTTGCTTTTAAATTTTGAATTCATTCTCTTTCCCATCACACACACACACACCCACACCCACACACAGACACAGACACACACACACACACACACACAGCACAGCACACCCAACACTTCTCATGTGTTGGAAAACCTTCCCTCCTCCTCTCTGATTCTGCTGCTCTCCCTGCCTCCTTTCCATTTCAGTTTCCCTACTTCACAGTATGTCCTTGGACACATCCTGGGGTTAGTGGAAATGAGAATGAAGGGAATGTTGAGCCTGGGGAGTTTGAGACACTGTAAGACAGCAAGGGGTCAGGACCAGAAGAGCAGGCAGCGTGGGCTGGACGCAGCTTCTCTGAATGAAAACCAGCGAGAACTGCATCAACAACCTGGTGGTGGGGACATTGCAGCTGTTTGCTCTGGACTCCACCGCAGCATCAGAGCTCGAATAATCATGAAGCTCAGGTCTGTACCCAGCCCAGCACAAGCTCTGACGCCAGTTGTTCTTTTCAGCTTTAACAAATCCCTATGGACCCCTCCTGTGAAGACCCATCCTACAGAACCTCCCATCACAACCCTCTTTGCTTGCCATTCATAGTGTCCCGCATTCTCCAAACTTGGGCTTCAATCCTTACGATTCCATTTGAATGGTTTTGTATGGGGAGTTAACTAGAACTTCTCCATAACAACATTTAAATCTTTCCTTTCTAATATATATAGATATATATATCAGAAAAGATTTAAGATATATATATATATATTCTAAGTGAACATTGTCACTTTGGGGACTTAGATTTTATATATATATTAACGTATTAATATAATAAATATATAATTGTATTACTATAATAAATATATAATTATATTTATATATGTATATATTAATATAAGTTAATACAGTGTATTAATATATAAATTAATACATGATTAATATAAATATATAATTATATATGTGTATGTATATATATTATCTAAGTGAACATTGTCACATTGGGGGATACTGCATGGACTCAGTATAAACAACCAGAGTTGAATGGTTTGTTGAAAAGGAATGAGCTATGCTTTCTCCTTCACACTGTAGCACTACATTCCCACATCTATCTTAATCTATTCATTATCACCACACATGCAAAGTTTAATGGGAAACATTTGGAGACATTTGGAGGCAATAAGTATAACAGATATATATGAGCTAATAGCATATGCAAAATGTCCTTCACTACCCAAACTCTTGTTAATTGAATACTTGCTATTTCAGCTCATGAAACAGAATATTTGAGATAGGATTATTTGGAGATATAGGATTATATATATCTATATGCCTATCTCTCTATACATATCAGAAAGAAAAGATTTAAATATATATCAGGAAGGAAAGATTTCAATTTTGTTATGCAGAAGTTCTAGTATACATAAGTTTACATATAAACTTACGTATATGTAAACATGTATATTTTACATGTGTTCATATACGTAAGTTTACATGTAAATGCTTACTTATAGTTAGTTAATTTTTATTTATTTTATTTTATTTCATTTTTAGAGACAGGGTCTTTCTCTGTCGCCCAGGCTGGAGTGCATTGGTGCGATTGTAGGTCACTGAAGCTTCGACCTCCTGGTCTCAAGTGATCCTCCCACCTCAGCCTCTCATGCAGCTAGGACTACGGGTATGTGCCACCACACCTGCCTAGTTTTTAAAATTTTTTGTAGGAATGGAGCCTCTCTATGTTGCCCAGGCTGGTGTCGGACCCAGGCCTTAAGCAATCCTCCCACCTTGGCCTCCCGAAGTACTGGGATTACAGGTGTGAGCCATCACACCTGGCCTATATTTGTATATTGATATAAATTATACATACATAAAATATACATGTATATGTAAGATACAAAGATACAAATATCAAATATAAATACATATATTTTATATAAAAATATCTGTTTAAACTACTGAATAAAAGAATGCTGCAGGGACTCAGTATAAACAACTAGAATTGAATGGTTTGTTGAAAAGGAATGAGCTGTTGTTTCTCCTTCACACTGTAGCACTGCATTCGCACACCTATCTTAATCTATTCATTATCACCACACATGCAAAGTTTAATGGAAAACATTTGGAGACATTGCAGTAAGTATAACAGATATATATAAACAGCACATATAAAATGTCCCTCACTACCCAAGCTCTTATTAACTGAATACTTGCTATCTAAACTCATGAAACAGAAGTTTTGAGATAGGATTATTTGGAGAGTATTTTCAAATATATTTTCCCTTGCTTAAATAAAAACTGAGTATCTGACCCCAGGAACCAAGCAGATTTGGAAAAAACAATTCTTTCAGCGTACTTTAGAGATGGACTTTGGGCATAAACAGTCATTTCAGAATATAACTTTGTAAAACTGTAAGACTTTATCAAAGGTACCAGAACACAGGTAATTTGCTACATAGTGCTGAAGTGAACCAGTTTGGTGGAAAGTTATAAAGAATGCAACTTCTTCCCATGGACAAGTACATATAATTGGGTTCCATGAATAGAACTTCAGTACCAAAGGCCCCAAGCATCTGTAACATAAGCCAGCTTCTATCTAATAATGCAGCATAGTCACACTCAATAAAAGGTGTTTCTGAGATTTAAGAATCTTGAGAACTGTTACTATACATTTTTATGAATACTCACAAGAGAGATTCTGCCAGAAAATGTTTCTAGGAGAGAATTTAGCACATGATCGATGTTGGTTTGGCACAAGCTTTTGTAGGTTATCGCAAGTGTCTTTTACAGATGTTCCTCCTTTCTTTGTCTTTAAATTTGTATTTGGTTTTCAATGATTTAGGAAGAATTACATTAATTAGGTTATAACAATCACAGTCAAGAGGCCACTCACTTTAAAAGCATCCATTTGATGCCAGTGGCACTTCAGGGGGGAAATGTTATTTATATTCTTAACCGACCGTCTTTTTGTTTCTGACAATTGAGCATTGCCTATCATTGCACTTTCAGGTGTTTTGGTTTTACCTCCAACAACCAGAACAACAGACGCCTACATTATAAGGCTTTACTCATTTTCCTTAATTGAAAAAATAGGACACTGTTTTAATCCAGTGAAACCATGAGGATTTTATCCCCTACAATGAGAAGCACACCTCAGAATCGCTATGCTAGTGGCTATGGAAGTGTGAACAAAATGCTGTTGCTTCTGACTTTGGAGTCGAATAACGAAGTGTCTACAAATGAAAACCATTGCTGTTTAAATACTTGGATAACATAAGCCTACTGCTGGCTCTAAAAACGTTAAGTGGATTCTATTCTTGGGGCAAGCAAACAGATAGGAGAGTGGTTAACCATCTGTGGACTGATGATTAGTACAGTGTGATTTAGAACTAGCATGGGCATTCCTCTTGTTTGTGAGCCACAGTTTAAATCCAGTTTTGTTTCATTTCACTGACCTAAATGGCTACATCTTTTTCAGATAAAATTTCATCAAGTTTTAAAAGTGTCAGCTCAGAAAACATTCCTACAATGTACAAATGGAGACATATAAATGTTAAATACAGTATTTTTCTTTTTCTTGTATTAAATTAGGCACCTGAGGAGGCACATTAATATTTTTGGTCATTAGAAGACTATTTACACTGCAATAAAAAAGGGGGGAGGGAAGCAAGCATCTTTGTTCATCCCAGTTTATTCAGCATCATAGGAAAAGTAACTGAGGCTTCCCACATGTGTGAATTTTAAAATGTGTAGTTATTAAAGTGTATTCATCCATTTTGGCAGAAAAAATATGTATACAATATATAACCCATCTCCTTGCCCCTGCAGTAGAACCTGTAAACTTTATTTGCATGTTGGTCAATTCTATTTAAGCCTATAATACAGAGGTCATCCTCAAGGTAGACTGGGCTGCATACGACTATTTGCCTTTGTATTAATGGTCCTCAAATACCTTGTTTGTTGATTACTGGTTTTATTTTATGGTTTTCCTGTTTCCTGTTTCACTTTCAGTCTTGAGACTGCTATGTTCTTGCAGCTGATGGAAGCTGCAAGCCCCTGTGAGTTGCCAACATTGTTTGTTTCACTATGTAACTGATATTGAATTTAATCGGGAATCTTGCAGCGTATCTGGGAACGTCACCACACCCATTTTTAGGAAATCTTTGGTTTAAAAGGTAGAAACCTTGCTTCCTCAATAAATCCCAAAGTAACAGTCAGAATTGGGACGTGAGAGGGTCTCACCAAGGTTCCTGTGCTGGCACGGAGAAGGCAGAGGGTTCCTGTGTTCTCCAAGCTGTGAACACCAGGAGGAGTGATTCCTCCAAGTTTGAAGGGTCATGAGGACATGACTTGCTTTTCTAAATACCCCTGGGTGGACCCAAGTCTGAATCCCAAGGCTACTGAGTCAATTAGCATTATGCAACAGGAAGACACAGATAGCAGCAGCTTGAACAAGTAAAAGTTCATCTGAACTCATAAAGTCTGGAGGAGGCAGTATAGGGAAGATACGGTGGCCTCATTAACTCATCAAGGAGCCGGGCTTCTTCCGGGTCTCCACTCCACTGTATCCCATGTGCTAAGAGGGGCTGTTGTAGCACTAACCTTCACATACACACTCAGCAAAGCAGAATAGAAAGAGAAAAAGCAGGAGGAGGCCATCCCTCCTAACCCTCTCACGCTACTATCCAGAAGTAACACTTGCTTTCACCCATTGACCAGAACTTAATCAGACAGCCACTCTGTTTGCAAGGGAGGCTATGAAATATTATGTGCATATAGGGATTCCGTTACTAAAATTTAGGGCAAAATTACTAGAAGCCTTTGCCATGTGGGTCTCTGTAATGGCTTTCGTGAAGGGCGGAGGCACCAAGAATTGATATGGGTTTCAGTCTGTCCTTGCAGGCTCCAGCCCCTGATCTCTCCCATGTCATGTTCCTCTTCCCTTCCTGAATTTCTGCCCTCTGGATGTCTAGCTTCAGCATCAAACACAAAAACAACATCAAAGCCTTACAGAGACTGCTCAACCAGCTCCACAAGTGTGCAAATCAGAGCTCTGTCATAAAGACCTCTAACTGTATGTATAAGTATCTAATAACTGTGAATAGATATAAATAGGTAGATGTATATCTGATATTGATTAATCAATTTGTCTACCTCTAGGCATATATGCATATATTTATGTGTACTATATTGGATAAGAAAATATATATGCTTGTGTCTGTGTGTGTTCATATGTGTGTGTGTATGTGATGTAGATATAGACTATATAGAAGACATATAGATAGATTGATATGTCTTATATATATGAGATATATAAAATACTGATATCTATATATCATATATTTCTGTGAATCTATATATCTATATACCTGTAGATATGTAGATATATTTACATGATATATATACTCAATCAGTATACTATTGATATAAATAGCATATATATAATCATATCTATCTATCCATCTATCTATATCTCCTGTAGATCTAGATTTAAATATAGATATAGGTATCAATACTGTATATTCAGTATTGATATTGTAGTGGTATGTTTCTATGGTGGAACCCTGACTGATAAACTCTCCCTCTAACAGCTATCTGACACCCACTTTTTTTGTTACTATGTAAGTCCCAGAATGTAAGCTCTAGAAACTTAAGAGAACCTTGGGAAAATAGGATGAATGTACCCCCACTACCCTCCTGCACACAAAAAATTGAAGCTAACCCATTCTATCACCTCCATGAAATATAGGAATAAATATGAAATTAAATTATGTAAAATAATGGTGATTCAATTACCTACACCCTTGTGTTTGTGAATTAAGATATATCTTTGCAATAATATTTCCATCTTCTCTCCAATGTCAGATCTTTCCTTTTTTTTTTTTTTGTGGGGGGGGACAGGGTCTCACTCTGTCACCCAGGCTGGAGTGCAGTGGCGAGATATCAGCTCACTACAAGCTCCGCCTCCCGGGTTCAAGCGATTCTCCTGCCTCCACCTCCTGAGTAGCTGGGATTACAGGCATGTGTGCCACCATGCCTGACTAATTTTTGTATTTTTAGTAGAGATGGAGTTTTGCTATGTTTGCCAGGCTGGTCTCTAATGCCTGACCTCAGGTGATCCGCCCGCCTTGGCCTCTCAAAGTGCTAGGATTACAGGCCTGAGCCACCATGCCCAGCCTCGTGTCAAATCTTAGTAGCTCAGTAGAATAGTAAGGTAAGATCAATTCTTCACATCAATACTTAAATACTTCTCAGATTAAGGACTGTGTCTTAGAATTTGAGACCTCAAAAATACCTTGTAATAACTATTTCTAAAAGTCCCTAAATTGTCCAGGTTAAGTGTTGTTTTATAAAAATATGTGTTTGAAAGAAAAAAAAAGGGATTTCTAATCTTTTAAAATTTTCATACAGAAGAAAAGGTGAATTCAAGGTACATATGTTATCAGGTTTTTTAAAAAATTAAAAAATAAAAATAATTTGTGTTTGAGGCAAAATAATGGATTGAGAAACAGTAAAATGTCTTAAAGAATCATTTACAAAATTAAGACTAAATTGAGGGAGCTTTAATGATTATGGGGAATCACATAAAAGTTTTCAAAATGTACATGAAGCTTTGGAAATGATGTTTATTGAATTAAATTGACTATAGGAAAAGGAAACCTAGAGATAACATTCTGGAAATATGTTCTGCAATTTCTGTATTTCATAAATGAATTAACTCTAAGGCAATTATGAGGAAGATGAGATAAATAGTATTTTTCCTCTCTTTATCTCTTTCATCCTTTTTTCCTTCTCTAAGTTATAGCACCTCAAGCAGAGCCTCTTAAAGACAAAGGCTTCCCAAATGCTGAAATACTTATAAAGTCTGATGGGTTTGTCTTCTGACGTTTGGGATTTCTTTTTATTTTGCTTTCTATAGAAAACTCAACAGTCCAAAGGCCAGAATAGGACGTCTTCTATCAAACTCTCAGGTTTTCCTGTCTTCCCTCAGTATCAAGGCATAGCTTTCACTAACATTTGCAAAAGACATCCATTTAACTAAGGCTGTTGATTACCCAAGTGTGGCAGTTGTCAGAAAATACTTACTACATAACACTAGAATCACTGGAAACCGAATTGGAGTTAAATAAGGTGGATTAACATAGCTAATGTGTTCAAAGAAACATAGAATTTTACTCTACTGCTTAGACACCAAATTTATCTGTGAATTTTGTAAATAGACTTAATTTTTTATAAAATGACCTAAACTCTATACATAGTATGTGAATAATGGGAGTTTGTTATTTAATATTTAAATGTCTACTATGAAGACAGCTTTTGGATGTTAGCCCCTTAAACACCCTAAATAGTCCCTTGTTAAAAGTAAAAATCTGAGTCTCAGACAAGTTTAGACACTTTCAAAGACCAAGTTGGATGCTTTATGAAGACAGGAAGGGATGTCAGCTAATCAGAGTGCGAGTAAACAAGTGAAACTATGGCTAAGCTATTCCCGAGTGAGAACTCCCCATGAGAGGAAATTAAGGAATTCCCCTGCTTCTATGTGAAATGCTGCTATGTAGTGCACGGCACACCAGTATGCCATAAGATTTGTTAAAGCCCATTGTTGTGCTGGGGAATTGTGGGGCCACTTACATATGTGGCAGGGTAATTAGTAATAGCTAATTTATTACTGATGCCAGTCAGTTAATCTGGGATTAATTCAGAACCATACATTTTAATTATTCTTTGTTAAAAGTGTATAGTTATGAGTAATAACTTGGGTTTTAATTTTCTACCCCCTTTCTGCAAATAAAACCTGATGATTTGAACACAGATATCTTTCTTCAGTTTTCACATTATTATCCTGTCTTAATCAAGCTTAACTTGATTAAATCAAGTATTATTTGAAATACACACACACACACACACACATATGTACACAATGCAATGGAAGATACTTAAATTGTATAGGCTGTGGTTTGTGATAATTCTAATGATTTCATTTATGACTAAGTTGATGGTATTTCAGTGCAGAGGTCAGCACGCATCCCATTGTTGTTGAGTGTGTTTGGTCTATGTGTGTGTGTGTTTGTGTGTATGTTTCTGAGTTTCTCTTGAGTTTGCAGTCCAATATATGGATCCATGCTGCAAATGCATGAGCCCATTCTCTCCTTTGTCTGCTTTCTCCTGTCAAACCTAAGAAGTCTCCAGGGTGGTTGTGAAGCCATTCACTGAGCGCCAGTCATGGGCCACTGCACCCATTGAGCCGGTTGCCTGCTCAGCAGGCACCACTCTGGCTCAGAATACGGGGTGACAGGTGTGTGGTTGAGCAGGCTTCCTCATTAGGTCCTGCAAGGACAGTGCCCCTTTATCGACAGCCCTTATCAGAGAGGGATCAGTAAACAGGCAGATCCCGTGGCTGAGCTGGGCAGCATTAAAGGCTCCATTGGGAGAGGACCGATGACACCTGCCCTCTTCTACAAAGAGCTCTTCTTGCGAAGGTGACAAAAGGATTGCATTTCAGGGGAATGAAGGCCTATAGGGATGTCTTTCATCCCTCCCAAGCATTCTCTCCTGACACATTCAGCAGTTCTTGACTATTGAGAGGAAACCATTGAAAATCATGAAAGAGCAAAGGGCCCCAAGGCCTCCTTCTGTCCTGTCCTGCCTTTACTGATGAGACCTTCTAAGTTTCCACTGCTGACTCACTTGCAGTACCCATGTTCTCCTTAGGAGGCTGCATTGAGGAGAGGAAAAGTGGAAAAGGGTTAGTTCACAGCCCATTGAAGGAACAATAAACCCATCCACAGACAACTAGATTGAGCCCTGCACATAATATGATACCTGCTCTAATTTGGTACACAGTGAGTACAGTCCCTTATCCCAAACTAGAAAGAGCAGAATCAGAAAGGGCGCAGGGCCAAGTCATAAGGTGAAAAGAATGTAATACACAGGTTAAAATGAATAAGTCTAACTAGATTGCCAAAAACAATCTGGACCACTTAAGCTTCTGCGTTTGATAATGATATATGGTTAATCTGGCAGTTTTGTCCACATATTGTGGCAAAATGTGCAATTCCTATAGTGAAGCTAAGTGAGATGGTTAACTTAATGACTGTCACTATTCAGAGGTGTCATTTATTAGCTTCTGAACTCTTAGATGTTGGAGAACACAATTTGCAAAACAAGATATTGAGTTGATGGATGAAAGTGAACCTGAAGAAAATAGTCTAGAAAGGCTATATTCATTTAGTTTCTTTTTACTTTTGATTTTCATAAGTTCTCATAGTTGAGGATGGAAAATTAAAAACACATGACATTGGTAACAATACACAGTTGTTGTACAGCACCAAAATATTGTAGCATACCAGCTGTAACAGCAGTATGAAGCCAGAGCTGCTTCAAGGAGTAGGGCTTTGATAGATTATTTTTCTTAGATTATTTTTCTTCTCACATAACAAGAACTCGGGATGTAGGTAGCCTGAGGCTGCTTTGCTGATCATGACTTAGGGCCTTAGAACTTTCCTACTCTGCCACTGGGAATTCTTGCATGATGACTCCTGTACCTCCGAGCTTAGGTATAAGATGTAGGCAGGTAGAAACTGGGTCTCAAGAAAAAAGACACACATCTGCAGGTCTGCCTTCATCTTCCTATGGCTACCCCCAGCTGCAAGGAAATCTGGGAAGCTGCATATTTTAATTGGATACATTGTCATCCTCAACGTCATGGTTGTGAAATAAGGAGGAAGGGGAGGGTGGCTGTTGGGTGGCATACTAAATTCAAGTGCATTCAAGTACTATAGAGGGTAGTGCCATAGGATTTCAATAGGAGGACAGGAGAGTGTTCACCTAATCAGAAATGACACCCTCATGGAGGTGGAACTTAAAGGGCTTTGAAATATGTTTAGAGCTTCTGGAAACAAAACGATTTTTCAGAGCAGATGTAATGGGGACTAACGTGAGAGACAGGAAATTGCCTTATACCAAAGGCATGAGGCAACCTGTCTTCCCAGTATAAAAAGGAAGGATTGGCATTATAATGAGGAGAAAGCTGTCACTGGAATGGAAGGTACATTAAGGGAATCACAGGGAAATTATAAGAGCCCTTGAAAGACAAGCAGAGGTTCAGGGCTGGAGAGAAGAGGAAATGAAATAAGTTCTCATTCAAGCTTCCGGCATGAGTAGGTGGGGTAAGGCGGCAGCATCTCTAGACACAGGAAAAATGAATAGTCTGTTCAGAAAAATTGGAAAGAATCAATCAAAGGGATATTAGAATATCTTGCACCTTACTAGATAATAGAGCAAGTTTGTGCTCACGGAAGAAAAAGGAAATAGAACTATCAAAGATAGTCACACATTCTACGTTTCCTAGCAGCCCAGCAGAATTGTAGTGTGGCCAAGAATGTTGGAAAGAAGCAGCACATTTTTAGGAAAGAGGATGGTTCCATTTGCGATGCACTCAAGTAGACAGAGTCAAGCAGCCTAGGAACTGAGGATCTAGGAGCAGCACACAGGGGAGGCCTGAGGTCTGCAGGTATTTGGATGGGATTTATTACTATTATTATCATTGTAGGTTGTTTTCTGATTACCTAGACATTTTTATTTGTTTATTTGTGATACATAATGTACATATTTATGGGGTGTATGTGTTATTTTGATACATGCATAGAATGTGTAATAATCAAATCAGGGTATTTAGGATATTCGTCACCTTGGAAATTTGTCATTTTTTAATGCTGCAAACATTTCAGATCTGCTCTTCTAGCTATTTTGACACACACAGTAGATTATTGTTACCTATACTTACCCTGCTATGGAGGTTGCTGTCGCAGAAGGGACTGGATTTATTTGTAAAGGGATGAAGATGGAGAACCATAGAGAAAACCAGAAACAGAGCCTCATAGACACTCAGCATTAAGGAATAAGGTAGTGAGGAGAGAGAGCCATGATGCCAGGTCAGCAACACACAGCAAGAATGTGCTACCAGAGGTGCTGTCTTCGTCTGTTTTCACATTGCTGATAAAGACATACCCAAGACTGGGTAATTTATAAAGAAAACGAGGTTTAATGGACTCACAGTTCCATGTGGCTGGGGGCTGGGGAGGCTTCACAATCATGGCAGAAGGTGAAAGGCATGTCTTACATGGTGGCAGGCAAGAGAGAGCATGTGCCGGGGAACTCCCCTTTATAAAACCATCAGCTCTTGTGAGACTTATTCACTATCATGAGAACAGAATGCGAAAAACCCGCCTCCATGATTCAATTACATTCCACTGGGTCCCTCCCATTACATGTGGGAACTGTGGGAGTTACAATTCAAGATAAGATTTGGATGGGGACACAGCCAAACCGTATCAGATGCCAAGAAAGCGAAAGCACAGGGTGGGCGGCCAACAGAGCTGAAAGAGAATGAAGAGGAAATGGCAGGAACAGGCTGCTAGATCTGAGCATGGAGCTTATCCTCAGCCCTGGGGAACTGGTGCCAGTGGGTAAGAGATGGAGCCATGCTGCAGGCGTCTGAAGAGGGAGGTGTGGGAGGGAAGGAGAGGTAACAGGCTCAGGACAAGAAAACAGAAAACGTGCAGCCCAGCTGGGAGAAGTGGTAAGGCGGCAGTTCTTTTTGTTTTGCTTTTCCCTTAAGGCAAAGGTGATCTGAACACACCTGAAGACAGACAAAAAGACCTGCACAGAGAAACTGAATAGACATTTAGAGAAATGTACAATTTCTCCACATTTCCTACCAGCCAGGCAGATGGGTGATGTTTTGCATGTATGAATTATAGTGCCAGCCCTATGGAGCAGACAGTTCTTACTGCACTTTTTTAAAAAGTAAAGATGATTTTCCCCCTAAAGACAGGACACTATATATTTTTCAGAAATATGTTTTTGATATTAAAAAAATTCTTACTGAAGATTTTCATGGTTTTTCCTGTGTGCATAAATTAGGAGTAATACCTTGTAAACTAGAAATATGGCATCATTTAAAAATGTGAGCAATTCATGAATACGTATTTAAGCGAGGCAAAACTCACTGTGAGCATGCCCATTCCTTTTTACCCCCAGTTGCATGCATGAGTATCATAGTGCAATTAGTTTTCCCACTGAGAAATGCAATTCTTCATAGATACTGTCTAATGCCATGGAGGCAGGTCAGGAATGGGCAGTATTTGAGGGTGTTTAGCAGCACAAGCATGTCCAGCAGGGTGTATTTGTGTGAAGTGTTTCTACATACAGAGAACGAAGCAAGTACTTTATCATTTTCAGAAGCTTTATTTTTGCTTATTAGTTTTATTGAGACAGGGTCTTGCTCTGTTGGCCAGGGTAGAGTGTAGTGGTGTGATCACAGTTCATTGTAGCCTCAACTTCCTAGGCTCAGGTGACTCTCCCACCTCAGCCTCCTGAGTAGCTGGGACTGCAGGTGCATGCCACCATGCCCAGCTAACTTTTTGTATTTTTTGTAGAAATGGGGCTTTACCATGTTGCTCAGGCTCATTTTCAGAAGCATTGTGAAGGGAAAGGGAACATGTGAAATGGGAGAAGTTACCTTATCCCCTTTGCAGGGCGTGGGACAGAGGTGTAGCTTGCTTCTTCAGTGCCCCGACTCTCAAACCCCTTGGGAGAGCATGCAGACAGGCAGGTCCAGAGGTCATGGGGAGCATTTTTGGGCTCCGACCCCATGGCAGCATCTAGGGGTGAGTGTTTACAACTTCTGAAGCCCAAGTGGGTGTGTGTTACAGTGTGCTCTTTCAACATTGCCATCTGCAGGCGGCTTGTGTTAATCAACTCAATTAGACCCCCTGCCTTATTGCAAGGGCAGAGGGCTTTCTCTGTCCTGGATTTTTGCCCTAGTGTACCGAAAAAAATTGGATCACTGGTGGGCTTGGAGGATGAGTGCAAGGTGTTATTGAGTGGTGGATGTGGCTCTCAGCAAGATGGATGGGGAGCCAGAAAGGGGATGGAGTGGGAAGGTGGTCTTCCCCTGGAGTCGAGCTGCCCATTAGCTGGACTCTCCCCTGACTGCCCCCAGCTGATTTCCCCTTGGCATCCATGTCCTTCCACCATCCCTGGCCTACCAGTGTCTGCTAGTGTGTTTTTCTGCTCCTCTCGATGTCCAGCTGCTTGTGTATGTGCCTGCTAAGGTCTCTTGGGTTTATATGGGTATAGGATGGGGGACATGGCGGGCCAGAGCGGTCTTGGAAAATGCCACATTTGGGCGTGAAAACTGGAGTACCTGTTCCCACTTAGGCCTGAGGGCACAGACCTGAGGATGGAGCCATCACCAGGGACACTGCCTTCTCTACCCAGCACTTCCCTGCCCCCTCCCATATTAGATGTACCCAAATATTCATGTTTTTAAATATTTTTAGCTCTTAAGCATGTATACTGTGGTTCACCATTACCAATTAAATGGAAAAGAATAACTGAATCACTTAATTGTTCTGTTTAATTGGGGCCAAATCATACTTCTGGATTTTTTTTGTTGTTGAAGCATCCTTCATGTTGACTTTGCAAGCAGCATTTTTATTTCACAGAACTGTAACACATAAACTTGACTGTGAAGTGGCATCAAACCTAGATGAGAATATAAGATGTATAGAGGTCTAGACTAGAACAAACAAACAAACAAACAAACAAGCAACAACAACAAATCCCAAGCTCCAAGACTGTAATTCAAATGAAAACAAATAAAAGCTGAAGAGGATCTAAACTTCATCAGAAAAAAGAATCAGGACCTGAAACATACATTTGAGTTTCTGCTTCATCACTAAAGGAATTTAGATTTTAGGATTTCATGTATCTTCTGGGGACCCTTAGTGCTTTTTATCTGTAAAATAATGAGCTGGAGGAGATGATCTATAAAATCACTTCGAAGCAGCCCTAGAATTATGTGATGCTATGAAAATAAAGCCATCACTTGTTGAATGCTGCCTTTGGCAAGCTGTGTAGACATAAGAGAAAGATGTCAGTCTGATGGATGAGAATATTAACTGGTAGATCTGCAGCCTTGATCTCTGTGAAACAAGTTCATATATGTAAGCAACTAGAACATTATTTCTGGTTTCAACTTAGAACCATCACACAGCTGACTGGACACAGAACATTTGGGAATCAAAATCTCTGCCCATTTTCCAGCTATCTTAATGAGCAGTTACATTTGATCCCATTGAGCCTATAAATTGCTTCGATTTGGTCATAGTCCTAAAAACTCAAACTAGATATATCTAAATGTTTAATTCACTCACAATTCAAATATATTGACATTGCCTTCTGTAATGAAAGGCCATGTTGTTTGATAGTATAAACTTATGAAAGAAACTTACCTAATAGCAAGGCATGTTTGTGTAAATTCAGAAAAAGGAAAGTTAAGGGGTGACCGTGCTGTCATTTTACATGAAGATGTATCTTGTTCCCGGGTCAGGAGAGACCAATACCACGTTTGCTCCTTCAAATAGAAATGAGGCCTGTTTGGCAACTTGATGTGAGTGCTCTTCTTAACCTGGTTGTTGTGTTCTTGCTGTTTGTATCTCAGCAGCAGTGGGCAGCTGGAGCCTCCTGGGAGAGGATTTCTCCTTAGCAATCTCTGAAGTTATACTTGGGACACTTTAAAATAGGCATGAGGTTAACAAAGGAAAATAGCTATAATGTTCTGGTAACTAGCTGAAGCATATGTGTTTATGTCCACATGCAGCTTATGTTGAGCAAAAGTCTCTTGCACATTTTTAAGGAATTTACAAATGGCTCAGCCAGGTTTGATTTGCAGAATATTCTGCTTGTTGTACACCACACTCTGAATTCTATGGTGACTATTTTTTTCACTGTGATATTTCAGTTCTTAACCATGTGTCTAGCACATTAGACCTGTGGTAAGTATCAATAAAAGGGAAAGGGGAAGAGAGAAAGAATACCACTTTCATGTGTCTAGTCCTCTATATAGCCAACCCCTTTTCTGGGACCTATACATGTCCACGTCCCACCATGACCATTCCATTTCTCCCTTTGTTATTTCAGGCAGATGTAATAATTTCTGAGAAGTATCCATCTCCATTGCTGTTCAGGCCCTACAGTCCAGACTCTTCCCTCATTGCATATCCATGGCTCTGTTGTATTCTGATTAGCACCTGCACAAAAATATGCAATGCAGAACGTAAACAGGGGTGACCATCCATGTGTGCAGAATCAGAAACTCCAGCTACCTGCTGCAGCAAGGGAGTAGCTTCTTCTCTCTGTGCTCTGTTAGAAGGTGGAAGCAGAGGCTGAGATTAGGGAGATGAAGGATTTATAGAGCACCCTTCCTGTTCAATGGGAAGAAGCAACATAGAGGTTGAATGCCTCCTGAAAAAGCATTTCCTCATCATATTTAAAAAATATATATGTTACAGCGTTGTTTGTGATGTCATCCCATTGCAAATTGTCCTCTCTTTTCAACCCCAGTGGGTTTTATGAGCAGCAACCAGGGACACCTTTGTTGTTATTTTTGAAGAAAAAATGTAGGGAGTGGATTTTCAGTGCTCAGATGATGCATGGTTTGCATTCTTAATAGATATTAGAGCTTTTAACATTCAAATGCACTGAAGAATGGAGGCAAAGACCTTATCAGAATAATATATGTCTTATGTGCTTTTAAACATGACAAGTTTTTTTTTTATCATGGGGAGAAGAAAAAAAAGATGTATTTCTTAAACAAGATAATAGGTGCCATGTGGTTCATTTCCTCCTTAGCTTCGCAAGTCTCCAGTAATGATGGACAGGTAGCTTGTCAAAAAAAGCCTAATCAGTTTAATGTAACCAAGGCAGTCTACCCTACAGGATGACCTCTGCTGCGTCCATGAAGAATATAAATTTCTTTGGGGTTGGGAGAAAATAAAAATACAAATAACCATAGCAAGGCTTAGAATATCTTATGAGAGTCACCCTTTCGTGAAGCAATTGCTTTCTCTTGTACTGGAAATTGACATGAAATTTAGGGCTAAGTGCAAATGCCTGTGGTGTGCAGATCTCTGCAAATATAAGCCTGACCGGAAGGACAAATTAGATATTTTTTAAGGTAGCAGCTGAAGCTGGTGGATCAGAGCAATGCACACAGACAGGTAGGGACGGGTAAAACTTAAGAACCTACAGCTAAGACAGGGGTACGCTGTGTTTATTTTGACTGCAGCTGTTGACCACCATACACACATTCAGAAGTACTGCCAACTCCTTAAAAAGTCTGGGAATGTGGCCAAAGACTATTCCTGTCTTGGCACAGATAGGTGATTGCTTGGGAAAATATCAGAAAAAGTCACCTCCAACATGTACCCTGTTGGGGGCCTTGTGATATACAGGAGAGCTGGAGGGGGGGCCATGCTCCTGATGGGTGCTAACCGATGGATACTGTGCTGGTGCCAGGAAGCTCCTCCCAATCTGGGACTCACCTAATTTATATCCATCAGGAACAGAGTAGGACAAATGCCCTATAACGCAGAACTCCAAACCACACACTTTATTTTCCTTTCCTGTATAGCGTTTACCCATGAGGGCTTCTTTTGAGCCTGTCTTGAAAAAAAATAAAAATTCAAGATAAATGTATATTTATTTTTAAAAATATCTAAAATGCCATTCTAAGGCCTACTCTTAATATTTTGGAAGAAGGCTTTCTCTGTGCTAGTCCATGTAATAGACTCTTTTAAATCCTGATTATTCTTGAATTTTGAGAACATCAGACACCAACTTTATGTGGCAGTGAAGTCTTTCCAAAATATATCTCTATATATCTACACACACACGTGTGTGTGCATGTGTGTATGTGTGTGTATAATGGTAGCAATGTTAATATAGAAGGAAAAGAAGGAGAAAAACCACATGGTTATCTTGGTGTATATTTAAAAAGCATAAGATAAAATTCAACATACATCATGATAGCAACTTTTTGTTAATTATAAATGTCAGAGGCTTGTTTTATTAATTGAAAATTGTTTGTTGATGTCTCTTATCAATTTATTGAGACATCATAAAAAATAGAAGGAACCCACAGTTCTAAACTATTTCTACTAAATATATTCTAAAAGAACATGATAGCTTGTAAACCCAGTGTTGTAGGAAACAAGAAAGAATATGCATATGTGAGTCTAACAGACCTGGGAAAAATAGAATATATACAAAAGCGTTGAGACTTAACAATGTTCAATAAACACTCATTTACCTTATCTATCTCTATTCCTATCTATCTATCTACCTACCTACCTACCTACCTATCTAGCTACTTATACTGTAATGAGCCACATAACCAGATTTTGGTCAATGATGGACCACATATTTGATAGTGGTCCCATAAGGTTATAATGAAGCTGAAAAATTCCATTTTCAATGTCCATTGCTTGGTGACATTGTGGCTGTCTTAGTGCTGTAGCACAGTGTATTCTTCATGTGTTTGTAGTGATGCAAACAAACCTATTGCATGTAAACAAACTGAATGGTATAAACAAACCTACTGCATTGCCAGTCATGTAAAAGTATAGAACATATTATTATGTACAGGCCATAATATTTGATAATACTATGTTATTGGTTTTGTATTCATTATACTCTGCTTTTAATCTTTATTTGATAGAATATTCCATACACTTTTCTGAAAGTTAACTGTAAAACAGCCTCTGGCGGGTCCTTCAGGAAGTATCCAGAAGAAGGCATTATTATCATAGGGGATGGCAGTTCCATGCGTGATTATTGCCCCAGAAGACCTTCCAGTGGAATAAGATGTGAAGTTGGAAGACAGTGATATTGGTGATCCCAGCCCCATGTAGAGCTAGCCTAAAGTGTGTGTTTGTGTCTTCATTTTTAATTAAAAAGTTTAAAAGTAGTATATATTACACTGTACCATCTGGGTTTGTGTAAGTACACTCTGTAATTTTCACACAAGGACAAAATTGCCTAGGGACATATTTCTCAGAATGTATCCCCGTCATTAAGTGATGCATGACTCTTTGTGGCATTTCTGAAGATACAATATGTTGTTAAAACCAACCCTCAAAACAGAGGCAGTGTCATATTTTATTTAATTTTTAATTTTTTAATTTTTAATTTTTGAGGGTGCATACTCAGTATATATATTTATGGGGTACGTGAGATGTTTTGATATAGGCATGCAATGTGTAATACTCACATCATGGAGAATGTAGTATCATCCCCTCAAGCATTTGTCCTTTGTGTGATGAACAATCCAGTTATATTCTTTTACTTATTTTAAATGTACAGTTCAGTTATTATTGACTACAGTCAACCTGTTGTGCTATCAAATAGTAGGTCTTATTCATTTTTCTATTCTTTTGTACCCATTATCCATCCCCGCTTCCCCCTGACCCCGCACAGTCATATTTTAATGTCAGCTGGAAGTTATCCTTGAATTCCACAACTATTTAAGGAGTATCTATTTGAACAAAGCTCATAGCAGAGGTTACCAAATATTACCCCCAATTATCAAAGAATTACAGTGCACACATTTCCTAAAGTTATGCATCCAGAAAGCAACCCAGATTTTGTCATTGTTTTTCCTTGTTTTGTTTTTTTTTTTTTACATAAATGTAGTTTCTTTTTTAATGAACAATTGAACAAACTAGACTGAATTAAGGCAAGTATAAGTGTTACATAAAAGATGGTATCATTGTTTTGGAGGAAAATCCATGCCCTAATCAGTCTCAAACGTGAGTCAAATCACTATGGTTTTCAATAAAGACAGAGTCAGGATTTTTTTCTCACTGAATATGTTTGTTTGTTTTGTGTTAGTGTTCTATTTCACCTGTGTTGAGCAGCATGCTGTATTTTTCCCCACGTGGCATGATACTCCTGCTGTGTGTAAAGACATCCAAGAGAACAACATAACTCTAAGTGTTTCTGTCTCCAGAGGGGCAAAGGTTTCAGCTAAATTAATCTCTTAAAGGTTGCTTTGGGAAAGTGAGCATGCCTTTTTAATCTGCATGCCCTGAACTCTGAGTTAAGGACTTCCAAACAGCTTCTTTGTGACAGTCAAGAGGGAGTGTAGCTTTGATTCCTCACTGGAGTAGAGAGCGAAGGGAGAGACCCGAGGAGGCTTGTTACAAGCTGCTGTGAGGTGAGGGTCAGCTGGGTCTCCCTAACAAGGTGACTGCCACGTTTCCAACAGGGGTCCATCAATGCCAAAGTCCAATCAGAGCTGCTCAGCCTTTTAGGAATGCCTTTTAGATTTTTTATTTTAAAAAGAACTTTTGTATTAAAGGGACTTGACATTCCCCAGGTAGCTTATAATTCAAGACAGTTTGATCCGTGAGATCATTGTGCGTTCTTTAATGGAGTTCAGTGAAGCATAACCTGGGAGAAAAGATGATAAAAATCACAGCTGGCTTTACTCAAATTCAGGGCTGGCATGACTACTTTCAGGAGAGTGCAAAAAAAATTTTTTTAATTTAATTTTGAAAATTGGCCTGGTGAGATGTTTATTTCATTGAATAAGTTGTGTTCCAGAAAGTACCATGAAGGGATCAAATATTAACTTACTGCAATACAGTAATTATCTCCTATTAACAGAAAGCATTCTGAGGAAATGTGCAACAGTTTGTTCTCTGTATATGCCCCTCCTTCTGCACCTGGGCTCGGGAAACGATGGCCTGTGGGCCACATCTAGCATGCCGCCTGTTTATGTGAATAAAGCTTTATTGGAACCCAGCCATGGCCATTCATAGACAAGCTGTCTAGAACCTCTTTTGGATCACAACCGCAGAGTTAAGTAATAGTGAGAGAGACTCTGGTCCACAAAGCCTGAAGCATTTATTACCGAGTTCTTTATAGAAAAGTTTGCTGACATCTGAAGGACCTTCATACTAGCCAGGATCCCGATTGAGTTGTCTCTTCTGTTGAGTTCCTTCTTGGCAGAATCCCGCCTGGTATCTCTTTCCCAAAATACCTTTTATTAGCCTCATGTGGCTATGGAGTCCTTGAAATGTGGCTAACATTACTAAAGAATGGAGTTTTAAAATTCTATTTAGTTTTAAATAATTTAAATGTAAATAGGTACATGTGGTTAGTGGCAACCATATTGAGTTAATGAAATTGTGCTTTGGTTGCACCACAAACCAAGGAACAAAGAAGTCTGGCAGTCTCTGATCACATCGTGATTATTTGTTTTCTAAATGTTTTATTGTGAAATAAAATACACACACACTACACAATGTACAGAAACACAATTATACCATTTTTATTCAATGTGTATCAGATTATTTAAGATTTCTATTTTTTGAATTTGTCTTAATGTTTTTAAAGAAATGTGTATAATTTAAATTTTGAAATTTTTGACGTAATGTAGTCACGTTCCCCAGTTTATTTCTAGTGTCAATTATGTGAGCTCTGTTTTTTCTTTATTGCTGAATCCCCTTTTCTGATGCTTATCAATTTTATCTCTCTTTGAAAATAATCAGTGTTTAGTTCTCTTCTGCTCTATTTTATTTCTTTGTTCTCTCTTTGAGTCATTTCCTTGAGTTTATTCTATTTCTTTAACTGGTTGGTTTGAATTCATAGCACAAAAATCTTTAATGATTTTTCCCTAATATATGCATTTTAGACTGAAATTTCTGCTTCTTTTTCTTTGATATTATCAGCTTAACTAGCATGTAATGTGGCTTTCTTTTAATTATCCAGCTTGAAATAGGTTGATCTCTCTGATTCTATCAATTTATCAGTTTCATAAACCTGGAAAATTCTCAACCATTTTATCTTTGAATATTGTGTGTTGTGCATTCTCTTTTTAAAAATCTCCTTATATTTCATTCAAATATATTTTGCACTTTCTCATTCAATAGATTAAATATCAAACGTTTCTCTAATTTTTCTACATTTTTGTTGCTCTATAGTTATTCAGTGTTATTTCTACATATCTATATTATAAACCACTAATATCCTCTAAGGCTATCTTAATCTACCTTTAAACATTCCATTGATTTTTACATATCAATTATCTTTTTTTTTCCATTTTAAAAGTTCATGCTGGTACTCTTTCGAAAATTTGCCTGGTCATTTTTTTGGTATATTGCTTCTTACTCATGTCTCAAATTCCCTCTATCGTTGTTTAGACATTTAATAATACTTATTTTATATTCTGTATCTGATGATTCTAGTGCATGATAGCTTTGTTCATTTCTAATGACTATCACACATGGCAGGTAGAAGTCGTGCGTTTTGTAACTTTTTCATGGTATTTTGTTTTCCATTTGGATCTATCTCTCTGGAATTACTAGGAGGCTTGGATTGGGCCAATTTCCCCCAGGGACAGTTATGTTTGCTGCAGATACCTTGGAACATTTCAGAGTTGACACCCCTTTCAACACAATTTCTTCTTGATGCTTCTGTGGCCATTCGGAGAGTTTTCTGGCCACTCCCCCTTGGGGCCTGCTTGTCAGTTGCTTTCCAGGCAAAGCATGATGTTTATTTGTTCAAAATCCTGTGTGATTGCTGTGTCCCAGACTCAGGCACTGTGGGCACACAGACTCCAGGGAAAGCAGCTTGGGGCCAGAGCTGGAGTTTCTTCTGCTCATTGTCACTCCTGTCACTTAGTGGCAGAGTAACTTGGGGTAACCCTTGGAGTCTCATTTCCCTCTTCTGTAAAAATAAAGAAATGATTCCTACGTTATCATAATGTGGCGATATCAAAATAGAATAATTTGCAAAAATGCTTTCGTGGTGTTATAATAAGTACGCAAGACATGATAATGTCTCCCAGTGTTTATGTGAATATTGGCATGATTTTTATGTCAGTGATTATGACTGTTATCATTAAAAGACATGGCAGTTGTCTGTGGAGATGACAGAATGGGGAAGAATATATTAAAAAGAAAATAAAATTCAATAGCATATTAGATGAAGCTTTTGTACTATGTACTGGGGTAGACAGCAAAGGGATTAATTTATGACATTGGAACCCATTAAACATCTTCTTTCCTCCCAGCAGAAACATTTTGTTATCACCCAACTTTGACATGTGTTAATCCATAACTTGCTCATCCTCAGTAACTAAATAATTTAGTAAACTAGGTTGATCAAGCTATTTAACCTTGTGTTTCAAAGAGATATTAAAAAGTTAATGACATAGAAGAGGAAAGACAAAACGGTTTATTAACAGAATAATTAAGCATGCTAAAATTCTTATGTAAAAATGCATGAGAAAATACCCAAATTTGTCTTTTGCGTGTACCAAATAATATAGCATCAAAAACTGATTAAAAAATCAAGAGTAAACAAATGACATAAATAGTTTGAACACACATGTGTAAAAACAATCAGATCACCCCACCTCTCTCGCATGCTCTCTCTGTCTCTCTCTCACACACACACACATACACACACACAGTCTTACACTGTCTTTGATATAACATGAACTCAAAGAGACATATGCACCAAAGTTCAATGTTTATTTTTTTCACTTTTTTTGTGAAGGGGAAAAAAATAAACAGAAAAAAACCTCAAATTCCTATTAATGGATAAGTGGTAAACTTGACGTGTGTTCATTGTTACAATATAGCAGTCGAAAGCATATGAAAAAAAGCTCAACATTACTAATCATTAGAGAAATACAAATCAAAACCACAATGAGATACCATCTCACACTAGTCAGAATGGCTATTGTTAAAAAGTAAAAAAATAGCAGATGCTGGCAAGATTGTGGAGAAAAAGGAACACGTATACACTTCTGATGGGAGTGTAAATTATTTAATTCAACCATTGTGAAAAGCAGTGTGGTAATTCCTCAAAACCCAAAAACAGAATACCATTTGACCCAGCAATCTCATTAACTGGGTATATACCCAAAGGAATATAAATTGTTCTCTTATAAACACACATGCACACATATGTTCATTGCAGCACTATGCACAACAGCAAAGACATGGAATCAACTTAAATGCCCATCAGTGGAAGATTGAATTAAAAAAATGTGGCATACATACACCATGGGATACTATGCAGCCATAAAAAAGAATGAGATCATGTTCTTTGCAGGGACGTGAATGGAGCTAGAGGCCATTATCCTTAGCAAACTAACAGAGGAGCAGAAAGCCAAGTACCACATGTTCTCACTTATAAGTGGGAGCTGAATGATGAGAACACATGGACACATAAAGGGGAACAACACACACACTAGGACCTTTCAGAGGGTGGAGGGTGGGAGGAGGGAGAGTATCAGGAAAAATAACTAATAGACACCAGGCTTAATACCTGGGTGATGAAATAATCTATACAACAAATCCTCATGACACACGTTTACCTATGTAACAGACCTGCACATGTACCCCTGAACTTAAAATTAAACTAAAAAACAAACAAAAAACCAGTATAACAGTTGAAATGAGGAAAGACCTGAAGAGCATCACGTAGAGGGATAAAATGCAAGTTGCAAGACAGTATCTGCTGTCTACCGGTTATGAGGTATATTCAAAACTGCAGAGAGCATTATAGTGTTCCTGGCAATTATTATTTAAGAAAACATTACTTCAAAGAAGTGATTGGTTATATATTACACGTTTGATAGTAGTCACAACTGGAGAAAGAGAAGTAGTAATGAGACATGAGATGTTATCACAAATGACTTCATCTTTACATGTTTAATGGTGTTTTAAAATATCCAAAACAAACGTGACTGTGCTGTTGTTATTTTGGGGTAACATGTACATGAACTTTTGTCTTAATGTGTTTTATACTTTTATGTTTTCTTTTATTTAAAAATCATAAAGCAGATGAACAATAAATTTAGAATAGACTCCTAGAGCTAGGTGCAGTGGCTACCAGTGCATCTGTAGTACCAGCTACTTGGGAGGCTGAGGTGGGAGAACTTGGTGAGCCCAGGAGGTCAAGGCTGCAGTCAGCTATAATCACACGACTGTACTCCAGCTTGGGTGACAGAACGAGATCCTGTCTCAAAAATAAATTAAATAAAATAAAAGGTAGAATTAACTTAGATTTCAATTAATGCATTTCTGTTTATTTTTTTGCCTTATTTTGTAAATGTCTATAAATACAAAAATGAGAGCTGGGTGTTGTGGCTAATACCTGTAATCCCAGCAACTCAGGAGGCTGAGGCGGGAGGATTGCTTGAGGCCATGAGTTCAAGACCAGGCTGGGCAATATAGCAGGACCCCCATCTCTAAAAAAAAGGAAATTAGAAAAAAATAAATAACCTCCAGAAGATAATGTTATTTAGAGGAACAGCCCCATTGTTCTATGAGAGAAAATCGTTTCAATTTGTTTAGACAATTTGGCTTTCTTTCTCTTTCTTTCTTTCTCTCTGTCTGTCTTTCTTTCTCTCTGTCTGTCTGTCTCTCTCTCTCTCTCTCTCCCTCCTTTTCTTTTCTTTCTTTTCTTTTCTTCACAGGGCCTTGCTCTGTTGCCCAGGCTGAAGTGCAGTGTTGCCAATCACAGCTCACTGCAACCTCCACCTCCCCAGCTGAAGCAATCCTCCTACCTCAGCCTCTCAAATAGCTGAGACTGTAGGCATGCACCACCATGCTTGGCTAATTTTTGTATTTTTTGGAGAGATGGGTTTCACCATGTTGCCCAGGCTGGCCTTGAACTCATGGACTCAAGTGAGCTGCCTGCTGTGGCCTCCCAAAGTGCTGGGATTACAGGCGCAAGTTACTGCGCCCAGCCTAGACTGACTGATTGACTTTCTTTCCTTCCTTCCTTCCTTCCTTCCTTCCTTCCTTCCTTCCTTCCTTCCTTCCTTCCTTCCTTCCTTCCTTTTCTTTCTTTCATTCTTTTCTTTCTTTCTTTCTTCTTTCTTTCGAGATGGAGTCTCGCTCTGTCGCCCAGGCTGGAGCGCAGTGGTGTGATCTCGGCTCACTGCAAGCTCTGCCTCCTAGGTTCATGCCATTCTCCTGCCTCAGCCTCCCGAGTAGCTGGGACTACAGGCGCCCACCACCACGCCCGGCTAATTTTTTGTATTTTTAGTAGAGACAGGGTTTCACCGTGTTAGCCAGGATGGCCTCAATCTCCTGACCTCGTGATCCGCCTGCCTCGGCCTCCCAAAGTGCTGGGATTACAGGCATGAGCCACCACGCCCAGCCTAGACTTTATTTTTAATAATCTAGAGAGAATATATATCTTCTCATTCCCATACCATGTAAATATAATCAAAGCACAACTAATTGAATTGTACAGGTGACTTTTTTTGCTGTAAAGGAATTGAACCATCAGAAATTTTCCGGCATATAGATTAGCAGCATGGGACCCTGAGTGTGGTTCCAGACTAGCAGGCTCTAGCAGCATTCGCAGAGTCGCAGGCATCTGCTCAATGCGCTTTGTTCCTATGGCCTGCCGTGATGTGCATGCAGTCAGAAAGGAATGGGCACCTGGGAATACAATTCTCCATCCCTCTTTACAACGAATAATCACTCAGAATTTTCACCAAAAAGTAGGCAGTGTTATTCTAATATAAAATATCTCTTCAGAGCAATAGGACTTGAATATTAAGAAAGGAGTAGAACTTTAACAACATTAGTATCATGAAAAACTTAAACTGGGCCAGGCACTATGGCTCACGCCTATAATCCCAGGACTTTGGTAGGCCAAGGTGGGTGGATCACTTTAGCTCATCAGTTTGAGGCCAGCCTGGGCAACATGATGAAACCTTGTCTCTGCAAAAAATACAAAAATTAGCCAGACATGGTGGTGCATGCCTGTAATTGCAGCTAGTTGAGAGGCTGAAGTGGGAAGATTGCTTGACCCCAGGAGGAGGAGGTTCCAGTAAGCTGAGATTGCACCATTGCACTCCGGCCTGGGCAACAGAGCCAGACCTTGTCTCCAAAAAAAAAAAAAAAAAGAAAGAAAGAAAGAAAGAAAAAGAAAAATTTCAACTGAAAAAAAAGTTTAAATTAGCTTTGTTTTGAGATATTGCAAATTGTCATATGATGATGATATTGTGTCCAGGATAATCCCTTGATTTTCTTAGTTCTCTTTTTATTAGGAAGAATGATCACCAGCAACATATAATGTACAAAATAAAGTACACTCCTTTAGTCATTTACACATTTATTTCATTGCAGTTGACATTTAATGCATAAGGCTATTTCATTCCTTGGGGTCTTGCTCCTGAACCTCCATCTGCCTAGAGCGATTTAACCACATGTTGTCTATTTACTCAAGAGTCATCTCCTCTCTGCTGAGTTCAGGTGCCCTACTCCACCCCCAGTTACAATGGACCACTGAGTCCTACCATTGACTATGAGAAAGGAAACTTCATACTTAGTCACACGCATCTGCTGGAATATGCGCTTGTGTGCAGGCCTGTGTGTACCTGTGCAGCCATTATCTGCTTGGGGACAGGAGTCATGTTGTATTGCTTATTCTATCCACAGCACTTAGGACAGTGACAAACCCATGACAGATAATCAGTGTGAAATTCTAACATGCTGGAACAACACAATTAGTGTCATATACAAAACTTGACAGTGGAAATGGGCAACATCAACCAGGAAAAGTTCAACTTGTTGACTCAAGACATAAAAGCATGACTGAATTTAGGTACAGGAGATACAAAAGGTTAGTAAAAAGGATGTGCTTGATATTTGAAAAGGTTATTATTATGGTGAAAATATTTAAAGACATACAAAAGTAAGAAAATAGTGTAATAAACTTTCTATCGCCAGGCTTCAAAACAGAAAGTTACTAATGGCCAATTTTATTTCATCTATACCTTTCCTCCTGCTACAGTTTAAATGATTGTGTTCCTTCCAAAATTCATTCTGTAACCTAATCTCAATGGGATGGTATTAGGGGGCGGAGCTTTGGGGAGGTGATGAGCTCATGAGGGTAGAACCCTCCTGGATAGGATTAGTGCCCTTACAAAAGGGACACCAGAGAGCTCCCTTGCCTCTTCCACCACATGAGGACACAGAGAGAAGGTTCTGCCTATGAAGCAGTAAGCAGATCCTCACCAGCCACTGAATCTGCCATGCCTTGATTTTGGACTTCCAGCCTCCGGAATTATGAGCAATAATTGTCTGTTGTTCATAAGCCACCCAGGTGATGGTATTTTTGTTACAACACACCAAGCAGACTGACTCCTTTTCCCCCTTTGGATTATTTTGATACCAGCTGTGGAGCTCACCTTATGTTTTCTGTAAATATTTCAGTATTTATCTCTAGAATGTAGGAATGCTTTGTTAAGAGTCATGTGAATGTGTGACTTTGGAGAGCACACTAGGGCTTTTGAGCCTTTATTTGAGAAGGGCACAGCATAACATGGTCAACAGACAGCAAAGATGGCTCTTGAAAAGTATACCTTGAGTGGAAAGGTTGATCAGAGGAAAGCAGTATATTTGCATTAATTAGCAGAACACGAAGTGCATTGCTTACTCTGTATTCCCTTGAAAGGCTTCTTCCCTTCTGGAGATAACTTTCTTAATGACACCAGACTTAGCTTGCAGGCGTGGTGGCTCATGCCTATAATCCCAGCATTTTGGGAGGCTGAGGCAGGTGGATCACCTCAGGTCAGGAGTTTGAGACCGGCCTGGCCAACATGGTGAAACCCTGTCTCTATTAAAAATACAAAAATTATCTGGGCGTGGTGGCACACACCTGTAATCCCAGATACTTGGGAGGCTGAGTCAGGAGAATCGCTTGAGCCCAGGAGGTAGAGGTTGCAGTGAGCCAAGGCCGTCCCACTGCATTCCAGCCTGGGCAACAGAGCAAGACTCCATCTCAAAAAAAAGAAAGAAAGAACTTTTATTTTTCTATTATTTCATCATTTCTGCCTCACTTCAAGAAACAGATATTTAGTAGATGCTTAGTAAAAATACTTCTAGATGACACACTCACTTAACTTTTGGGAACATATAACTGCGAAGTATTTTGAGTTTCTTTCAATTCCCATCATGGTGCATTGAGTTTATCACATCAATGTATGATTTAGCTCGAAAGGTTTTATATTTATATATTCAGATCTCTCTATATGTCTGTAGACATTTATATATATATCTATATATTTCATATATGTATTTCAGGAATTTATAGACCACACATTCATATATAGATACAGATATATATATGTGTGTGTGTGTATATACACATATATATTTATACGTATATACGTATATACATATACACACATATATACGTATATATGTAAACGTATATATACACGTAAATAAATATATTTATATATACGTATATACGTATACACATATATACGTATATATGTATATATACGTATATATGTATGTATATATGTATGTATATATACGTATACACACACACACACACACACACACACACACACACACACACACACAGAGATACACAAAGAGATACAAAGAGTCTAGGGACATTTATTCCAGGAACACTCATGGAAAAGGAAAAATACCAGCCTTGTCAGATATTAGTATTAAAAAAAGGAAAACATGTTAATATGGAATTTTGTTATGGGAATTTTTAAAACACAGTCAAATATTTTCTGTCACTATCTCTGTACAAATACCCACCAAAAAAGAAAGCAATGAAAGCAAAGTCCAGCTTATATGCAAAATATGGTAAAAATCCTCTATACCAGAGGTCCCCAACCCAGAGGTCCCCAACCCTCAATCCATCTGTGGCCTGTTAGGAACCAGCCCACACACCAGGAGGTGAGCAGCGGGCAAGCGAATGAAGCTTCATCTGTATTTACAACCACTCCCCATCCCTCTAATTACAGCCTGAGCTCCGCCTCCTGTCAGATGAGCAGCCACATTAGATTCTCATAGGAGCACAAACCCTATTGTGAACTGCGCATGTGAGGGATCTAGGTTGCATGCTCCTTATGAGAATCTAATGCCTGATCTGTCACTTTCTCCCATCACCCCCAGATGAGACTGTCCAGTTGCAGGAAAACAAGCTCAGGGCTCCCACTGATTCTACATGATGGTGAGTTGTATAATTATTTTATTATATATTACAATGGAATAATAATACAAATAAAGTACACAATAAATGTAATGTGCTTGAATCATCCCAAAACCACCCCCACACCCCCTTGTCCACGGAAAAATTGTCTTTCACAAAACTAGTCCCTGGTGCCAAGAAGGTTGGGGACCACTGCTCTATACCCCAATAGGCAACATTTTCATTCTTCTGTGCTATGTACATTCTAAGAGCTTGCTCTGTAATCACAGTGGCCTGTGCCTAGATTTTTTTTTTCTTTTTGAGTAAGAACTAGTAAGACAATGGCTAATACAGTGGAAGACTGTGATGAATTTTGTGTTTAATAAAGCAACAGATGGTTGGAATTCATTTTAATTCCTTAGCAAGAATGAGTAAAACCCAGGAAATTGTTAGTATTCACCTCTTTAATGGAAAGTCATAAAATTAGTCTTCTTCCTTCTGGATTTGGCCTCAATTACAGAGTGTGTTGGATTGGTGATGTAAAAGTTACTAAACACCATGGGATCGTGTAGGGTGCTTAATCAGTTATATTGCGGTCCTATAAAACAGCACTCTCGTGATAGAAATTAAGGCGATAAAATAGCTCAATTAGCTGTCTACGTATGGGTGTAGTAGAATGAAAAGTAGAGAGAGGATTCAGGCCAGACACAACCAGTGGACCTTCTTCAGTCAGAAATGGAAGTTTGGGATGCTGGGGGGTCTTGGAGTCAAGCCAATTGTTTATGGTTCATGAGAGGAGATGGGGTGACATGAAAAAATCCTCAGAGCTTTTGGAAAATTCTTCAAAACAGTAAAAATTAGTGAACGTATCTGTAATATTTTACTAAGTCAAAGATGCATTCTTAGACTATGATTTTAAAGTGAAAGTGATCAAAGATGTTGATAAGTCACATATCCTTATTAGAAATAGAGGAGAACAATGCTTTAGGGAGAAAATAATGTGTGTCCAAGGTTATGTTGTTAGTTAATGAAACAAGGACTAGAAATAATTTTTTTCCAGATTCTACTGAACATTCTGTACCACACTGCCTCTTCTTTTTCTTTTTTTAAAAATAACTTTATAATGTTACTTTAAAAGGACTAAAGAAACAGTCACCTAGTCTCTGTATAATTTATTGCTTTTCAAACATCCACGTGTGAATAAAATATATGTTTTATAAGAATAGTGTATTACTTTGAGTATACCAGCACACACTGTGGATCTCCTCACCATGTTGGCATGGCAAATGGTATAATTCATTCAACTCAACATAATTTAATGATGTCTTTAAACGTCTGGCCCTGTTCCTTAGAGTAAGTGTGTTGAGCAGAGTTAAAAACATACATCTCAAATGTTTGGCAGTCCCTCTTTTCTCACAATCATTGAATAAATGAAGTATTTACAGATGCACAGTTTTTTCTACTCATTTTCCCCCTTATCCATTTCATCCAACAATTCTTGTTCATTCCATGATTTAATTGTATTGCCTGAAAGTAGTGACAACTTTGAATAATCATTCACACTCATGTTGAGATGAAAATACTATCTAGGAGTGAGTTTCATTAATCACAAATCTCTTTTTTAGTATACACCACTTTTTCTTTCCTATTTCTGTGTTAGGCCCATAATTCACACTCTCACTCAAAAGAGAGTAGAGCACCTTGGAAATTTCTGTTGGGAGGCATGGCAGGTCGACTTCTATTAATAGATGGTTCCTGTGACTTTCTCTCCCCAGTATTACTTTCAGAACTATGTTACATTTATGTACAAGGCAAAAGGGATTTTTGCAGATGCAGTTCAGGTTACTACTGAGTCAACCTTAAAATAGGGAGATTATCAGGCTGGAACTAATCCAACCATGTGAGCCATATAAAAGCAGTGTTTTCTCCAGCTGGCGCCAGAAGCAGAAGTCAGAAAGATCTGAAGCATGAGAAGCTTTGGATGGGAGGGAGGCTTTCTGACACTAAAGGATGTGGACGGACCCAAGAGCAGCCACTGGGAGCTGAGAGTGACCCCAGCCAATAGCCAGAAAGGATTTGAGGGCCTCTGCCGGGCACGGTGGCTCTCACCTATAATCCCAGCACTTAAGGGGGTTGAAGTGGGCGGATCATTTGAGGTCAGGAGTTCGAGACCAGCCTGGCCAACATGGTGAAACCCCGTCTCTACTAAAAATACAAAAAGTAGCCAGGCATGTAATGCATGCCTGTAATCCCAGGTACTCAGGAGGCTGAGGCATGAGAATGGCTTGAACCCGGGAGGCGGAGGTTGCAGTGAGCCGAGATCGCACCATCGCACTCCAGATAGGGTGACAGAGCAAGATGCCATCCCCCCGCCCCCAAAAAATTGGTGGGACTTCAATCCTATAACCACAAAAAACTGGATTCTGCCAGCAATCCCAGTGAATTTGAGCAAGATTTTTCCCCAAACCTGCCAGCACCTTCATTTTGGCCTTGTGAGATTCTGAGGAGAGAAATTTGCTCAAGTTGTAGTAATTGGTTATGCACCAAAAGAAAATTAATAGTTTTCTAGGGGCAGACAAGATTTTTACCATCATTTAAAATTAAAAAAAAAAAAAGATGTGGAGGAGAAAGAAAGAGGGAGAGCGACTAAATGAAAATGTTCTACTCTGTTAAGTTGTGCTATTGGAAAACACTCTAATGGAGATGGGGGCTCCAAAAAGAAAAACGTGTTTGTGAGCAGGGGATAAAAAGGAAGAGAAACCTTTGGGAAGAAATAGGAGAGAACAAAGAGGCCCCTGCCCCCTGCCCAGGCCTTGCTGTAGGTCAGCTCTGGAAGACAAGGGAGGCCTACAGAGGAAGCCGCGTCATCAGGGAAAAGCTAGGTTTGTGTCTGGGGGAGAAAGTGAAGAGAATGTTCAGAGAAGGTTTCAGGGGGCAGAGGAGTTTGCTGAGGACACAAAGGAAGCCGGAGCAAAAAATCCCTGAAGGGTTTTAGAAGGGAGAACAGGGGAGGGGAATGGAGGCAGGTTAATGGTATGTACGAGTGGTATAAAGGTATAAATGATGTAAGTAAAGACGTGACCTGGCAGGCGCACTCCTGCTGGTGCCTGAGAGCACTTGTCCTGATGGCCCTTTATGATACAGTGAAGGAAGAGGGATTCTGAGAACACCTTAGTCCCTGCAGCTTCTGACAGTTGGGCTATAAAGTGCAGTTCTCTTAGACAATCACGAGTTCAACACCGCCCCCCTCCCACTCCAGTGTCAACTCCATGCAGGCAGATCACAGAACAATGTCTGGGATATCACGGGTGCCCAGGAGGTATTAGTTGAGTGAACTTCAGGAAGACTTTCTTTTCTATGTCCTAATATTAACAGTGCCTGCAGAGAGAGGAGTTTAGAAACTGCTTCTAGGCATGTTGAGTATGAACTAAATCAAATTACCAAGAAAGCCTCAAAAGCCCTGAATCCTGATGCTTAGATAAAACAGACATTTGGGTATATATTTTTATTTTTCTTTCTTTATAGAGAGCAACTGTTCATCTATGAGAATATTTTATTTCCATTCCTTCCCCATCCCTAGCCCCCAAAAAGAATCTCGACCCTCCCACATCCTTCTGCATTTGATCAAATGCCATTTTTTTTCCAGTTGTTCAAACCAGATAGCTTGGATCTTTTTTTAGCTCTCTGTGTCCCTTACACTGTATAACTCCTGAACATATTTTCTAGGCTCTGTCTTTCAACTATATCCACAGGAAGCCACTATTTAACACCTCTACGTTTACCCCCCCCATATCAAGTTAGCAAACACACATCATAATGCATTGTGTGGGCTATGAAGTCTAACTGGTCTACCTGTTCCTACCCTAGTCTCCCCATATAGCAGCCACAGTGGTTCTATTAAAGTGTAAGTCACGACAGGGCCCTGCATTGCTTTCCTTCTCAATCCGAATGAAATCCAGTCCATGTCAGCATCTACTACATGATCTTGCTCCCGCTCTCTTCCAGGTGTCTTTTCCCATCTCTTTACCTGTTGTTAAGAGAGAGAGCCAGCCATGCTGTCCTCCAAGTATGACTGTGCTGGAGGGGGTTTCCACTTCCTGTTTCTCCTGCATGGAATATTCTACCACCAGATATTTTCAGGGCTCACTTTTTTACTCCCACAACCAGAGAGATTTTTGTTTTCTTCTGATTGCTCTATTCAAAATCCCAACCACCTCATCACTCTTTATTCTTAAACATGGCATGCTTTTCTTCCTAGCTCTCATTATCACCTGCCATATTATATATATTTATCTCTTTGGTAGTTTTTTGTCTCTCCACTTTAGCGTGTAAGTTCCATGAGGGCAGAGGCTTTTTCCATTGTGTTCGTTGGTATTTTTCCAGCTTCTGAAACTCCGCCTGTTATTTAGTAGGTATTTAACAAATAGTAAATGAATGAATGGCTTTATTTCTTCCAATAAATAATGGCCATTAGAAACCTGGTTTAAAGATACAGTCACACAGTAAAGAGTGGAGATTTTATTCATGAACAGGACCAATAAAATGGAGAAGAAACAAAGTGACCATGAAATAACCAAATGATAGGATGGGTAAAAAGTCACTGACTATGGAGCTGATGTAGACCTTCAAGATGCAACTCCTTAGTCTGAAGATGATGACAGTGAGACCAAAGGATGTCTCATTTATGCCCTTTCAAGCTCAAACAACTACATTACCACCTGGCCATGACAAGAACAGTCTTTGAATTGTCCAACACAGAAGATTATCTCTAAAAATTAGAAGGAGAAGAGACATGGAGGAAAATGAAGAGTAGAACTCTTTATTGATTGGCTATTTGCCAGTCACACAGTTATGCATTAGGTCTTTAAGTGTGCTTATGCAAGAGAAGGTAGACACAAATATAGAGAATAGAGCAGATTATCAGTCCTTTCTTATGGTTTTCATAACTGTTAAAATATCTTTCTTTGTTTTTAACAAGGAATCCAGGGTTTGTTAATAGCTAAATTTGAAGAGGAAAAATACATTAATGTTTTCATAGCATAGTTTTAAAGGAATAAACATAAATATTAAAAATAACTTAAAATAGTAGCATAACATTAGGGAGAAAGGTTTATTTATTACAAAAAAAAAGAGCTGAAACACTGGATATACAGTGGCTAATTACTGCACCAGCACGGATAATACTTCATGAAGAAAGTTTTAAGTAAAGCTGAAGCAAACAAAAATACTTTAAGACTTACATCATAAAGCAGTATAGAAAGAGATTAGTCAAGCCACCATTTCAGCTAAGCCAGCCGCACTTATGCTCACATCGGATGACATATTTACATTTGCTGGTCTGAAGCAAGGTGATTTATAGGGGTGAGTCATACTTGGCATCTCCTGACAATATATTGCCTCAGATTAAAATATAAACACTTTTCACTGTAATTTTGAGGTGTCTTGAGCTTCATCTAAAAACATATTTGGTGCTGAGCGAATGAAATCCCTACACGTTCTATTTAAACAATGTTTTAAAAATATATCATGTTCAATGCATTCCCCTGGATCTAATTGTCAGATTGGATAAGCTAAACTAACTTTTGGGGCTTGGCCAGATCAAAGCTAAGTCTTCTATACATTAGAAAGATGTGTAGCTCCCATTACCACTGACATTTTGGACAGCTACTCGCTGTTCCAAACCTGCCTTATCTCTATTTCTGTCTCCACACTGCACGAGCTTTAAATGGCCACTGGCTGGTCAGTGTCTCCCCATGTTGTCTACTTTTTCTTTTTCGAGTTTGAAGTAGTTACTTTGCTACTTGCCCCTCTCAGAACCTCAGAATTCTCTCAGTTCTCCTCTCTCTTACTCCCAATGCCTTCCAGTGGCAAAATCCTGCTAATTATATCTCTTAGATACATGTAAGGTATCTAAAGAGATAACCTTGCTTCCACTTTTCCAAGTCGCTGCCCGTGATGGTTAATATTAGGTGTCAACTTAATTGGATTGAAGGATGCCTAGATGGCTGGTAAAGTATTGTTTCTGGGTGTGTCTGTGAGAGTGTTGCCAGAGGAGATTGACATTTGAGTTGGTGGACTGGGAAAGGAAGACCCACCCTCAATGTGGATGAGCACAATCTAATTTGCTGCCTGCATGGCTAGAAGAAAGCAGGCTGGAGAAGGTGGGATAACCTTGCTTGCTGAGTCTTCTGGCTCTCTTTCTTCCTCCCACACTGGACCCTTGCTTCCACTCCTCCTGCCCTTGGACACCAGACTCCAGGTTCTTCTGCCTTTCGACTCTGGGACTTGTACCAGTGGTTTCCAGGGGGTTCTGGGGCCTTCAGCCACAGACTGAAGGCTGCACTCTTGGCTTCCCTACTTTTGAGGCTGTTGGACTTGGACTGAGACACTGTTGGCTTCTTTCTTCCCCATCTTGCAGATGGCCTATCGTGGGACTTTGCCTTGTGATCATGGGAGCCAACTATCCCTAATGAACTCCCTTTTATATATACAGAGATACTATTGGTCCTGTCCCTCTGGAGAACCCTAGTATACTGTGCACACTTTATAACTTCTCTCTAGAGTAGTCACGTCAGTTTTCTGGCTGTTGTCTCCACTGCAGTCTTTCCCCACTCTAATCCACCTTGAATAGAACCCAAAGAGTGACCTTCAGAGAGCTCAGCCCTTTCATTGTTTCTCATTGCCTGGAGAGCAAGACTCAAAAGTTCAAGTTGGCATTGATTCTGCAGACCAGCCTTAGTCTGTACTTTAGCCTCATTCTGCATCCTCCTGTCCCATCCCCAGCATACCAGCCCTACAGAAATCTGTCCACTCTCCAATTATACCTAACAGGTTCCTACTTAGGAGACTTCCTTCCAGTAGGGCAACATCTTTTCAGGGCCTGCTCAAGCCCCATTTCTATGTACAGTCATCAGTCAATCACAGCTCTTCCTCACTTTTTGCTTTTTTTTTTTTTTTCTCAGATGGAGTCTCACTCTGTCGCCCAGGCTGGAGTGCTGTGGCACTATCCCAGTTCACTGCAATCTCCGCCTCGTGGGTTCAAGTGATCCTCCTGCCTCAGCCTCTCAAGTAGCTGGGTTTACAGGCACCCACCACCACGCCTGGCTAATTTTTGTATTTTTAGTAGAGATAGGGTTTCACCATGTTGACCAGGCTGGTCTCGAACTCCTGACCTCAAGTGATCTGCCCGCTTCGGCCTCCCAAAGTGCTGGCATTACAGGTGTGAGCTACCACACCTGGCCACCTTTTGCCTTTAACTGAATTACAGCATCATCAAAATCTTCCCTGTACCCTGTCCGATTATGTGTTCACCCACATCTGCAGAGGGCTACTCTGTAAAGTGTGCGTGCTGTATTATTCATCATTGCAGTCTACCTGGTATCTAACAAAATGCCTTGCACAAATGAGCTGCTCAATAAAAATATGCTGTTTCTTTTTGATCCAGTGGCTGAGGTTTATCCCAGAAAACAAAATGCCATATGTCTCTGTTCTGTCTGATGGTATTGTGGCTTTAACTAATGACTGGTTTAATTTGGGACTAGCCACTCAGAGAAACCATTCATTCTAAACTCAACATCTGATAATGAATTTGTATATTCTCTCTCAAATGGGTTAGTTCCATTCTAGTTGGTATTTTTACTAAATTAATTCAATAAGTTGCCAGTGAAAATATCAGGCACTGAGACTGGGTGATGATGAGAAATTTGCGGTCTGGGATACTTTTTGAAACCACCAAGCCACATCACGTAGGTGGTTTCCATAGGTCGGGATAGCCATGAGTGACTGACAGTTTTCCACTTTTCATTCTCTTTGCTTCATGCTCTGAAAAAATGTATATATTGGTCACTTCTCTGACCCAGGTATACCCAAGGAGAGGCATATCTAAAACTCGCACAGATCTTAAGCACAGTTTTGAATACACAGTGGGTTCTTCTTGATTAATCAATTTTTGACTGACATAATCCCAGTTAATCTTTGGGATCAAAGACCAGTCTTAGTCTTTGACGAGGCTGGTCTTTGACAAGTTAATTTACGAATCTTCATAATCAGTAATGCCCTGTTTTCATGAACCCAGGGACCACAGATTTTCCCTTGGTTTTAAAAGTCTTCCCAGTAAGGTACAATGTGACGTTTTGACATATGTAAGCAATGTGAAATGGTTAAATCAAGCTACTTAACATATCTATCACCTCTTTTAATGCTTTTTGAGGTGAGACATTTAAAATTTACTCCCTTAGTTATTTGGAATATATAATACATTAGTACTGACTATAGTCACCCTGTGATGCCTTAGATCTCAAGATGTATTCCTCATGTCTTTCTGAAACATTGTACCCTTTGACTAACAACTCCCCATTCCCTCTCTGCTTATCCCCCCACACCATCATCTGGTACCCACAATTCTACTCTCCCTTTCTATGAGTTCAACTTTTATAGCTTCCACATATGAGATCATGCAGTAATTGTCTTCCTGTGCCTGCCTTAATATTAATAAAAATAAAAATTTAAAAAGTCTTCCAAATGCACTAAAACCTATCACCTACTTTGAGCTTTCTTATAGCACCTTTTGTAGAAAGCCCATGTATTAGTTCATTTTCACACTACTATAAAGATACCACCTGAGACCAGGTAATTTATAAAGGAAAGGGGTTTAATTGACTCACAATTCCACATGGCTGGAGAGGCCTCGGGAAACTTATAATCATGTTGGAAGGGAAAGCAGGCCCATCTTACATGGCAGCAGGTGAGAGAGGGAGTGTGTGTAGGAGGAAATGTCAAACACTTATAAAACCATCAGATTTCATGAGAACTCATTCACTGTCATGAGAACAGCTTGGAGGAAACTGCCTTCGTGATCCAATCACCTCCTACCAGGTCCCTCCCTTGACGTGGGGATTATGAGGATTACAATTCTAGATGAGATTCGGGCGGGGACACAGAGCCAAACTATATCAGCCCATATCCTCTGAAGCCAAAATTTCAACATTTTACTAAATGGCAGCAAACTGAAGACTATTTACAAGTCAGTATCCTAGAGATGGGTTAACACTTTTTCCTCCTTGTCATGAGCACATGGATGTGCAATTTCCAGGAAGCCTCTTTTAGAAGAGATCCTGAGCGCTTCCCAAGCCTGCAGACGTGTGATTCACTTTCTTTCCCTGAACTTGACCCCACAAGAACCCACCGTAAATTGGAACTGTTCTTTGAAATTGCGTTTAACACTAAAAGGACACGTTGGAATTAGACATCATGATTCATCTTTCCTGTTTGTTTCAATGTCAAAATAATGATAAAATGTTTTTAACATTGAATAAAGAAAAATACACCTCTTATAGCTGTGGCTCCTGTGAATACTGTGGCTCCTTGGGCTTCTTTCTTCACTGTCTCTCACACCAAGGGGTATTTTTATTAGAGTTTGAGAAGTGGTGTCCCATTGCTTTGATAGGAAAGTTGCAGGGAAGATGTATAGTGGCCCTGAGGACACTTTCCACCAAGTCCTTTCTCTCATTCTAGGTTATATGTCTATGGCCTCCTTGCTGTGATATGTAGCCACCGAGAACTTTGTTCTCTCTAATGGAATGTGTGATGGAGTGTATATGTGTATATAGATACACACTACCTTTAGCCCCAGCTCATAGACCTACATTTTCTCTTTCTCTTTTTTTTTTTTTTTGAGACGGAATCTCACTCTGTCACCCAGGCTGGAAGTAGCACGATCTCGGCTCGCTGCAACCTCTGCCTCCTGGGTTCAAGTGATTCTTTTGCCTCAGCCTCCCAAGTAGCTGGGATTACAGGCGTGCACCACTATGCCCGGCTAATTTTTTGTATTTTTAGTAGAGACAGGGTTTCACCATGTTGGTTAGGCTGGTCTCAAACTCCTGACCTCAGGTGATCTGCCAATGTTGGCCTCCCAAAGTGTTGGGGTTACAGGCGTGAGCCACCGCGCCCGGCCCATTTCCTCTTTCTTGTTCATTTATTTTCTGTTCATAAAAGAGAGAACCGTGAGATCCCAGAGAATGAGTAATCTACACAGGAGGACAGTCATTAGTGTGGGACCCTAACTGAACACAGTTTTCCACTGTGTCTGAATAAGGTCCCCCAACCAGTGAATACATTACCTTATACAGCATAAAGGGATTTGGCAGATGTCATAAACTAAGGATTTTGAGATTGGGACATTATCCTGGATTATTTAGGTGAGTCCAATGTAATCACAAGGGTATTTATAATGAAAAGAAGGAGGCTGGGGGTTCAGAGGGCAGAGAAGGCCATCAGACAATGGAAGCAGAGATTGAAAGGATGTGCTTTGAAGGTGGAGGAAGGGGCCAGAAACGGAGGAATGTTGGAAGCCATGAGAATCTGAAAAACCCAAGGAAACGGATTCTCCCTGCAGAGGCTCCAGAGAAACTAGATTTTCTAGCACCTTAACTTTATTTGGGTGAACTTTATTTAGACCTTCTGGTCTTGTGTCTTGTTTTTAGCCACTGTGTTTGTTGTGATTCGTCATACTATCAATAGGAAAGAAATACGCCTGCCAACTTGATTTCCTGCCTGGGGCTTTTCCATGAGGAGGAAATAAACAACTGTATTTGAGCCATGCAATTTTAGGGGGTCACATGTTATTGTTGCTCGCTCTATACTACTAATAGAGAACTTGCGTTCCTCTTCAACTGATACTCTGGAGACAGTAAGCTACTTACCCATCTGGGAGTTGGAGAGAGAGAGAGATTTTGATAGGGTCTATCTTATAAGTGTCAACTATGTAGAATCGGAGAAAAAAAAAGAATAATAAAAAATGAATTCAACCTCTGAGTGAGAAGACAATCATCAATGAATTACAACCTCATGAGAGATAAAGTATAACTACTTAGTGGCATGAGTACCTTGACAAAGTAACTTAGTGGCACGAGTACCTTGGTAAAGTAACTTAGTGGCATGTGTACCTTTGATAAAGTAACTTAGTGTCAGGAGTACCTTTCTCTTCTTATCTCCTGCCTCCTGACTCTTCCTGGCAACTGTATTTGTTTAAGATGGTAAATACATAATTGAATAAAAATGTTTAAAATATTGATGTTGGTAGAAAATATTCCCCATATATATGAAATAAAATAAAATATTTAAATTACATCTGCCTTGATAAATACCTTTATCATGATTCAGTAATCCAATACCCTATAATTAGTGGTTGCTTTATGTTTAAGAAACTCAACTGCAGAAATTCAAGATAAGGGATTGGTCACTACATTGAGATTCTAGGTCCAAAGATTTAATTATCAAGAGTAGATTTGGGGACAGCATTTAAACTCTGCACAATTTCCCATCTCCAAACTTAGACAAAAAATGTATTAGAAAAAAAGTATTAGTTTATCAAATTTTTATTCATATAATTCAGAGAGAAAAAAAGTGGTTAATTTTAGATAACTGTTTTACCAAACATATTTTTTTCTTTGTAACAAAAATGTAAGGGAAATTTATTCTAAAATTATCTTGTATTAGTTTTCTATACCACATAACAGATTGTCACAAACTTACTGGTTGAAAACAGCACATGTGTGTCATCTCATAGCTCTTGTGATCTGAGAATATGGGCGTGGCTTAGGGTCCACTGCACACTTTTACTTGCTGTAATCAAGGTGTCACCTGGGCTCTATTCTCACCTTCGAGGCTTGACTGGAGGAATCAAGTTTAGGTTGTTGGCAGAACTCATCTTCTTGGGGCTGAGTGAACGAGGGCCCTGGCTTTCCACTGGCTTTTGGCTGGAGGCCACCTTCAGAACCTAGTGGCTGCCTGCAGCCCTCTGGGACATGCCTCTCTCCATCTGCAGTTCACACCATGTAAGTTTGCTGCCTCCGAGACTCTAAGCAGTCTCAGTCACTCAGCTAAGTCTTACATAGTGTAATCAACAGAGTGGTATTCCATCATCTTTGACTTATTCTTTGGGTTAAAAGCAAGTCAGAGATCCTGCCCACACTCAAGGGGAGAGGAATGCACAAGTCCTTACACCATGGGGGCCATCTTAGAATTCTGCCTAGGCCAAGTATATTATTAAGAAAGGTCTCTCTCTCTCTCTCTCTGTGTCTTTTTCCATATATATACAACTGACCATTTAACACATGGGTTTGAACTGCATGAGGGTCCACTTATACACAGAGTTTCTTCCACCTCTAAGAACCCCTAAGAAAGCAAGACCAAACCTTTCTCTTCCTCCTCCTCCTCAGCCTCCTCAATGAGGATGAGGACCTTTATGATGAAGATCTTTATGATACATCATCTTTTTGATGATCCACTCCCACTTAATGAATAGCAAATATACTTTCTCTTCCACATGATTTTCTTAATAACATTTTCTTTTCTCTAGCTTACTTTATTGGAGGAATAATAATATGTATAATACATATAACATACAAATATGTGTTAATTTATCATTCATGTTATCAGTAAGGCTTCCTGTCAACAGTAGGCTGTTAGTAGTTAAGTTTTTGGGGGAATCAAAAGTTATATGCACACTTTCAACTGTACAAGGGGTCAGTGTCCCCAAACACCCATGTTGTTCAAGGGTCAACTGTGTGTATGTGTGTGTGTGTATAAGATTATATATATATATAATCTGTACTTTATATATATATATAATCTGAACTTCTTATACTTATATATAATCTGTATCATCCTCTTTTAAAATCTAATAAAAACCTAGATTCTTCCTTGAGTTTTTTAACATATTTCCTTTACCTGTTTCCTATATCTATTACCTATACCTCTGTGTAATGTGTATTACCCTATCTTAAAAAAGTGATAAAAAATACATCTAATAAAAACCTTGCCTCTTCCTTGAGTTTTTCAGCACAGTAAATGTTTCCCTGGCCAAATCTGTTGAAATCAAATTTATTCTCATAGTCAGTTTCATCTTTGGCTTTTCATTCCATGAGCGAGCCCCACATCAACCCTGCATTTTTGTGTATGGACTGCATATTACAAGAGCATTGTCAAATTACCTAGATGTTTAATGACTTAACAAGACAAAAGAAAACTTACAGAATAAAACAAAAATGATAACCCCCCTCCCAAAAAAGAGTTAGTAATTCAAACTACTACTGATAATTTCCTTATATGACAAAAACATTTGTGAGAGTTGAGCAGAATTGATTATTCATCTTGAAATCCAGACATTTCACAGGAATGAGCTGCATTAATCTAAATGAAAACACAAAGGAGGTTTTTGGTTTTAAGTTGACTGCATCTAGCCATAACAAACCCATGGAAAGTTCTTATGTGGAATAGTTCTTCTCAGTCAGACACTCCATTTATGGGCACAAGGTTTTAGATGTGATTTGGACCTGATGAGAAATGTGAAGTGATGTATATATGTTTGCCATGGGAAGATAACATGTTTTTTACAATATACACATAAAAAAGAGATAGGAATGTTGTATGTGTCTTAGCTATAACTCAAAATTAAGAGACATTACCTCCAGGGCTCTTTGAACACTATTTTCAACATATTGGGAATTTTTCAGGAACAGATTTTTCCCCAACTTAAAACCAGGACTCACATCTTTGATGTTACACCACATCTTACTTCTGCTACTTGCTTCTGGCTCCTTTTTCTCCACCAATCACTCTTTCTCACTTTCTTCATAGACTCCTCTTCCTCCTGCACCCAAAACATTCATCCAAAAACACTGTCTGTATTCCCCTCATTCTTCTGGGCAGTCTTGGTTTCTGCATCATTTTTGTTATGCATAATATGCTGTGGAGTTTCAAATTTGATGTCCGAGCCCTCATAGCTACCCCATGTTTCAGATACTGTGGTAGGCAGAATAATGACGTCCTCCCCAGAGATGTCCACCTGCTAATTCCTGGAATCTGTGAAGATGTTACTTTAGATAGCAAAGGGGAAGGAAGGTTACCAGTGGCATTGAGACTGTAAATCAGCCAACTGCAAAATAAGGAGCTTATTCTGGATCATTAAAATGGACACAATGTAATTATAAAGATCTTTAAATGTGGACGAGAGGGTCAGAAAGGGTCTCAGAGTGATGCAGTATAAGACGAAATTGACAAGCCATTGCCGCTGTTGAAGAGAGAAGAAGGGATCGTGAGCCAGGGAAGGTAGACAGCCTTAAGAAGCTGGAAAGGCAAGGAAATGAATTCTCCCTTAGAGCATCCCTAAAGGAACACAGCCCTGCTGGCACCACCATCCTGGCCCCATGAGGCCCATTTGGACTTTTCATTTCTAGACCTTTGTGTTGTGCTAAGACACTAACTTTGTGATGATTTGCTGCAGCTGCCATCAGAACCTAGTACAGATGTCAGCTCTCTGATGGACACAGGTATCTGTTGCATTTCAGGCATCCAGTGAATTCTTCCATTACCTAAATTAAAGGCACTCTGTTGCCTTTGTGTCTGATCTAGAAAACACAGTTGTTCTTTCTTCCCTGGACCTCCACATCCAATCAGCCATCCATTGTGGTGCTTTTTACCTCTTAACTGTTTCCCAGATCTGATCTGACTCATAGCGCCTCTCGCCCTGCTTTAGTATAAGTCATTATCATCTTTCATCTGGAGGGACTTAATAGACTAGCGGGCTTCATTGAATATACTTTTAACTGCCTTAAAACCATGCTATATATAGTGATTAGTAACCTGTCCCAATCAGAAATATGAAACTCTTGTGTTGGTTCTCATCAACTAGAGAATAAAGAGCAGGCCCCTAGCTTGCATCTGAGGTGTTTAGTGATGCACAGAGCTCCACCTGTCTTCCCTTTTATCCTTCTTGACGTTCTCCATGGCTGTCTCCATGTTTCGAAGAAAACCAGTTTTTAATTCTCCTCATAGAATAGGCTATTTGAAGTCTCCATTCAGTTTCCCAAATGGTTCCATTTTCTTTGAAATTCCCTTCTCATCCTTCCTCAACTGGATAATCCCCATGATCCTTCAAGTAGCCCAGGCACTATTATCCTCAGGGAAATGCTCTTAACTCTACCACTCTGAGCTAGTATCCCTTATTTGAATTCTGGTGGCACCCTTTGTGTGTCCTCTCATCACATTTGCCATTTCAAATTAAAACTATTCTGAGAAAGTGAAAAAGGTGCTGCCTTTGTGGATCAGAATTTGGAATCATTAAACTAAATTCATTTGCTAATAAAACTTTCTGACATTTTGAGAGGTTAGGGGGCACTTTAAGAGCATTAATGTATTGGAATAATAGCAGAGCAATATATATGCTTTTGGCCAGATAGCAGTTGACTTCATCTAAGAAGCGTCTCTTCTTGAAGTTCACAGCTTCCAACAATGGTTCTCAACCCTTGGGGAACATTAGAATCACCTGGGTAGACCAATTAAAGCAAAATAACTGGAGATGAGAGACCCAGGTAGCAGAATTATTTCAAAGTACCTAGATGAATCTCATATGCAGCCAGAATTGAGAAGCACTGCAGGAGGGAAATGCTCATTAAGTGGTAAGAGATGAAAGGAATTCCATCTAACTGGATTTAACACTCAAAATGTAGAAGGAGGTTATACTGTAGCCATAACGTCTTCCTTCCAGCTTTTGTGTGTGGTTTGCCTGTCTGAGCCAGTGTTCTCTTTGTTCCTGCTATCTTTTTGTAAGCTAGCTCATTCATTCTCCTCACATTAAGTGACAATTATGACTTAATCATGTCTGTGTTTATTGTTAGAATAGGTATCTCCTTTGAGCTCATATCTATCTTTTTTGACATTTTCGCTTAGATGTGTCCCAAATTTGTGTCACAAACTGATCATTTAATTTTACCTAAAACAAAAACAACTCTTTTCACAGTTTTCCAGATCTTAACAAATGGTACCGCTTTCCACCCAGGTTCTCAAGCCAAGCATTTCAGAGTCATCCTGTCATCTTCTTCCTTCAACCCCCAAGTGCTGTTTGCTCCCATCTCTCAAGTGTATCCCAGTAGACACAGTTTTGTTGTTGTTGTTGTTATTTGTTTGTTTGTTTGAGACGGAGTCTCTCTCTGTAGCCTAGGTTGGAGTACAGTGGCGCTATCTCAGCTCACTGCAACTTCCTCCTCCCTGGTCCCGGTTCAAGCAATTCTCCTGCCTCAGCCTCCCAAGTAGCTAGGATTACAGGAACGTGTCACCACGCCCAGCTAATTTTTGTATTTTTAGTAGAGACAGGATTTCACCATGTTGGCCAGGATGGTCTCGAACTCCTGACCTCGTGATTTGCCCGCCTCAGCCTCCCAAAGTGCTGGGATTACAGGTGTGAGCCACTGCGCCTGGCCAACACAGTTTTTATAATCTTTACCATATCTAATTCACACCTCCATCATTTATTGCCTAGACCCAGTGACAACTTCCTAACCTGCCCCCCAATTTCCTCCTGCTTCCCTACAATTCATTTTCCAACCAGCAGGCAAAGCAGTCCCTAAAATAAATAAATAACTACATTGGATAAAAAGCTCACCTATTTTAAAGCCTTTGAGGACTTTCTTTGGCCCTTGGAATAAATTAAGGCAGTTTAACCTGGCTTGCAGGACTGCAAATTCCAGTGCCTGCTGAGACATTCAAACCCATCTTGAGCTGCACTACTCAAGTAACTTATTTTTGTATTTATTGTAGATTTCTCTCATTGGCAGGTATACTATGAGCACAAGGACCTTGTCTTTTCTAATGTTGTACCTCTTTCTGGGAAATAGCGTTCAACATGACTTGTTTTTGTGAAAAAGGAGAAGATGGCTCCTAGATGCACCATGTGAGATCTGATGTATTTTTTTAGACTATGACACTGGCAAAGTAGTTAATGAGCTTTAGAAAAGCATGGAATCTTTCTAAACATTTCCATGAGGGAAAAATAACACGGTATGAAACTCTGAGAAATACATTTTGATAATTTAGGAAATATATTAGAAATGTAAAGATGAAGGTTATCTGTCTTTTGCCTAAGGATTTACATAAGGGATAAGATTCTTCAAAAAAGAAAAGCACAATAGCTGAAAATACTTAAGTGTTCTTAATCAAGTCAAAATCAAGGCAGGCTTCAGTCACAGCAAAAACCGAGGCTCAGGTGGAAGCTGCAGGTGGCCCCTCCCTGAGCAACCACCTAACTGGTTTTGCCAAATAAGATACACTGGCTGAAAGTTAGAACTGACATGTGGGTAAATGATAAGGTTTATTGAGAAGCTGTCTATAAGGAGGAGCTCTTCAAGAAGGAGATCTGGAAATATGTCAATCTAGGTGATATGGTTTGGCTCTGTGTTCTTACCCAAATGTCATCTCAGATAGTAATCCCCATGTATCAGGGGAGAGAGCAGGTAGGAGGTGATTGGATCCTCGGGGAAGTTTCCCCCATGCTGTTCCCGTTATAGTGAGTGAGTTCTCACGAGATCTGATAGTTTTATGAGGCAGTTTTTCCTGCTTTTGCTCACTCTCCCTCTCCCCTCCCACCATGTAAGACGTGCCTGCTTTGCCTTCCACCATGATTGCAAGTTTCTTGAGGCCTACCCAGTCATGTGGAACTGTGAGTCAATTAAACCTCTTTCCTTTATAAATTACCCAGTGCCAGGAAGTTATTCATAGCAGCGTGAAAACAGACTAATATACTAGGATAAAAGAAGAAATTTCTGTGTAGTGTAACTTTCCTCATCTCCCTATGAAACTCAGTAAACTCCATATTGTTGATTTTATTTGAGAGAATCCTATGAAATGATGAATTTGCCTTAATGGAATTCCTTAAGGGAGCTCTAGTATTTTGAAAAATTCCATTTGGGAATAGTTTCTCTTTCTTTAAAATACGGATTTTTTTTTTTTTTTTTTTTTGTAATGTGGACTTTTGAATGAGCGCAATGGAATGGATTTTGGGAATGTTATCCAACAAACTCCCAGTGGGAGGCAAGTATCAAACCAGTAATCCAGAAATTTGAAGAGGGGAAATTAAACAAACAGAATTACTAACTACTGACAAAGACTACTACTAAGAAGAGATCAAAGAGGTCTCTAAAGAATACCGTAGAACTGGGGAAAAATACTGAAGGAGGAAATAAACTTGGAATGGTGGCCCTGCCCCAGGGATGGGATTTAGACCTTATTGGAGAGGCTGAGGTTGCAGTCTGCCAAGGAAATGGGTGGAATGAGGGGAAGGGGTTAGGTTTACTGGGATGTCCGAGAGGAGAGCTGGTCCACAGTTAGTGGGTTGAGGCTGGTACACAGAGATCCAAAAAACAAAAGCTGCTGGAGGGGGACTACTGGGTGTCCCACGCACACCCCCCTTGAAGTCATGTCACAGGAACAAAGGAAGAACCAGAACCAGGAGAGGAAGCCCCTTTCTTCCTGGGAAAGCCCTCTCATACTGTCTGCTGACAAAACTTGACATGTGCCTGATGCCAAAGGAGAAATGTTTAAAGGTTTCAGCTCTGAGCATGGGGAAGCAGAGCACAGAAGGGTGCATTTGGAATTGAAAGACAAAACCTTGAGAACTGACACAGGGAGCAACCTACCTTCTGCTTCCAGGTGCAGCCCCTTTTAATATCAGGAAGATCTCTTATGTTGTAGGGAGCTGCCTGAAATACATCCTCCTGTGTTGAGGTACTTGGGGTCATTGTTAAAATGTAAATATTTGGGGAGAGATAGCATTAGCACTTTGTACTTCATAGTCAAAAGGGAATAATAATTAGTGATGCGACACCCCCATATGATGATTTTTAAAGATTCTTTTCATATAACCTATCTCTGGTTTTCTGATGATCTCAAAGATGAGCATGGGGCAAATGGTGTAAGCATAATTTAAGGATTCCACACTGCTATGCAAGTTATAAGGTAAAGGCAAAAGTTCCCTACGCTACAATTGCTTTCCTTTTGGGATTACTTGCAGCTTTTCTCTAGTATTTTTGCTGCAATAAACCTTCTGATTGAACCTACTGGCATAGTTTTACCCCAGAAGGAGGGATTTTGGATTCTAAAACAGTATCCATATATTTATATACTTAAACCCCATAAAATTATTTGTCCAAATTATTTTTAGGACACAAGTTTATAAATCTGAGAAGAACCAAATGCTCAAAATGAAATAAACATAAGCCAAATATTGGCCCATCTCAATCATTTTTGTAATGAAGTATTTAGTCTTGGAAAGGATGCATGAGACAGTTTGCTGTTGATATTGTTGTACTTACAGCTTAACCGTAGCTAGCTAGCTAGAGACATAGATACGTTTTATATGTATATGTATCAGCATATGTCAATATTTATACATATGTAACCATAATATGTAACCATTATATATGTGTAGCTATAACTGATAGAACATATTTTAATATATTTTGTATAGATGTCAATCTCTCATTTTTACATATAAAATTTAGTTTGGAACTAGTATGGTCAGGCCAAAACAGACTTAAGTTTCTTTTAGTATTAAAGATTACCAGCTGGGCACAGTGGCTCATGCCTGTAATCCCAGCACTTTGGGAGGCCGAGGCGGGCAGATCACCTGAGGTCGGGAGTTTGAGACCAGCCTGACCTACATGGAGAAACCCTGTCTCTACTAGAAGTACAAAATTAGCCAGATGTGGTGGCACCTGCCTATAATCCCAGCTACTCAGGAGGCTGAGTCAGGAGAATTGCTCGAACCCAGGAGGTGGAGGTTGTGTTGAGCCAAGATCGCGCCATTGCACTCCAGCCTGGGCAACAAGAGCAAAACTGTGTCTCAAAAAAAAAAAAAAAAAAAGATTGCCGTAACTTGTACATATTTTATTTCAGATCATATGAAGGATCAGATTTGCTGGTGAATATTTATTGAATGCAATCAAATTAATATTAATGCAAAATAATGATTATGTCTTTTAATATAGACTCCAAATTCTTGGACTTCAGAGTCAGGAAAAAAAGACCTTTTAAATTCCAAGTTTATAGGAAAAAATAACATTGCAGACACATCAAAGATTGGTAATTTGTTAACCTGAGTAAATTCTTTCTGCTTCTCAAGGATCAAAAACCCATACACTTCTCCAAAAACATGAGCTTCAGCTTCACCAGTCTTGTCAGCTCTTTAAGCAAAGAAATGCTGCTTCCTTCCTCTCCAGTTTCATAAGGGATTTAATAGCTGTTCTTATGACCTGCACCCCATTCTCATATATAACATTTTCTAATTCAAAGATTCTGGTAGACGTTTCTCTCTACCTGCATGTTCTAGAAGCTCATCTATGTGCTTTGAAAATCTACACACTCTGCCCCTGTGCTTCACATTTTGCAAACATAATTATGTAGAAAGAAAAGAGGACTCTTTATTTTTCAGGCCATAAGTCTCCAATATAACTCACACTTAAGAGGGGCTTCTCAGATTAGAATTCTCTCAAATGGGCTCTTGTCACCAATTTTACAGGACAGCTAATGAAAACATCCTAGTAATTTTCAGAACAAATAAAGAAAGCAAATGAATACCCTGTCAATGTTCTAATTGAATAGTTCCAACTGCGCCTGTATCTCTGGGCCATTCAGACTTTCCCAGTTGGACTTTTGTTTCTGTTCCCCCCCCCCCTCCCCCACTCTTGTAGAGATTCAATGCCCACCACACACAGGGTTTCTTTGCTGTCTGCCCGTAGGGTGGGTCTTCACAGTACGGACTTTGATCTGGCAAGGACTGGAAAATAAAAGCTTCTATCAAAGGTGACTTTACCTAGAGTGAGCTTCCTTTTACAGTAGAAGAATAACTGCCCTTTGTTATGAACAAAACTCAGAATGAAAAATAGCTGTCACCTCCAACTCTGCACACTTGGAGGCTTTTTCTGAGAAATGATGTTCTTCTTAGTCTACTCCTAAAGACAGTGACAAGCAGCTGGGAAAGTGTACATTATTCATCGTTCCGCCTTCCTCACTGGAAGGAACGTGGGTGTAGGATAAATAACATTATTCCCAGTGTCTAGGCCAATTTGGGATGCTTTGCATATTTTATTAATCCCCTGCTATTGAGAAAGATAATTCATTTGGACTCATGAGCACTGAACTATGAAAAGCCAAGATTTTCCTTTTGTTGGAAATTTTCTGGTATGTCAAAGAAACAAAGTAATAGAACTAAAGACATCATATATCCAGGAGGGTTGGATTCAGGTCTCAATTTATTTGAAGAAAGATTAGACAAGTATCAACTACAGTATTGTTGTTTTTTTCAGCAAACGTTTAAAAATAAGTGTGCCCCTTTAGGCTGTTGGGGTTCTTTGGGAATGCTATAATGGTTCAATTCAGGAAGGAGCAACTAATGAGACCCTGTAGTTCTCCGCACCCCAACCCCCGCCCCAGTTCCCGAATATTTGCAATTAGTTAATCTTCCCTACAGGAAACCAAAAGTTTAATGATTCCTTACAGGTAATTCGGCATGGGGCATGAGTGAAAAGGTGAGTTGAAATGAAGCACAAAATAGAAAACAGTGGATTCCCAGAAAATCCCACCACAGGCAAGGCACACAGCAGCATCCCACATCCCCAGGATGGGAGGAGTTACCAGGTTAATGTGTTTCTCGGGTCTATTTTTGTAACAGCAGCCCGCCATACTCAGCATGCATTCCACCTCTGAAATATAATTACCAGGATGTGAAAAATGATAGAATTCACTGAAATGATAATATAGCATCTGTTAAGATAACTTTTGGCAGGGTTCCCAGCTTTTCGTTACTTAAGAAAAATAATGATGTGTTAGTCACTGTGAGAAAAAGAAAACTCTGAGAAAATGTTAATAATGCCTACAGTGGAAACCATCATATGCATCTGAGAATATCCAGTGACGAATTTTTTTGGCCTTTATCAGTTATTGCTTGTTCCTCTAAGGAACAATTTTACAGTGGACAAAAAAAAAAAAAAAAAAAAAAAAGCTTTCTTGAGTACCTAGTGCCTAGTTCACTGTTAGCCAGTAAATACCTTTATGGTTGATTCCTTATCATGTAGGGATACAACTCAGGGAAATCAATAAAAAGAATTTAAAAACTGGCAAAATTATATATTTTAAAGTAATGTGTACATAAAGGGCACAGTGGAATTAAACTAGGGGCTAAGAATAGGTAGGTAAATTTTCAAAATGTTGCTGATGTGTGGGGATCTGTCTACACCAACTCAAGATGTTAAGTTTCTATTATCATGCACTGAATGACATGGCTCTTTCATCTTTTCTTCGAAAATGTTTAGGATTACCACATACAATGCAGGATGCCCAGTGAAATTTGAACTCCAGATAAACTGGACACACATTTACCAAAGAGAGATCTGTCATTTACCTGAATTTTAAATTACTGTGACATTCTCTGTTTTTACTTGTGAAATCTGGTAACTCTGGAAGTGTTGCATATTTATACGTATATGAAGCTTTTTGGTCAATAAAAACAAAGGAAGTTGAATGATAGCACAGCCTATCAACTGCCCAACATGCCAGAAAACAGTACGATGTAATGTTTGGGAGAAAAAAAAAAACATCATATAAGGTTGGGAAACCGTGTATACTTTATTCTGTCCTTGATGATTCCAAATTCAACTTAGTATATTAAAATCTCTTAAGAATCCCTACACTGGGAAAACTTTAATAAGCTGTCTTTAGCCCAGAATTGTATAACACTATTTTGCTAGAAACTAGAGAACCAAGTTCATTTGGGAGAGGGTGAACAGTACTTCTTCTGTGTGTCTGTGTGTGTGTACATAATATACCTCTAGGAAATATTAGGAAATATGAATTTGAAGATTATAATTTCTGCACAGTTAATTTCAGCATAGCATTGAAAAATACTGCATTTTATTTCTATTTAACCAAGTGTCTTCTGAAATATCTTAGCATTTATTATTGGTGAAAGGGAAGGAATTATTTCATCTACCTTTTGAGTTATTCTCAGGACTCATGCAAAATAACAATATTATTTTAAAATATTTTACTGGTAAATATTGGACCTTTACTGAAGATCATGCACAATATCTACAGTGAGAAATATTACTATTGATAAATTAGGCAACCTTGAAGGTGATTCAAAATAGCAAGAAAGTGTCAACTTGAAGACTCAGCTCAACCTTGCAATTTCACTAGTGCCTTAGACTTTTTGGTATTATCATCTACACCTGTATATGTGCTGTATAATTCCAAGATGTTGTAAATAAGTTTGCTCAAATAGCTTTCTCTACTTCTTCAGTGGGGTTTGAAGTTCAACAATTCTGAGCGTATCCTGTCTGGTTTCATTTTTGATGCTATAGTAGTTAAGGATTTGAATTCTGATTCTGACCTACATTCACAATTTGGTTTTGACATGTGTTTGCTATGTGACCTTGAGCAACATATAAGATTGCTCTAACCCTTCAGCTCATCTGTGAATGAGCTGTATATAATAATGATACCTCTTCTCAGAGGCTTCTGTGAGGGTTCAGTGAAAAAAATACATGTAAAGCATTTAGCCTTAATAAAAAGACAGTATCATTATTATTGTGTTGCTAATTACTACTTTATTTTTGCTTGTGATGTTGCTGCTGCAGTTGGAGCTGTAGCAATTCAAACACTCTGTGGGAACAGCACTTTGGGAACTGAGGCATTTTTTCCAAGGGTTGCTCCAAGAATTAAATGAGGTGATGTAAAAATATGCTGTGCTTTGACATCAAAGGTAGAATTCTTCCAAAGAATGCCTTTGTCCTGTATTCTCTCAAGTACAAGTTGTGGAAGGCATGGAGTTTAGAAGAGGGAGGACGGATGATAATATCATCCAAGGATAAGGAAAGGAAATGTGAAGACCCCTGAGGACAGACATTTTCTATGTGATTGTGCCAAGAAACAATCTTGCCTCCATGTAAGCTTTCATTTTCAGAAACCCTTATGAGAAGGTGTATTAGTCCATTTTCATACTGCTATAAAGGTACTACCTGAGACTGGGTAATTTATAAAGGAAAGAGGTTTAATTGACTCACAGTTCCACATGGCTGAGGAGGCCTCGGGAAACTTATAATCATGGCGGAAGGTGAAGGAGAAGCAAACTTGGACCTGCTCACATGGCAGCAGGAGAGAGAGAAGTGCCAAGAGAAGGGGGAAGAGCCTCTTGTAAAACTATCAGATCTCATGAGAACTCACTATCAGGAAAACAGCATGGGGGAACCACCCTCGTGATTCAATTACCTCTACCTAGTCTCTCCCTTGACACATGGGAATTATGGGTAGTATGGGGATTACAATTCAAGATGAGATTTGGGTGGGGACACAAAGCCTAATCATATCAGAAGGGGTTGTCAACAGTCTCAGTTTAGTCCACCCAACATTTCATTTACAGCATCTACCCCTCAGCACCTGCCTGTCTGATACACTTCAGTATAGCAACCCATCTTGCCTTACCTTGTTTTATATTTTTCTTCTTCAGAGCATTTGTCGCTGTGTGGTTGTAGATTTCCCTCACAAGACTAAGTCCAATTCATGAGGTTCTTTGTTTTGTCCCTTTGCTATGCCCCCTTTACAATCATAGTGACTTGTACACAGTGGGCACTCAAGAAATAATTGTTGAATAAAAGAGCAAATGAATGAATAATGACTGTTGAACATTGGACTCAATTTACACAAGTATTAGTGGAATAATTTAACCAAGAATATTCTGTCATTTCTGAACGTGCACTTTCAAGTTTCTAGGGAAAAAGAAATTCATCTATTTGCCCATGTATCTATCAATTATCTATCTACGTACCTACCTATGTATCTACCTATCTACCTACCTGTCTATGAATCATCTATCATGTATCTACCTATTTATCTTTCATATCTATATCCATATTTGTATCTATACCTACTTCTACCTATATATCTTATTTATATCCACATATGATATGTAAAACAGAATGAATGCAGAGCAATTTATGGGCAATGTCCTTCAAAGAGTACCATTTTAAATTACTTAGGTACTTCATATTTACCTGTAAAATACTTAATTCTGTATGGCCTTGCCTGTTGTTTGGGTTATGAAATAGGTTGAAACACAGCCTTGAGAGATACATAGAGTCCAATCCAAGGTCATTTATTTGGTTCTAAGAGTGGTAGTTTCTCTAACAGAAACTATCTGCAAAGATTTGAGAATAAAATTAAACAGTAAATCCATGAGTCAGATTATCCTAGTGAATCAACCAGAAAGGGGAGCCGTAAATTCAAGTCAGAGTTGGGAGATTTGCTAATTTGTAACTCGGATAAAGTAATTTGCAGACTGTGTGATCCCAAGATGTGGAGAATATGTACTTGGTCTTTAATTCCAGGAAGGATTAAAAAGAGAATAATTGCTTTGTATATCTGTACACCAGGTCTCAGATAAAACACCTGCTTGCCGAGAAGCTACACTGACTTGCTTAGGAAGATCAGTCCATTGTTTGAGTAAGCATGATTCCTTTTACAGTGGGTGTCCCTTACCCAGCAAAGCTGAATATCAAGAATATAGATGATGAATTATAAGAACCCATGGTACTCAGATTGATTGTGTTAATTTTGCTAATCAAGCAATGTTTAAGAGAATGATGCATGATTAAAAGCTTAGCACATTGGCTCTGTCATTCCAATGTAAAATATATTAGGTTGCTGCAAAAGTAATTGCAGTTTTTGCCATTACTTAATGTTGCATTAGGTTGTATTAGTTGTATTAGGTTGATGCAAAAGTAATTGCAGTTTTTGCGATTACTTCTAATGTTGTATTAGGTTGTATTAATTGTATTAGGTTGGTGCAAAAGTCATTGTGGTTTTTGTCATTAATGGCAAAATGACTTTTGCACCAACCTAATACAACTGGGTAATGGATTTAACATGAAAGATATAAAAGTATTTTACCAAGTTCATTAAAAAAATTGTAATGAGGGCAAACCTGACACTTCATAGGTTTATAAATTCTATTTAATTTATTAAGACGTTTAACTTTTAAGAGTTTTTTGTTCGTAAGGATATCAGTAATTTGAATGATTCAAATATTAATTTTGTAAATGTTGAAAATATTTTGGAGGTTTTTGTTTTTTTTTTTTGGTTCAGAGAAAGCTGGCCCCTGAGTCCTCAGATTCACATCAACAATCCCCATCCAGACCCTTTTTCTTTTGAAGGTTATCCGAGGTCACCATCTGCATCTTGCCAAAGCCAGGACAGGAAGATGCATTCTTGCCTGGTTCTTTCTTCCCCTTCAGCCTTTCCCAACACACACCCATTAATTATCCTTCATTGTCCCACAGTAATTTCTCAGGGATCTAGTCCCATCTCTTTATTCCTTTACTCGTTCCCTGGGATATAATTACAGCCTGATAACCAGGCTATGACTACGGACTTATCCTCTTCCCATTCATTCAGAAGCAGAGACAGGCAAGGCTTTCTGAAATACAGGTTAGACAGATCATAAGATCCCCAGTTTAAGAGCCCTCAGCAGCTTCCCATGAGAACCCCAAAGACATCCAAATCTCCAAATGCCAGCCTGGCCCTTCTGCAGTGGAAGCCTGGGTGTGCAACATTTGCTGTCTTTCCTATTCCAGTAAACTGTATGCCTTTTATGGGCAGGGGAGGGAAAATGTCTTGTTCACTTTTATACCATCTGTTCTTTGCACAGTGCCTGGCCCATGAAATGGGCTCAGGAAAAGTTGAATAAATTAATGAACTACTAACTAATTATTTGCCTAGCTGATAGATTTCCAACTTTGATCTTCCAGTTGTTTGTTTATTCAAATAGGCCAGTAGTTTTCAGCTGGAGGCGATTTTGCACCCCCCCTAGAGATATTTGGCAATATCTGGAAACGTTTTGGGCTGTCATGTCTGGGAGGAGGCACGCTACTGTCATCTTCTGTGTAGAGGCCAAGGATGCTGCTAAACATTTTGCAATGCACAGGACACTCCCAACAAAGAATTATTTGGTGCAAAATACCAGTACTACCAATGGGGGGAACCCTGATACAGACTAAATTGTAAATTAAAAACGTATTTAGTATTTAGCAGATTATGTTCAATGTTTATTTCCAACAAAATATTTTATTGTGAGTTGCCCAAGCCTGCTCCATATTTTATAAAATGATTGTTTAGTAGGACTTTCTTTGTGTAATGCATTTTTATGTCTGGTGGTGAATGTAGATAATATAAGCTTTATATCAATGTTCCAATTAGCTCGCCTTTAAACACTGAAATACAACTTGTATTCTCCATTTATTCTCTAGATTTATAAGCAAAATAGATTTCATTTCTTTTTCATTTGTGTTGTACATTAAAATTAAACCTGTGCAGAAATATTGTCATCCTCATAGTTTTTCTCTTTGATGAACATATGTATTTGAGGATTGTGAGTTAGCTTACAAAGGTTGAGGGGAGTTCAGCAATAACACCACTAAAATAAGCAAAAAACAACAACAACCAAAAAAACATGGTCGCTATCACCTTGGAATGTAGTGTTCAGTATAAATCCCTAAACCAACAGGTTAATTTGAAGTAATTGTTTTGCTTTCAGAAATGGAGTTCAGCAGCTTCGATCTATTTATCTGGTGCAAGTGATTGAGAATGAATGGGCTTGGAGAATGAACAGGTTCACACGTACCAGGGGATGGATGGAGAATCAGTTATTATTCAAACAGCATGTAGGTGACTTATCCCAGTTGATCCAAGATGTATGTGTGTGTGTGTATATATATATATATATATATATATATGTGAACCAGGAACATCTAACCAGTAGTTCTCCTGGAAACAGAGGCATGCCTTACAAGGGTCACCCATTCAAATAAATGGGCTAGAGTGTTTGATTTGGGATTTCTTTTCTATGAGAGCTAAACAAAACGCAACTACTTTGTGATTTGTAAATTCCAAGTACAGATTTAGGCAGAACCCAGTTCTTGCTTAGAGCAGTCACTGTCAGGAGTATTAAAGTACTACTTGTGAGTAGAGGACTTAGTCCATGATTTAATTATTTAGGCCTCCATTGGTATAAATTGATGCTTCTGGACTTTTCATGGTTTCTTCTCTTTGACTACTAAACCTCTGTTAAATCCGTAGAATAATTTCAGCCATTAGCCAGTCTTATAGCTAATATCGTTACCCAAGACATGAGTAATTAACAAGTTGAAACATTTCCATGGCATTGACTCATAAGTGATGAGAATACCACTGGTTAGCTCAGTGCATTGCTTTATATGCGGCAAAGTGGAATTCTGTAGATAGAGGCATATATAGGTGATAAGGTTTGGCTGTGTCCCCACCCAAATCTCATCCTGAATTGTAGCTCCCATAATTCCCACATGTTGTAGGAGGCACCCAGTGGAGGTAATTGAATCATGGGGGTGGGTCTTTCCTGTGCTGTTCTCATGATAGTGAATAAGTCTCATGAGATCTAATGGTTATATAAAGGGGAGTTCCCTTACACAAGCTCTCTTTCCTGTGGCCATGTAGGATGTGACTTTGTTCCTCCTTTGCCTTCTAGCATGCTTATGAGGCCTCCCCAGCCTGTGGAACTGTGAGTCAATTAAACGTCTTTCTTTTATAAATTACCCAGTATTGGGTATGTCTTTATTAGCAGCGTGAGAACAGACTAATACAATAGGTATGCAGATACATATTTATCGAGGAGGTGGCTTTACATTTCCTTTCTGTTGCTGATTTTTGTGAACTAGCCTAAACTTGACTAATGTTTTCCCTGTGTTATATACCCATATATATAAATACACACAAACACACACACACACACACATACACACACACAACAGTGTTAACCTGACCTACCAACAAAGTAAGGCAGTCTACTGTTCAGGTTGTGGTTTTGCTGTCACTGTTCTTCTAGATATATTATACTTAAAAAAAAATAAAAGTTTCGGCTGAGCGCCATCACTCCTGTGTTCATTAGTTTTAGAGAAACGATAGATGATCTTCATTGGATCATGTAGGTTAATGTGCGGTGACTGTGGGTGGTAGGGTAATTACAACTCATGAACGCTGCACCGTTTGGGAATTCGTTAGACAAAACTATGTGGATGAGATCTTTTCATGCCTAATTCCTACAGCTATTTTGGAATTTATCTAAGGAAATTGTCTTCCAACTTTAGGAAAAGGTCAGAAAGAATTAAGCCTCTGGAAGTCTCAGGGTGTGGTTTATCCCTGCCTTTTAGAAGTGAGATAAATCCCACTACTTCTCAGATGGAGTGAGAGCCAAAGTAAAGCAAACCAGAAAACGTGGAACCAGATTATCTGAAAGGAGCCGGGTGCATACCAACTTTTTTTTTTTTTTTTTTTTGACATCACCGTATATTTTTAGTTGCTTGTGAGTATCAAAGAGAGTTTTGGGAGAAAATCAACTGCTGAGGGTTAAGGACTGAATCCAGATTGAAGACTTTATCTAATCATCAGCACCTTGGATTACCAAATTTGTGTGCATCCTTTGGAGTTGAAAGTACCATGAATAAAGGCAAGAAAAAAGAGGGCAGTCAAATAAATAGAAATTGGAGATCATGTAGCCAAAGCTCCTCAAACCTATGTACATTTGGACTTTGAATTGTCAATGGGCACACCAAGATTTTTGAAGCTTTGACTGTCTATAAGGCTTGGTGGCCTCACCAGCATGCCTAGTTGCACTGCATGTTATTGATATACAGCAGCTGGGGCCATTCTCCTAAGCATGATACAGAAGCATACATTTGTGTGAAGTGGTTTTTTAAGCAAAGCCCACACGTGGGACATCTCTCCTTGTGGCTTTAAGCACTGATTTCCCTGCCACAGTCTTAGTCACAGGGCACGTCAGTGCTCATGTTGCTCATCTCCATCTTTATGTGTATTAAGATCATGTAGACATCTTCAAATGTAGACTCTGATTCCAGCAGTCTGCTACATTTCTTGGCAACTCTCAAATGTGCTGATGGTAGTAATTTTGTAACCAAAATGGGGTAGCCAGGCTCTACCCAGCCTGCATAGGGCTTTTGATTTAACCTAGGTTTAGCTGTTCATCTGCTATATTTCCTCTTTGCCTACATTCTAAAAGATCTCAGATGAGAATTTCTCCTACGCTCGTCAAGACTGTCGTTTAGGTTTTGCCATCAGTATTTAGGTTTCCCACACCACCCACAGTCACCCCACATTGGCCTACATCGTCCAACGAAGATCATGTGTACACCCTACACATTTGCTAATAATTCATTTACAAAATGTTTTGTTATATAAAAACTGGGAGAAACTAAATTTACTTATAGAGACCATCTGGTAATGCAGTAGTTTTGTAATTCTATTTCTCATAGCATGCTCAAATTAAGGATTCATTTTAGAGCGTTTCTTGCTATCACACTGCCACATCTCACTGCTAAAGGTAGAGCTACCGATTTCTGGAATTTTACTGCTATGTTTTTATTTATGTTGGACAGCGGAAGCAGATTTCCAAAGAGGTTATGATAACAGATAAATTGGCCACCAGGATGCTCCCATGAATGCCTGGCACCTCACGATGCAAAGAAGCAGTGCATTTCTTTCTTTTGTTGTCTGTTTCCCTCTCCTTTTTTACATCACATAATTAACAATCAATTACTATGCATCTAGTGCCTGCCAGTGACTATGATTGATATAAAGACAAAAAGACATAGTAATATCTTCCATGCCCTCAAAAAACTCACTGTTTATGAGAAATTAAGACACATATAAACAAAAGCACAAAAGTGATACATCTTGGTGAGGATTAGGATAGATATAATATTAGCTGACAGATACAAAAGAGAAAAAGGGAGGAAAAAAAAGGGAGAGAAAGAGAAAGACAGGGCACTGATTCTGTTCCAGGCACTGTGTGTCATTCTTTACGTGCTGAATGTTTTTATCCTTAAAACAGCCCTACACAATAGGTCTGATTGCTTTCAGTTTTTATCACGTTTCATAAAAGAGAGAACTTGCTTTTATACTCACACAGCAAAACAACAGAAATGCCGGAATTCAAATCCAGGCCTGTCTGATTTACAAGTCATGTTTTTAATTGCTCAGGAACCTTACCTCCTATCATAAAAATCAGAACTCAAGGCAGGATGCCTGAATCTGCTTGGAGATGTCACAAAGGTTGGGTGAGGGTACAGAGATCACACTAGGAGGAAAACTGGTTAAGCTAACAGGACTCCACTTGGACAGGAAGGGATTGTTGAAAAGCATTTCACCTTCAGAGAGGAGCCTGCAGTTTGCTGTGGTGCGGCGTTCATTGATTCTACAGTATGATGTGATGTAGGGTGGACAGATCCAGGTATGCTTACAGGTCTACACCAGAACATTCCTTAAATCCTTTGCTGAGGAGCATGAACTTAGTCCCTCAGGAGGACACCTTAGGAGGTTTCACAATGAGAGATGCCATTGAAAGTTGAGTGTGGGAGTACAGTGAAAGGTTGAAGCTGCACAGACACGATGCAGTTAAGCAGTGACCGCCACAGCCAGGCAAGTGCCGGGGAGGACTTGTACAAGGAGGGCTCTGGGTCAGATACAGCAATGCATGGAGAGACATGAAAGCCTATATATTTGTGACAGTGATATCAGATTACAGTAGACTTAGGAGTTAATGAGGGTCAATGGATTGTTGTGGTCAATACATGAATGAGCAAAGTGAATTAGTAAATCCTTAATTTTTTTCCTGTTCTAAAATTGTAAATATATATTTAGAAACCCTAAACTAACTTGTAAAATGTGGGAAAAGAAGAGTTGATGAAGTTGTTTACTTTTATCTGCATTTAGCTAAAAAGCATTAGGAATAAACAACATGTATTTTTGGAGAAAATATCTACAGAAATTAAAATGCAGAATTTTATGAAATTGTTGGAAACATTAAGATTGCATTTTTTTTTTTTTTTTGAGACGGAGTTTCGCTCTTGTTGCCCAGGCTGGAGTGCAATGGCGCGATTTCAGCTCACAGCAACCTCCGCCTCCTGGGTTTAAGCCATTCTCCTGCCTCAGCCTCCGGAGTAGCTGGGATTACAGGCATGCGCCACCACACCCGGCTAATTTTGTATTTTTAGTAGAGATGGGGTTTCTCCATGTTGGTCAGGTGCATTTTTTGTTTTACATTTAATCTAGACATTATTATCAGGTAGATATCTCATTGATACACAGTGTTGAACATTTTTAGTAGTAAAATAAATAATTTTAAAAGTTGATATATATAGTATTACTGTATTTTATTGGTTTAGAGATATTTGAATGCTGCTGTCAGTATATCTGAATAATTGGTGGATGGTAGTCAACATTTGATAAGACAGACTATGGTCGGTTGTCATTTCTAACATAAATCTGAGCCCAAAGTCTGTCATATGTAAGTTTTATAGTGCTACAAAGGAGCAACAACAAATGCTTGAAAGCATTTTTTATAATTTTTGGGGGAAATATATTGACAAGAAATGTAAAATTAAAATAAAAATTTATTTCGTGATCTCAGTTTTGCTAAGAAAAATGGTATTAGCTTCAAGTTTAGGCTTAAAAGAGTTTCCAAAGTGCTGGAGGGGTTAAGAGGAGGCAGGCCAGTTCTCCAGACAGCCAAATTATTTTTTCCAAATTAAAAAAGTCACAGTTGGGGGTATTTTTACTCACTATAACATAAAGTCTAGAAGTATTTCTCGTGTATTTGTACTTTAAATTACAGATGCTCCTTGACTTAAGATGAGGTTATGTCCCAATAAACTCATTATAAGTTGATAATGTCTTAAGCTGAAAGAATATATAATACACTTCACCTACAGAACATCATAGCTTTGTCTAGCCTTCCTTAAACATGCTCAGAACACTTACAGTAGCCTACGGTTACGGTTGGGCGAAGTCATCTGACACAGTGCCTATTTTATTAAAGTGTTGAATATTGAAAATCTCATGTAATTTACTGAATACTGAAAGTGAAAAACAGAATGGTCATATGAGTATGCAAAGGGTTTCTACTGATTTTGTGTCACATTGTAAAGTCAAAAATTCGTAAGTTCAATCATCATAAGTCGGGACCATTTATAATTATTTAGTGCTAAAATATTTATGAGAGAGCCACTCTGATAAATAACACACAGAGTGTCTCTGTGTGCTTTCTCAGCATCTCAATTCTTAGAAACAGGGTTGCTAGAAATGTGTGTGTGTGTGTGTGTGTGTGTGTGTGTGTGTGTGTGCTCACATTTATATTCATAGATAGCCCAAATTCATTCCCAGGAGTTCTACCAGTTTGAGGTCCAACCAGGACAGTGTGAGAGTGTACCAGTTAAGTATACGTGTTGCTAAACTTCTAAAGATTTTTGCCAATATGATAGATAAGAAATGGTGTCTAAATGCAGTTCATGTATTTTGCTCATTTCAAAAATTCATTTATTTGCAACTTGTTTTCTCTGTTTTCAGTGTTCTTTCCCCTATAGAGTTTTTTTTTAACATGTGAAGAATATTAACCCTTTATCTTTCATGTTGCAAATAATTTCACTCAGTCTGTTTTTTCTTGACTTTACTTACGGATATTCTTTTACCCTGAAAAATATTTCTTATCAAAAAATGTACTGTCAAGTTTATTGACTTTTCATTGCATTTGTATATTGAGTCATACTTAGAAACCATTTCCCCACACCAAGTTTAGAGAAGAATTAATTTCCTTTTTAGTATGATTGTATGCATATAGATATGTGTTTATGTATATGTGAATATATGTTTATATATCTGATTCATTTGGGGTTTATTCTCATGTATGGTTTGAAGTATGGATCTAAATTCATCATTTTTCCAGATAGCTACCCATTTACACCATTCATTAAAACATCCAACGATTTCAGTTGTCACTTTTATCATATACTAAATTTTCTTATGTGTTTGAATCTATTTCTAGATGTTCAATTCTATTTCACTAGTTTTACTGTGTTTTCATGCACCCATAATGCATTAGGTTCTTCATCAATGCTTTACTGTGTATTTAAAATCTAAAACAGCTTGACCCCTACCTGAGTTACCCAAACTCTGAGGTTAAGGGCACAGACCTTGAGAATGCCAAGTCTTCCCAATATTTCTGACACCAGCTGCGAGTGTGAGGGTTTCCTGAAATCATCCTCAGGTTTGATGTTTGCTAGAAAAAGTCACAGAATTCTCTGAGACCTTTTATAATCATGGTTACATGTAGCATGTTAAGGATACAAATTAGAGCCAGCCAAAGGAAGAGACATGTGGGGCAAAGTCTGAGGTATGCAAACAGAGATCCTGGTAATCCTTTCCCTGTGGAATCATCCACCTTGTTATCTCCTCTTGGCCACAATGTGTGACAACACATATAGAATACTGCCATCCAGGGAAGCCCACAGGAACTTCGCAGTCCAGGTGTGTGTGTGTGTGTGTGTGTGTGTGTGTGTGTGTGTGTGTGTGTGTGTATATATATTTTTTTTTGAGACAGGGTCTTATCTGTCACCCAAACTTCAGGGCAGTGGTGCAATCACAGCTCACCGCCATCTCGACCTCCCAGGCTCCATCAGTCCTTCAACCTCAGCCTCCTGAGTAGCTGGGATTACAGGTGCTTGCCACCACTCAGCTAATTTTTGCTTTTTTGTTGAGATTGGGTTTTGCCATGATGTACAGGCTAGTATCAAGTTCCTGGATGTCCAAAGTTTGTACTGGAGCTTATTGATTAATTGGCCAACTGGTTGAACTCAGTTTCCCCTTCTCCTCACCTTAGAGATCAGGCCGATTACACATGATATGAAGGGTCCACTATTAAAAACAAAGACACTCTTATCACTTGAGAAATTCCAAGTGTTTAGAGTTTATGTCCCAGGAGCCAGAACTGTCTGAGGATGAGGTTGATTTCTTCCTTCACAGCCCCTTCTAGCTGTCCACACACTTTCTGCCAGGGGTTTTTATTGCTCTTCTTGAACATTGATTACTCCATATGAACTTCAGTCAGCTAAACTAACTCCCTAAAATATTCTGTTAGCCGGCTGCAGCGGCTCACACCTGCAATCCTGGCACTTTGGGAGGCCAAGGTGGGCAGAGTCAGGAGTTCGAGACCAGCCTGGCCAATATGGTAAAACCCCGTCTCTACTAAAAATACAAAAATTAGCCAGGCATGGTGGCATGTGCCTATAGTTCCAGCTACTCAGGAGGCTGAAGCCAAAGAATTGCTTGAACCCAGGAGGCAGAGGTTGCAGTGAGCCGAGAGATCATGCCACTGCACTCCAGTCTGGGCGACAGAGCAAGACTCCGTCTCAAAAAAAAAAAAAAAAAAAAAGGTTTTGTTGAGCCATCCTACTCAAGAAAGGGGATACTTTTTCATTTCTTAAATCTGTGTTTGTGTCTTTCAGGAGGATTTTTAAGTAGACCCATTCTAGGTTTTGCACATTTCTTGTTACATTTATTCTTAAGTATGTTATCTTCTTTGGTGTTATTGTATGTGGCACTTTTTCTAACATTATATACACTAAATTATTTCTTTAAGGATATATTAAGGCTCTTGATTTCTGTATGTTCTGTATGTTATTTTATTTTATTTTATTTTATTTTATTTTATTTTTGTATTTTTAATAGAGACGGGGTTTCGTCATGTTGGCCAGGCTGGTCTCGAACTCCTGACCTCAAGTGATCTGCCTGCCTCGGCCTCCCAAAGTGCTGGGATTACAGGCGTGAGCCACTGTGCCTGGCCAATTGTATGTTAATTTCTTCCAGCTCCTTTATTGAATTATTTTATTGTTTTAAGTAATTGTGTTATTTGCTAAGGATTATTGTTTCTCTAAGGTTTTTCAGATTTCTTCTACAAAATAATGGAAATGTTATTTCTCTTTTTAATTTTTATACCTATAGTTGGCTTATTTGTTCTGCTTTCAATAGCAAACACTTCTAGTTTAAGATTAAATAGCAGTGGAGATATTTTGCATCCATGCTTGCATTTATGGAATGAATCCTACTTGGCCATGGCATATTATTTTCTTAATGTGGCGTTGGATTACGTTTGATAGTATTTTATTTAGTATTTAATCACCAATATTTATAGCTGATATTGGTCTGAAAAATTATTTTATTATTCACTGGCATACTTTTTAGTTGGCATCTAAATTATTTCATACGCCTATAGATGTATTCAATTATACCTTCATATGATAGTAACTTGAAACTGTTATCCATGTAGATGACCAAAGTCTCCTTTAGCATTTGGCCATTTGACATTATTATTCTTTCCTTCTTGAATTAATATTTCCTTTTACTTTTGTCGAAGAATGTTCATTTTAATATAATAAATATTTTGAAAATGTTTTTATGATATCAATATCCCTCTGAAATCATATATGGATATAAACCGAAAATTAAATTTTTTCTAATTCCTAAAACAACATGTTCTTATATGTTAACGTTTTCCTGTGACTTATTTAGAATTATATATTTTTAAATTATACTTAGTAAAAACATAACTATATACATAATAAATATGTCCTGAGACATACATTTTTATGGTGGAAAATTGGGGACAGGAAAATAACAGGAAACTGCATAGGCCTCTAAATACCCAATATTCTCATGGTCCAATCATCTATTGTTTTACTAATCAATTGGGGACCAATCTATTGTGTGCCTCCTGGAATCAATGCTACTATGTCAGCCAGTCACTTGATCCAGAAATTCCAGCACTGTTAATTAATCTGCAGTAGATAAGTACCATCTGGTAATTGCAACTCACAGGAGTTGAAGTCATAGATGCTTTTACCGAAGTCTAGTTCACTCATGCTTGCCTGGGACAAATGAGCTTACCTCATTTAAGCTCTGAATAACATGCTCCTACCACACCCAATTCGTATACTTGATTTTTAAAATTCTGACTGCATTATAGTGCAATTTTACTCATTCCCAGGAATAAATACATATATAATGAAATATGTTCTTTATATAGAAAAATATAGATTGTTGGAATGGATTTTGAAGTTTCACATATGTGTTTTATTTTTCTGTGTTTGCTTATATATGCGTGTAATATACACCTAAAAGGTTACAATATACACCTAATATAATTTAATATACAACTGAAATTATGGATCTATTAATATAAAAAGAAAGAACATTAGAGGAGAAATAATTGAAGGTAAAATTAACTTTGAAATTACTCTTAATTGATTCAATAGATAACTGTTCAAAATAATAATATCAACAGTATATTAGATTATCATAGCTTATGGGTAAGTGAAACAAATGATAGCAATATTATAAAGGAAGGGAGGAAGGAATTGCAAATCCTCTTCTGAACTACCCATGAAATGGGATAATATGATTTTCAGGTATATTTAGATTAGTGTAACTCTGGTATAAATTCATGGTCAACCACTGCAGTTGTTTAAAAAGAAGAATAATTGGGCTGGGTGCAGTGGCTCACGCCTGTAATCCCAGCACTTTGGAAGGCCAAGGCAGGTGGATCACCTGAGGTCGGGAGATCAAGACCAGCCTGACCAACATGGGGAAACCCTGTCTCTACTGAAAATACAAAATTAGCCGGGCGTGGGGGCACATGCCTGTAATCCCAGCTACTCAGGAGGCTGAGTCAATAGAATCCCTTGAACCCGGCAGGCAGAGGTTGTGGTGAGCCGAGATCACACCATTGCTCTCCAGCCTGGACAACAAGAGCAAAACTCCCTCTCAAAAAAAAAAAAAAGAAAAAAGAAAAAGAAAAATTGATATGTTCAGAGAGGAGAGAAAAATGGACATATATAAAATGCTCAGTTTAAACCAGAGAAGAGAGAAAATGAGGGAGGATTAGAAACAACAACAAAAAACAAGTACTACAGATGCAAAACAGTTACGAACTTGGTAGATTTTAATCTCACTATATCCTTAGTTGTTTTAAATGCAAATGGTCTAGATACAGCAATTAAATTCAGACACTGTCAGAATGGGTTTTAAAAAAAGAAGATCCAACCATATGGTGTCTACAAAACCCATTTTAAATATAGAGACAGATTGAAAATAAAGGGACAGAGAATGATATGCTAATACTAATCAAAAGAAAGCAGGAGTAGCTAGCTATACATTAATTACAGACAGAACAGATTTCAGAGAAAGAAAAATTATCAGTGATGAAGAAGAATGTTACATTAAGATAAAGTGGCCAATTCGTCAAGGAGGCATAACATGTTTAATGTATGTGGACCTGACTCACAATACATGAGACAAAATCTGAAAGCTGAAAAATATCAAAATATTTGCAGATTAAACACCACACTGGTAAATAACACATGGCTCAAAAAAGAAGTCTGAAGAGAAATTTAAAAATACTTTTAAGTATACGAAAGTGAAAGTAAAACATCAAAATTTTTGATATATAGCAAAAGCACTATTTATAGGGAAAAATCATAGCATTGAAATACATATATTAGACCAGGCGTGGTGACTCATGCCTGTAATCCCAGCGCTTTGGGAGGCTGAAGCAGACAGATCACAAGGCCAGGAGTTTGAGACCAGCCTGGTCAATATGGTGAAACCTCGTCTCTACTAAAAATACAAAAATTAGCTGGGCACAGTGGTGCGTGCCTATAATCCCAGCTACTCGGGAGGCTGAGGCAGGAGAATCACTTGAACCCTGGAGGTGGAGGTTGCGGTGAGCCGCGATCGCGCCACTGCACTCCAGCCTGGGCGACAGAGCAAGACTCTGTCTCAAAAAAAAAAAAAAAACAAAAAAAAAACATATATTAGAAAAGAAGAAAGACTCGAGTAGCTGAAGCTCTATTTTACGAAACTTAAAAAAAAAGCAGAAGAAAAAAGATCATAAAAAATGAGAGCAGAACACAATGAAATTAAAATTTAAGAAAAATAGAGAAAACCAAATGAAGGCAAAAGCTGGTTCTTTGAATGGATCAATACAATTGATAAGCTTCTAGCTAGTCTAACCAACGAAAACACAAAGAAGACACAAATTATCAATGTCAGAAATGAAAGGAAAGAATTACTACTAACTCCACAGACATTAAAAGGATAATGAAGGAATATTATGAACAACTCTATGCCCACAAATTTGGTAATTTGGATAAAATAGGCCAACTCCTTGAAAGGCAAAATCTACCAAAACCTGTACAAAGAGAAATAGATAATTTGAATAGGCTTATATATATATAAAAGTAGTTGAATCAATAATAACTTCCCCAAAATTACTGGTTTCCAAGTGTTCACAGTTGAATTCTACTCAACATTTAAAGAAGAAATATTTCAATTTTCTACAGTCTGTTTAAAAAAAGGCAAACAGAAGAAATCTTCTTAACTCATTCTCTGAGGCCACCATTATCCTGACACCAAAACCAAGTAAAGACATTACAAGAAAAGAAAAACAGATGCCTATATTTTTCAAAGACATAGATACAGAAATTTCTAAACAAAATATTAGAAAATTGAATCCAGTATTAGGAAATTGAATCCAATAATGTATTAACAGAATTATACATCGTGATTACCAAATGGAACTTATTCCAGGTATACAAGAGTGGCTCAACATTTAAAAATTCATTAATGAAAAGAAAAATATCATATGATTATATCAATATATGCACAAAAATTGACAAAATCCAAAACCCATTTGGGATAAATATCCTCAGCAAACTAGGAATAGAAGGGAACTTTCTCAAGTTGATAAAGGGTATCTTAAAGAAAAACCTTTAGCTAACATCATGCTTAATGGCGAGAAAATATATTTACTCTTAAGATCAAGAAGCAAGCAAGATGCCTCCTCTTCTATTCAACAATGTAATGGAAGTTCTAGTTAATGCAATAATACAAGGAGAGGAAATATAACATGTACAGATTAAGGGGGAAGAAATAAAACTGTCTTTCTTCACAAATGATATGATTATTTATGTATAAAATCTCAAAATCAATGTAATCTTGTAACTAATAAGTTACGGCAAGGCCACAGACTACAAGGTTAAAATGCAAAAGCCAGTCAGTTTCCTATAGGCCAACAATAATTATTGGAATTATTGAAATTTGGAATTAAAAACCTAATTAGCACCACAAAAGTGAAATATTTAGGAAAAAAACCTAACAAAATATGTATAAGAGCTACACAAGAAAAATACAAAACTCTAATGAAAATAAAAAGTCTAAATAAATGGAATGATATTCCATATTCATGGATAGAATGACTCAATGTCAGTTCTTCCAAAATTGATCTAGAGATTCAACACAATTTCCTTGATAATTACTGAGCTAATTGCTTCATAAGTCAAAGGTAGTGTTGGGGTGCAGAGAATAATACCCCAAAGTATGAGGTGCTTTGGCATGCTGAACATTTTTGAAATAAAGGAAATTGGAAGGCCTTAGAAGCTGCCTTAGAACCAAGGACTTTCTAACCCTCCCTTGTTTCTCCCCACATCCTCAAGCGCAGGGAGGGGTTCTCTCTGGAAGTTCCTTCCTCTGACTGAGGAAAACTTCTTCTGAAAGAAATGCAGTTGTCTTAAGATGCCTTCCCTAGGAATCTCATCAACTAACTGGGAAAGTTTAATACTGGAGAAGAGAAAAAACTAAATGTAGTCACCATGCCCAGACAGACTTTTCCTCTGTTTTTCAGAGGGCAGCTCGTAGAGATTACCTAAGAAACTTTATCTGCATAATAAAACAATCTTTGTTCACAGTGGATTTCTACCCCACACCTTCTGTCATAACTTATAGGTCCCATTTAGCTTCCAAAGACAATCATTTACAAACTATTTTCTGCTCTTTGGGCTCATTCAATTCCCCAAAATTATTATTTACTACTCCTCAAAATTGCCTACACCTCCCATTTCTGTCTCCTCATAAATAGGATATTTAAGCCTCAACCATCTGGCCCTTCTTTGAGTCTTATATTTTATATGGCTCCCATGCTTATATACATTAATACATGTGTATGCCTTTTCTCTTATTAATCTGTATATTGTCAGTTGTTTAGCACTTTAGAGGGAAGGGAAAATTCCTTTTGCCCCTACAGTAGTTTCTTATTGCAAAGGATGTGACAAAAAAAAAAAAAGATAGATTCACACAAAATCACTGCATCTTACAAGAGTCCACTGGTAAGAGAAATGGAAATGCAAAAGACACTTGCTCCATTGGAGAAAAAAATTGTCAGTTTCATCTCTTTGTCTACACATTTTGAATTTGTTCTCATGTTGAAATAACAATACAGTAATTATTCACTCTCATATTTATGCTATCATGTTCAGTCTTTTGAATATGCCAGATGTCAGCAATTGGCAGCCCGTTGCCAAATTCAGTTTGATTCCTGTTTTTGTAAATAAAGTTTTATTGGATCATATCCCAGGTTATTGATTTGTGTATCATCTGTGGCTGCTTTTGTGCTAGTGGCAAGTTGAGTAGCTCCGACCGTGACCACGTGGCTTGCAAAGCCAAATACGTTTACTATCTGACTCTTTACGGAAAATATTTACAGATCCCTGGCATTTATAATTTTTAGAAAACCTTCAGCACCCACAGGAAATGTGTAGCAGAAGTACAGCTGGTTTGTTAAGTTCAGGACTGCCCTAACAGGGATACTGTAGCTTTGTTTTAAGTTGTGCTAAAGAAAGTACAAAAAGTATATTTATGGTTGGCTGTGAAGAAGACTCAAAGTAAAACATTTTTATGCAATACATATCAATGTCCGTTTCACAATGGTTTAATTTATGCTGTAACAGTGTGTGGTGCTAAAGTTGTTTTATAAAAATCATTTTATTGCAATTATAATTCTATTATACTTAATGGATGGTTGTGCCAGCCAAAAAACCTACTCTACTAAAAATAGAGTTTTAAAGATAGAATGGATCTTAGACATAATTGGATTCTTTTTTCAAGAGGGAAAATCATACTATAGAAATTAAGATTTTTTCTAATGACCATACCGTGATTGAATATCACTTTACCTCTGAACCCGCCTGAACATATTCTTGAAAGAAATATGAAAGTAGTTCAATATTGGACCCAGTGTCATTGAACCCAACCTGAGGGTCTACAGGCAATTTTTTGGTATTTGACTGATTGCCTACTATATTTTTCCTTGTTATTTTTCTTCTTCATTTGGTGGTAATCTAATAAATAATGAAGCATGCCCTGCATCATCAAGATGGCTAACTTTCCATGTGACCCATTATGAGGTCTGCTACCTTTGTCTGTGTTTCCAATTGTTTGGTGCCAAATAATGCCCTTTAATTGTTGAAGGTAGTAAAAAAAAGAACCATGGATGAGGGGTGCCAGAATATGCCACCTCAAAATATGCCTCTTTGATATATGGATTATTTTGAGCTAAAGATCATTGAGAATCAGCAGACACAGGAAAACCTTTAGAAACAGGGCACAAGATTTTGTTTCATATGTAAATTTACATGGGTAAAGAAAATATCCATTTGTCAAAGATATCTCCTTCTCCAACTATCAGCAAGAGAATAATTCTTTTTTTTTTTTGAGATGGAGTCTCACTCCGTAGCCAGGCTGGAGTGCAGTGTCGCACGATCTTGGCTCAATGCAACTTCTGCCTCTCAGGTTCAAGCTATTCTCCTGCCTCAGTCTCCTGAGTAGCTGGGAGTACAGGCGCGTGCCACCATGCCCAGCTAATTTTTGTATTTTTAGTAGAGATAGGGTTCCACCATGTTGGTCAGGATGGTCTCGATCTTTTAACCTCGCGATCTGCCCAGCCTCAGTCTCCCAGAGTGCTGGGATTACAGGTATGAGCCGCTGCTCCCGGCCAGCAAGAGAATAATTCTAAACAACTGTTATTTAAATGATTTAAATCTGCATGAGAAGCCTTACTAATCAACCCTTGCTTACTACACTTTACCTGGTCATCTTTCCACAACTTGCCTCCCCCACTGGGAAACCCAAAGTCCTGTTTGTTTTGTTTAGCCTAAGATGTTATATCAGCCCAAATCCGACCACACCTTAGAGTTAATCATCCTTGTCTGCTCCCATGTATACATGTGTAAACTAGAAATACAATCCTAAATGCGCCACCAATTGAATGAACCCCTTTTGGCCAAGAGGACCCCAGCAAAACCTTAAAAACTGAATTACTGGCCATGACAGGAAGGGGAGTCAACACACCTCATCATAACCCCTCCATTTTGGAGTTTAGGCACAGCAACTGACCAGGACTGATATTAAAATAGACATCATAAGACTGACAAAGCAGACTCATTGTGGCAGTAAGATACCAAATTATAAATAAGACCTATGGCCAGGCCAGACAATGGTTAAGTCATGCCTGTAGGGCATCAACCTTGCTACACAGCATCCTTATCTTAAAGATGCCTTTCTGCTGACTCCAAGTTTGAGACAGAGCCTTGCTCTTTAACCAATTACAAATTAAAGAATCTCTGAATCCACCTATGATCTGTAAGCCCCCTCTGTAAGCTATCTCACCTTTTGGGGCTGGAACAATGTATACCTTCTATGTACTGATTTATATTTTTCCCTTTAATTTATGTCTCCCTGAAGTGTTAGGTTGGTGCAAAAGTAATTGTACTTTTCGCCATTGAAGGTAACTGCAAAAATCATGATTACTTTTGCATCAACCTAATATAAAACCAAACTGTTACCCTGCCTCCCGGGTTTTTCTCAGGATTCCTTGAGACTGTGTTTCCTTGGACTGAATTCACTCATTGGTGCAGAATAAACATCTTTAAAACATATTAGTGTTTTCTTTTTCTGTTAACGCATGCACAAGGCATGTGGTAATGAACTTTTGTTTTTCTCTTGTTAATCTGTCTTTTGCCAGTTCATTTTACAGGGCCCCACCCAGAGTTCCTAAGATGAGTAGAGAAAGAAGGTATTATTTTCTCCCCTACCCTGTCCAGGTACATAAATGATGCATTTATTTTTGTGAACACCAAATGGCCTCAACCCAGGTTGCTTGGGTGAACTTCACTGCGTGTATGATGAGCAGAGGTGGCCCTGATGGTTTTGTGCATCACTCTGCTGTTGGCTATGCCAGAATCAGAACACTTGCATGCGGTAGCTGCTTCCACAATTATGTTCTGAGCAACCATTTAGTCTCAGCAAAGCAGCAGCTTCCATCACGTTCAATTACTGCTAATTTAGATTTTATTGCTCTGTAGTTTTGTTTGCTTTTAACTGACAAAATTGCTTTGATTTCATTGTCTTATAAAAGCTAAAGATCTATGAGTTAATCATTTGTATTTGTATCTATATATATTATGTATATAAATGTATCTACATATATACATTATGTATGTAAATGCATCTACATATATACATTATGTATATAAATGTATCTACATATACATTATATAGAAATACAAATATATATACATTATATAGAGATACAAATATATACACATTATATATAGATAGATGTAGATATATATATTTATACATATGTACATATCAAGAAGGTAATTTAAGTCAACACTAGAAGTCAAGGAGACTGTTTCTTTTATCATTTTTTGATGTTTGATTTATTTTACAAAATTGTAGAACATATACATGACATAAAATCTACCATTATAACTATTTTTAAGTGTACAGTTCAGTGGTATTAAGTACATTCATATTACTGTGCAACTATCACTAGCATCCATCTCTAGAACTTTTTTCATCTTCCCAAATTGAAACTCTATACCCATTAAATACTACCTTCTGATTCTCCCCTCTCTCCAGCCCTGGCAAATATCATTCTGCTTTCTGACTCTGTGAATTTAATGTCTTGAAGTACCTAATATGAGTGGAATCATACAAGTACAGCATTTGTCCTTTTCTGACAGGTTTATTTTTCTTAGCATGCCTTTCCCTTTGCAGGACATCAAAGCAATGCACATGTTTGAGAAAGTCTGTGGTCTCCTATAAAGCATTTACACCTGGCTCTTCTAAGTTAACTTTTGTCACACATGCACAGGAATGTGTGACTGCCTGAGGAGGTGGATTGCAGATCACGCTGGCTGTAAATAGTGGGAGTATTTCCATAGCCTAGCAATTTGTGGGGACACATCAACTGAAGTAGCCCTGCCTTGCTGTTTTTACTTAATTTAGCAGGAGAGGTGGGGCTGCTGAAATTTAGCCCCTCTCAGGGTGGGCTATCAGGTCAGATTTCATATTTGTGTCATGTGTCTCTTTGTTCTATAAGCCTTTAGTTGGGTTTGGCTCTGGAAGCTCAGTTGCAGGCAGACTGTCTACTCCAGCTGCCAAAAATGAGCAGGCTCCCTTGTGTTGTAGCCTGGGCTCCTTATAGAATCTTGGTGTGATGTGCTGCCAGGGCTGTCCTGCTGAGAGACAGTGGTGAATGCTTCCAGGGCACGATGTCCCATAATGTTCTAGACTCTCATTTCTGCTGACCTTTTATTACATATGATAATAATGATGGTGGTGCCTACAATAGTGGTTGATATTTTCTAGAAGAAATAATACATGTGGATTGATTCCTCCAGCCACAGAAGCATGGTTTCCTCTTTTTAGACTATTAGAGTTCATTCAAACAACATGTGATTGGGTCATGTATTGTTCACCAGTATAAACACAGCACCTATATACTCGGATTGCCTCTCTTCTTTTCTGGTTGCCTTGAGACAATTGAAAGAAACTACTTGGTGTCAGGGCCATTGTAAACACTGGTAATGGCCAGGTACTGATTGATCATGATGGACCTTGCATAAGCTGTTATTACTTCTATAAACCTTAATTAAGAAGGGGGTGTATTAGTCTGTTTTCATGCTGCTAATAAAGACATACCTAAGACTGGGTAATTTATATAGGAAAAAGGTTTAATGGACTTACAGTTCCACATGGCTGGGAAGCCTCACAATCATGGTGGAAGGCAAGGAGGAGCAAATCATGTCTTACATGGATGGCAGCAGGCAAAAAGAGAGAGCTTGTGCAGGGAAACTCCCATTTTTAAAACCATCAGATCTCATGACACTTACTCACTATCATGAGTACAGCATGGGAAAGACCTGTCCCCATGATTCAATTACCTCCCACCAAGTTCCTCCCACAACACATGGGAACTGTGGGAGTTACAATTCAAGTTGAGATGTAGGTGGGGACACAGCCAAACCATATTAGGGGGAATAAAAAGTCTCTTCTTCGTTGCAATTTTTTTTTTCTGCTCTAAGCTGATTTTGCTTTGAGCACTGTGAGACCCATCATTTATTTCCCATTGATGCACATATAATATTTTGGAGTAACTTCTGACCATTTTTCTCCTTGACCTCTCTTCTCCACTTATTCACCAAGTCCAAAAGAGTCTTCCCGCTAAGTGCATCTTGTAGTGATCACTCTTTTCCTTCTCCTTACCCATAGGCTAATCTTTTCATTAGACTTTGGCAGTAGCTTCCTAGCTCATATTGTGTTCCACCTTCACCCCCCTCATTATACAACGAATGGGGTTATCTTCCTAGATTCAACTCTGCTCAAAACTTCTGTTGGTCAGATATTGTAACAGGTAATATTTAAGGCCCTATAAAATGTGGCCATTATGAGAATTTCTGTTACTTGCCACGAGAACACACTTACGTGATTTTTCTACTTCAAACCTCTCATAGCCAAACTGTCATCTTATGTACATATATTGTCTGCTGATTCATAGAACCTCAAAGCTCTGTGTGAAGCAGTCCTCCCTGCCTCCCTCCTTCCTCCTTTCCTTCCTTTTCAATCTTACCCCTCATTCTCTATGCACCAACAACACTATCTTCCTTTGTATCTGAATACACTAAGCCTCTCACTGCTCAGCATCCTTTGTAGACAGTGTTCCCTCTTCTGGCAAACGCTTCTCTAAACCTCTTCACATGGCTTCATGGCTGCTGCCTTTTTATCTTTCCATTTGCAAATGAAATGTCCTTTCTGTAGAGAATTCATGGATTCTATTTCTTGCAATGCCTTGGTAAAAGCAGCCTCCCAGAAGTTTCATGCAACAATTCTGTCTACAGCCCACTTGTAAACACAAGAACCTTCAGGCTTTTTCTGCTCATGTATGGCAAAAATTACATACTCCACATTTTTTGTCTACTACATGTGACAAATTTACCAAATGTTTTTAAGGTCATCAGGTATCTAGCCTAAAATATCAGTGTCTTTGCTGCCTGCTCCTAATATAAGCAATGCCACATTTTTGTTGTAATTGTTATTGTTATTTAGCACCATACTTCTGTTATCATTTTCCATAGAGGTTAGGACATAAGCTAAATTGCTGTAAAACTGAGATCCAAAAACATGGTAGTGCAAACAAGATAAGAATTTATTTCTTTCTGACCCAATTCAGCCCCAACTCTGTATATAGTTAGGCTTTGTTCTAGGAAGCCATCGAGAGATAGGGTTTTTTGGCTTGTTCTCTTCCTCACCAATAGGCTGCCTGCTGCAGAGTGGGTATTTTATTTCTCATTCAGCCTCATCTCACCTAGTATTTGTTGGTGCTTGTCCCCATCCAGGGAGACTTTTGCATCCAACTTGACATATCCTGCCTGCACTGATTTCAACAAGAGCTCATTGTTTTAGCCCTTCATGGAGGACCTTCAGTTTTGGGGAGCTGACCTGTGCTGACTTAGCTGAGACCTGCAGATGCAGATACCTTCTCTAGGCACCTTCCTACCACCTATTGACAGTTACTCTGATAGCCTTTCATTACACATTGCATTTTGATGTTACACATTTTTCCCTTCGTTTTACCAAAGATGAAATTTGTGTTTCTGCTTCTTATTTGCCTAATTTTTAAGGGGTGATTTCCAAGGAGCTCTCTGGAAGTCAGGTGAGGGGGGTGTAAATAATGTGAAGTGCATTATTTCTCTGACATAAGGTAACTTTAAACATTGAACTCACTGGGGCACTGAGGCCATAATGTATAAAAATTTAAGCTAAACAGGAACAGAGTACACATCCTAACAAATAATTTTAATTTTTCTTATTTCTACATATGGTGTAAGGAGCATCAATTATGCACCATTTTAGATGTGACCTGTTATTTAATCTGCTCCAGATATGAAAGACAAAAGGAAAAATGGTGACTTAGCAAAGTTAAGTAACTGTGATGGTTAATTTTATGTGTCAACTTGACTGAGCCACAGGGCATCCAGACATTTGGCCTAACATGATTCTGCATATGTCTGTGAGGGTGTTTCTGGATGAGATTCTCATTTGGATCCACAGAGTGAGTAAAGCAGATTGTCCTCCTTGCTATAGGTATGGCCTCATCTGGTCAGTTGAAGACCTGAGTAGAACACAAGGGCTGAGTAAGAGGGAACTCCTTCTGACTCACTACCTGAGCTGGAACGTGGATCTGGAACATTGGTTTCTGGAGTTCAGACTCACAGTGAAATATTGGCTGTTTGGGGTCTTGAACCTGTCACCTTGTGGACTAGAAATTACACCATTGGCTTTCTCAATTCCCTGGACTTGAACTTGAACTGGGCTCTCCTGAGCCTCAAGCTTGCTGACTGCAGATCTTGGAACTTCTAGCCTCCATAATTCCATGAGCTAATTCCTCATAATAAATGTCTTCACGTATAGGAATGGGATAGATAGGGGCGTAAAGGAATATCTTAAGGAATTGAAATGTCCAATATTTGTATCTGAGTGTTGGCTGCCCTGGTAGAAGCATTTGCCAGAATTGATTGAGTTCTACTGTAAGAGTCCTGTATTTTGTTGGATTCAAATTATGCCCCAGTAAAGCCTTATTAACATGTCAAGAAAATCACACAACTAGTTAATGGCAGAGATTGCATTACAGCAGATTTCTGTGTAATCTCCAAGTGCATACTCTGACCTCCATATCACACTAACCTGCACAGTGGGAGGTATATGCAGTGACTAATAGTGATTACCAATATGCTACTTAGAAACCTTTCAGGGTTCATGTTTTCTACTCCAGCATTTCTTATTAATTTGAATTATGAGTTCGTATTTAGTTAGACAGGATGATCGATTGAGATTGGTGTTTTTCAGTGCATTGCATTTATTACATTCCATCAAGGAGTAAGGAGATGGCACACAACTGAATTCTCCAGGTAACTTAAACTCCAGTGTAACTTTTTCATTGATCAAATAAATGAGCTGTTAGACTGGTTGTCATGGGAAATCTTTTAACAAGAGTGATGTATATCCCCTCCTTCAGGGTATAATGATTATTATGGAGCCCTTTGCTTGACTGCCAATGTTGTGAACTTCAGCTCTTCCCTTCTGCTGTGTGTCTTCGTATAGGCAGACAGATAGCTATACCATTACAGGCTTACATTCAGAGTCATAAGGAGGCGAATTTCTTTTTGTTCCCACACAAAATGGCAATGAGATGGCTGAGTTTTATTTTTTTTTCCCTCTGTTTTTTAACTGGCAGAACATCACTTCTCAGTTTTCAACACTGCCCATTTTTCTGACCTCCCTGCTTAGTTCTCCTTTCTACCCAGTTTATTATCTCTTATAGTTGCCTGTATAATATCAATGCATGCCATTACGGAAAATGCTCAGCAGTCATAATTAGAAGACACACACTGATGGAAGTCCTTGAATGGTGAGCATTCCTTTCTAAATTTGTAACAGCTATTTTACCTGAATGCATCATACGTTTTTGAGAACCAGTAGGTTTGTTGGAGATCATAAATTTTCCATGTATATCTAGTGGAAAATGGAGAAGTGCAAGCGAATTACGGCATGCATCAGCTGAAAAAGCTTTTCGTATTTTGTGTGGCGTGTTTTATTTTGTGTGTGTGGCATTTGGTGGTTTCCTATATGACTCTAAGCCAGATTCCCATTGGCTTTCAGACCCTTTAGGCAGGCTTGGTACGCAGTGGGGTCTTTTCCAGGAACAAGGTTGCATGATGGACTGATCTATAGGAACCTCAGAGAATGGAAAAATCAGAAAGAAATTGGGACCAATTCAAAGCCATAGTCTTTCAAGAGAGGGTAGTCCTCAGTAAATTAATGTTTCCTGATTCAAATCTGTCTCCAATCCAGGGAACTTGGACTTATTTCTTTGATTTTTACTTTTAATTTTAATTATTTCTTTTCTTATTTTTTTTAGAGGTTGGGTCTCACTTGTTGCCCAGCCTGGAGTGCAATGGGGCCCCTATAGCTCACTGCAGCCTCTAACTTCAGAGCTCTAGCAATCCTCCCACCTCAGCCTCCCAAGTAGCTGAGACTACCTGTGTGCACCACCATGCCTGGATAATTTTTAAATTTTTTTTGTAGAAACTATGCCAGCCAGGCTGGTCTCGAGCTTCTAGCCTCAAGTGATCCTTTTGCCTTGGCCTCCCAAAGTGCTGAGATTACAGGCATGAGCCATTGTGCCTGGCCCATGAACTTGTTTCTATGGAAGAGAAAGAATACAAGTCTAAACAAAACAGCAGCAAAGTAAAGCAAAGCCTAGCATTTTGTGTGGCATGTTTTATTTTGTGTGTGTGGCATTTGGTGGTTTCCTATATGACTCTAAGCCAGATTCCCATTGGCTTTCAGACCCTTTAGGCAGGCTTGGTACGCAGTGGGGTCTAGTATGGAAAGAACAAGGATCCTCGTTCCATTTCAGGGCAGAGTGAAGCTAGGCACCCCATTTCGAAGCCTCAGCGTGTGGTGCAAGTGCTCACTTGAACATGCTGCATGGTAGTGCCTGAGTCAGAGGTGTCCGCTATGGTGTTGGGAAGACCAGTATCACACCTTTGCAATGGAATATTTTAGTGTGTACAGCAGCATGAAATGCCATAATGATAACCCATATTTATTTTTTGAAGATGATGATGCTTTCTCTTGGTTTTACTAACTTCTTACAGAGTTGCATGCTGTGATTTCAATCAACACCATGAAATCTACACATTTTTGAGAAAGTTATTGTAAAATACTGGACTAATTGTTGGGAAAAGTTGGGAAAATCCTGCTGATTCCACCAAATACTGTTGACCTTTAGCAAATAGCTGGTTCACTTTAGATTTGAAATCATATCCTGCCAGCATAGCTGAAAGTTTGCTGAAGGAGGCCAATACATTTGGCCAAAGAATCAGAAACCACTAGTGTAGCAGAAACAGAATGAAAGGCCTAAGAGTTAATTCCAAATGCTCGGCAACAGCGCTACCAAAGTTGTAGAATGATGGCCAGAGTGTCATGTTCTTGCTCTGAGGAATGGTTTAATTGAGGTATGAGGCAGAGGCACAATTTTTTCAGGCACAAGGAATTGGGGGTACAATGCTCCGGTTTTTTTTTTTCCTCTTTCCTTTCACTTATTGGAGGCAGCGTGCCTAGCGAGAGCATGTGTTCTAGTCTGACCCTCTATGCTCTAAGTTTTACAGGGTCACATTCCCACTTAATATGCGGGGACTGGGATGGTTTAACATCGCTCTTGATTGGGTGGGAAAATAAATTCTTCTGGGATTTGGATTTATTCTGTCATTGATAAGACACAATAGCAATAAAATGTCTATGTAGAAATAACTAGTTCCCACTGAAATCTACTGAGATCCTTAGGTTCCTTTGGGGAAAACGGGTAATTTTTTTGAGTTTCTTCTTCTGTAAAAGGGTGTGGGAAGAGGGCTTCTCCCTGCATAAGTTTCAGATTTGTTAAACTTTCTTTAGTGGAGATGCTGTGTACATTGTTTACTTCTGGTTGTTGAAATAGAAAGTAATCATGGGCATACGATTTCCAATGTGAATTTCAAATAATTTTAAAGATGAGTCATAAAAGGAATTTTGTTACTTTCTGGTAACTGGCGTGATCTAACAACAAGCAAACATTAGCTAAATGAAAAATGCATCCATTCATTTTGCCCAATGGGAATAATTTATTTATACAATAAGCAAAGATACTGCTTTTCTTGTTTTTAAATTTTGATATTAGGCTGATTTATTTTTTCTTCTTTGGTGTCTAAAAGTCTCAGAAGTTGACTGTAGTATTTATTTCAAAGGTCATTATGGTGGTTGTCTAGCCAATTTGGCATCTCTTGTTTCTTGTATATTCCCAGTTGAGTCTATGATGTGAATTTGATTCTATGATGTGAATTTATGACTTATTTATATGGTTTTGGACAGTTTTTTTTAACAATGGTAATTCAAACTTATTTTTAACTGTGCATTTTGGTTTTGGAAATTTCCCATCCTGTCTTGACATTTGGAGATGGATTTTAATAATTTACATGTGTAAACAGTAGAAAATATAACCCATTTGTGACCACCAAGAATAATTCCAGGCACCAAGGAGACATTGGTGGGAATATGGAGTCTCCTGTGCACTCTCTTTGCATTTCCACAAGAACACCTATTAGCACAAAACTCCTGGTCACTCTGCTTTGCACTCACTAGCCCCCCAGGTGGACAGACTCCTCGTACCTACTGTGAGCTTGGGACAAGCAGTTTGGAGTACATAGCTCTTTCTTCCCTCTTAACCTTCACTTCCGGGATGCAGGCTACCCAGCAAGAGCATGTGTTCTCATCTGATCCTCTGTGATCTATGTTTTACACGGTCATATCCCCATATAATGTGGGGTGGGTGGGATCACATAGCACTGCCCTTATTTGGGTGGGGAAATGAAATCTCCTTCTCAGATTTGGTTTTAGCCCATCATTGATAAGCATCCCATGCATATCTTCTAATCTAGCCTTCATCGGCCATAAAGGTGATAGTTAACCTTTATTGCCGATGAAGGCTAGATTAGAAGATATAGTTTAGATATATAGTTTCTTAGTCATTTCCCCAACTGCTTTGCAGAAGACAAAGAAGTGTGATTTGAGAAGGCTCAAATACTAAATTCTAGCACTTTATCTGTGAGCCTTGAGGAATAGACATGGATTGGAATTTGAGACCACACCATGAAGAATTGAGGGAGGTTTTGAGTAGGGGTTGGGCTCATGGCTTCAGGCCTTGGGATGACCAAGTGGCTTGGCTAGAGTTGAACTTTTTTCCCTTTGGTGGGCCACTCCAGTTTTGGTCATACTGATCGTAGACAAATGTTTTCACAGTGACAGGTTACCTTAGGCAGACCTTCCAGAGAAAAAGAAGAAAGAGACTAGCCTGAGCATGCATGTATGGGATTCAGCAAAGATGCGAGTCTTGGGTTGCAGGAGGAGGCAGCTTCACATTGGATCACACAGGCCTTAAACATACAAATGTCTCCACAGCTACTGGGAGGCTTGAAGACTTCTAAGACATCATATATGAAGAAAGGACTTGATTCCAATAAATTATATATATTTTTAATATGCTGAATTCTCAGATCTTACGGGGTGAAAATTGGCAATCTTGTTTGTTTGTTTTTATTGAGGCAGGATCTTGCTCTGTTACCCAGGCTGGAGTGCAGTGGCATGATCAAGGCCCACTGCAACCTCAACCACCCAGGCTCAAGTGATCCTCCTGCCTCAGCTTCCTGAGTAGCTGGGACTACAGATGCACACCGCCATGCTCAGTGATTTTTTTTTTTCTTGTACAGATGGAGTTTCCCTATGTTGCCAAGGCTGGTGTCAAGCAATTTTCCCACCTTGACCTCCCAAAATACTGGGATTATAGGTGTGAGCCCCTGTATCTGGCCTCTTTTGCCTTTTTTTCTTTAAAAAAATAAGGTGTTTTATAGTCAGGATCTCCTGTCAGGACTTGAAATTGCATTGAGTTCAATTGTGGGACTGTCTGTGTTTGGAACCACGTAAATATGTGAACTTTAAGGTTTCCTGAAATTTATTTTTTTGTCTTGATTTCTTAATTTTTTTAATTGATATATGATAATTGTACATATTTATGGGGTACGTAGTGATATATATGTTATGTACATATGTATAGTGATCAGATCGGAGTAATTAGCATATCCATCATCTCAAACATTTATCATTTTTGTTGCGTTGGGAACATTCAATGTCCTCCTCCTGGCTATTTTTAGAAACTATTAATAACAAGCGGTCATTAGCAGAAGAATAAAAAATAGCTGATCAACTCTACTGCATTTGAAGTTGTTAACTGCAGTTACCCAAGTAAAGTATGGAGGGAAAGTCTCTTGAATTATTTCTTCAGGTTATTAAAAGCCTCTCAGCACCATATGGACTAAGTTAGTTTTAGGTTTGAATATTATTTCAGCTTATAAAATGTCTCTAGGTGTCAAAACCCAATTGTAGCATGACCTGTGGCAGAGTGGTAGATTTTAATAAGTGAATGCATGAATTGAAATGAAATGACATGTCATTTCTATAAAATGACTATGTTATCATCTTGATTGAAGGAAATAAGAGAAATTAGTCAACTTGGTCATTGCAAACCAGAATAAGGCAAATTAAAGGTCTTTGTCTGAACAGTTCTCTGGGAATCAGATTTGCTCAGGAAACCAGGGAGTAACTGGAGAGTTCCAGAATGCATGCTTCTGTGGAAACTCTGGAAAACTCCTCAAAAATACATTCTAGAACACCTTAGACAGGTGGAAGCTGGGTCAGAAAGCACAAGAGAATAAAGGAACTCCAGTTCAGCACTTAATAATAGTTCCTTCTTGAAGGAAGATTGATTTCCATGCAAGCTGAGCTTTTAAAAACTCAGCCAACTTTTCAGAAAGGACATAGAAAGAGTAGAGGAGAATAAAACATTAGAATCTCATCCCACTAATGGAGAAAAAGGTAAAGCCCAAAGAATTGCTACTCATGGTTTAGAACATTCAAATGCAGAAAAAAGTCAGTTATGAGTAGAACAAGACAGAGGATGCAGTTGTCCACAGACTGCTAGCAAAATAGCTCAAAAATGATTATCACTGGAGCTTATTTAGATTTCTGCTGAGGGTGATTCTCCAGTATGCAGTACAAGAAACCTGAGTCCAGGTTTGGGTGGGCTGAACTCTAAAACTTTTGGAGCCCACAATATGTAATTATTACAAATTTATTTTTAATTTTTTTTTTTTTTTGAGACGGAGTCTCGCTGTGTCACCCAGGCTGGAATGCAGTGGCAGGATCTCGGCTCACTGAAGCCTCCACCTCCTGGATTCAAGTGATTCTGCTGCGTCAGCCTCCCTAGTAACTGGGATTACAGGCATGCGCCACCACTCCCAGCTAATTTTTGTATTTTTACTAGATACGGGGTTTCACCATGTTGGCCAGCCTGGTTTCTAAGTCCTGATCTCAAGTGATCCACCTGCCTCAACCTCCCAAAGTGCTAGGATTACAGGCATAAGCCACTGCGCCCGGCCAGAAAATATTACAAATTTAAATATAGAAAATGAAGTAAGAAAATTGCACAGCTATGTAGACTCGGAAAAGAAATCACAACAAAATGCAAATTTTAGAAATCTGACAAATATCAGAAACATCAAATATCCAGAAAAAAAGAGACAATAATGTCTTAATTAACTGCTAAACTTCCTTGTGTAATACTTTTTCATTTTATTGCTTCTTCATATGACAGAATAACATTTATAGTACCACTGTTCATAAAGAGACTTGAACAAAAATTCTTGCTGCTAGCATTTAATAATTTATGGCTGGGTGTGGTGGCTCACGCCTGTAATCCCAGCACTTTGGGAGACTGAGGCTGGTGGATCACCTGACGTCAGGAGTTTGAGACCAGGCTGGCCAACATGGCAAAATCTCATCTCTACTAAAAATACAAAAAAAAAAAAAAAAAAAAGTTGGGTATGGTGGTGCGTGCCTATAATCCCAGCTACTCAGGAGGCTGAGGCAGGAGAATTGCTTGAACACAGGAGGCAGAGGTTGCAGTGAGCCAAGATCACGCCATTGCACTCCAGCCTGGGTGTCGGAGTGAGACTCTGTCCCCCCCCAAAAAAAATTATTTATAGCTTTAAATAGTTTATTTTATCTTCAAAAGTCATTATGAGTAAAGTTATTTAAATTTCAGAGATTGTGTCAAATTTAGGAAAACATGTTGCAAATTTCTTTTTCAACTGTGCTATAAGAGTAGAAGAAACTTCCACAGATTAGGTTCTTGTTTTATCCATTTCAAGTCTTGTTTCTTTTGTATTTCAAACCTACTTGCTGGAAACCATAGAACATTTTCATGTAGAGTTGATGCAGCACACTTTCATGTCATGTCCCCAAGAAAGTCAGCACAGTGGGTGACAAGAGGATTCCTGGAAGCCTCTCCTATTCTAGAATGTTGCTGTGGATAGAATAGTGTTCATCCCCCCATATGTTCACCTGTCCTAGGCCTCAGAACCTGCAAATATGCTAACTTCCACAGCAAAAGGGCCTTTGCAGATGTGATTAGGAATCTTGAAATGGGGAGGCTAGTCTGGATTATCCAGGTGGGTCCAATATAATCATAAGGTCCTTATAAGAGGGTCAGAGAAGGAGACATAAGGGTGAAAGATGAGATTGCAATGATATGGGTGCACAAGCCAAGGAATGCAGGAAGTCACTAGATGGTGAAAAAGGCAAGGAAACAGATTCTCCCCTAGAGCCTCTAGAAGGAAGGTCAGCCTTGATAACCCAATTTGGACTTCTGACATCCAGAACTGTAAGATAAGAAATTTGTGTTATTTGGAGTCACTACATTTGTGTTCATTTGTTACAGCAGTGTATTAGTTCGTTCTCATGTTGCTATAAATAACTACCTGAGACCGGGTAATTTATGAGGAAAAGAGGTTTAATTGGCTCACAGTTCCACAGGTTGTATAGGGAGCGTGACTGGGAGTCCTCAGGAAACTTTCAATCATGGCAGAAGGTGAAGGGGAAGCCAACATGTCTTACATGGTGGAAGCAGGAAGAGAGAGAGTAAAGGAGAGGTGCTATATACTTTTAAACAAGCAGATCTCGTGAGAACTCACTCATGAGACAGCACTGGGGGGATGGAGCTAAACCATTAGAAACCACCCCCACAATCCAAATAGCTCCCACCAGGCCCCACCTCCAACACTGGGGATTACAATTCAACATGAGATTTGGGTGGGGATACAGAGCCAAACCATATCAAGCCTTAATAGGAAACTTATATAGCTGACTAGCATTACCTTAAGTATAGAAAAAATGTTGAGATCCAAGAAAAACGTTCTACTAAATGGAAATTAAATATTATCCCAACTCATTCAACTCTTAACATGATTCTCAAAATGTACTTGGATAGTCCTCCCCAACCTAATTTGAAGGGTAATACAATGGGAGAGATTTTGACAGCAAAGACACATAGAGGTCTTAATTGATTGCAGTGAAAGTCTCTTACTTTTGTAATTATTGCAGTAATATTGGCCAGGTGAACTGGACCAATTATTAGCGCTCCTGGCCAGGATTCCAGTTAGGCATGTGAAGTGATTCACTCAAGTGCAAGGTTCCTGTCCTTACCTAACATTTTAATATTTTGTTCATTGTGGGACTTTCTTGCATTAATTTAGATTTTATTTTATTTTATTTTTATTTTTTTCTGAGACAGAGTCTGGCTGTTGCCCCTGCTGGAGTGCAGTGGCACGATCTTGGCTCACTGCAACCTCCATCTCCAGGGTTCAAGAGATTTTCTTGCCTCAGCCTCCCGAGTAGCTGGGATTACAGGTGCCCACCACCATGCCCAGTTAATTTTTGTATTTCTAGTAGAGACGGGGTTTCACCATGTTGGCCAGGCTGGTCTCGAACTCCTGACCTCAGATATGCCCACCTCGGCCTCCCAAAGTGCTGGGATTACAGGCGTGAGCCACTGTGCCCAGCCAGATTGTTAAAATAATGCATTAAAATAATACTTATTCAGGTTACTTTCCTTTTGGGCATGCTCTTAAATTTTGTGCTCAAACAAGTGCCTCCTTTAGTTCAGTTTTGCCCCAACTATAGAAGTGAAACCAGAGCTTCAGGTTTGCTTAGCTGTACCATAAATCTGCCTGTGCACCAGTTGAAGAAATATGGGAAGAAAGCAGAATCTGTCCATAACAGGCAGGTTTTGAGGCCTCGGCATAGTGAGAGGCAACAACAAAAGATTCAACTGGTGGACTCGCCACACAACGCGGGGTCCCATCACAATACAGAACCCATCCCAAAGGCAGCCATGTCGTTCCAGAAACACAGGGCTCAGAGGGCAAAGTGAAAATGGAAAGGTAGTGAACGTGTTCACATGGAAGGGCCTCATACCTGCCTTGACATCTCCATCAATTTGCAAGTTTTAGAAAACAGATCTCCTAAGATATGTACCCTTGAGAGAAAAAGCACATCAAGATTTTGAATATGATTAGAGATTCTTGCATTTGTACATCAGTGTGTGTTCCTGCACCCATGTTTGGATTCCTGGATCTTATGAAACACCCACTCATACATAGCACATGTGGCACATCCTTAAGGGCCAAGTTAAACATTTTTTGTTGTTTGTTTTTTTAGACATTGGTTCTCGCTCTGTCACCCAGGCTGCAGTGCAGTGGTGTGATCATAGCTCACTGCAGCTTCGACCTCCCAAGCTCAAAGCATCCTCCTGCCTCAGCCTCCCAAAGCTTTGAGATTACTGGTGTGAGCCACCACCCTCACCCCAAATTAAACTCTTGATGCTGTCACTATTAGGCATACTGATCATGGGAAAGAGACAATAGTCTCTCAGCCTCCTTGGGATCTCTGAGGAGGCCAGACATATTGTCTCTTCCCTGCCACTTCTCTCTGACATCTCCTTGTCCCTGCTGTGATACAGCATCCGTATCTGATGAGTGGTCACACAGTTGTTGTGGCACGGAGTCTGAGAAGAAGAGTAATGTGCATGCTGATTACTTTGAAGTAGAAAATTGGGTCTGTTTAGAGTTTTCCTTTCCTCCATTTTTGGATGCAGCCTTTTTCCAAGAGAGCAGGCATTGTGGACTCCTCTTCCTCACCATCGTATCGGGAGGCGTTCCCCACCCAGAGAAGCTGGAAGCAGAGGTCTCATGGGGGTGGGGGGCTATGAGGATGTCCATTTTTCTGCACATTGAATCTGTATCTTTCAATCCCAATTTGCCAGGCACAAATTGTAAATTTTGATTTCCAGCTGCTTGACTTCTCTCCCTATCTCTCGATTGTTTCCAAATTCAGGTAAGGGAAAGCTGATGTTAATAGGTTCCCTTGAGAGGTGACAGCGTGCTGGCAGCCCTCGCTCGCTTTCGGTGCCTCCTTGGCCTTGGTGCCCACTCTGGCCGCACCTGAGGAGCTCTTCAGCCCACTGCTGCACTGTGGGAGCCCCTTTCTGGGCTGGCCAAGGCCGGAGCCGGCTCCCTCAGCTTGCGGGGAGGTGTGGAGGGAGAGGCGCCGGCAGAAACCGGGGCTGCACGCAGGGCTTGCAGGCCAGCGCGAGTTCCGGGTGGGCGTGGGGTCAGCGGGCCCCGCACTCGGAGAGGCTGGCCGGCCCGCAAGCCCCTGGCAGTGAGGGGCTTAGCACCTGGGCCAGCAGCTGCCGTGCTCGATTTCTCACTGGGCCTTAGCTGCCTCCCCACAGGGCAGGGCTCAGGACCTGCAGCCCGCCATGCCTGGGCCTCCCCCACACCCGCCTCCCCTCCCCCCTCCCCCTCCCCCATCCCCTCCCCCCTCCCCCATCCCCCTCAGCCATCGGCTCCTGCACAGCTGGAGCCTCCCAAACGACGATGAGCGCTGCTCCCTGCTCCACAACGCCCAGTCCCATCAACCGCCCAAGGGCTGAGGAGTGTGGGCACAGGGCACGGGACTGGCAGGCAGCTCCACCTGCGGCCCAGTGCCAGATCCACTGGGTGAAGCCAGCTGGGCTCCTGAGTCTGGTGGGGACTTGGAGAACCTTTATGTCTAGCTAAGGGATTGTAAATACACCAATCAGCACTCTGTATCTAGCTCAAGGTTTGTAAACACACCAATCAGCACCCTGTGTCTAGCTCAGGGTTTGTGAGTGCACCAGTCCTCACTCTGTATCTAGCTAATCTAGTGGGGACATGGAGAACTTTTGTGTCTAGCTCAGGGATTGTAAATGCACCAATCAGCACCCTGTCAAGACAATCGGCTCTCTGTAAAATGGACCAATCAGCAGGATGTAGGTGGGGCCAGATAAGAGAATAAAAGCAGGCTGCCCTGGTCAGCAGTGGCAACACCCTCAGCTCCCTTTCCACGCTGTGGAAGCTTTGTTCTTTCACTCTTTGCAATAAATCTTGCTGCTGCTCACTCTTTGGGTCTGCACTGCCTTTATGAGCTGTAACACTCACTGCGAAGGTCTGCAGCTTCACTCCTGAGCCAGCGAGACCACGAATCTAACAGAAGGAAGAAACTCCGAACACATCTGAACATCAGAAGGAACAAACTCTGGACACGCCACCTTTAAGAATTGTAAGAGGGTGGGCGGCTTCATTCTTGAAGTCAGTGAGACCAAGAACCCACCAATTCCGGACACACCCTTAATCTCCAATATTGGAAGGTCAGTGAGTCTTTGTTGAATCCATAAACAGCCTCATGTTTATGACTGCCCTCCCTTTTATGCATTTGGGTAGTTTCAAGAAAATATGAATCATTTAGCTAAGATTACCATAGAAGAGAAGACTAAGATTACTCACTAATCTTAAGTATATTTTACATTTGAATTTGATTAACTTTATTTTTTGGTGACTGCCATAAAACCACTTATGCATCCTATCCCTGTTCTTAAGAAACATAATTTTCATTTAAAGCATCCCAGTGTATTTTGTGTGTATGTGTGTGTTGGTAGGAGGAGAAGTGTGTGTGTGTGTGTGTGTGTGTGTGTGTGTGTGTAAATAAGGGCTTTAAGCATGTACTTTAGTTTGATTTGAATTCATCTGTTTTAAATTCAGGGTGAAAAATAAAATCCAAGTTTGACAAAGAAAGAGAACAAAAAGCATTATAAAAGTCACCAATTTTCAAACACGTCCTTCATTTGGAAACAAACTCTCAACCAACAATGATTCAAGCAGACAGATCTAAATTGATTGGTTTGGTTTTAGATTCCACCAGATTTTCCAGACTGGGAGCTCTTTGCTCATGAAGCTGCCTGTGTGCTAAGTGGCCAGGATATCAGACACGTTGAAAACCAGAAATGCTTTCACACTGTCCAGTTCAATCAGTGTGACAGAGCCATGTTCCATATGTGTAGGTCAATGGTTTTAACCTGGCATCCGTGGCTAAAATTTGAACCGAAGACCCCAGTGTTTTCCATGAATGCATTTCTAGTTCAGATATATCTTCAAAGTCTCTCTTCTGAGGCATTCCTCGGCCTCTGTCCACTCCCAGCCAGTCCCCTAACCATTTGTCTGGGTCTTATCTGGCATGTGTGTGTAGTTCTCACTTCAACATCTTTAAGGGCTTCAGCATTTTTAAAAAAACAAGGATTTTTTTTCTTCAAAACATTCAGAACATTTAAACGGCTGTGAATCATCCAAATAACAATCACAGTTTATTTGAAAAGGTACAATTAAGATATTGAATGTTGTTATAACATTCTTGTGTGTGCTGACTGGTATGTTAAAGACCAAAGAGTGATACTGTATTCATTTTAGCTTAGTGCCTCTTTCTGCCCCAATTCCTTGGCCAGGATTTGCAGAAATTTTTACTAAGGACACTGTCGGTGTGGCTAGCATACCATCCTGTTGTGTACAAGCAGAAATCAGACTTGTGACCTACCCAAATCCCCACCACCCTTCTTCTCAATACTCATCAAAAACCCCATTGCCACCATCTCCTGGGTGATACTGAGGCTTCTGCAAAACACACAAAAACAAATGCCTCTTATCCAAAAAAAAGTGTGTGTGTATGTGTGTGTGTATGTATGTATTTTTCTCATCTTAACTTTCTTTTTCTTTCTTTCTTTTCTTTTTTTTTTTTTTTTTTTTTTTTTGAGACAAGGTCTCACTCTGTTGCCCAGGCTGGAGTGCAGTGGCACAATCACGGCTCACTGCAGCCTCTGTCTCCCAGGATCCAGCAATTCTCCCACCTCAGCCTCCCCAGTAGCTGGGATGACAGGTGTGTACCACCATGCCCAGCTAATTTTTGTATTTTTTATAGAGACGGGATTTTCCCATGTCGCCCGGGCTGGTCTTGAACTCCTGGGCTCAAGCAATCCGCCCACCTTGGCCTCCCAAAGTGCTGGGATTACAGGCATGAGCCACCGTGCCTGGCCAGCATCTTAATTTTCACTGTAGCATTTCCAGCGTTTGTTTCATCATATCGTTCAGAATGTTTCCCTCTTTCTCTGTGATGTATGAGAAGTTGTGCCCCACCTCATATTCTCAAGTACAACACACGATGAGGAATATTAGAACTATAACATCCTTCAGGCTGAAAGATAACTCATTAGTGCTAACCACTGCTGTTATTATTCCTGCTGCCATTTTACTATTGGGAAAACTGGCAATTAATGTCCTTTCCCAATGTGCATAATCCCTTCTGAGAATGGGTTTTGAGAAAAATGAGAAGGTTTGCGTGGGATGTGGGACGTGGAATGAAGTGGAAGCCGTTATTTTCCAGAGGCCCAGGCTACTGGAAGCAGCTATTTCAAAGAGCTCTACCCCATCTTCCACGTCATGGTTGTGATGAAACCCCAAATGCTGCCACACTTTTAGTGATTTTCCTTTCTGGTTTGAACCCAGATTCATCCACATGCTCACAAAGCTCTGACGGTTAACTCAGTCACAGTCAGCCAAACTGTGGCCTCAAAGCTCATGAACCTTCTCCCTCAGAAAGACAAACAGAAGAGCAAAACCCCTCCCTAAATAGCATTCTTAGTTCTCAAATTCTTTAGTAACCACCCTCACCCTCAAATGCACAATGGTATACATTTATTTGTTGGTTTACATGTATGCCCTTTGTCTACCTTACTGGACTAAAGTTGCAGAGGTGGCTGGCAAACTTAGCCCCATTTAGTCTAACAGTGCTGTAAGGAGTAAGTCAGATAGCCCCTGGGACAAGTTGCCTGATAGGATACATGTTAACCCATTGAATTTGTATTTCAGAAAAGCAATAAATGTGTTTTTTTTTTTAAGTATAAGCATGTCCCATGCAATATTTGGGATATGCTTAAACTAAAAGTGATTTGTTATTTATTTGGCATTCAAATTTAACTGGGTAACCTGTCATTTTACTAAGTCAGGCAGCCCTATCCCAGGAGCATTGTGACTGATTGCCAAGAGCACCAGTCATTTATCTTCTTGCTTCCAGCTTCCTTCCTACTCTCTGCTGCTATCCCCTGTGTCGCGGGGTGCTGGGATCCTACAAATACATTTCTCAGTCTGGAGCCTCTGAGTATGGGTGTTGGATTAGTGATTACCAAAGAGAAGAACTTGCATGAGTTTTGAAAGGGTCGGGGTGGGGGTGAACTGTGTGAGATTGGAATATGGGGCTCTTCCAATGGGAAGCACAGACAGGAACTGGAAGGCTTTTGGGTTCCCTCCCTTTGTCCAGAGCCTCCATAAGGGAAAGACTGGCTCCCACGTGGTCCCCAGGCAGTGTGGTCGCAGTGAGGCAGCAGTGTCGAGCACAAATGCAGCAGCCTGTGGGGCACGGCAGGTGCAGGCTCTGGCTCAAGCCATGGTGGTGACGGGCTGGCAGCTTCAGGCTCCCAGAGTCCTGAGACAGCATCAGGGCCCTGGGCTCCTGCATTCCTGCAAGGTGGTGGTCTTGGTTCTAAGGCTGCCATGAATACTCTCAGAGCCTCAGTGGTGGGGGATTACGGGCTCTTGGTGAAACCATTTTCTCTTTCACTCCTTCAGCACAGAAGTGGTAGGAGCTTTCTGCAGTTCTTAATCTCTTGGCCATCTTACCTTCCCTTTCTACCTTCTTCTGGATCTCCTGCCCCTTTCTAAATGATTCATTTTCAATAGATTCCTTCTGTTGGAATGCATAGGGTGGTAATGCCTTCTTACCAGACCCTGCCAGAAGTAGTGAGCTAAGTCTTTTATTCTTATCATCTGCAATCAACAAGAGCCTCTCATGCATCATTACATTCATCATTTCATCACCAAACACATCATTGCATAATCAGACACGTCATTACATCATCACACACATCATTACCTCATATGTGCACCTCCCACTCTCCACCTAGACACAGGGAAGAGAGGAAGGCACCAGGAAATCAGAGTGGTAAAGAAAACTTCAGGAAATCAGGTGGTTTTAAGACCCTTTATTATGACTTAAATAAATTCTGAAATTAGTTTCTTTAAGGAAGGCCCCTAAACCGGGAATGAACATGAATAAGAATTATAGTCATTTTAGCGACCATAGTTTCCCCAGGAATTATTGCACTAAGGCATTTAAATTTTTTTCCAAATGCTAAAATATTTTGTCAGCTTTATTGACCATTCTTTCTAACCCCTCAGTAAATTATATCTCTATCTGAAGTGGAACATAGGAGATGCCCTAAGCTTCTCAAAGATGTTTTGTAACGATCTAGGTAAGGACTGTGTCTAATGGAAATGACAGGCATAATTTATTTGTGAAAGCAGAAATGAAATTCAACCTTGACAACAGATTGCGCATTTTTCCATAATGCCATGGAAGTGAAATTCTTGTGATGTAGATTAAATCGTGGAATTTGACTTATTGTTCAAAAACATTAGTTCAACTCTAAACAGTTGAATTACTCAGCAGCTGTGTACAAATGTATGATACAGATAACAAAATGTATTAACAATTCCCTAGATCTACAGAAATCTATCACTGCTTTTTAGGATAAGCTTGACTTTTGTTCAAATAAAAATGCAAAAGGAAAGTGTATCCTAAAAGGCAATGACAGTTTAATGTGTTTCTGACATGCAACCTTCAAGAGATCCATATATGAACCATTTTGTGTGGATAGTACAACTCTAAACATAATGTTATGTGGAAATTTGTATACAGAATATTTAGCAAAGAAGAGTCAGGATGAATAAAGTGAAAGGAAAGACTTTCCCAATGTTATTTTTTAAGTGATATGAGATGCATCAAGTGAGATGTGTTTGACAAAACTTTATTCAACGTTGATCCTGACAGAAAAGAAGCAGGAAAAAACAATTAATACACTTCCTATGTCTTGAAAAGTAGCAATTTTAATTTTATTGTGCATTTTGCTTGACGATTTTATATATGACTTCCAGTCAATATTTCATCTGGAGGACTGAGCAGGTATTATGATTCCCATTTTATGGCAGATTGCAAGGTGAATGTCACCTGTCATCAGCGCATACCTGGCCAGGGGCCACGTCTTCCAGATTCCAGCCCACACGGCATGGGTGCCTGCATTTCCCTGTTGCTCTTCTCCTCACACTGATATTAATGAAGCACATCTACTTTTAGTCAATAACCACTTTTATGTTACAGACACATAACAACTGGGAAATAAACATCTATATAATTAATCTCAACTAAGCCAGTTAACCCTTACTTTTTACCTAGGCTGTATGCTGAAATGTGTGCCTTTTCTATAAAGGGGTTTGTATTCCTCTCATTATATTGTATCAGGAGGAATCACTCTAAGATAAAACAGTTTATCTCCAAAAGTCTGCAGAAAATGTTGATAACAACCTGCAACTCTCTGGTAAAGGACTGTGAAATGCAAAACAAACCAAACCAAGCCCCAAGACCTACTCATGTAAGATGATGCTATGATACATTGCATTCATCTTTAGCTTTTTAGCCGTCTAAATTGTGTTCTATGAGAGTCTTAAATATCTTCCCTTTATCTCCTTAAGAAAGTCCTAAATTCTTAGCCAATTTTTTTTCCTTTTTTTTTTTTTTAAGAAAGGATCTCGCTCTGTTGCCCATTCTGGAGTGCAGTGGCACAATCTCGGCTCACTGCAACCTCCGCCTCCCGGGTTCAAGTGATCTTCTGCCTCAGCCTCTCGAGTAGCTGGGACCACAGGACTATAGGTGTGTGCCACCATGCCCAACTAATTTTTGTATTTTTAGTAGAGACAGGATTTCACCATGTTGGCCAGGCTGGTCTCAAACTCCTGATCTCAAGTGATCTTTCTGCCTCGGCCTCCCAAAGTGCTGGGATTACAGGTGTTAGCCACTGTGCCCGGCCCTTAGCTGGTCTTTGAGGACACAATACTGTCCTGTGCATTCTTTCCCAGACATGGCCTTACATCAACTGGAATCCCCAACCAGTCACTGTCTTGCATTGTTTTTTAAATACATTATAGTTTCCACTTTCTGGTACTGGTTCTTTTCCTTCTAGTTGCAAGTACCTGATACCTCTGTCTATAGCAACCTTTCTTCATGGCCCTGCTCAAATGCTCCATCCTCCACAAAGCATTCATTCATTGATTGCACCAGCCAGAAGTGAAGTCTGCATCCTAAGATTACATACAACTCTTTCTTCAAGCCCTTTATTCCAATCATATCCATACGGCTCTGGATTGTTTTCATGAATGTCCTTATCTAATCTCTCCTGAGAGACCCTAAATTCCCTTGGGAGAGGGACTTTATTTTAGAGCTAAGGCTGCCTTCAATCTTCTTTATTTAGTTATAGCTGCTATAAACCTTCTTTGACGTTAGAAAAAGCATACCAATATCTACCAATATTTAGTATTTATTAAGTTCCTGTTATATGTCAGGAATTCTGCAAAGGATTTTACATACGCTATTTCCATTTGCCTTAAGAGTTCTGCAAGATAGTATAAACCAAAAGGTATCTGAGACAGGTCTCAATCAATTTAGAAGTTTATTTTGCCACTGAGAAGGAAATAATCGTGAAGGAGGTTTGTGCCTTTCTCCAAAGATAATGTTGAGGACTTCAGCATTTGAAGAGGAATAGCTGTCTGGAGGGGAAAAAGGGAGGGTATGGTCACATTACTGAATCCACATGCTGCAAGTGAAAGGAAGCAGGTTGGGGAATAGTCAATAATATATTTATCTCTTGCTCCATAAATCAGCACTTTACATAAGATAAGGTGAACACAGAGTAGCTACCTATGGAGACATTTAACCTTTTATCTTAGCTGTCTGTAGAGGAACAAGAGGAAAGGCAGTTTCTTGCACGACTCAATTTTCAGCTTAGTTTGTTTTCTTCTGGCATAGTGAGTTGGGGCCCCAAGTTTTTATTTTCCTTTCAGAATAGATATTACTATTCATATAAAAGGCCCCATAACTTATAAAAGACTGTCAGCGCTGGTGTAAGTCAAATCTGACCTAACTCTAGCCTACCATACTGATATTACACTGTTGTGCAATCATGGTCTGCTATGATTTGAGTGTTTGTCCCTTCCAAAATTCATGTTGAAACTTAATCCCTGATGTTGAGAGGTGGGGCCTTTAAGCGGAGCCTGGGTCATAAAGACTCTGCTGTCAAGAATGGATTATCCACTTATTAATTAATGGATTAATCAGTTTATGAATTAATGTATTGATGGGTTGTAACAAGAGTGGGACTGATGGCTTTATATGAAGAGCAAGAGAGACCTGAGCTAACACACTCAGCTTCCTCACCATGCGATGCTCTGTGCCTCCTGAGAATGCTGCAGGCTGCAGAGAGGTCTCCTGCAACCCCCAACTAGCAAGAAGGCCCTCACCAGATACAGCCTGTTGGCCTTGGACTTCTCAACCTCCATAAGTGTAAGAAATAAGTTCATTTTCTTTATAAATTACCTAGTTTCCAGTATTCTGTTATCAGCAACAGAACAGGGACTAAGACATGGTCTCAATAATAATCTCAAAAACTATTTCTGTCCTCAGAGGTCATAATTGCGTTGAAGACTTAGGTTCCAAGAAGGGACATACCACAAAGTGGGACACTACACATAATAGAAGTAAAATTGCTCTTCTTTCAACCACAGAGGCAGAGCTCATTAATTCTGACTGTGAGGAAGGATTTGAGGTAGGCTTAATAAAAGAGATAATATTTGAGCTAAGCCTTGAAGGAGAAGGGTGATGTTGACAGAGGAGAAGATGGAAGGGCATTTTAGAGAGAGAGAACAGGTATGATTAAAGCCATAAGCTCCATGAACAGGGATGAGTTGTTGGAAGGAAGGGGTGTAGGTTTGGAACAGGGAGTGAGTTATGAAGCTGCAACAAAGACTAAAGTCCAACTTGGAACAACGCTGAATGCAACAGAAAGGGAGTCAGCATTTTATCTTTATGAAGTGAGAAAGCATGGAGTGGGAAACTGACATGCTCAGAAATTTGTTTTGAGCAGATGGATCTATGAACAGCATGAGAGGATATATCTAAGTGTATCTTTTAACTGAGATACATATCTAGAAATGTGCATTTTTAAAAAATTCCTGACTTACTACCTAAAAGTCTACACATGTCTTTATTTGTACATCCATTCTGACCAAGTTGGAGGTAAAATATTTATATTGTAGAACATCCTTCCAGACTCATCTCACAGCCAAGCTGCTGTGAGCTACTTTCTGTTTATTTTTTTCCAGTTACATTTTTTTTTTCAAAAATAAACCTTGTATTAAGGTGTTGGGGTTGATTTAGGGGAAAAAATAATCTCACATGTTTTCTGAAAATTACAACTTAATGTAAAATAAATAGAAAATGTTTTCTATTAACCTGTTAGTTTCCTAGCTGAATATTTTGACTATCTTTTGCTTGCCTGTCTACTGCACAAATATTTTATCTTTTAACATGTCAAACGTCAATGAAGTTATGACAGACAGGCCACATCCCCACTTCCATAGAGAAGAATCATAATTGTCCCTCTTAGTGCCTTGTGCATTTTAACAATTTGAGAGGAAACTCAATCTTTATGTAAAGAATGTGCCAATTTAAGCATTTTGTCTCACCCATCTGCCCTCTGATGGCCTCTTATAGATGTTCTGCCTTTTAAGAATAAATTAGGCCAAGTGCAGTGGCTCATGCCTGTAATCCTAGCACTTTGGGAGGTTGAGGAGGGAGAATTGCTTGAGTCCATGAGTTCAAGACCAGCCTGGGCAACATAGGAAGACTCCACCTGTATGGATCATCAAAAAATTAACGGGGCGTGGTGGCATGCACTTGTAGTCCCAGCTACTTGGGAGGCGGAGGCAGGAGGATCAGTTGAGCCTGGAAGGTTGAGGCTATAGTGAGCTGTGATGGCTCCACTGCACTCCTTGAATAAATCAGATCCATGAATACTTTATCCATTACTGGGGGAAAAAAGAAGTCTTATGCTATACTATACATTGTTATACATTGTTTCTTGACCAAATGAATTCATGTTATGCTTGTAAGAACTCATATATATTAAAATAATTATTAAAATCTGGAGAGGTTCATGCCTGATATAATTAGGCTTTGTGTCCCCACCCAAATCTCATTTTTAATTGTAATCCCCATAATCTCCATGTGTCAAGGGAGAGACCATGTGGGGGTAATCAGATCATGGGGGCAGTTTTCCTCATGCTATTCTCGTGATGGTGAGTGAGTTCTCAGGAGATCTCATGATTTTATAAGGGGCTCTTTACCCTTCACTTGGCACTTCTCCTTCCTGCAGCCTTGTGAAGAAGGTGTCTGCTTCCCCTTCACCTACTGCCCTGATTGTAAGTTTCCTGAGGCCTCCCCAGCCAGGCTAAACAGTGAGTCAAAACTTCAAGTTTCCTATTCTTCCCTAAAATTGATAAATGTTCAACTGATTTAATGTAGCTAGAGGTCTAGCAATTAAGGGAATGATGCAAAAATTAAAGAACAGGAACAAAAAGGCTCTTCTTCTTGGTAAAGTTATTTCCAAGATAAAATAGGTCAGAGTCCTTTTTAGTATTGGGTTGTCTTTATGTTTGGTGGTATGGCTGCAATAGAGTTCATAGCGTCAGGCCACTGTGGAACCATTGTTTCCTGAAAGTTCTGTATCATTAATATGTTTCTCTGAAATGATTTAACTTCTAAACTGGTACAGATCTCAGTACGTACATGTGAAGGGGCTGGGCATGGTGGCTCATGCCTGTAATCGCAGCACTTTTGGAGGCCGAAGTGGGCGGATCGCTTAATCTCAGAAGTTCAAGACCAGCATGAGCAACGTGGCGAAACCTCATTTTTACAAAAAACACAAAATTTAGCTGGATGTGGGGGCACATGCTTGTCATCCCAGCTACTTGGGAGGCTGAGGTGGGAGGATTACTTGAGCCTGGTTGGCCAAGGCTGCAGGGAATGAGCCTTGATCATGCCACTGCACTCCAGCCTGGGTGACAGAACAAGGCCCTGTCTCAAAAATAAAAATAATACATGTGAAGGGTGAACTTAACATAAATAGACTGTGCTAGGGACAGAAAATATTTAAAAACTCTAATCCAAAAGCTTTTGACAGTATTTTCTCTTTTTTGAATGATTAGAAGTGTGAGACATTGAAAACATCAAGGATCACATGTAAGGCAATTAGAAAACATTCCACCAAAGACTCTGGGGGAGCATGAAGTATCTGTCAGTGAACCAGCAGGCAGGAGAGCTGATGTTTGCAAGAATGCAGCAGAAACTATAATGCACATTGCTATCCTAAGTTAGCTTGTTCTTACTCAAATCATTAAAACAATAACCTCATTTTCTGTCTCAATAGAATCCTTCTATTAAGAGTGTTATACATTTTATAGATGTAGAAAGAACTTAACCTCATCTTCAGTGTTCCACCTGGGTGGGTGTGGCTGATGCATTTGCTTCATTTCAGACTCCAAAAAGCATATTGGTTTATATTCATTAGCTTTACTGGTTCCTTTTCTCTAAAGAACCCAAGGTGCTCTTGAGAGCTGCTTCATATAATGAGCATGTAGTGCCTCTTAAATCAGGAGAACAAAGAGGCAGTCAAGGAGAAAGACAAGTAAATGAGGAATGAAAGACCTTGAACATGAAAGTGGGTTGAGTTTGATGATGCCATACATTTGGCATTGCTTATGCAGTTTTCAGTAAACTAAAATCATTTTTTCGATGCCATTGGCTGATCAATAAGACCAAGAGGTTATAGAGAACACCAGGTATTCAATTCCTGTGACTTCAGAATATCAGTTATCTCCAAGTGCTGATAACATCATTGATAATATAAATTATTTCTCAGGTGTTTAAATCTAGTGTTGACTTTCTTGAATCTGAAACATTTTAGAATGTTTTCTCAACAATTAATGCCCTTTATTCCATCTTTCCATTCATTGTCCCTTCCCCACCGCCATGCTCACACTTGATTCTTGACTGACCACTTCCCCATTTTCTTTCTCTTCATAACCATTTTATTTTTTCAGCCTGCATTTTCAAAGCCACATCCTTCTGGTTTCTTGTATTTGCTTGCCTTTTGACCCCAGCCCCTTTTCATTCCTACAATTTCCTTTCTTTTTATCCTACTTTTTCTCCAGAATGTGATTTTTCTTCTACATGTCTCTTTCTGCTTTGCATGTCCTGCTGAAGATTCCTCTCTCTGTCCTCTGTGTGTGCTAACTCCATGGAAGCCCTTTCTCCATATTATACTTTACATCAAATTGTTTGTTATCCCCCCAGGAAGGTTTTTTATTCCTTTACACTTTCTCCACTTTCCACGTCTAGGTGACCACATTGGGCATACTTGATTCCAGTTCCTTCCCATTGGCGGGTGCTCAGCTGAAAATGGCAGCTCTGTCTCCCTCCCCTGTCACTGGGACTCTTCTCTCCAAGGTGAAGGACCATCTGAAGTTTTGTTTACGGAATTATCAGGGGTCCTGAATAAGGACTGCCTTCCTTATCCAGGCACAATTCCCTGATTTCCAACCAGACACCAGGAAAGCTGAGGACTGAATTGTGCCACCCCCACCACCAAAAAGTCCATATGTTGAAGCCCTAACCTCCAATATGATGGTATTGGAGATGGGCCATTGAGAGGTGATAAGGGTTAGATGAGTTCATGAGGACCTGTATTAGTTAGGGTTCTCTAGAGGAACAGAACTAATAGGATAGATATATACATAAAGGGGAGTTCATTACATTACATATTAACTTACACAATCACAAGGTCCCTTACATGATTGCGAGGCCATCTGCAAGCCGAGGAGAAAGGAAAGCCAATCCAAATCCCAAAACTAAAGAACTTGTAGTCCGATGCTTGAGGGCAGGAAGCATCCATCATGGGAGAAAGATGTAGGCTGGGAGGCTAGGTCAGTGTAGTCTTTTCATGTTTTTCTGCCTGCTTTATATTCTAGACATGGTGGCAGCTGGTTAAATGGTGCCCACTCAGATTAAGGATGGGTCTGCCTCTCCCAGCCCACTGACTCAAATGTTATTCTCCTTTGGCAACACCCTCACAAACACACCCAGGATCAATACTTTGCATCCTTCAATCCAGTCCAGTTGACACTCAGTATTAACCATCACAATGGCAGTGTAAGTTACTTCAATCGTTGTGGAAGACAGTGTGGTGACTCCTCAAAGACAAAGACAGAAATACCATTTGCCCCAGGAATCCCATTACTGGGTATATATGCAAAGGAATATAAATTGTTCTGTTATAAAGACACATGCACATGTATGTGCATTGCAGCACTATTCACAATAACAAAGATGTAGAATCAACCTAAATGCCCATCAATGATAGACTGGATAATGAAAATGTGGTACATGTACATGATGGAATATTATGCAGCCATAAAAAAGAACAAGATCATGTCCTTTGCAGTAACATGGACGGAGCTGGAGGCCATTACCCTTAGCAAACTAATGCAGGAACAGAAAACAAATTCCACATGCTCTCACTTGTAAGTGGGAGCTAAATGATGAGAACATATGGACACAAAGAGGGGAACAACAGACGCTGGGGCTTCTCAGAGGGTGGAGTGTTGGAGGAGGAAGGGGATCAGGAAAAATAACTAATGGGTACTAGGCTTAGTACCTGGGTGATGAAACAACCTGTACAACAAAGCCCCATGACAAAAGTTTGCATATGTAACACACCTGTACATGTACCTCTAAACTTAAAAGTTAAAAAAAGAATGCAGAGTATCTCCACTGCTATTGAATATGATGCTAAAGGTGTTTTTCTAAACAAGAAAAATAAGTAAACCAGTTAGAGGCATAAGGACTAGGAAAAATACTAATTCCTATTATTTTTTAGATGATACCTGGAAAGCTTTAGATAATTAATGATCAAACTAATTCACAAAGTACAATAATTCAGTAAATTAGCAATAAAAATAACATACAGAAGTCATTAGTATACACCCAAAACAAAAATTTATAGAGTATTCAGTATTAGAGAAAACTCTATGTACAATTACAGCAAGATGACATACCCCTTAGAAATAAAGACAAAAAGAAATGTGCCAAGTGTATAATTTAAAAAACCTTTAAAATCTGAAAGAAAAAAACGTAGATTAAACAAAAGGCCAAACATCCTTGAACAAGATGGCTCAAAAACATAATGAAGTCAATTCTAAATGGGTGAATTTATAAAATTAATGTCACAATTTTTGAAAACTACGAATTGTCTTATGGAGTAAGATTAGTTGACACGGAAGTTCATGTGGAATAACCAGCAGGCAAGAATAGCCAGAAAAACCCTTAGTAGGGTCAAGCCCTTTCAGAATTTCAACACATTATTAAGCATCTTTAATGAAAATAATTTGTTACAGGTACATGAGAAGACAGAAAGACTAGAGGAATAGAAGAGAACATCTAGAAACCGGTAGAAGTACAGAAGAAGGCAGTTTCGTATTTAATAAGGATGGTATCTCAAACCACTGGGCAATAATAAATTTTTTTCTTGAGACAGGGTCACACGCTGTTGCCCAGGCTGGAGTGCAGTGGCTCAATGAAGGCTCACTGCAGCCTCAGCCTCCAGGCTCAAACAATCGTCCTGGCTCAGCCTCCCAAGTATCTGGGACTATGGGCTTGCACCACCATGCCTGGCTACTGTATTATGTTTATTCTTAATTTAGAGACAGGGTCTCAATATGTTGCTTAGATGGGTCTTGAACTCCTGGGGTCAAGCCATTCTTCTGCCACAGCCTCCTGAGTAGCTAGGACTACAGGTGTGCACCACAGTGTCAAGAATAATGGATTTTTAAGCAAATGTTGGGACAAGCTGGAAAATGATAAATTTAGATCCATACTTCATTTGTACACAGGAGTAAACTCCAAATGAATCCAGTATCTAAACATACATGCACATACACATGCTTAGATGTATGCATACCTACATAATACAGCCATGTAAGTGCTAGAAGAAAAATGAATTAATTCTTCTATAATCTCAGTGTGGGGAAAGGGCTAAGTATCACTCAAAATCAAATGCAATCAAATATATATAACATTTGAATATGTAATTTTCTAAAAATTTGCTGGGCAAAAAATGCAATTAAAAAGTCATGAGAAATATACACCTGCACCACATAAGAATATTTCAGTCAGTGACAGACCACATATTTGATGGTGGTCCCATGAGATTACACCGTATTTGTAGCATACTTTACCTAAGTGTGGATAGGTTTAGGTACACAAATACCATGTGTAACATGTGTTACAGTTGTCTACATTATTCAGTGTGGTTTCAGGGTGCACAGGTGTGTAGCCCAGGAGCAATGGGCTACAATATACAGCCCAGGTGAGCAGTGTGGGCTGTGCCTTCTGGGTTTGAGTGTGTTCACTCTAAGATGATTGCACAAGGACCAAACAACCTAAAGATGCATTTCTCAGGAAGTATTCCCAGCACAGAGTTGTATAAGTAGCCTCATAAAGGAGCTAATGTTAATACATTTTTAAAAATTGAAAATTGAAGGAAAAAAATTTTTTAAAAATACATATGCTATGGGTACAGGCATATTTCTATTTAGATACTTTCTATCATGAAAATATTATCCAAATATAAATATAAGATTAAAAGGTTTCTAAACTGAGTTTACAATTCAATCAGATTTTAAAGATAAGTGATATTCCTCTAGGCAAGGCCATGGGTCAAAGAGACCTTTAAACAGCAAACTGGGCCTACAGTGTAACCAATTTAAAAACTAAACTTAATTTACATTTAGAATTTATCTGATAAGACTTTCACTCAGGGCAGTCTTAGCAAATTTGAGGCTCAGTATCTGCTTCTGAAGCTGGGAGACAATCCCTGAGTTCATCATTTTCTTTCATCACTTTGTCCACTGAACTTAGGAGCAACCAACCAACTTCATTATGTTCCTTGGTTCTCCACATATGGTCAAAGGTATTATCTATAGAGTCACTAAACTCCTTGCCTTTCACAAGTAGTGAATCAGGAGTGTCAAATGCATTTATTTTGCATAACTCTCTAAACATTTCACACCAAAGACTATCAGTGTTCTCCATACTATTAGAAATAAAGTCCTTAACATTTTGGGGTCTAATCATGTTAAGCAACCAACTCCAGAAACCCCAAAACTAACTAAAGAACTCCATCCTTAATATTCTATTCCTCTAGAACCACTTCTGGTACCAAAATCTGTATTACTTGGGGTTCCCTAGAGGAACAGAACTAATAGGAGATATATATATATATATATATGGCAGTTCATTAAGTATTAACTCACATGATCACAAGGTTCCACAACAGGCCGTCTGCAAGCTGAAGAGCAAGGAGAGCCAGTCCAGTCTCAAAACTGAAGAACTTGGAGTCTGATATTCGATGGCAGGAAGCATTCAGCATGGGAGAAAGTTGTAGGCTGGGAGGCTAGGCCAGTGTAGTCTTTTCATGGTGTTTTTTTTTTTTTTTTTTTTGGCCTGCTTTATATTCTAGCCGTGCTGGCAGCTGATTAGATTGTGCCCACTAGATTAAGGGTGGGTCTGCCTTCCCCAGCCCACTGACTCAAATGTTAATCTCCTTTGGCAACACCCTCACAGACACACCCAGGATCAATACTTTGCATCCTTCAAGACAATCAAGTTGACACTCAATATTAACCATCACAGGGCCCAAGCTTCATGATGGGATTAGTGGCTGATAAGAAGAGGAAGAAGATTTCTCTCTCTCTCTCTCTCTCTCTCTGTCTGTCTCTTTCCCCACCCCACACTAACCATTTGAGAACACATAGAGAAGTGGCTGTCTGCAAACTGGGAAGAGAGCACTCACTGGGAACTGATTTAGCTGAAATCTTGATTTTGGACTTTCAAATGTCTGTTGTTTATGCCACCCAGTCTATAGTAGATTTGTTATTGTTGTTGTTGTTGTTTTAGTTGTTCTTTTTTTTGTTAGTTTGGTTTTTTTTTATAGCAGCCCTAGCCGACTAAGACAGATACCTCAAAGCCTCTGACCTACGCCTACTACCGTGGCAATACAAAGTCACTGTTTCGTAACACTGTGACCCAGGATAATATTTTCAGTTCCATAAACACGTGTTTATAAACTGAAACCTCTTAGGTCTTTCTTTTCACAATATTCTGAAAACCAAGTGGATATGTTCTCAAATTATTTATGGTCAAAAGGGAAAAAATAGGAAGTGATTTATATTGTAAGGGACAGAAAACACTACAGTGAAGATTTACTGAGTAGTGTTGGTGTTTGAAATATATTTCGTTGTTGTTGTTGTTGTTGTTTTTGAGACAGAGTCTTGCTCTGTTGCCCAGGCTGTAGTGCAGTGGCACCATCTAGGCTTACTGCAACCTCTGCCTCCCGGGTTCAAGTGATTCTCCTGCCTCAGCCTCCTGAGTAGCTGGGACTAAAGACATGAACCACCACACCCGGCTGTAATGTTTTTGTATTTCTTAGATTTTTTTCAAGTTGTTAACAAAGTGAACTTAAGAATGAGGACACCATCATTTGTAAATACTGACTAATTCCATAGGCTGTAACAGAACAATTTATGCTAGACTGGTTTCCCCATTTTTCAAGTCTGTCTTTAAGGCAGTGAAAACAGGCAGGACTCTACAATTAGCTTTTTAGTCATATGATTAAACAAAGAATGCATTGGGCCTGGTGATACAGGGAGACCTTTCCTCTTACTGATAGTAAAAAAAATGAAATTCGTTTTTCATTTTAAAAAAAGTGATCGTAATTGTTTGGTTTTCTGGTTGATTGAAAGATCCAAAAAGAGGGTTGTGGTGCCACTGCCTGGTATTTGTTTTAAATTAATTTTAATGCAAGTTGAAATTGTGATCAAAGATTTAGCTTTATCCAAGAAAAACAGTTCTTTATTCCTAATGCATTTCATTTCACGCCAACCAATTAAACCTGGCAAAGAGACAAGGGCATTAGCCGTTAATTAAACAGGGGAGCCCCAGAATGCAAAATTTAATGCATTCTACCTCTGTTCTACACTCCCAAGTTACCACCACATTTTTATTCATAAACTCTTATAATCCCATAGGACAGTTGGCATTCCCAGATATTTCTCCTTAAAAGTACTTGATGGGATTTTAAATATCAGTCAAATATTCATAATTTTAAAATTGTATTTAGAAAAGCAGGAATGAATCCTAAAGTCCATTGGATTTCAGTAACTGTAGTTGTCTCTAAAAATACAAAACCATTTTCTTGACTTCTGTTTCAGACAAATTAGAGTGACATATAACACTGTAATTATGTTTGAAGTTTGGCTCAACCATAGATAAGCTAAGAAAATAATAATTTTTAAAAGTTAAAGTTAATGGAAGGCTGAATGACATTTGTTTAAAAGCCATTTTTAAAACTTCAGCAAAAATTCTCAAGGACTTAAGGAGAGTTGCTGCACAAACTTTCCTTGTGAAAGGGATTGAGAAAGATTCCAACCAACTCCTCCGGGTGCCGTGAGTCATACTGTGTAAATGCAAAAGATTTCAGACTCAAGTCAACCGATTTTGAAGTGCTTTTGAAGTTTAAAGTGCTTTACCAATGAGTACCAAACATCAAATGAAATCTTCCGGGCAAAGCAAATCATATGTTCAAAACCAAATGCTTAGGAGAGCTCTCTGAGGTATTAGCATCTCAGATGTTAAGAAGAAAAAAAAATTCATCAAAAAATGTTTCATCTGATGCATCTCCTACTTGCAAATAGCTATCACTGATACTTTTCAAAGGTGTTAGTCTTTCCTAAAAACCCAGTTGGGGATGAGAGTGAAAATGTATGTTTTAGACAGTATTCAAGTCATGTCTGAAGTGCTTTAGTCAAGTATACAAATAAATGCTGCTCCCGTTCTGGGTGAAAACATCATGTCGGGCAAAAGATTAGGACAGAATAGGCCTTTTTAAAAAGATTTTTTTCCAGGTGTTTTTGGGCCAAGTTGCCCAGTTATCAGAGAGCAATGAGGTTCACTTTCCACGACAGTATTATCCATGACAATACAACCTCCCCAGAAGGCATTTGGCAAAGCAATCTCATGCCTTTGAACTGTGAAGGCCAAGATCCTTGACCCCAGAGGTCTGCTGAAAAATCACTACCATGAGGCAAATTGATTAGTAGGAGAAAAGGCATACAAATATATTTAATGTGTACAGACAAGAGTCTTCACAATGAAGACTCAACCTCTCAATGAGGTTTGAAGCTTATGCACTATCCTGAGGTTACAGAAAGAGTGGGGGCCTTGGAGCCTTGTGAAATAGGTGACTGGAGGGGGAGAAGAAGAATTCTATTGTGGGGCAGTAAGTGATTACTAGGGAGAATGAATACATGGGAAACAGGGATTAACTTGTAAATAGTTTTCTTTGGAATTTAACTGATTCTTAGAGACAGTCATCTGGAAAAAGGGTCTGTTCAGGTGTGGTAATATGTTGGTCATCTTTCCAGCAATGGGTAAGGAGATAATAGGAGAGGAACAAGAACAATTGTTCTCCTTGGTGGGTGAGTCCTAGCCTTATGTAGATAGGAAAAAAGTTTTTTGCAGCACTTGTTGATCTCTAAGGGCTTTTCGTTCAAAATACTCATTATATCAGGGAGCCCTATTTTTCGGTGAAATATTTTGATTTCCTTCACAACCATAGTATCATGTGGCTGCACTTTTTGCAAGTTGATGAACTGGAAGAAAATGCCTGGGTGCTGAGTCTGATACCCGTAGGCTATGGGAGGTCCCCAAAACCAGGTGGGACCTCAATCCTGGCCGGTGTCCAGGCTCTTGATACCATCAGGAGAAGAAATTCAAGGAAGAGTCAAAAAAATAGTGTTAAGTGTGGACATTTATTGCATACCAAAAGTACACACCGAAGAAAGGTGAGTGCAGGTGTACTCAAGAAAATGAGTCACGCACAACAGAGTTTGGGGCTGCTACCTTTATGGTTTTCTTAAACCAAGAGGTGGAATATTAACGAAGATTTCTGGAAAAAGGTGAGATTTCTCGGAACTGTGGTGCCACCCAGTTTTACACCAAATATGGGTGTTCCCAGATCTGTCATGGTGCTTGTGGGTGTATGATGTAGTATGTTAATGAGTGTATAATGAGGCCTTATGTGAAACGAGGTCAAATCCAGCATCATGTTGGGCCTAGTTGGTTTTAGCCAGCTTGGTCCACATCCTATTTTGTAGGTTCTTATCAGCCCCTAGCTTATGCAGCTATTTCAGCGGTTTCCTTTTGCTAATCATGTGGGACTGCTGCCTGAAATTTCCTTTTCTCCTGCCACCACCCTGTATCATTCCTGTCTCAGGTCCATCAACTTTTCCACACTGCTTAGCCTGCAAGAGGTTACCTTCAAGAGGAGGAAAAGACCTGCACAAACAAATGCAGGAGAGACATAGGTGGGAATTGTGAGTCGTCAATTGGAGGTCATGGGCTCCCTATGCAAGCAGAATCTGAATCCTGATGGTGTCAGTTTCTGCTTAGAGGGATCTATCCCAACTCGCTTGACCTCACAGGATTTCAGTGTGCTCGCTGTACAACAGGGATAGTAATAACCACCTAAAACTAATGGCATTTATTCATGCACAAGGGTGGAGGCACAGCATAGAGTGGTGGTTAGGATTATAGGGTCTGGAGGCTGACTGGGTGGGAATCCTCAGGCCTCCCCTCCAAGGCTCTGTGCTTTAGCATCTCTGCTCTAGAGGGCACATGTAAATGGGGACAGTGACTGTTGTTACCCTGTGGGCCTTACTAAATCATGTGCATGAAATATTTAGCATGGCAACTCTCCCACTCTAAATTTGCAATGTATTTGATCTGAATGACAAATAAAAATGATTTCTGGCCGAGTGCAGTGGCTCACACTTGTAATCCCAGCACTTTGGGAGCCTGAGGCCGGCAGATCACTTGAGGCCAGGAGTTTGAGACCAGCCTGGCCAACATGGTGAAACCCTGTCTCTACTAAAAATTCAAAAATTATCCAGGCAAATAAAAAATAAAAATAAAAAATAAAAATGATTTCTGAAGGGCCATAAGGAAATTATGAGTAAGGGTTAAGGACATTCACAGGAACCCCCAATGTATTTCTCTATCAATATTCCAGAAGGAATTTATAATCAAAGGACTAAGAAATTCAGAGATGCTACCATTTTCAACAGATGGAGAAGTGAGAATAGTAAAAACAGACAACTGCAATAGATACTATATGTTTAACTGTTTTAACATGCTACCAGTATTTATTCAAGTGATTAGAGTTAGTAACGGAAACATGTTCCATTAATTTAGGAAATGCTGATTAAGGACCTGCTTTGTGCTTCACCATTTGTGTATCTGTGTTAGAAACTAGGGTTATAAAAATAATGTGTTCTCCGTAAGGGAATGTATTTTAAATTGTAAGAGTGTTAAGACATTCAGAATAGTAGGGCAGGAGTCAAAGGAGAGCTGTATATTGACCTCTTAATAGATGCTCCAAGGTGGACTCTTCTGTCCCCTCTGCCAGCTCCCTGACTCCTTCCCTAGGATGGAGGACCTGGATAGGACGGGGTCACAGGCAAGGCTATGGCAGGGGTAGGGGGGAGCTGGAAGGCAAGGGTGCCCTCAGCCTTTGCTCTTCTCTTTCTGCTCCTGGCTTGTTTTTTTCTTGTCTTTTCTCCCAGTTGAATGAGGTGAGTAAAGGCCTGTGGGGCAGAGGGGAGCCCTCGTAGGTGTCTGTGTCAGCCAAATGGTGTCCTCTCCATGTTCCAGACTAAATGAGCAGACAATGGATAGGATGATAAATCCAAACTCCTCTTCTCTTCCCAGACTCCTGTGTCCTTTTTGCTCTGATACAACAAAACAAGAAAGCTGGTCTTGTAATGTAGGTTATTCTGAGTTATAAAGGTTACTGTATTCATTTACTAGGGCTGCCTTAACCAAGTAACACAACAGAAATGTATTGTCTCACAGTTCTTGAGGCTTGAAATCTCCAGTGTTAGCGGGGGCTGGTTCCTTCTGAGGGGGATGAGAATGAATATGTTTCCCGACTCTCTCCTAGCATCTCATGGTTTGCTTGCAACGTTTGACATTCCTTGGCTGGTACATGCATCAACTTCATGTCTGTCTTCATCTGCACATGGCGTTCTTCCTATCCCTTCACATCCTCTTGCCTCATGCATGTCTGTCTTCATCTGCACATGGCGTTCTTCCTATCCCTTCACATCCTCTTGCCTCATGCATGTCTGTCTCAGTGACGAGATCTCCCCCTCTTAGAAGGACATCAGTCCCGGTGGATTAGGGCTCACCCTAATGACCTCTTTTTAACCTGATTGCCTCTGTCATGACCCTGTCTCCAAATAAGGTTACATTCTGAGCTGATAGGAATTAGGACTCCAACATATGGATTTTTGATGTGCACAGTTTAACTCATAACAGCAACCAATAGTGAAAGTCTAAATAGTGATATAATTATTTTAAAAAATGGGATAAGAAGAGAGGGAGGTACTGTGAGTACTTTCATGTATCATAACAGCAGATCATTATATGGAGTTGATGAAATTTTAAAAAGTATCAGTAGAAAGGTATCATTTGGTAATATGGAGGTAATTACTAAAATAAAAGCAGAAATGGTGGTGAGTTTTGCACTTGAGAATTGGTTGAGTTAAAAAAAACTTTTGGATCTGACTCTAAAATCTGTATTATAGAGTTTATATTAGTGGATCTCATGTATCTCTTCTCAAATTGTATGTGCCTTCTTGTTCAGAGAAATTTCATTTTTAATGAGAACTTAGACAAAAACTAATTAAATCAATCAATTCATCAATTGCAAGTCTAAGGAAATTTATAGGAAAAGCAACATGTTCAACTCTATAGCTGGCAGCGCCCAGTGTATCAGTGTCTCACTGTGTCCGGAATTGGTGGGTTCTTGGTCTCACTGACTTCAAGAATGAAGCCGCGGACCCTCGCGGTGAGTGTTACAGTTCTTAAAGACGGCGTGTCCGGAGTTTGTTCCTTCTGATGTTCGGATGTGTTTGGAGTTTCTTCCTTCTGGTGGGGTTCGTGGTCTCGCTGGCTCAGGAGTGAAGCTGCGGACCTTTGCGGCGAGTGTTACAGCTCTTAAGGTGGCGCATCTGGAGTTGTTCATTCCTCCTGGTGGGTTCGTGGTCTTGCTGGCTTCAGGAGTGAAGCTGCAGACCTTCGCAGTGAGTGTTACAGCTCATAAAGGCAGTGTGGACCCAAAGAGTGAGCAGCAGCAAGATTTATTGCAAACAGTGAAAGAACAAAGCTTCCACAGTGTGGAAGGGGACCCGAGTGGGTTGCCAGTGCTGGCTCTGGCAGCCTGCTTTTATTCTCTTATCTGACCCCGCCCACATCCTGCTGATTGGTCCATTTTACAGAGAGCCGAGTGGTCTGTTTTGACAGGGTGCCGATTGGTGTATTTACAATCCCTTAGCTAGACATAAAGGTTCTCCAAGTCCCCCACCAGAGTCAGGAGCCCAGCTGGCTTCACCCGGTGGATCCTGCACTGGGGCCGCAGGTGGAGCTGCCTGCCAGTCCCACGCGGTGCGCCGGCACTCCTCAGCCCTTGGGTGGTCAATGGGACTCAGTGCCGTGGAGCAGGGGGTCGATGCTCATCCGGGAGGCTTGGGCCACACAGGAGCCCACTGAGGGTGGGGGGAGGATCAGGCATTGCGGGCTGCAGGTCCCGAGCCCTGCCCCACGGGAAGGCAGCTAAGGCCCGGCGAAAAATTGAGCACAGCAGCTGTTGACCCAGGTGTTAAGCCCCTCACTGCCCCGGGCTGGCGGGGCCGGCTGAACCCACGGCCACCTGGAATTCGCGCTGGTCCCAGCAAACACCGCGCGCAGCCCCAGTTCCCACCGGCGCCTCTCCCTCCACACCTCCCTGCAAGCTGAGGGAGCCAGCTTCAGCCTTGGCCAGCCCAGAAAGGGGCTCCCACAGTGCAGCGGTGGGCTGAAGGGCTCCTCAAGTGCCACCAAAGTGGGAGCCCAGGCAGAGGAGGCGCTGAGAGCCAGGGAAGGCTGTGAGGGCTGCCAGCACGCTGTCGCCTCTCATCATCACTGCTGTAACAAAATATCACAAGCTTAGTGGCTTAAAATAACACAAAGTCACTATCTTATGTTGCTGGAGGTGAAAACTCTCACTGTGCTAAAATCAAGGTGTCTGCTGGGTATAATTTCTTCTGGAGGCTCAAAGGGAGATTTCGTTTCCTTGCTTTTTCCAGCTTCTATAGCCATTCGCATCCCCTGGCTTGTGGCTCCTTCCTCTATCAAAGTAAGCAGAGTAGCATCTTCATATCTGTCTCTGACTTTCACCCTTTCCTGCCTCCTTCATTCACTTACAAGGACCTTGTGATTACATTGGCACAATGAGCTAATATAAGATCATCTCCTATTTCAGGATCCTTAACTTAATCACATCTGCATACTCCCTTTTGTCATGTAAGAAAACATATTTGCAGGATGTAGGGATTAAACTGGGGACATATTTAGGGGTCTTTATTCTGCCTACCATACTCAGTAAAAGACAAAGGCTGTTTTAGTTTGGATGTACAACAGACAAAGACAATAGAGAACAGCAGATATTCTGGTAAAGAAAAGCCATGGTTCCCATAATTCTCCCAGCAATGCTAGTGAGCGCCTTTTCCAGTGGGGACTATCTATCAAGTCTCTTGACAAAAGCAAATAGGATGTGGCAAGGTTGAACTACTGATCAGTATGCCCTTGAAACCCTTGGAGGGTTATGCTCAAGTAATGTTTTAACAAGGTGGGCAGAGGATAATTATTTCTCTAAGCCACAGGATGAATGGTAATTGATAAAATTCCAAATAGAAATTGTGAGCATGTGTAATTCGATTCATTATTTTTAACTTTGCAAAACATCATTTATCTAACTTTGCAAACTTACAACTTTGCAAAACGTTACAAGGAAAATCTTTGCGTTTTAGTTTCCAATGCTATTAAAATTGAATAATTTAAAATGCAGACTCTGACAGAATAACTTAAGTGAAAGAAAAATAAAGTTATACAGAATTTATTTAATCAATAGATTTGAGAAGACAGGAAAATTTAATGTTGAGGGTATCAAATAGGCGCCCAGTGGACAGAATTGTCTATGTGGTGGAATGAGATACAGCACCACTGACACTTGCACCTGGAGGAATGCTTATTTAGACGGTAATAACAAAGTCAGTGATTTTTCCTACTATTTTCGATGCTATCCTCAGGCTATAGATTTAAACTTTATGAGAAGTTCAATTAAAAAGGCGATATCTACTAATTTCTCAAATGGCCTTTATATGAGTCTTATATAGACACAGGGACAATTACATACAACTTGATATGAAAATAAAGCAAACCAAGAAGTTAAAAGAAGTCTTATGGTTCATGTTTGTAAAATAATACATTGGAACATTTTTCCTAGTTGAGATTTAAACAGAAAAATTATATGTGTTGACTTACTGCTTGCATGTATATTTCTGCAAGAGATAAAAACCTTAGGATTAATAATTAAAACCATTCTGGAGTTTTATATCAGCAGGTACCAAAGCTGTCAGTTGCATGATCTTAACCACAATTAAATTCAGGCATAACACTCCCTGATTATACCAATATAGGGAGAAAAAGATTTCTTCTCGCCCAGGTCAGTTTTTATAGATAACAAACATTTAACCATAAAAGAAAACATGCTCTCTGTAGAGGGCTAATTAAACACCATAGTAATAAGATAGGAAAGGTTGTTTCAGGTGAGTGAACCCAACTCCAGTCATGGAAGAAAGAAAAGGAAGCCCTTGATTTCCATGGTTGGGAGAGGCACAGGTGGCAGCAGGAATCCTCAGGATGTCCTAAGGAAAGGTTTCCTCTCCAGCTTTTAAGTCAGCCATGTTGGCTTCATATGTTAAAGCCCTTGCTGTTTACACAGTGCTGTTTACACTATTTATTCCTGAACGCTTTGCCCTGCGTTTATCCCCCTGAGAAAGGATAAGCCCTTCCAAACTAATGACCCCCAATTCCTTTGTGGTTGGTCATCCTTTAGTGCCTCGTTAGCCAGAATTACTTAATGTCATTCATCAGCCTTGCAACACTCACATGGCATTTACTTGGCTAGCAATTTTATTGGAACTTAATTATTAGCGAGAAAAAATAGAAACATTAAAATGGTGCAAACCTATAGCAATGAAATGCTTAGCATGCTGTTAATGCTGCAGAGAATCTTAAAACTAAATTGAATCTGGCCTCATGGCACTTAGGTTGTGAGAAGCACTGCTTGCATTTAAATATTTTGCTACACATAGATACAGGAAACATGATTTTGATGTTTGTTAAATAAGAGTTAATTTTTCTTATATAACAGAAAAAAGCCCTCCCTATTTTTTTCCCAATCAAGTTGTTTATTTCTAATTAGACTAAATATAAGGTGAAATGTATTCAACATATCCAAAACACTATTTTAATAAAGTGAGCAAATTGTCAAGATCCATATATTTATTTCAGACTTTTTAAAAGTTAAGACAATTTTAATTTATTATTCTATAAAATTCAGTTTAACTGTCAGTTTAGTTTTGAAATTCAGAAGTCAATTTGGAAAATGGAAGTGTTTATCATTAGTTGCATTTTGTCCTGATCTCAGAAAATTACGTATATGTTTTCCTGTATATACTTCCATATTTGTCATTGGATGAGCAAATGATAAAAACACACTGAATTTATGTAATTTATCTCTAATCCCTTTAATAAAACATTTCATAATTTTCAGAGAATTCAGAATTCTTAATGAGTATTCTTCTTCATGAAACAGTGTCTTCTGTTCATATTGAATGCAGCAGACTCAGGAATAACTATGATTTATCAATGGCATATTTTTAAGGCTAACATCAACAGTAGACTCTTGAATTCAATCATGTCAGCACAATTTCAAAGGATTGCCTTTGCTGAGTACAAAGAATCTACATGGTTAGCTAAAAATGGTGCAAACTTAAGCATTGTGTAAAGGAAAGATCTATTGATTTTCTGTGTTTCTAATTGGTGTTAGGCACCACATTAGATCAACTCATCACTTACCTGCCATTTCTCCCTCTTTTTACTTTGTGTTGAAGAGTTTGGAAATCTTATGACTAGCCTACTTGTTCTGTGCCCATGAAGCAAATTAGGTATCATGAATAAAAGATCTGGGTCAGCACAAATGTAGCCTTACTCTCTCTGTTTATCTAAAGACCTAAGCCTGTTCACATCTCCAACACCCTTTGCATGAAGGGGAAACCAGGTGACCCAAACCAGGTATCTGAAATGACATTGCATGCCTGAATTACAAATCCTCCTCCTAGCTTTACACCAAAGGGCTGGCAGTACTGACCTGGGTGTCTGAGAACTACAAGAGGAGAATATACTGAATTTTCAGTTCCTTCTGGGTCGATTCTAACTATTGGGCCCCAGAATGCAGTCAGTCATGGATTCTAAGAATCAGATTAAAAAATGGAGTTTAGGGGTCAGTCCATTGGGCATATCTGAAAACGCACCCTGTCGTTATTTTCCAAAGACCTGAGGGCACAGTTGGAACATAGCTGATACAGTCAGCAACTGGGAATATCCTACCCATTTGACCCTATCACCCATGCAGTAAAGATTTTTATAATAGAAATAATTAAGTAGAAGTCTAAAGACCTGGCTTCCCTACTAAGATACTTGAACAAATTTAATATTGCATTCCTGGGGAGAATTGCAGAGATCAGTGTTACCATTAAAACTTGAAAATTTCAAGTGTGTTGTTTTCCATCACAACTCCACTGGACTTCCCCGTTCGAGATGTGTAGTTGATAGAAGACACTTGAAGAATGATGTAGTTTAGTAAACTCAACAAGATGCTGGATCTCTTTGCAGCTTTGGTTCAGATGCCATCTTTTTATTGGAATGAATAACACACAGCCTACCACCAGACATTCAGTTAAAGGTTTGGTCGATTTTGACCAGTATTTATTCTCCCAGTATCCACTCTCTTCTAGATACTTTTATTCACATAAGCTGTGCCAGGTTTTAGCAAGCATATGGACATCCGGTTAGTCCCTGCACTTCCCTGACTACTTTGTAGCTGTACGTGGTCATGTGACCAAGTCCAGGCCAGAGGACTTGGTCACATGACCACATACAGCTGCAAAGTAATCATGACCAATGGTGATGACATGAACAAGTTCTGTCTCTCATCCTTGAGAAATAAAGGCAAATGCATTCCATTATTTCTTCCTTCATGTTGGCTAAGTGGAACAATTGACTTAAACCCAGTGGTCTTAAGCCATGTATTAAAGATAACAAGGCTATCCTTTCCATCCTTGGCCATCTACTTCCATCTGTTGCACGAAAGAGAAGAAAACTTCTCTCCTATTTGAACCATTATATTTTAAGGTCTTTTTGTTACAGCAGCTTAACATGTTTCCCAACTAATACAGCGTGTAACTCTCTGTCCACTTAATGCACTATTCCACATTGAGCTCAGGATACTTCTTCAATCCCAAAATAGATGCTTCTATTTTCTTGGTCATTCCAAGTTCCTCCTCCTTGGGAATGCTTGATTTCTCTGTGTTTATCCTCTCACTGTTCTACACAATCCCAATATAAACTTGAAGGTGTGCTCCCTCATTTGCCCAAATGAGAACTCATACAACACATGTGTAGATGTAGAAAATTTCACAGGTTATTCAGATAACCTAAAATCAATACTTACTTACTGTTAAAAAATGTCCTTCAAAAATAAAAGAAAAAGAGTAATGTTTATAGTAGAGAAACTTGACAAACACTCGATCAACCAGATGATCAGGTCAACATCAAAAGTGACAAGTCATATTGACAGTATGTACCCATGGCATGATGTGATGAGAAGGAAACACCACCTCTGTGGTCTTCTTCCCAAATAGCCATAACCCCAGTCTAGTCATGAGGAAAACACTGGAAAAACCCAAATGGAAGGACAGTCTACCGACCAGTATTCCTCAAAGCCCTTGAGGTCATCAAAAACAGAAGGTCTGAGAAACCGTCATGGTCTAAAGGAGACTTAGAAAACATGACTGTCAAATATAATGTTCAGCAGAACATTGAAAACAAAAGATGAAAAAAATGAATGTAATGTGATATCCTGGATGAAATCCTCAATCAAGGGATATTAGGAAAAAAGTATGTAAATTCAAGTAAATGATAGCCTTTAGTTAATGATAATGTATCACTATCAGTTCATTATTTGTGGCAAATGTACCAGACTAATGTAAGATGTTAACAATAGGGAAGTCTGGTTATGTGGTATAGGACTTTCTGTAATGTTCTTGCAACTTTTTTTGTAAATCCAGAACTATTTATAATAAAAATTTTATTAAGTATGACCCAGGAATGGACTTTCAATGGGAAGTTGGTATGGTAAACACTGGACCTCACTATTTGAACACATTAGCTGGATACCTGAAGAAATGGAGATAGGAGATAGATGATATGTAAGGCAGAAGATATGGGGTTAAGGAGCTGGAGACTAGCTGTGGTGGTGCATACCCGTAGTCCCAGCTACTGGGAAGGCTGAGATGGGAGAATCACCTCAGCCAGGGGAGGTCAAGGCTGCAGTGAGCCGTGATTGTGCCATTGCACTCCAGTCTGGGCAAAAGAGTGAGACAATGTTTCAAAAACAAACAAACAAAAAAAGATGAAGATGGTGCATGAGGACATGAACTAGAGCAAAAGGAGCACTCATGGCCAGAGACAGGAACATTTGATGTTAAGATGGTGTGTGAGATGAAGGCATCCCAAGTGATGACAAAAACGAAGGTAGGAAATGTGTGGAGCAGTCAATGTTTGGAGATGCCAATGGTCAAAGCAATAAAGTCATCATAGGTTATTTATTATGTAAAGGAAAATGTTAGAAGAAGTGGGAAGATGGAAAGAGGAGCATGACCGAGGGCCAGGAACTGATGAACAAACAGGGGAGGTTAAGGAAGGGCAAGAGGTCAGCTGGTGGCTGGAGAGGAGAAGTGATACCAATTAGATATGAGAAGTATAATCAATATGGCATTATTGTATTTCAATAGTGTTGAAAATAAATGAAATTTACTTAATATAGCACCATATCAAACGAAATACTTTTTCTGAACTGGTTTGGTTCCAGATTCTTATTGAAGTAAAACATAAATCTACTTATGGGTATTAAGGGATAACGTATCATTGTGTGGATCATATGTTTGTCAGATACATTTTGGCTGACAAGTAATGCGAACGATAATTGTGATTTCTGGAAACTGGCGTACTGCATCTGAAGGTCAGTGTGCTCATTTCCCCTTGGATGCATACATTGGAATGTTATTGTAATTCAGAAGGTTCTTTCTCAGCTGCACTGCATTTCCATCGGGGAAAATGCCAACCCTCGGAATAAGAGCATGTGTTATAGAGACATGATGTAGTTGCTAAAGCAAAGTGATTTTAATTGAATTGTGATTCTTTCTCCTGTAACTTGAGTTGTACCATTTTGTGTTGATGTGATAAAATCTGAATTCTTTGTTAAGTGATGGCTTCAACATGCACAGGTCATATGACATTTTAAATATTTCGTTGTATTTTCAGTTTTTACTTTTAGCTAACTGAACTTGACCCTAGAACTACTATTTTTCCTTTAACTCCTTTCTTTTTTTTTTTTTAAAGACAGCAACCAAATGTGCTTGTCTTTTAAGGGACATATATGTCAAGAGTTTTGAAGGATGCTACAGTAAGTAATTTGGATGGCACTGGAATTAAAATCCAGCATGTATTTTTGCTGGATGTGACTTTCAGGAAAAGATCTTATAACTTGTTACAGTTCCAAAGCCATTACACAGTATACAGTCATGTGTCACTTAATGATGGGATAAGTTCTGAGAAATATTTCCTTAGGTGGTTGCATTGTTATTCAAATATCATAGGTTGTAGGTAAACAAATCTAGATGGTATAACCTACCACACATCTAGGCTACATGGTATATAGCCTGTTGTAACAAAGCTGTAAACTTCTACAGCATGATATTGTACTGAATACTATAGGAAGTACTGAATACTAACTCAACATAAGTATTTATATATCTAAGTAAATTTAAACAGGGAAATGGTACAATAAAAATACAGTATAAAAGATAAAAAATGGTATACTTGTATAGGGCACTGACCATGAAACCATGAATGGAGCTTGCAGACGTGGGAGTTGCTCTGGGTGAGTTAGTGAGTGAGTGGTGAGTGAATGTGAAGGCCATTACTGTACACTACTGCAGGCTTTATAAACACTGTACACTTAGGCCCCACTAAATTTATTTTTAAATGTATTTATTTAATAAATTAACCTCAGCTTACTGTAACTTTTTTTACTTTATAAGCTTTTAGATTTTTGAAAACTTTTTGACTCTTGTAATAGCACTTAGCTTAAAGCATACATGGTATGGTTGTACAAAAATGTTTTTTTCTTTATATCCCTAGTCTATCATCCAAGTTTTTTTCTACTTTTAAATTTATTTTTTTACTTTTTAAAATTTTTTGTGAAAAAATGAAGACACAAATATACTCAGTAGCCTAGGCCTACACTAGAGTCAGGATCATCAATATCACTGCCTTCCACCTTCACATATGGTCCCACTGGAAGGTCTTCAGGGACAATAACATGCATGGAGGTGTGACCTCCAATAACATTGCCTTTTTCTACAACACCTTCTGAAGGACCTGCCTGCCGCTGTTTTACAGTTATATACATATATATAGTGTGTATACACACACACACACACACACACATATGTATATATATATGTATATATGTAGAAGCAAAACACTAAAATATTAGTAAAATATATAGTATCATAAATATATAAACTAGTAATGTGGTTGTTTATTATCAAGTATTATGTGCTACACATAATTGTATGCATTGTTTTCTAACACTGGCAGCACAGTCAATTTTATTTTATTTTATTTTTTGAGATGGAGTCTCACTCTTTCACCAGGCTGGAGTGCACTGGCACGATCTCGGCTCACTGCAACCTCCACCTCCCAGGTTCAAGTGATTCTCCTGCCTCAGCCTCCCGAGTAGCTGGGATTATGGGCACGTGTCACCATGCCTGGATAATTTTTGTGTTTTTAGTAAAGGCAGGGTTTCCCCATGTTGGTCAGGCTGGTCTCGAACTCCTGCGCTCAAGTGATCCGCCCGCCTTGGCCTCCCAAAGTGCTGAGATTACAGGCATGAGCCTCTACGTCCGGTTGCAGTCGACTTTTTTACACCCCCATCACCATAAATATATTAGTAATGCCTTGTGCTGTCACATTACAAAGGCTATGATATCATTAGGCAACAGTCATTTTTCAGCTCCATTATAATCTTATGGGACCACCTCTGTAGGGAGACCCCCTGAAACTATGGCTATGGAATAAAAGATGAAATGCTCCTGATTATTGTAAATACAAAATTGCATGCAGGATTGTGTAAAGACAATGCCAGGTTGGACTGCCAGAACGAGCCAACAGCACGTGATGTGCTTCCCCCTGCAGAGAGCCTATGAATGGACATGCAGTCAGGGAGGTTTCACATCACCAAGATTCCTATCCCAGAAAAGCAGATGTTCATAGCTCTGGGAATGGAATGCGACCCTTGTGGAAAGCCTATAAACGGATGCACGGGGGGCACTTGTCCATATGGATAAGATAGGGCTATAAACGCCCTCATCTTGCCACGGCTCTTCTAGCCCTCTTTAGGGTTAAGGCATACTCCCTTCTGAGAATTTCTGGTCTAACTGGTTGTCTAGCTTCACATCCTGTTTCCATGGATTGTTTGTAACTAGCTTTTGTTGCAATCGTTACTGCTGATTAATATCTTGCTAATCATAGGTTACGGAAAGATTGTGTTTCTGTTTTAAGGCTCTGTTAGAAATTACTGATGCACACACTATATTGTAAATTCTTATCTCTGTATACTGTACTTCTACATACAAATGTACTGTACTTCTACATACAAATGTTATGTTAAAGAATTACTTCATCCCCATGTGACCATCTCACCTCATAATCAAATGACCCTAAATCCCTCACTAACCTACCCCCACCCTCACTAAACGTAATAATAAATGCTGGTATATCCAGTGCATTGTTGGCACCGCGGGACCAGAAGGCAGTGACCCACCTGGACCCAGCTTTCACTGTCTTGTGTGTGTCTATTATTTCTCAACCTGCCGATCCACCTGGGAACAAAGAGAGCCCCATTGCATTGCGGGCTGCTGGCCAGATCCCTCAATACACCTCCATATATGCAGTCTGCCATTAACCAAAATTTTGCTATGCAGCATATGACTGTAATTGATTCAAGATCAGTTATTTGAAAATGTAACCCCTTCCTACTAATAGAATAATCTTTATAACACTGGAATTGAAAATCCTTTTCCGGCTGGGCGCAGTGGCTCACGCCTGTAGTCCCAGCACTTTGGGAGGCCAAGGCGGGCGGATCACGAGGTCAGGAGATTGAGCCTGGCTAACATGGTGAAACCCTGTCTCTACTAAAAAATACAACAAAAATTAGCTGGGTGTGGTGGTGGGCTCCTGTAGTCCCAGCTACTGGGGAGGCTGAGGCAGGAGAATGACATGAACCCGGGAGGCAGAGCTTGTAGTGAGCCGAGATCGCGCCACTGCACTCCAGCCTGGGCGACAGAGCAAGACTCTGTCTCAAAAAAGATAAAAAAGAAAATCCTTTTCCAAATGATGGAATATAGTAACAGAAAACAGAATCCCTACTTTAGTGCTAGAGAGATAGTTTATTTTTCAAGGTCATGTGACACTTACCGAATACTCTTAAAATTGTAAGCAAATAACATCTAGATTTTGCCGAGAGCTCCAACTTTGCAAGCGTGCATAAAAAGCCTCTGTTTCTTCCTAAGTCAAAGAATGGAAGACAGAGCCCTGGAGTGTCTGGGAGATACTTATTCTACATGTGCCAGGTGCTTAGTGCCCAGGCAACTGGTTAGAATCAAGTTAACCTCAATTCGTTTTCCATCAATGATTCTGGAATTTCTATGAAAACAGTTGACCTGGAGACCCCAGTAGTTGCTGAAGAAATCTGGGCTTTCAATCATCTCCTACTTTTGACTCCAGTCTATTCCAGAACTAGGCATTTAGCCTCTATTATGAATACTCTCCTCACTGGCAAAGAAAAGGAGGTGGGTAATGATTACCTAAACTTCAGAGCTAACTATAAGCATAATTTGTGGCCAGGTGTGGTGGCTCACACCTGTAATCCCAGCACTTTGGGAGGCTGAGGCAGGCAGATCACTTGCGGCCAGGAGTTCTAGACCAGCCTGGCCAACATGGTGAAACCCTGTCTCTACTAAAAATACGAAAATTAGCCGGGCGTGGTGGTGGACACTTGTAATCCCAGCTACTTGGGAGCCTGAGGCAGAAGAATTGCTTGAACACAGGAAGTGGAGGTTGCTGTGAGCCAAGATCACGCCACTGCACTCCAGCCTGGGTGACAAAGCGAGACTCCGTCTCAAAAAAAAAAAAATATAAAAAGATGAATTGTGATAGATAATGCTTAGTAAAGATGCAATGGAAATTGCTAATTCAGCAACATATAAGCCGTTTTATGGTATCATTAGGCAGAGAAAATCGATATACCTAAGGTGAATAATGTTTCTACTTGTACCACATCCGTGATAGTCTAAACTAGGGATTCTCAAAGTGTGGTGTTTGAACCAGCAACATCAGCATCTCTTGGAAACTGGATAGAACTGCAAATTCTTTTTTTTTTTTTTTTTTTTTGAGACAAGTCTTGCTCTGTCGCCCAGGCTGGAGTGCAGTGGTGCGATCTCTGCTCACTGCAACCTCCGCCTTCCGGGTTCACGCCATTCTCCTGCCTCAGCCTCCAGAGTAGCTGGGACTACAGATGCCCGCCACCATGCCCGGCTAATTTTTTGTATTTTTAGTAGAGACAGGGTTTCACCATGTTAGCCAGGATGGTCTCGATCTCCTGACCTTGTGATCCGCCTGCCTTGGCCTCCCGAAGTGCTGGGATTATAGGCATGAGCCACCACGCCTGGCCTAGAACTGCAAATTCTTAGGCCCCACCCAAGACCTATTGAATAGAAACTCTACTGGTGGAGTCCAGCTATCTGCATGGACAAACCTCCAAGACTGATGATGCATAGTCAAGTTTGAGATTCATGACTCTAATCCAGAGGTCAGCAAACTTTTTCTGTAAAAGGCTAGATGGTAAATACTGTCGGCTTTGCAGGCAGTATGGTCTTCACCTCAACTACTCAACTCTGCTGTTTTAGCCTGAAAACAGCTATAGACAGGACGTAAGTTAATTGGGTTTGGCTGTGTTCCAGCAAAACTTTATGAAAAAAGCAGCTGGATTTGGTCAATGAGACATAATTTGCTGACCCCTACTCTAAAATACTTCTTACTAATTTTAGACCAGTGGGGCTTGTTTTATATGAGTGGATTGAAAGCATTCATCTATGTATGTTATTTTTAAAAATAGATTCTCTTTATATAAAACGTATGTCTGTCTATTCCTGAGTACACATTAAAAACATCATTTTTAATTATCTGAATTTGTAAGTTTCATGGGTAAATAGAAAAGGAGATGCTTATGATAAAGTTAATCATAATTAAAATTAAAATTATCACATAATATATTAAGATTCACATAACAAAATGTTAATATTCTCTTTAAATATCATTACTAACACATAATCAACAAAATCTTACCTTGGATTTTATTACATAGTTTAGAACTTTTATTGCATGTCATAATCTTTGTAGTATAATAAACAAATTTTAACATTTCCTCTAAGCACAGGAGATCATATATGTCATCACCCTTACCTTACAGCTAATAAATAGTTGTTCATTTCAGAATTCGGGCAGTTGAAGCTGTGTGAACATGAACCATTCATCATTACAGATGATCCTGATCACATAGATACATGGTATCCAGCAATTGCAACTTAGAAAGTGTTATCAGTCCAAGATCTGATTGGTTCTGCAAATTTAGATGACTCGTTTTCTAATATTTTCAAGTTGTAGCCCAATGTTCTCATACATGTCATTTCTGATTTACCATTAAGGATGTTCTGGTAAATTGTTTCTCTCGACTGCTCATGCAGTGTTTTGAACTGGTGCCATAGTAGATTTATTTTCTTCCCTTCAGTATAGACACATACATGTGCTTATTTCTAAACCTCATCACTTGACACTGAGGACCAGGAAGCAAAACCTAAGTGACTGAAAGTCTTTTCAAGTTATTCTTTGATTGGCTTTTGGAGTGAGTTTGATGCAATCTCCTCACTTTTCTAGCCAAGGCGATTTGGCCAAGTTATCTGTTCTCAACCTTTCGGCTGTAATACTGTTTTGCCAAACACAGAAACACTAATGTAGATAGCTCACACTTACGGTTTCAGAAATTTTTTTCATACAAGGAAGTTTTCTTAAAATGTGTAAATCTCTTTTTTTCTAAATCTACAAACAAGATTTAATAATATAACACATATACATTGTAATACATTTTGTAAATATTTGCATATGCATATGCACAATATATAGTAAACGTAAACCATTTTATATTTCCTTGTATTTCTTAAAGCCAATGAAAAACATTTTAAGTACAATCATATAATTTACTGATCAAAGAAAATTTTTTCCCACTCTTCTATAAACTTCACAGAGCCTGAGATTTTTATCAAATAAATCTTGGATACCTTCTAGCACTTGCGTAGTACGTTTTTTTAAATATATTTTTTAAATTTAGCTTTTATTTTCAGTAGAGACAGAGTCTTACTATGTTGGCCAGGCTAGTTTCCAACTCCCTGGGCTCAAGTGATTCTCCCACCTCGGCCTCCCAAAGTGCTGGGATTACAAGCAATGAGCCACCGTGCTGGCCTAGCATAGCCCTTTACTAAAAAAAAAAAAAAAGCCACTATAAATATTTGCTGAGATACTGAGTGAATGGATGGACTAACAAATGAATTAACTAATGAAGCAGTGTCTGAATTTCTGAATTTAGGAGAAATTCTTTTTTTTTTTCAGGAACATTATTTAAAATGTATTTAACAGCTCCATGCAACTTCTCCAGAATGATGGACATTGCCCTATGGACATACATGAAAAATGTATATATTTATTTATAGCATATATATATAGCTTCCTTGATTAGTGTATTCACTTTATGTTGTATGTTTTTTTCTACAGATGACTGTAAAAGCCTGTTTGGTTATGATACAATTTCTATAAGCACTAAAACAAACAAACTAATAGTCCCATCCCTATTAGTGTTGAATATTTGAAAGGTGTTATTTTTGGGTCATTTTTAACCACGTTGATATCTCTTTTTCTGAATTTGACTTTGTAATACTTTTTTATTTTTTAATTTATTTTTAATTTTTTTTTTATTTCCATAGGTTATTGGGGAACAGGTGGTGTTTGGTTACATGAGTAAGTTCTTTAGTGGTGATTTGTGAGATTTTGGGGCACCCATCACCGAGCAGTATATACATCACTCAACTTGTAGTCTTTTATCCCTCACCCCCTTCTGACCCTTTCCCCAAGTCCCCTAAGTTCATTGCATCATTCTTATGCCTTTGCATCTGTGTAGCTTAGCTCCCACTTACGAGTGAGAAAATACGATGTTTGGTTTTCCATTCCTGGATTACTTCACTTAGAATAATAGTCTGCAGTTTCATCCAGGTTCTTGCAAATGCCATTAATTCATTCCTTTTTATGGCTGAGTAGTATTTCCTCAAATATATATATATATATATATCTCACAGTTTCTTTATCCACTCGTTGATTGGTGGGTATTTGAGTTGGTTCCACATTCTTACAATTGCAAATCATGCCACTATAAACATGCCTGTGCAAGTATCTTTTTTGTATAATGACTTCTTTTCCTCTGAGTAGATGCCCAGTAGTGGGATTGCTGGATCAAATAGTAGTTCTACTTTTAATTATTTAAGGAATCTCCACACTGTTTTCCATAATGGCTGTACTACTTACATTCCCACCAGCAGTGCAGAAGTGTTCCCTGATCACTGCATCCAGGTCAACATCTACTGTTTGATTTTTTTGATTATGGCCATTCTTGCAGGAGTAAGGTTACCACCTTACTCCTTATCGCATTGTGGTTTTGATTTACATGTTCCTGATCATTAGTGATGTTGATGCATATATTTATTATAACATACATGTAACTTTCTTGATTAGTGTATTCACTTAAGTTGTACTTTTATTTTTTTCTATGAATGACTTTAAAAGCCTGTTTGGTTATAATACAATTTCTATAGGCACTAAAACAAACAAATAGCCCCATTGCTATTTGTGGTCAGAATTTGAAAGTTGTTATTTTTGGGTCATTTTTAACCATGTTCATATCTCTTTTTCTAAATTTGACTTTGTAATGCTTTCTTATTTTTTAATTTATTTTAATTTATTTTAATTTTTTTATTTCTATAGGTTATTGGGGAGCAGGTGGCATTTAGTCACATGGTATTTGGTTACACAAGAAAGTTCTTTAGTGGTGATTTGTGAAATTTTGGTGCACTCATCACCCAAGAAGTATACACTGAACCCAATTTGTAGTCTTTTATCTCTCACCCCCTTTTCACTCTTTCCCCGAGTCCCCAAAGTCCATTTTGTCATTCTTATGCTTATGCATCCTCATAGCTTAGCTCCCACTTACGAGTGGGAACATGTGATGTTTGGTTTTCCATTCCTGAGTTACTTCACTCAGAATAATAGTCTGCAGTCTCATCCAGGTTGTTGCAAATGCCATTAATTCATTCCTTTTTATAGCTGAGTAGTTTTCCATTGTGTATATATACCACAGTTTCTTTATCTACTCGTTGATTGATGGGCATTAGGGTTGGTTCCATGTTTTTGCAATTGCGAATTGTGCTGCTATAAACATGCGTATGCAAGTATCTTTTTCGTATAATGATTTCTTTTCCTCTGGGTAGATACCCAGTAGTGGGATTGCTCGATCAAATGATAGTTCTACTTTTAGTTCTTCAAGGAATCTCCACACTGTAATGTTCTTTTAAAATATGTGCTTTTTATTTCTTGCTTGTATTTTTTTGTATTTTGAAATTGATTTAGGAAGTATATATAATCCATAGAGACCTCAGCCCATTTTTAAAGATTCATGTTACTAACACTCCAATAGCTTCCTGTGGGTTTGGCGTGGTAGGAAGTACAGGTGAAATAAGGCAAATAAGACAGAACTGGTATTCTGGAGCTTGAGAAAATGAAGAACCCTGGCAATCACAATGCAGTGTGAGAAGTGTTATGAGACATGCATTTGCAGGACCCCTAGGGGCACGTGTCTGTCTCCTAGTGCAGCCCAGGAGGTATTGTCTTGGAAGGCATCCCTCTTAAATCATCTCCCAGAGGATGGCATCTGATGAGGGTAGGATGCATATTCCAGGCAAAGGAGGCAAAGGCACTGGGTTATTAAAGTATTGCAAATAACTCCTGCACACTTCTGGTACAAGTACAAATTGGTACAATCCCCGAGGAGAAATATTTGGTAACATCTACCAGTAATAAAATGTATTAATGATCAGATATGGGACCCAGCTCTCCCAGCTGTTCCATTTTTGAGAATGTTTCCTGCAGAGACACTTGCCCATGGATGACGTGGCGGATGCACAGTTTTGTTCACGGCAGCCCTAGCCTTCGCACAGAGTTACAAACACCCTAGATGTTCCTCAGGAGAGGAAGGATTCAATAAAACACTGTGTGTCCAAATGGTGGGAATGCCACTACAATCAAATGATAAGGAAGGCTTTCTGAGATATGATGTTAGGTGAAAAAAGTGGTTTGTAAATGGATGTGTATGATATACTATATATTATGTGAACAAGGGAAAATACATATATGCCTTTACTTGTTTCTTGTAAATGTATAAAGTCATCTCAACGTGTAGGTAAGAAGCTGACAAAAATATTTGTCTCAGTGTGTGGTGTTGTTATATGGGACTAGATACAGGACTCGTTGGGGTGAAGAATGAGAGGGAGAGAATGGTCCAAGAAACAGCTACAGACCTTCTCCAAGCTTCCGCAGTCATCAACTCATGGCCAATTCCATTTCATCCCAACTCCTAGACATTTCTGCCTGCCCCAGAGTAGAATATCTTGTATATATACAGATGTGCGCGCACACACACACACACACACACACACACACACACACACACACACACATTCATGTGCTTGGCTTATGGCCCAAATAAGATCCATGCATAAAAATTAAAGGTAAAATTTTTATTTTAAATATGTACTTTGTCAAACTTCTGCAATAATTATAAAAGCCTTAAATTATGAATAGAGTAAAGGGAGTTTGTTATTAGTATCAAACTCTCCTAGACACAGTTTTATTTTTATTATGATTTTTCTTTTAACTCATGGTGATCTTTGTGTGTCTTTTTACATTTTTAAATATACAGGGCCATTGAAGGTTTTCTTTAGGCATTAACTTTTTAATTTTTGTATTATAGTTAGAAAATTTCAGATTCTTTGAAATTTGAGAAGACATACTTTATGTCAAGTGGGTAACCAAGTTTTAGAAAATTTTCTGGAACGCTTGAAAAGAACGTGTTCTCCAATTATTTCATGTAGTTTTCTATATATGTCCATTACAAGGAGCTTATTAAACTATTAAATCTTTTATATTTATATTAGTTTGATCTCTATGCCAGTCATAGACCATTCTCACAGCTGGTGAGAATATGCTGAATTATCCCAGTATAATGGCGGATTTGTTCATTTCTATTTTCATTCTGTTAATTTTTCTTTTATGTATATTATATATAAATGCCATTTAATTAGATGCATATAGATTTAAATTCTTATAGCTATCTGAGAACTTAACAGATTTTCTCAAATGGATGACTGTTTTATCCATAAGGATGACTTTAGCATTAATATTTAATTCATCTGATGTTGATACAGTTAAGCCTCTTTTCCTTGGGTTAACATATATTTGGTCTTTGGTTTTCCATCATCTTCTTTTCAAACCTTTTGTGTCTTTATCTTTTCATTATAGAGTTTAATCTGTTTGTATCCATTGTGTTTGTGGACTCATTTCTGTCATCTTATATTGTACTTTCTGTTAGTATACTTGCTGTTCATATCACTTTTATTCTGTCTACCTTGTTTGTGTTTGTTTTATTTTAGCTTATTACCATTTTATTTTGTCCTTTATTGGGTCAGAAGTCACATCCTCTAATTTCATCCTTTTATTGGATATTATAGAAATGTTATAATATATATTTTTTGAAGTGTGTACACAAATAAAGTGAATGAGTAACCTGAGTCTTCTTCAGAAAAATATAAAGACCACACAAAGTGGGCACATAGCTGTGGAGGGACAAAGGTGATGCTGGGCACACAGACTGACCACACAGAGCTGGGTCTCTTCAACAATGTCGTATGTCTACGTGAAGAAGGATGCCAAGGCACACTCTAAGATAATGTGTGTTGGGGGGGAGGAGGCGTGTGTGTGAATGTGTGCGGCACACCTGATGCATGCTCAGGAGTGTATGTATATCTGTGCACCATTGTTTTTAATTCAAAAAGTGCATAGCTTTCATTTTCACAGGAAGTTATGATGCCTCATACAGCAAGTACCTTTGGTACCTTTGGATAGACTTTTTTTTTTTTTTTTTTTGAGACAGAGTCTCGCTCTGTCACCAGGCTGGAGTACAGTGGTGCGATCTTGGCTCACTATAACCTCTGCCTGCCGGGTTCAAGGGATTCTCCTGCCTCAGCCTCCCAAGTAGCTGGGACTACAGGCACGCACCACCATGCCCAGCTAATTTTTGTATTAGTAGAGATGGGGTTTTGCCATGTTGGCCAGCCTGGTCTTGAACTCCTGACCTCAGGTGATCCACCTGCCTCGGCCTCCCAAAGTGCTGGGATTGCAGGCGTGAGCCACCGTGCCCAGCCTGAATAGACATTTTAAGGTAGCATGTCATTTTTGCCATGAATTTGGCAGCTGTCTACATTCTAAAAAGCTAGATTCAACTTTGAAACTTCCCCAGTCTAGGAGAGTATAGTGTAAACAGATCAATCACCATAGAAGGGGGATTAAACAGACATATTCTGAGCAGGCAACTGGAACATGAAACCACTTTAAGTAGCAGAATTGGGCCTGTTGTGTTTAGAGGCACAAAAGGAACTGTGAAATATCTAAAATCCAATAGCTAAGAGAAATTTCACATGGAGAGACTGAGAAACTTCTGCAATAATTATGAAAGCCTTAAGTTATGAATGCAAAAACACAGTGTTGCAGATGTTTCTGTAGAAATCTACAAAAATGAATCTATTGCCCACCGAAACTCAGGACAGTAAGGAAGCAGAAAGTTACGGCAAGACTGGGCTAATTCTAATTCCATTGGCCATGCCCGGCTAAGCATTTCATTAATTCTTTACTGAGAAGAGATTTGAATTACAGTTGGCATCAAGAAGTAGTTACATCTCTATTTGCCAAGATCAATCATTCAGCAAAATTTAATAATTGATTCAGTAATATAGTGTCAGTCATTCCTAAATAATGTTTTCTGTTTGTTTTATACATTTCTGAAGCAAAAGGACAAAACAATTATTTTTAAAAATGAAAGGCCAGTACCAAAAAGGCAAAGTCAAAATTCTGCAAGTTTTGGTGCTGATCATGGGTTGGCCAGATATACTTTATTGCTTTTGGAAATGGTTCTTGAGTGATTAGTGTAGGAAATAGTGTAGAAATATTCTGGAAGGGCTTTCTCTGCCTTTGTGTGAAGATTTCCAGTTCCCCGGAGCCACAGAGCCTGATTCATTTGTCTACACACAATAATAATAATAATAATAATGATGATTATTATTATTATTCTGAGTTGCTTGAGCTCTCTCTCTCTCTCTCTCTCTATATATATATATATATACACACACACACAAACATATATATATTCTGGTTATTAATCTCTCATTAAATGTATAGTTTGCAATTATTTTCTTCCATTCTTTAGGTTGTCTCTTCATTGAAAGTTTATTATACCATGCAGAAGCTTTTGAGCTTCATGTTATTCCATTTGTCTGCTTTGCTTTTACTGCCTGTGCTTTGGACATCTTACTCAAAAAGTCTTTGTCCAGACCAGTGTCCTCAAGCATTTCCCCATAGTTTTCTTCTAGTAGCTTCATAGTTTGTGGTGATAAACTATGAGCATGCAGTTTTGACTCCATTTGCCAGTGTTGTGGACTAAAGTTGTGAGGACAGAATGGTTTGTGTTTTCATAAGTTTTCTTATGCAAAGTTGATTTGATGACAGTGGCCTCCTAAGAATGAACTTTCATCAAAACATTGAGGTCTCCAACCAAACAGACACAAAAGCACTCCTTAATGTGGGAGTCTTCAGTACCATATAAAATGTGCAAATTAGCAACATTTCTGAGTATTGAGCTCCAAGATTCAACTCTGGAATATTTTATGGTTTTCTTTGTTTTAATACTTAATGGAGGAGACACATTTTTGCTTGTAAACGAATAAACTCATGTGTCTAATTATGTATTAGGAAAATGAGGTCATTTCCTTCTATGTGGTAATATATTCACATATAGGGGGAAATGCCATAATATATGGGACAATAAGGTGAATAATACTATACTAACAAATATAATAATATGAATAATATGAAAAAAACATCAAGAGATGGAATTAACTTTAAATACAGGGCAGATATATTTTTATCGGCTTGCTGGGCTAGCACTTTTCCTTACTTCTCTCCCTGAAGGGTCCCCAATTCTGTTTCTATTCTGTGTGTCTTTTTCCCCCACTTCCGTGGACATGTGTCCAGTGCCCCTTCCCCCAAAGCCCTTCAACTAGTTATTCTCTAGCAGAACATTTTTCTGCCAGTAAAAATATTTTCTTTCAGGAATTGGCTAAAAGCTGTTTTCATAAAAACTTCCCTATATGAATCGAGCCTATAATTATCTGGCTCTTTCTTAGGATTTCTGCAGAGCGTATGCACACCTAAAGCGTACCAATTCACACTTGGTTCCGGGGTCTATAGTAGAGTCACAGAAACATGACTCCTGTCATGAATGCAAGCTAGGATGTGGTCCCTACAGCAGGGGATGTGTCTCGAATGCCTCTTCAATCCTTGTACAGTGTCTAATGCAGTACTGCTTCCACAGTGTTGAGCAGCAGTCCTTAAGAGGGTGGGGTTTAGAGTTTGTTCTTTGCAGACCTGAGTTTTAATCCTGACTCTATAACCTATAAGCAGTATAAGAAAGTTACTCAAACTGTCTGTCTCATTTGTCCAGTGGGGACACTCCTCATTTTACAGGGTGTGATGGTTAATTTCAGGTGTCAACGTGACTGCCTTAAGGAATACGTCAGGAGTTGATAAAGCATTGTTTCTAGGTGAGCCTGTGCAGATACTCCCATGAAGATTGGTGTGAGCTGCTGGACGGAGTGGGGAAGATGTCTTCAATAGAAACAGGCCCCATCCAATTCTCTGAGCGCCCAGATAGAAGAAACAGGGCAGAGGAAAGGCACTTTCCTCCCTTTCTCTCCTGGAGCTGAGACTCTTCTTTTCCTGCCCTTGGACATCAGAACTTCAGGCTCTTTTTATACTAAGAGTTATACTATCCACTTCCCTGGTTCTGAGGTTTTTGGTTGTGACCTGAGTCACACTCCTGGCATCCCTGGGGCTCCACCTTGCAAACAGTCTGCCCTGAGACTTTTCAGCCTCTAATTCCCCTAATAAATCCCCTCTCATCTGTCTTTGCTGATAACCTGTTGGTAGCGTCTCTCTAGAGCCCCGATTAATCCATAGGGGTAATGTGAGGGAGAAATGAGGTCATGCATGGAGAGCATTTCACACCCTGCCTGACACATGCCCAGGTCCAACAGGCTGCAGCTACAGTTATTCTAGAGCTTAGCATCAATGTTCAAAATAGCGGAAGGCCTTCCCTCTGGTACCCAGCCATCGCGTTGAGCTTCTCCTGTCATTTTTCAATTCCAGAGTGTTTTTTGAGAGCAATTCTGTGTCGTGTGTATCACTGACGTGGGGCCAAAAACAATCGGTATGCGTGGGGATCTGAAGCTGGGAATGACCAATAGGTCAGAAAGTTCTTAGGAGTCAGGAGCAGAGGAAGCTGCATGGTCAAGGGGAATCGACGTGAGCCTTCCTGCCGTGTGTCCCATTTCCTGCGGTCTAATGAGACAGAGACATATGTATGTATGCATCAGCTCATGCTTAGCTCTTTAATATGTACAAGGTGTTTTCAAATTCTCCCACCGTCTTTGACAGCTGAGAATTTCAGATCACCTGTTGTTCATGACTGCTGTCAAGGGGATCCTCCTTTTAGGGACACAGGAAGATTTGCCTAAAAACGTCAGGAAGCTTTGATATCTATTATTTTATTATAAAAATCAACTACAGCTTTGCTGCTATATTACTTTGGGTCTTTACTCATTCCACTGTTTATTTTAAGCCTCAGCTTGTGGATAGTTGGAGAAGGAGGGAAAATATGTAACACTGTTATTAAATATTTTACTGTGTATGTAACATGTAGAATAAAGCAAGACTTGAAGATGTAGTATTTATGAATGCTCCAACAAATAAAATATTATTTAAATTATTGATTTCTAATTAAACGACTTATTGTCCATAATGAATTAAAATAGTTTGTGAAAATAAATTCATTGATACTTTTGCATTTATAATTTGAGAATCATAGTAACTTTCCAAATCTGAAAATGCCTGAAACACAAGACTGCCAATCATCACAATAAAACATGAAGCCCTAGTGAACGAGCTAGTCAGGATGGGTTCCCAACAAATAGCAGTTGAAGCTCTTACTGCCATGAAATGATGAAAGAAACACGGTTTAAGTGCCATGGATAATTATTTCAATGCCAAAAGAATCATCACAGACTGTTGTGACATGCAGAGCTTGAATGGAAATATGGCATTAAAATAAGGTGCACAAAATTAATTCTTGAATGTAATTTTTAAACACATTGCAAAATTGCTCCCTAATATACACCAAACCCAAAAGTGACCACTGACAAGATGAGTTTATTTCAGTTTTTATGCTGTCATTATGGAAAACACTATAGCAGAAAGTTCACCAATTTCCCTTTGGAAAGAGATATACAACCACAGCCAATAGGCTTTCCTAAAAGACAGCAGGAGCTTTTCATGCGGACTTGTTTCCCATCCATAACATACAAATATTTATTGTCCAGGGTCAATACAGCCTTGCAAATAAACAGGCTTTGAGTTATACCAAGCATGCTCATTCTTATATGGTATTTCCATATAAGAAATACAAAAGAAATATACCACAAAATGATGGTGTTCAGGACATAGGGCAACGCCCTGTTTCTGTGGTATAGCGTCCTAGGTTTCGTAGGATTCCATAGGAGGCAGCTACAAGTTCAACTTGCAAAGCTCTGAAATCTCTTCCTAAGCTAATGAAGTGAAGCCCTGACTGCACCAAGGAAAGGATGAAACAGAACCCATTTATTGTTTCTCAAATGATGCTACCATCTCTTCAAAGCCACCATTAATTTTAACGTCTTTAAAGCTATAAGAACAATCTATGTAACAAGTGAAAACTGCCTATAAAATTACTGCTTTACATCTCAAACCCTTATTATATGGAAATTCATATTTTCAGAATCACATAAAAGTTTAACGTGCTATTCATTATAAGATTAAAGGGCATGAGTTATTCTGCCTGTGTAATTATTAACAATTGAAAATTAAATCGTGATAATTTTGTACTCTTTTCTTCTTAAAATAATTTCCTTTCTCCTTTTGCCTGAGACCCATGCTTGAACAATATTAACGTCTTACCCTCTAAAATAAATGATTATATATAATATATAAATATGTTTTATATGTGTATTTATACATAAAATATATTTGTAAATATTTCTATATATAATCTACGAATTATATAAAAATACATATATTAATTTATACATATATAGTAGGTTCTAGTATATCTAGAAAAGACCTGTGTATTTCTAAGATATATATATAATCTATATCTATATATTTATATTTATATTATATATAAATATATAATCCATATTTCTATATTTGTATTTATATATTTTATATATAAATGTATATAATCTATATAGGTTTGTATATAGTAAATATAGTTGTATATTACATTTTATTTACATATGCTTCTATATATTTGTATACAGTAAATTCTATATATAGAAAGGACCTGTGTATTTCTAACGCATGGAAATATGAAATGTACTTTTTGTCTCCTCAGTTGCGAATATAAAAAGGCTTTTTTCAAGTAGATAGATTTTTCTCTACTTTGAATTTTTCTTCTTAAATATATTAGGTTGTAGGGAGGGGACGCTGAAAGGAAAGAGATGGAAACGATTCTTTCATCGGTTTCTATAACCGAAAAGGTATTTTAACAATGAAACCTAAGTAGGTAGAATCCAGTTCTTGGTACTTGGTGTATGTGCTAGCAAGATTGCATGAAGAAACAAACCGTGTAAGAAGCGGAGTCATCCTGTGAAGGGGAAATTTGTCTCCAGTGTTCAGCCATGACGCAATCCTTATCCTCCTGTCTGGCTAACTGTGACCTGTCCCTGTGACCTTAACCCCACGGGACCCCACTTCCCTCCCTCCCCACACACCACCTATTCCTTCCTTCTTTCCTTTCTCCCTCCCCACACACCACCTCTTCCTCCCTCCCTCCCCACACACCTCCTCTTCCTCCCTCCCTCCCTCCCCACACACCTCCTCTTCCCCCCTCCCTCCCTCCCCACACACCACCTCTTCCTCCCTCCCTCCCTCCCCACACACCACCTCTTCCTCCCTCCCTCCCTCCCCACACACCACCTCTTCCTCCCTCCCTCCCTCCCCACACACCACCTCTTCCTCCCTCCCTCCCTCCCCACACACCACCTCTTCCTCCCTCCCTCCCTCCCCACACACCACCTCTTCCTCCCTCCCTCCCTCCCCACACACCACCTCTTCCTCCCTCCCTCCCTCCCCACACACCACCTCTTCCTCCCTCCCTCCCCACACACCACCTCTTCCTCCCTCCCTCCCTCCCCACACACCACCTCTTCCTCCCTCCCTCCCTCCCCACACACCACCTCTTCCTCCCTCCCTCCCTCCCCACACACCACCTCTTCCTCCCTCCCTCCCCACACACCACCTCTTCCTCCCTCCCTCCCTCCCCACACACCACCTCTTCCTCCCTCCCTCCCCACACACCACCTCTTCCTCCCTCCCTCCCTCCCCACACACCACCTCTTCCTCCCTCCCTCCCTCCCTCCCCACACACCACCTCTTCCTCCCTCCCTCCCTCCCCACACACCACCTCTTCCTCCCTCCCTCCCTCCCCACACACCACCTCTTCCTCCCTCCCTCCCTCCCTCCCCACACACCACCTCTTCCTCCCTCCCTCCCTCACCACACACCACCTCTTCCCCCCTCCCTCCCTCCCTCCCCACCATCAGAGAACACGGAGTCACTCAGATCAATTTGCAACACATTCATTTTATTATCTTCAGAATGGCAAGCACCCCGCTGGTGAGATCTCTGAGGTCTGGCGGCTGGGCCTGAACTTAGTCGGTGCTCTCGGAGACAGGGGAAAAGCTGGCCATCCACACAGTCAGTGGTTCTTCCACCTCGCTCTCCTGACTCAGTGGTTCTTCCACCTCGCTCTCCTGACTCAGGGGGTCGTGCTGGGTCCCCTCGCTCACTGGCTCCTCCGGCGGCAGCTCGTGCTGAGGGAGCTCCTGGCTGGGCTGGTCGCTGGGGCCGGGTGCCGCTGGCGCGCTCTCCGCCTCAGGTGCCGTCACGGCCGCCATCTTTGTCGCAGCCCCTTTCTTCCCGCGTCTCCCTCTACGAACTGCTTTTCCCTTCTTGGCCACCTTGGTAGTCTGGAAGGACAACAGGGAGATCACAGAAGGGCTCTGGTTTAGGGACGAGGATGGAGGAGGCTGGGAACAGGGACGTGTCCTCAGAAGCGGTGGGGGCCGGGTTGGGGGGTTCTGCCAAGTGACGACAGGAGAGGCTTCTTGTGAGGAAGGAGGCGAGGGGAAGACGAGGAGGAGCTTGGGAGGGTCACTCACCTTCTTCTTCGGGTCACTGGGGCTCGGCTGAGAGGAGGACTTCCTCTTTCCTGCCTCCGTGGCCTTGGCCGGAGGTCCCGAGGCTCTCGGCTTTGGACTCATCTTCCGCAGCTCAACGTCTCGCAACGGTCGACTAACTCCAGGCTGCCTGGCCTCCCTGTATATACCCCTCTCGCGATCCCAGGACGAGACAATCACGCCCCTGAGCTGTGATTGGTCAACACTCCACTACCCAGCCAATGGTAGCCCTGGGCGGGAAGGAAGGCCTTATACGTCACAAAGCACCATCAGGACATGGCGGATGAAGTCGGGGGCGGGGGGGGGGGGTGACATCTAATGAGGAAGGCAGGGTGCTCTAATTGGAGAAAGGGAGATTTGGGTTAGCACCCCTAAAGATAGTTCCCAAACTGACATGTCACCCCTCCTAAACTCCCCATGTTCAATTTTGGCAGATCACGTGGCACGGGAGGATATTTCCGCCACATGTTTCCCCCGGACCTCCCATTCAGTGGTACATTCTGTTCCTCCACACCTGCCATCATTACCCAGTTTCTGTATGACCTATCTAAAATCCCTCCATGCTAACTGGGATGGATGGAGGGCTATACGAAGACGTCAATCATCCCTCTCTCCTACAAATTCCTCTGCTACACCTTGAGGATCATTCACTTCTTGGATGCCATGAAACAACTTTTCCATCTCACATACTTCTCCCAGCATCCACATAGTGCCTCACAATTTTTCATTCTCATGGTTTAAAGCACTGGCTTCCAGAGGTCAAGATCAGCAAACACACTCGCTCAGCTGGGTATCGGTATCAGGCTGGGTTTCGGTATCAGGCTGGGTTCCTCAGAGAAGGAGAAACTAAACCAACAGGATATTGTGTGTGTGTGTGTGTGTGTGTAATATTATATATCATAAATATATATTTACTATCATGTAGTATTTATGAATTATATATATGATACAGTTTATTCTAAGTAATTGGCTCACACATTGACTCAATGTGGGGGTCTAGGAAGCTGAAATATATAGGGCAAGTGAGCAGGCTGGAAACTAAAAGCTTCTGCACAGCCAACAGTCAACAAAATGAAAAGGCAGGCTATGGTTTGGGAGAAGCTATTTGCGAACCATGTATCTAATAATGAGTTAATATCCAAAATATATAAAGAACTCACACAGCTCAATAGCAAATAAATAAATAGTCTGGTTAACAAATAGGCAAAGGACTTGAATAGGCATTTCTAGAAGGAAAACACACAACTGGCCAACAGGTATATGAAAATGTGCTCAACATCGTTAATAATCAGAGAATGCAAATGAAAACCACAATGAACTATCACCTCACTGTTACACGCTGTTGACAGACGTGTAATTGGTACAGCCGTTATAAAAAACAGTGTAATGGTTCCTTGGAAAATCAAAATAGATCTACCATGTGACCCAGCAGTTCATCTGTTAAGTATGTACCACCCCCCAAAAATGAAGTCCACATCTCATATAGATATCTCCAGTACTAACTAATTGTAACTCATTAATTACACAGGAAATTAGAGTTTCTATTTGAAAAGAATGTTTTTTTCACCATTCTGGTATCAAATATTTATTCTAGTCATCTCTTCTTATTTCTTGCTTTGTAATAACCTAGGTACTCACTACCCATTGACAGAACCAACTTATTATTCCAACAAGAAATGAGAAATACTGAGGAGAATGCAATGTGATACTTCTGTCTTCAACCAGTTATTCCAGTTTTATGGAGGATTCTGTATTTAACTCTTACTCAGGTAACTCTAGTTACCAAATCCATAGTACCTAGTCAACAATCCTAAAAAAGTAAGAATACAGAATTGACTCGAATGGTTACTAAACTTTCTATGTTCAACCAGTTTTCCTAGTAATTGCTAGTTGTTTGTTCAACTAGTACTGAGAAGAATTTGTTTATTCCAGGTACTGGCTTCATGTAGTTATCTCTAGTTAATTACTCACTTGGATAAAGTAGATATCTACTATATTAGGTAATATTTCTAACATGAGGTTGGAATTTTGCATTGAGGAAAATGGTTATTGAACTCCCTGGCATAGGCCAGTTATCTTCAGCTTCCTGCAATCAATTACCTGGTCTGGCTAATTCTAGCTATCTTTAGGTTGCTAATTACATGTTTACCACCAGATGTCTGTGGTAATTTATTATTCCAACAAAAAATAGTAGAATGATTAGGAAGGATTTTGCTTTTTCCAGGCATCACATAGATATTCAAATTATCTCCTGTTATCCTTTGGACCTTTTTTTCCTGGGTAGCACTCAGCACCTATCCTTATAAGTTCTTATACCAACTAAAATGAATAATTGAGACTTGCAAAGAACACGATTTTCAGGATCAGGTTCACTTAGTATTGCAATGACTGTTAGCTCTTTCTATGTAACGTGTTTTATGGGAAAGCCCAGTTAAGTAGAACTCATATATTAACTCAACACCAACAAAATTTTATCTGACCTGACTAGATTCCCTATGTTCTACATTCCACTGAACTATTGTTGTTGTCTCTATTTTACTACTTACTTAGGTATATGACTCATCTGTAGTAGTAATTCATTATTCCAACAATAACTCAGCAGTAAGTGGTGAGAAGAACGTGATTTTATTTTTAAAATTTATTTTTACTGAGGTAAAATATACACATGTAATGCACCCTCTTTACCACTTGTAAGTGTGCAGTTCAGTGGTAATATTTATATTCTTGTATTTATATTCTTTTATTTCCCCTTCATCCCCCGCTTCCCCTTCTGGCCTCTGGTAACCATCACTATAGTCACCATCTTCATGAGAACCACTTTTTTAGCTCCCATATATGAGTGAAAACATGCAATCTTTGTTTTTCTGTGCCTGGCTTATTTCCTTTAACATAATATCCAGTCATTCTTTTTATGCCTGGATAATATTCCATTGTGTACATATGCCACATTTGCCTAATCCATTCATCCGTCGATGGGCACTTAGGCTAAATCCATATTTTGGCTATCGTGACTTGCAATACACATGAGTATGCAGATATATCTCTTTGATGTACAGATAAATTTATTTATCTATCTATCCATCTCTCTCTCTCTCTCTCTCTTTCCCCAGCAGTGGAATACTTGGATCATATACTAGTTCTATTTTTAGGATTTTGAGGAACCCCATACTGTTCTCCATAGGGGCTGTAGTAAATTACATTCCCACCAACAGTGTACACAGGTTCCCCTTTCTCCACCTCCTTGCTAGCATCTGTTCATGCCTGTCTTTTGATAAAAGCCATTTTAACTGGGGTGAGATGATATTGCATTGTTTTGATTTGTATTTCTCTGATGATTCATAATAAGCATATTTTCATATGCCTGCTGGTCATTTTTGTGTCTTCTTTTGAGAAATATCTATTCAGATTATTTGTCCATTTTTAAGTCAGATTGTTTGTTATTAAATTTTTTGAGCTCCTTATGTATTCTGATTATGAATCCCTTATCAGATGGATACTTTGCAAATATTTTCTGCCATTCTGTGGGTTGTCTCTTCACTTGGTTGATAATTTCCTTTGCTATGCAGAAGCTTTTTAACTTGATGTAATCCCAGTAGTTTATTTTTGCTTTGGTTCTTGTGCTTTTGAGGTCGTACTCAAGAAGTCTTTGCCCAGACCAATGTCCTGGAGCATTTCCCCAATGTTTCTTGGTGGTTTCAGTTACAGGTCATAAATTCAAGTCTTTTTTTCTTTTTTTTTTTCAACAGAGTCTCATCTCACTCTGTTGTTCAGGCCTAGGCTGGAGTGCAGTGTCACCATCTCAGTTCACTATAACATCCACCTCCTCGGTTCAAGTGATTCTCGTGCCCCAGCCTCCAGAGTAGCTGGGATTACAGGTGTGCACCACCACACCTGGCTAAGTTTTGTAGTTTTTGTAGAGACGGGGTTTCACCATACTGGCCAGGCTGGTCTCAAACCCCTGACCTCAAGTGACCCACTCACCTCGACCTCCCAAAGTGCTAGGATTACAGGCGTGAGCCACCACTCCCAGCCAGATTCAAGTCTTTAACCCATTTTTGATTTGCTTTTTGTGTGTGGTGAAAGATAGGAATCTAGTTTCATTCTTCTGCATATACTTATCCAGCTTTCTAGTACTATTTATTGACATGTCGGTCTTTTCAGCATCATATGTTCTTTTTGTCTTTGTTTCAGTTGAGTTGGTTGTAAGCATGTGGCTTTATATATGGGTTCTCTATTCTGCTCCATTTGTCTCTGTGTCTGTTTTTAAGCCAGTACCATGCTGCTTGGTTTACTATAGCTTTGTAGTAAATTTTGAAGTCAGGTAGTGTGATGCTTCCAGCTTTTCACTTTTTGCTCAGGATTGCTTTGGCTATTTGAGGTATTTTATGGTTTCCTATGAATATTATAAGTTTTTTCCTATTTCTGTGAAGAATGTCATTGGTATTTTGATAGGACTTGCATTTAATCTGTTAATCGCTTTGGTGAGTATTGTGATTTATACAATATTAATCCTGTCAATCTATGAGCCTGGACTATCTTTCCATGTTTTTGTGTCCTGAGAAGACAGTGTTTTTTAAATTTCTGTATTTAGTTTTTTTAGCTATTATTACTTATTCCTAGTAAACTAATTACCTGGGTACTGGCAGGTACAGGTCGACCTCGTTTTATTGTGATGTACGTTATTGTGTTTATAGATATTGTGTGTTTTTTATAAACTGAAGGTTTCTGGCAACTGTCAAGCATGTCAGTGTCATTTTTCCAACAGCATGTGCCCACTTCATGTCCCTGTGTCACATTTTGGTAATTCTCACAATATTTCCAACTTTTCCATCATTATTATATCTGTTATGATGATTTCTGATCAGTGATCTTTGATGTTATTATTGTAATTGCTTTAGGACTCCAGAAACTGGGCCCATATAAGAACACACAAGGAGGCATCGCACTACCTGACTTCAAAATATACTACAAAGGTATATTTCAAAATATACTACAGATCTACAGGAGGAGAAAGATGGCAGAATAGAATGCTTCACTGATTGTCCCCCTGACCCCCCACTAAGGACACCAATTTAACAACTATCTACACAGAGAAAAACATCTTCATGAGAACCAAAAATCAAGTGAACACCCATAGTACCTGGTTTTAACTTCATATAGCTTGATATGGTTTGGCTGTGTCCCCACCGAAATCTCAACTTGACTTGTATCTCCCAGAATTCCGACATGTTATGGGAGGGACCTAGGGGGAGGTAATTGAATCATGGGGGCCGGTCTTTCCTGTGCTAATCTCATGATAGTGAATAAGTCTCACGAGATCTGATGGGTTTATCAGGGGTTTCTGCTTTTGCTGCTTCTAAGTATTAAGGTGGATATTGCCTGAGTTTGAGTCCCTCCTGAACAATAGACAAACGTCTCCAACTGGTTCGCAGGTGTAGGCGGTGCGTTCTTTGTCGAGTGCTGGTGCCACCTTTACCCTGGAGCAGTAAATCCACATGGAGAGGCTTTTGAGTTGAACAGCTGTCGGGGTCATAAGGAGAATTTGGTGTGGTCCAGTCCAAACTGGCTCCAGTGGCTTTTGGTCCTGTGGGAGAGTTTTAAGATATACCTAGTCTTCAAGCATAAGGTTAGGGTGAGTGTTTCCTGAAAAAGAGGGGCCAGGTGTTGGACTATGAAGACTTTGATAATGATTGATGGCCTTGATGGTTTGTCCCAGGGACATAACATATTGCATGAGATAATGTCTCTTTGGGTCTAACAAAAGGTCTGTTTGGAAGAAAGATCTTCCGCAGAGAATCTCAAAAGGGCTAGATGGGTTTCAGATTTTGGGGTGATACAGGCTCTTAAGAGTACAATGGGGAGCAAAGTTGACCATAACTGTTGGGTTTCATGTATTAACTTTGTGAAGTGCTTTTTCTGGTTTGGTTGGCTCTCTCCACCTTCCTAGAAGATTGTGGACGCCAAGACACATGTGTCTTCACTGCATTTCATTTCTTAAATAATGGAGAGCTTCACTGATTCTCTGCATTATTTAAGAAATGAAAGTGGGGCCATTGTCTGACTGTAGGGCATGAGGGAGTCTAAAACAAGGAAGAATGTGGTCTAAAAGGGCTGAGGTGACTTCTGAGGCCCGTTCAGTTTTAGTGGGAAGGGCCTTTATCCATCCAGTGAAGGTGTCTGCAAAGACTAACAGATACCTGACTAACAAATACACACATTGCATGATGCATGTGTGTAAAATATATTTGCCAGTCTTCTCCTGGTAGGGTTCCTCATCTTAGAATGGGTTGAAGGATTTGGGGAGGTTTGTGTGCTCCCTCTGGGTTTATTTGGCAGCAGGTGGGACATGCCTGTGAGATGGCCCATAGAGCTTGGGCTATCCCCGTGCTGGTGAACAGTGACTTTATTAGATCTTGGATGGCCTTAGCCCCCAGATGAGTCGATTGGTGCACGCTATTTAGAAACTTCCTTTGTGAGGCTCCTGGGAGCAAGAGTTTGCCATTAGGACTTTTTAGCCAACCCTTTGAGGTATGGGAGAAATCTCTTTCTAGAGCTTTTTGGGCTTCCCCCTGTGTATAGTGTGGAGACAGGGAAGTTACGCTAGGAACGAAGACAGCTTGAAAGGGTGACCTGGCAGCCACTTTTACTTATTTGTCATCCCAGGTGTTCCTGATAGAGATTTCATCATTGCTTCTCTGATGGGCTTTGCAGTGAATGATAGTGACCTGTGGAGGAAGCATAACTGCCTCCAACAGGGCCATGATTTCAGGAACACGTTTAATTGAAGTATTTCAGGCCATTAAAAGTCCTCTTTCCTGCCAAATGGCTGCATGGGCATGCACTGCATGAAAGACATAGGCTGAGTCTGTGTAAATATTAAGCCTCATGCCTGCCCCTAATTGTAAGGCACAGGTAAGAGCAATGAGCTCAGCCTTTTGGGCTAAGGGGCAGAGGTCCAGATTCCGTGATTTCAGTTAGGTTAACAGTAGCATACCCTGACAGTTGGGTTCCACCTATCATAAAGCTACTGCCATCTGTGTACCGTGTGGCCTCTGAATCTATAAGGGGAGTATCCTGGAGGTCTGGTCTAACATTACAGGTTAGATCTATGGTTTCCAAGCAAGAATGTTTAAGTGGTCCCTCCACATTTGGGTTTGGTAACAGCATGCCAGGATTAAGGGTTGGCAGAGCCTAATACTCAATTCTGGTACCTGTAGAAAGAGTGTTGGAAATTTGCTTATATGGCTCTGTGAGATCCAGTGAAAGGCCTTTGAGTTTAGGACATTCATTACTTGATGTGGGGTGTAGACAGTTATTCCTTGGCCCAGAGTTAGCTCGGAGGCCTCCACAGCCAGGAGAGCCACACACACTAGCACTCAGAGGCATGGCAGCCATCCCCATGCCTTTTTTTTGACAAGTAACTAGCTGGCCACTGGGAGGGTCCCAGTGGCTGAGTGAGGACTCCAAGGGCTGTATCCCTTCTCTCAACTATGAACAAGTAAAGATGCTTTGTAAGATCTGGCAAGGCCAGGGCGCGGGCTCGTTTGAGGGTTTTTAGAACACTGTCCATTTCAAGGCTCCAATTTAAGAGCTCCCCCCCGATCCTTGCAGTGCCCCATAAAGAGGTTTTGCTATAAGTCCTAACCGGGTTGCCCAAATGTGACAGAAACCTACCATTCGAAGAAAGGACTACAACTGATGTTTAGTGGATGGAATGTCCACGTTTAGCATAAGATTTTTGCGGTGGTCTGAGAGATCCTTGGGCCCTGGGATGAATGTTAGTCTCAAGAATCAAACCTCCTGAGAGAAGATTTGAGCTTTGGAAGGAGACACTTTATAACCACAAGGAGCCAATGTCCAAAGAGTTGTAATAGTATTTAGGTCTGAGGCATTTTTGGTTGGATTGCAAATAAGCGGTTATCAACATATTGAAGGACTGCTTGAAGCTAGGAGTTTGAGACCAGCCTGGACAACCTAGTGAGACCCCTTCACTACAAAAAAAGTATTATAAGCTGCGGGTGGATGCACACACCTTTGGTCCCAGCTTCTTGGCAGGCTAAGGCAGGAATGTCGCTTGGGCCCAGGAAGTAGAAGCTGCAGTGAGCTATGACCATGCTACTGCACTCCAGCCTGGATGGCAGAGTGAGACCTTGTGTCAAAACAAACAAACAAACAAAAACCTTCAAGCCCTGTGCTAGCCACTTTACGGATATATAAATGTATATGCATAGGGTAGATAATCTTCACAACAAAGGGAGTAGGTAGGAATTTTTTTTATTTCAAATAAAGAATAATCTCATTTCACATAAAGATACTTGAATTTCAGGAGCTGAAAGAACTTGCTGAAAGTTACAAATTAATTATGTGACAAGGTTGGAATCTGAACTTATCTTTCACCACTACTACTGTATAGCTTCCCAGGTTTATAATAGTAATTAAATCGAGGAGGGAAATAAGTAAAATTGGCCAATGAAAGGGAAGCAGCACAGGTATAAATAAACTTACCCGTCATAAAGACCTCCTTCTTATCATGCAATGTCCTGCTTAATATGTAGACATAAATAAGATCCATGTCCATTATTAGCTCAACAAGTAAAATGATTCATTTTATTTTCCTTTGAGGGTTTTTTCAAAAGGAAAAAAAGTGGGCTAGCACAGAATGTGTTCTAATCATGAGTATAGAATCGGAGATTCTTTGTTTTAGTTTTTTTGAGACGGCATCTCGCTCTGTCGCCCAGGCTGGAGTGCAGTGGCGCGATCTCGGCTCACTGCAAGCTCTGCCTCCCAGGTTCACACCATTCTCCTGCCTCAGCTGCCTGAGTACCTGGGACTACAGGCGCCCGCCACCACGCCCGGCTAATATTTTTGTATTTTTAGTAGAGACAGGGTTTCACCATGTTAGCCAGGATGGTCTCAATCTCCTGACCTCGTGGTCCGCCCGCCTCGGCCTCCCAAAGTGCTGGGATTACAGGCATGAGCCATTGCACCCGGCCAGAATAGGAGATTCTTTGTAAATGAGTATATGTGTTTAAGAAATATATTCATATGGTTATGTTGAGGCAGATGCCACATATCCACACAAACCACATTAGCATCTGCAGTTTTCCAATTTCAGAAATAATTTTCATGCCTACATGTAAAAATGCAAAAGCATTCATGAACACATTACCTATTTTAGTAATACATATTTTAATACATAAATGATTTAGTTTATCAATAAATTAATTTATGAGTGTGATAAAGAACAGAGGACACAAGAATTTATGCAGCATTGAAAGTCTTTGGCCACTGGGTGTCATGATTTTCCCCTGTAATGATTAACTCTTCAGCAATAAAAGATCCTGAATTTTTGGGGAGGAACACTTCAGTGTTACACGGATTAGCATTGTCAATAGAAAGTTTTATTAAAATATGCCACAGTTTTTTCTCAGATTATTATGTCATATTTAAACCACATTATTAGTGTAGCTTTTTACCTGAAACTGACCAAGAAATATTAGATGTTCAGATATTTAAATAACAAAGGAATACACAATTCTGTCGGTCATCTTCAAGTTTTATTGTATCCAGGTTAAATCTGAAGAATTTGTACAGTGTATTGATGTGTGTGCCTGCGTACATTTTTGGAAGAACTCTTGGTTATACAGAATTTCCATTGTAGAGAAGTTAGCCCTAGATATAATTATTGTGTCTTAGTGTCCAACTGCTTTTACCCATGCCTTGTGTGTGCATATATGATGGCAGATGTATTCTAAAACTGCACCACTAATCAGAACCAGATACCTATGTTTTTTCTCTATGAATATGCTCCACTCTGCCAAGTTCGATGGAAGTGAGTGGTTGTGGCAATTCAAAACAGTTGTGCCTGTTCTACAACACAAATGCTGCTGAACTTGGAGAAAAGACCTGTGCAGACAGAATGAGAAGACTTAGTTGCTCTAAGAACATCATTGGAAACTTTCTTTTATTTTCTTTTCTTTATATTTATTTTGAAGACTAGTTATTGCCTAAGTTGTAAAGGTGAATCTGATAAAGTGGCTGACTAGTTTAGAGGTCAATATTTAAGCCATGTGATTGAATCTGTAGAGGGCAAGAGTTGGAAAGATGAAAATGGGTTCATGGGACAGTTATATTTTATTTTTGTTGTTTTTGAAACTGAATCTGGAAAATATCCAAGTTATGTTTCAATATATAACACTACATCTTTAAATGACAATTTTGGCATATATTGTTATGGCCATTTAATAAATTGCTTTTTATTAAACTGGTGCAAAAATAATTGTGGTTTTTGCCATTACTTTCAGACCTCAATTACTTTTGCACCAACCTCTTACTAGTCATAAGAACATCCTTGCTTTTAACATAAAGGGATTGGTGAAGTTACCATGATTCTCACTTAAGAATTACTGAGAAAAATGCAGCAGCAGGGGTTAGCAAAAACTATTAGTTAATTGAAGGCCTGTGTTTATTTGAATGAAAGGATTTTTCATTTAAATTATAAAAACAGAGGAAGTGCCCAGTTATATCAAATCCATGTTCAATTTTATTCACAGAGATGGTGACAAAAGAGTAAATGAACAATGTCAGAATCAAAAGATACTCTGCCTGGTAAGAACTTGCAATGGAATTTTTTAAAAATGAGATTAAAACAAATAAAAATATGTTTAAAACTCATTAAATATTTTTTAAGTACTTGCTGTTTTAATGAAACTGAACAACAAAGACCCTGTCCTTAGTGAGCCTGCAAGCTAGTGGGGGACTCCAGTAATAATCAAACTATCACAAAAATATGCCTTTAAAACACATCACATTCTGTGAGACGACCTGCTAGGTGTTGGGGTTCAGAAAAGGTTTCTCTGCTGGATTGATGTTTGGCAATCAGGCCAATGGGAATGGGGCTTGGGGCGAGGATGACGTCAGTTGTCCAGGTAGCACTCTTGAGTGGAAGGTGCATGGATGGTTGAGGGACTGAGAGAATGTTACTGCAGTTAGAACTTAAAGGATGAGGGTGGGGTTCTGGGCATTGCAGGATAGAGACATAACACATGATGCATCAGGAGAGAAAAGGAAGGAAGGGCTATCTTGCACGATTTTTTAAAGATACACTGAGAACCTTGGCCATTCCTTGAGAGCTCACACTGGAGAGCATAAGAGCAGTTAGAAGACTGTCACAGTTACCCAGAGTAGAGACGATGATAGCTTGCGTAACGGTGGTGTTGGTGAAGATGGAGAAAAACAGATAAAATGAGAGATGTGTGTGTGTGTATATATATATAATATGTATATATATAATATGTATATATAATATGTATATATATAATATGTATATATAATATGTATATATAATATGTATATATAATATGTATATATAATATGTATATATATAATATGTATATATAATATGTATATATATAATATGTATATATAATATGTATATATATAATATGTATATATAATATGTATATATATAATATATATAATATGTATATATATAATATGTGTATATATATAATATGTATATATAATATGTGTATATATATAATATGTATATATAATATGTGTATATATATAATATGTATATATATAATATGTGTATATATATATGTATTCTAATACTCAAGTTGGTTCTGTTTCTCTGGAGAACACTGACTAATACAGATGACAATTGAGTTATTGATGTCATGGGTATAATTAAATTGCTTAGGTAGAGTATACAGTGAGAAGACAGGAGGTCAAGGAAGGACCTTTGAGAAATTCCAGCACATAAAAGCTCATATAGCAAAGGTTTAGTATTGGGTTTACTTAGCACTCCTACTCCTCTCCCTTCATTGTAGAACATTACTCCTGCACACACATATCTGCTTGGAAATGGACTTACACGTGTAGTTTTCTTGTCGTCTTCTATTTTCTTCCTGGACTCCACCATTCTGGTAACGTTTGATGGGTTCAGCTGTCCAATATGATCCAAATAGACAATATGATTTTCTTCCTGGAAAGAACAAAATATACAACCTGATACTGAGGACCTCTCAAGTCATTGAAAGGTCTTCTGAATTATTTGAGTTCAGCAAGGGCATTTCATTGAACCTTGAATTGAAATAATTATCTCTCTAATAGGAACAAACTCAGGCTAAATATAGACTATGTACAAACCTAGAATACATGTGGAATCATCAGTTATTGAAAGATAAGGCTGGGTGTGGTGGCTCATGCCTGTAATCCCAGTACTTTGGGAGGCCAAGGTGGGTGGATAACCTGAAGTCAAGAGTTCGAGACCAGCCTGACCAACTTAGTGAAACCCCATCTCTACTAAAAGTATAAAATCAGCCGGGTATGGTTGCACATGCCTATCATCCCAGCTACTTGGGAGGTTGAGGCAGGAGAATCACTTGAACCCAGGAGACAGAGGTTGCAGTGAGCCGAGATCACGCCATTGCACTCCAGCCTGGGCAACAGGAGTGAAATTCCGCAACCCCCTCCCCCCTGACAAAAAAAGAAAAGTCATTACTTTAATGACTGTGGCAGAGTTCACATCTCATTTACCCTCACCAGCAGGGTGGGTGGGTATGAAGGCCAACACCAATTTATAAATATATTATTTTTACTTATCCAATTTCCTGGTTGTGTATTTTTCTCCCAAAATAATTATAGCCTTACTATGCAATTTGTCACATAAAGTTTGTTTTCAAGAAATGTCTTTAGGTAAAATCTTGTATCCATGTGCTAAAAACTATTGTCCCTGCCTAGTGGCCTTTAAAAATTTATTATGTATATTTGAGGTTTACAGAAGAATGTTATGGGATATGTGTATCTCACTCGTGGTCTTGCAAGCAAATATACCAATTATTTTCTTCTTTTGGAATTCTAAGTGTCCAGCCACAATGAAGTCATCCACTGAGGAGTGAAAGACTTTCACTCCACTGAGTTATTGTAAATGTGTTTGGGGCTTCCAACTGAGAAGTAACCTCATCAGATGGTTTCTACAGACTCCTATTCTATATTTCATTGCTACACAATGAATCAAAAGTAAAGATCCCAAGAATGTCTCTCCTTTCTTAGGTCATAACACCACAGGGGCAATTGCACTATTTCAAAAGGCAGACCATTCTAGTGTCTGTTCTCAGGGTTTGTTTCTGTTGAAGCAGAGCTAAGGCATTTTACACCCAGAAATAAATTCTAATGACAAATTAATTCATGTATTTCTTTACAACAGTGTCTCCGTGAATTGAAATAAAAACCCATTGGCACAGTAGGAAGGATGATCTTTATCAGGGAGGGTCACACTAGTGACTGACTATTACTTCTGCTGCATATCCCTTTGAAAACCAGAAGTGCAAAGTTGTTTAGATTACACCTAAATCGATTCTGCAGAGGGTATGTGTAGAGAAATGAGGATCATCTGTGTGACAGGCCGTTTATCACTATACATATACATTTATAAAATGCATGTTTTAGAACTGTCAGCTTTCCTTTTATATCATCATCGTCAAGTATTTTAAAGAATGAAATAAAATTTATTGAAATGCACTTGACAATGATCAAGGCACAGCTTAAAGCCTGGAGAGCTGTAGTTTGCAGTGAGCCTGGAATTTTGAAGTGCTGTACTAAGCAGCCATGCCAATTGACGTGTTTTAGTCCTGTGAGGTTTACCTGTTGTCTTTCCCAAATTTCCCAGAATTTTATCCTGGAAGGCTCTGGCTGATCCTGAATTCATATTTGGGTGTACCTTGAGTCTTTGTTCTGGAACCCAGCTGGGAAGGGCTCAGTCTGCCTAGCCCAGGCAAGGCCTGGAAGCAGACCTCAGGGAGGGCCAAACTACCCCTGGATGGCCAGGAGAACCTGGGCTGTATGGGGCCATGCTGTGAGGGTGTACTGCTTTACTGGGAGAGAGCAGACCAGGACAGACCTTCAGAGTCCAGGCATTCAACCACGTAGAAGGGAATTAGAGAAAAAAAAATAGGGAGACAGTGAAGCATACAGAGCAGACAGCTTCAGTGAAGAACTGTGATGAGAATTACAAGGATTTGCTGAGGAGAGTAAAACAGTAAAAAAAAATAACAAGGAAACAGTGCAAGAGAAAGTGAGGGAGAAGCAGACAGAGAGAGAAGATGCAGCTATGCACACATGCAAAGGCAGAGAAAGAAAAAGATACGCTTGTGTATGTGTGTGTAAGGAGAGAGAGAAATAGAGACAGAGACAAAAAGAAGGGGTTTATGTCAGCCATGCACCAAAATATTCTTAATCCCAACACTCAAGTCTTCATTGGGAGATATTAAAAAGTTGAAAGTCCTACAGTGATACTATCCATCATATAAACAGTGAGTGGCATCTGATTATAAAATTATAATAGCAGTAATTTTTAATTTTTAATTTTTCTTCTGTGGTATTATCCTATAGCAATTGTAAGAGTGCATAAAGTTAATAGTTTTTTGTTATTTTATTAATTTAAAATTAAAGCGAGTTTCAAGGAGTTATTTTGGTGCTTAAATGAAATGTAATTCCAAATGTGTTGATTGAATGCCTGAAATGTGCAAGGCACAGAGAGATGCTGAAGTGTAAGACCCAGGGGGATCTATGAAACTAAGGTAATTGGACCTATAAGGCAGGTTTACTAATCATTGAAATGCAAAGGAGAATAAGCCACATGCACTTAAATGAATTCATTCAATGATTCAGGGGTTGAAATTGGGAAAATCACACTTGACTCTAAAGAAACAGGTAAATACTCTGTTAAGAAGAGAAAGCTGAAGAAGATAGGAAAGGAAGCAAAATTTCTATTGGCCTAGTAGGAGCAAGGACTAAAAGCCAGACATGGGCCATGTCTGGAAAAGAGTGAACAATCCCATGTGACTAGAGCAAGGGTGAATGCAGAATGAGGATGGAAGACTAATGCTGGGGATTGCAAACATCTGAGGAAGACTCACAATGCCAGTTGGAGGAATGTTCAGGTATTCAGTGGGTCAGGGGAGCTGCTGAATGGTTAGAACTGAAGAAGAATGTTGCAATGCATTGCAGAAATATGTTTGCATACACATTACAGAGATTGTTACTAACTTGGTAGAAGGTGATCAAAGGCTCACCCCACACAGCAGAAACCAAGTTTTGAGACTTATCCTCAGGTGTGATTCCATCCTATGTAGCAGCACTGCCCAACAGAACTTTCTGTGATGATCAAGAATCTGCGTATCTGTACTGTCCAATATGGTGGCCAAATGGGATTACTGACCACTTCACATGGGGCCAGTGAGACTGAGAAATTAATTTTAATTTTATCTAATTTTAACGTATTTAAATATAAATATAAACACCTTAGGTTGCTGCTACTGATTACTGTATTAGACAGAAGATACAGCTATATAAGGATGTAGCATGAAAAGAAAAAAGCTTGTAAAACATGTTAAATAATATAAGATTTTGGTCCATTGAGGTCCAGAACTTTCTCCTATTTCCATTTCCAATACACTATCAGGTTAATTATCAGAAAATTTCTGCCTCATTATGAAACTGGATGTTTAGAACATTGTCAAGGATACCCTAAAGGGTATTATGGACCAAGAGTCTAAGGTCTAATCTAATTTAACAAATCCCCAGTTTCTGTTTTCCTGTCTGTTACAGTCACTTGACCGATTTTAATTGAATGTTCTCGTGTAGTGTTTATCAAATACCTTCAACCTTTTAAAACGCTTTGCTCAGTGGCAGCTCATTTTTGAGGGTGGATTTCTTTTGGTGGCTGAGAGAAAAGCAACTCCAAAGACTCATTTCGTGCTCGGAGATTCGTGCAGCTATAATTGATTTAGGTGTTGGGCAAAACAGTCAAGGTGAGAAAACACATGCACAAACAGAAGTCATTACTGTAAATGAGAGGAAATATCTTCCTTGAAATACTGTAGACAAGAACAGAAAAAAACAGAAGTACTTTTCAAGGAAAATTGGATCAGATCAAGAAATTCTTAATAGCTAAGTGAAGTCTTTCAAAATTATGCTCATAGCAGTGAACTGAACTATTATTAATAGTCTTTGAGATGAGAGTGAAAGTGATGGCTAATGGATCCAGAGATGGATTTGACTCCTTTTGTCTCCAAATTCCACTCTTTATTGGCTTTGAGGCACCTTAATGAAGCCCAAGGTCTAGAGAAAACAGAGTTGAAAAAAAAAGTGTGCCTTAAATTAGATTAAATGGCCTCAATGCTATGGTGGAATAATACAACAATTCCTATTCTCATCACAGTTACCCAAAATAGAGAAGGAACTGACAAAGGCCACTTGAAGATGGTAAAACAAACAAACATGCAACAACAAAAACCCGGCAACGTGGTTTGTGGATGAAAACCCAAAAGTATCCAATTGCAGTTTGAGACGTGTTTGGGTTAGGTTGGCATTTGATTTCCAGGTGAAAAAAATAAAAGGAATTAAGCTCTTATAGATCAAATGAGAATGAGAATTTTTTGCCAAAACTACTTTGCTATATCAACAAAAATTTAAATATCTCCCAAACAGAGAACACTACAAACAAAGAACAACCCATCCATTTCTAATTCTAATTTAATTCTATCACAAATGGGAACTGAACTCTGATATATGGGGTTTATATTTGGGATATGTGTTTAAGCTAATGGAAGAGCTTTGACAGGAACAAATTGTGAATTCAGTTCTATATTAATCTTAGAGCTTCAGTTAGTTATATAACAGCTCCTTCTCCCAGAAGCATATTAAGAAAAAGGAACACTCGGAATGTTTCAGTGTACTTTAAATGAAAATATAATTTTGCTATTTCCACTCATTTAGTCTTGGTGCTTTGTGGTACTCAGAAAAAAAGATTATTATTTTTTCCTTTGGAAACTTTTTTAAAATGTTGACTTTTGTTGATGAAATTCTGAGAATATAGTCGTCGGTTGCATTGCCTGCTAGAGAGATAACAGGAACATTTCAAGACTTAATGCACACACTGTGTCAGAAAAAAGAAAGGCTGTCTCATTGTGTGGTTCTGCTTAAGCAGCTAAGACACTTTCCTTAGAATACATCATGCAACGTCTTATTCTCGTTAGCCTGAATGGGTCTCATGACATTCTGGAACCAATTGCTTTCAAAGGCAGTAGACCCAGACTTCTTCAGTTGCTTTTAAGACTTTTTAGATGTCTAGTGCATGTGGAGAATGACATCTGTGTGGCCCACTGTGGCAATCTCCAGAGATAGTTCCCAACCTCTAGCCAAAAAACCCGGAGCATCTGGCTACCCATTGCCCCTCCCAGCTGAAATCCTGGCCCGCACCAGTCCTTTTTCTGATTAGACTCATGGGTAAGCCCAGGATCTCATGCACTTCCCCTGAAGTCCAGGGCTGAATGGAGCAAGGGTAGATATCACTGAACACACAGAAGAAATGGGGTCAGTGGGAGAACAGCAGGGAAGTGAAGGGTAGGTGACAGAGTATCCATTAAATGGTTTTCCTTAGGGACTCCCTGATTTCTTTTTTCTCCCACAGTCCAAATATTATCTTTTTTCACACAAAATATAATTATGCAAATATAATTTCCTTTGCAATATTAGCTACTGTCTATATCTTACTAAAATGCATCCAGCTAAAACAACATCATTTTGTACATAATGTGGCTGGCATCTATAAAGAAGGGAGTGAGGAAGGAGAAGGAGTAGGAAGATGGCGAGTGAAAGTGCTGCTATCTTTGGGAATTTGGTTGACAAACATTCACTAACATTATCTATAAACCATAGGACATTTAATATTTAAAGACATATTGGAAAGGATAGTGCTTGTGAGTTGCTATCCTGTAAGACACTTTCAGTTATTTGAGTCATTTACGACTGCAAAACATTTGAGGATTTCTACTTTGTTCAAATGCATTATTGTCCTACTATGAAAGTGCCTGGTGACCACAATGTCTTGGAATTGAGAATGTTTTACTTCTTTAGGGAGCCTGATACCTAACTCTGCCTGAAATGTAACAGAATTCTTCTTAGTTTATAAGGAAACATAATACCCCAATGTTCTTAAGTAATATCATCATTAACATGTGTATTAAAACATACTGAATGTTTTCTTATGCAACAGTAGATAACAACATAATTGTTCTACCTGGATACTGGATTATATCAGCACATGTTATAAACAGATCATTTTCTAGAAACACAAAAAGGTTTGAGATGAACTTCAGTGCCCCTACTTTAATCAGCAGGGACCAAAATTGCCTTACTTCAAACTCTTGAAATCTAGTAAAAATGGCTACTCGTGTGCTTAGAGAGTTATTTGTTCTAGATTTAATCTTACAGCTACTTAGGGGAAAAAAGTTGAACTTAAAGGTAAAATGTCACTAGATGTATTTTCTAATCATTCTCAAAGCATGACTACTCTGCTTATGTTTAGTTATCTTGAGAATAAAGTTTTAATGCTTACCTCATGTTCCCCGAAAATTCCCCATATATTTTTCTGAGATGACCATTCTGGGTGAAAAGGCATATTTCTATTTGTCTTACAGCTAGAAAGTCAGAAATAGGCAATGGGATAATTGAAGTTGAGGTGGACAGTTGCTCCTCCAGACATCACTTTATGAAGTATAAGCCATAAAATATTAAGGTTAATCCATCAGGTGTCTACACTGCAATGCATGTCTCAGGCATAACTAAGCAGCCCCATTAATGTGAAAAATTGGCACACATCATAAACAACTGCACAAACATAACCAGTGTCCTTTACAGCAAAGAATGTAGTTACAACACAAGATGTTGAAAATCCCATGAGGTATTAGCCGGGGGAGTTCAAGTGTTCCTCCATGAGTGTTTCAAATGACTTTAATGGCACAGTCTTCTCAGTAACCTCTAAGCATGCATCTTATAATAAAGGATTCGAATTATTTTTCCTTTTGAGTTGAATTGGGCACATTCGTGTACATAGTCCTGGGCATGGGTGATAAAATATGAATAAAACACATTCTGTGCTCTTAAGGAGAATGCAAGTGAGAACAGAGACAGAATATTCATATGAAAATGAGGTGGCGATATCAGGTTGCATGTAATACTTGACAGATGGGGGGTGCCCGAAGTATCATGTAATTCAGAGCAAGCAGGCACAAGTTGGAGGGGGTAATTAAGACTTCCTGGGAGCTGAAGGGAAAGTGAGAACTCAAAGGACCCCAAGGCAGGTGGAGGAATTAGTGAGTCATGGCCTGGGAGGAGAATTTAATGATATTTTATTTTGAGATAGAAATTGGAGAAGAGAAAGTCGTCAATACCTTTTCTTTTTATGAGTGGTTTCCATGATAATTAAACTAACGTTTTACCAAAGTAGGTTTTCTACCCTGACTTCTAAATAAATAAAGGTATAAAGCAAGGGTTTGACAGGTATTTTAAGTGGTATTCCCTACCCTTGGAAAAATGGTCTTTTGCATATTAGTTCACCTTTGCACACTGCAACAAGTAGCTCTGTGGAATCTTTCCCTGTGAGAATAGTTTCCTAAACTGATAATATCTCTGGGCTTCCAGACAACTCAAAGGCTAGAGGGGGAGGAGACTAATTATGAACAAAATTGAATTGGTTTTAAATATATTTGTAATAGATTTTCAGATGAAGATGCTTACTCAAATTACCAATAAAAAAAAAGAGTATTGGGATTTCGGAAATGTTGAGACTCAGTAGTTGACCATTTGACCCAGTAAGTGATAATAAGACTTTGGTTTATGGAGCTGCTTCGTGCAACAGGGCGTGCCTTAGTACTACTGATTAAAATGGCAAGAACCGAAGGAAAATAGGACTCGTTACAGGGACACCTAAGACCAACAATGAAATATGCCCTTTGTCTACAGAGTATGCTAATAGGATCTGGGGGCCATATTCAGAATGAGGTTTTTTGCATTGTGAATTTTTGGTATTTATAAAAGTAATCTTTTAACCCATCTTTTATCAGGTCTTCATCTATCTTCTCAATTAAGATTCTGAGGCATAGCTTGAGGTCAGTCAGTTGAAGCGGACACTCTAGTTCATTTGATAAAATGGTGCACTGAGGCATGAATCAGCCGCAATCTGCCCACAGTTCCTCATCCCCGCAAGGGAAAAGAAGGCCATTTCACGAGACTGAATTTTTACAGGTATTTCCAAACTATGAACTCAGTGTGACCTTGGCACTTACCAGATAATTTGAACCATTATAGAAATGAGAACATGTTGTAAAAGCATACAGAAGACAGACAAGTCATAACTTCTGCAAAAGCCAATTGCTTCATCATAGCAGCATTTTTCTCATTATTTGCTGGGATAAATAAATACTGAAGCCAGGAATAACTCACTTATTTAAAATTGGTTAAATGGGCAAGTGCCATAACTAATAAGTCTTCCAATTAGGAGCTAGGTTGAAAGCTCTACATCATGCGCTGAAGTTAAGAAATAGAACACTGGAGTAACCTTTAGGCAAAAAATACCACTACTGCTGCTAATATTATAACATGTCTCATATTTGTCATAGCTCTGCCATTTTTGCCATGGAGGCCACATGTTTGTGAGCAGAGGGCTGTTAGGTGTTTTTATCTCTCGTAGACTTCTGAGTTCATTGCAGGCACTGGAGCATGGGGAGGCTGAAGAGCAGGGAATGCCTGAGGGAGGTGAGTCACAGAGCAAACAGGTGGTACGACTGCAGGGCGGGGGCAAGGGTGCAGTAGAAATACTCATCCAATGGCAGGACAGTTTTGTACAGGATCCTGGAATGTTTGCGAGACTGCGCGGAAACTCACTCTCCTTGCCGGCAAGAAAGCTAGAATGCCCTGTCTGGGCCACACCTCAAGTCCATGCGTGCTCTTAGCTTCTGGGACCTATGCTATGATCCCTGGGAAGCCCTGGGGGCTACTACCCTGGGTTTTAGGTTATTGGTCAGGAAAGTCTAGTACTCTGCAAGGCAGACCGATACTCATTTGAATATAAAGACCAGACACTCCCTTGAAAGAGAATGCATGTGTATTTTTTTACAGCCAGCTGTAAAACTGGAGACTCCTAGAAAAACTGGAATTCAAACAAATTTGTCTTTCTTTCAAATGCTACCTTCCTTTTAAATGAGAAGTGGTTTTGCTTGTCGCCCCCTCCTCCTCCATTAACATGCTGGGATATTTAGAAGAAATACGTAAAGATTAGCTAAAGTATCCTAATGTTTATATAGGCATACCCAGAATCCTAAAAAATTTCCTGAATTGTATCTGAAAGTTTTCTGTGAAAATTAGAACCAGTACTTGAAATGGTGCTTGAAAATTTTCTATGGTTCTTCTAAGTCATCTTCGTGTAATAGAATTACAACATAAGTCAAAATTGGATGTATCTGTATAATTTTAAAATGTCTAGTAGCCACATTGAAATAGGAAAAAGAAACTAATGAAATTATTTTTATAGTATATTTTATTGAACCCAATATATCCCCAATATTATAATTTCAACATGCAGTCAATACAGAAATACTAATGAGATACTTTACATTCCACTTTTTAAATGTTGAGTCTTTGAGATCAGTGTGCATTTTACATTTGCAGCACATTTGGAAGTGCCACACTTCAAATTTGAATAGCCACATGTGGCTACTGGCTACTGTATACAGACAGTGTAGCTCTACTTACAGTTGGTGTGGTTAAGCAACGTTGACAGAATGAGATTTCCTGGGCCTCCGCATCCACCGAATATCACCATTAATAGATTTGATTCTCTCTAAAATCTTAGGATTTTATACCACAGATATAGTGCTGGTCTGGAATAGCAGGTACTTACCTAAACTAACCTTAACTAGAGACCACAAGATCTTCACCCCAAATCCCCAGTCACCTTGATCATTTCTCAGAACTACTTGGGAAGTCAAAGTTTTCAATAAACAAATGTGTACACTGAATGAATTTAACCTCAAAGACAAAGGCTGTGGTTTAGGATGAGTTGACTTGAAGTCAGTCTTCTTCAGCATGACTTCAGGTCAGCTAAGGACAAACCACAAGGAAGCTTTTAATCCAAACTTTGGTGCCAGCCTCCTTGCAAATAGAGTTGGCAGGGACCTAATATATTATGTAACAAATCCTCGTCTTCTTATAGATGAAAAAAACCGAGGTTTGGGAAATGTACTCAAGTCACCTAGGACTTTGAAAAAAACATTTTTAAATAAAACAAGGTCTTCTCATCATTAGAAATATTCATTGTGATAAGATGAGGCAAAATGCATAAATAAAGTAAGGACTTCAAAGTTTACCACTATCATGCTTTCCTCCATCTTTTCAGATCTCCTTAGATTTGTATGAGACATTCCAAAATTCAGACTTTTCACTTCATGCCTATAAACAGGTTGATTACAAATTTTGGATAGGACCAAACTACATGTACTCGTGCTGTTTTGTCAGGTACAGAATTCATATATGATCACTTTGTCCGTCTAAAATATCCAAATACTGCAGAAACATACAGAGTGAAATGGATGAATTTCCTCTCACCCGCCATCCTTCCTGGCCCAAGTCCTGTTTCCCTTTCCAAAGGCAAACATTCCCAGTTTGATATATAACCTATGATGTTTTTCTTAAATTCATACACACATAACACTTATTTTAAATAAGTATTTTATATTAGGAGAGTTTTAGATTTACAAGGCAGATGTGAAGATAACACAGAGAATTGCCACCTATTTCCTACCCCATTTCCACTATTCTTTTTGTTTTAACTTTTATTTTAGGTTCAGGGGTGTGTGTGCAGGTTTGTTACATAGGTAAACTTGTGTCATGGGGGGTTGTTGTACAGATTATTTTGCCTCCTAGGTATTAAGCCCAGTACCCATTAGCTATTTTTCCTGATCTTCTCCCTACTCCCACCCTGCACCCTGTAGTAGGTTCCAGTGTGTGTTGTTCTCCTCTATATGTCCAACTGTTCTCATCATTTAGCTCCCACTAAGAAGTGAGAATATGCAGCATTTGGTTTCCTGTTCCTGCATTCGTTTGCTAAGGATAATGGCCTCCAGCTCCATCCATGTCCCTACAAAGGACATGATATTGTTCTTTTTTATGGCTGCATAGTATTCCATGGTGTGTATGTACCACATTTTCTTTATCCATTCTATCGGGCATTTAGGTTGAATCTCTGTCTTTGCTATTTTGAATTTCACTATTCTTAATATCTTACATTAATATAGTATATTTTCCACCAATAATAAACCAATATGCATACGTTCTTATTTACTGAAGTCCAAATTTGTTTTAGATTTTCCTACTTTTTTTCTAATGTATTTTATCTGGTCCAGGATAACACATTAGATGTAAGCATCATGTCTTCTTAGGATTCTCTAGACTTGTGATTGTTTCCGAGATTTTCCTTATTTTGGATGACCTTGACAGTTTTGAGAAGTACTGCATGGGTATTTTAAAGAGTTGATGTTTTTCTCATGACTAGGGTGGGGTTATGAGTTTTAGGGAGGAAGACCCCAGATGTGAAGTGCCATTTTTAAAATGTGACTCTCTTTTTAATTGTTTAGCAGCAACTCATCAATTTTCTCTAATGGAAAACCGACATAAATATCACCACATAAAAACAAAGTTTTTCCTCCTGTGTGGTCTTTTTCTTCAAATATTTTTAGTCATAATAGTGGAAAGATTATCTCAAAACATGGCAGTTAAGTTAAACTTTTTGGTGATGCTTCCAGGAATTTCTCAACCATTTTCTTCCCATGCATAAGTGATGGCTGTCACCCTAGCTGATGTCCAGGGAGGTTTATTATGTTTCAAGCATGAGTTTGTTCCAAGCTGTTTCTAAAAAACAAACCTGTCACCGGAAGAATGGCATTTTCACTTTCCCTTCAGTGTCCCGTGTGATTGGCATCCCAACCAATGATAATGCTGACATCTACTGTTTGTACACACACCATTGATACTGACTCACTAAATAGCCTGAGGCACCTCTTCTCAATGCCACAGGCACTTACCCTCTGAGTTAATGAAATAGGTAAAGGAGAAAAGAAAGATGGTAAGGCAGAATATATGGTTAACAAAATTTATAATAAAGAAATCTAAGAGTACAAAAGTAAATATAAAAAAAGTATTGGGGAGAGGAAGATCAGAAACCTCACCTTTCTATAATCATGCATCATTGGAACGTGTTTATGGAGTGTCTTAGCTCTGTGCTTCCCCTGGTGAGAGGTAAAAACTCAGTTTGGTCCACTCTACATCCCCAGAGTGATGTCTTCTGGGGAAGCCACTCCACTCTAAGATAGAGCAGGCTCAGTGAAGTTTTTCTGTAAAAGGCCATGGAGTAAACATTTTGAGCTTTGTGAACCACATCGCCTCTGTGTCAGCCACTCAACTCTACAGATGTAGTGTGAAAGCAGCCTGGGCAATATGCAAATGAGTGGGTGTGGGTGTGTTCTAATAAAACTTTATTTACAAAAACAGGCAGTGGATCCATAAGCCAACCTCTGATATAGAGACAAGAATGCTAAAAAAGAATACGTCTTTCTGGTTCAAATAGGGAAAGAAAGAAAAAAAATGACAGATTGAAAAATAAATTGAAAGAGAAAAAGACAATTATTGCCCACATCTCATTTTCGTGATGTGTCAGTCCATTCTGTGTCACTATAAATAAGTACCTGAGGCTGGATAATTTATTAAGAAAAGAGGATTAATTGGGTCAGGGTGCTGCAGGCTGTACAAGCATGGCTCCAGCTTTTGCTGCTGGTGAGGCCTCAGGACACTTACAGTTATGGCGGAAGGCAAAGGAGAGCAGGCAATGTCACATGGCAAGAACGGGAGTGGGAGGGGTGGGAGGTGCCACACTCTTAAACCACCAGATCTTGCATGAACTCAGAGCAAGAACTCACTCATTATCAGGACAGCACCAAGGCATTCATGAGGTATCCGCCCCCTTGACCCAAACACCTCCCCCCAGGCCCCATCTCCAACATTGGAGATTACATTTCAACACCAGATTTAGAGGGGACAACATCCAAACTATATCACCTGATTTCTATGGTATTCATTTTTTGTTGCTGCTTCACGGATACTACAAAGTTTGCAGTTTGAAACAATACCTGTCTAATAGGTCACATAGTTCAGTAGGTCAGAAATCAGGTGGGCTCACCTAGTTGTTCTAGGTAGGGTCTCAAGGGTGAAATCAAGGTGCTAGCTGGCTGGCCTCTTAGCTGAAGGCTCCGGGAAAAAAATCCGCTTCTAGGCTCATTCAGGTTGTTGGTAGACTCCATTTCCTTGTAGTTGCAGGGCCCAGGTCCTTGTTTCTTTGCTGGCTGTCATTCCAGGGCATTTCTCAACACATTAAGGTTGCTACATTACTTCTCATGTGGTTTCTTACGTGTTCAAGCTACCAACAGAGAGTTGAATCCTTCTCAGGCTACAAATTTCCATGACTTCTTTTTTTTTTTTTTTTTTTTGGTTGAAGTGGGGATGGAGTCTTTCTCTGTCACCCAGGCTGGAATGTAGTGGCACGATCTCGGCTCACTGCAAACTCCACCTCCCCGGTTAAAGCAATTCTCCGGCCTCAGCCTCCTGAGTAGCTGGGATTACAGGCACGTGCCACCATGCCCAGCTAATTTTTGTATTTTTAGTAGAGACGGGGTTTCACCATGTTGGTCAAGCTGGTCTCAAACTCCTGACCTTGGATCCGCCTTCCTCAGCCTCCCAAAGTGCTGGGATTACAAGAGTGAGCCACTTTGCCCGGCCCACAAATCTCCATGACTTCTTACGTCACTTGCCAGAGAAAGTTGTCTTCTAACAAGGGCTCATGTGATTAGGTCAGCCCACCCAGGTAATCTCCCTATTTCAGAATCAGCTGTGCCATATAACACAACGCAATCATGGGAGTGGTATCACATCACATTCACGGGCTCCAGAGATTTGGGTGAAAGCTTTTGGGGGCCAGCTTTAGAATCTACCTACCACATCTACCTTACAACTTTGTCATCAGAATTAAATAAAATAAACCAAATAAAATGTCCTAGCACTGAGTGTGGAAGCAGAAAGATGGCCAAAAATATTAAACATATCTCAAAATTTGCAACATTTAGAATTTTGTTTTGTATCTCTTGCCTGTATTTTTAAATTCTTGCTTATGTAAAATGTTATGTCCCCAAGTAAAGGGGAACTATGAATGTCATCAGCACTAAACCATTGACCATTCTTGATTTTGTTTTCCTCGGTAGTAGCAAAATTCAAAAATTCCATGTAGACCAAAAAAAATTATGCCATTCCTTTATAAATGGGTTTAAAGCACATTGTATCTATTACACGAGGCCTCCTATGGAGTCAGACTTGCGGCTTGTTGAAGTCCAAATATATTCATTTACTCCTTGGTCCCAAGTCTTTGACACATTTTACAAATGTTGGCTCCAGCGGGGTAGCACTCACTGGCTCTCACATGCTGACATCCTAGGACCCCGTGGCAGAGAGCACTGGCCATTTGTCAATCATATCACAGCATCCTCGGCGGGTGGCCGGCCTTACACTCCATCAGCCAGACATCTGTGGGCTGAAATGTCTTTCTGCTTGCTTTATGATAAACAGAGATCCTTTTGTGAGCTCAGCCTGTAAACTCTTCCTTTTACCAGGCTCATGTTTAATAATATAATAGAACTGAAATGATAACATATCAGGCCTCATCATGACAATATCGATCCTGGCGGTAGCTTTGTGATGTGAGTTCTTGAGCCTGTGTGGTAACTCCATGGGAGGCTGTGGGTCTCTGTCAATACGGATGTAGAATCCTCTACCAGAGGGATGATGGAGTATGTTTCTCCCAGCAGAGTTCGGGGATTCTGGGGTGACAACATGTAGGCTGTGTAGGATTCCCATCTTGGGGACTTGTACTGCCCACCCAAATTAGTCAAGATGTATGCATAAGAGGCTTCCCAGGCTTGCTGTGAGAAAGAGGTTGAATAAACAGGTAGCAGCAGACTAAGGTGGTATATTCTCTGATTCCATGTGTCTGTTACCACCCAGAAGTTGCATAGCATACCAGAAAAATAGCCAGAATTTTTGAAGGGACAGTGGATACTGTAGGACATATAAATTATATAGCCTGTTGTTCACTAATATGGACACAACAGGTATTAATCTCTGCATAGAAATATCTGTGCGTGCGGAATTCTGCATTGCAAGTTTCTTTAAGATTATTGAACTCTGGGCCGGGCGCGGTGGCTCATGCCTGTAATCCCAGCACTTTGGGAGGCCGAGGTGGGCAGATCATGAGGTCAGGAGTTTGAGACCAGCTTGGCCAACATGGTGAAACTCTGTCTCTACTAAAGATACAAAAAATTAGCTGGGCGTGGTGGCGTGTGCCTGTAATCTTGGCTACTCGGGAGGCTGAGGCAGGAGAATCGCTTGAACCCGGGAAGTGGAGGTTGCAGTGAGCCAAGATTGCACTGTTGCACTCCAGCCTGGGCAACAGGGCGAGGCTCGTCTCAAAAAAAAAAAAAATGATTATTGAACTCTGTCTCTGAGATACTCACTTCCTTCCCACCACCATTGACTCAACCTTCACCCCCCCCATAGAAATAAAAGATCCTATTTAGTCATAACTGGGACACTATCATCTCCAGGACTGTGCCAGGGTCCAATGGCTTTACCCAGCATCAGCACATAGGGGTGGCTCTTGATGCCATGAGTCACACTGGTGGCCACGGAGGGGTCCCCTGTTCCCCTACACTGGGGTTCTCTGATCTTTTACCTGTCCATTCCTCATCGTGGGGTGACCTTCAGGGTCCTCTTGACACACTCAACACTCCTCTCTTCCTACAATTTGGAGCAATTCAGATTGTCTTCTCTTGGAGCTCACACTTTGACACTGGACATACAGAGCACTCCCACCTCAAGCAACACCTGGTTTCTCCTCTGCAAAATCTTTGAGTCAAAAAAGACCCAGCAACCTCCTGAGAATGGCAGGAGGCGGGCAGGAAATAGAGAGGGCTCACACTTTAACATCTCTATAGAGTATCTTGTCACATAGTTAGGTGAAGGAGTTTTCCTTATTAATAGTCCTGGGAAAAGATAGGTCACACTCCTGGATCAATAAAATGGCAGTGATTCAGCAACAGCTAAGGAAGCAGAAAAAATATGAGGCATTGTAGAAACATTAGCAAGCAGTTTGCACATATATTAATACTTGTTTTTTGTTTCTTTTTTATGCTAGCATAAAGCATTTATTTAATAACCTAATGTAACAATAGAATTTTTCATCATTATATGTAAAATGATAGAGACATTTTATGATAGGAAAGAGATTGGGCCGCTGTAACGAATAAGAAAATAGCACTCAGGAAAGTGTAGATTGTTATAAATTTCCAAATTCTCAAGTCTACTGACACGCTACTTAATTTTCCCCAGTCTAAAATTCTCCAAATGCTTGGACCATCATACTAAAGGGATTCCTAATAACCACACGGAAACTACTCTTCCCAAGCTATTACATTATTAGCCATTTGCATATCATTTTCTGCAGTCCAGATGAAGGAAGGGTTATAGTCCTCATGTCTTTGTGCCTTTCTTTTCCCAAACAGTGCCTCTCAGAGAAAACTACAGTTGACTATGGACAGGTACATTTCTTATTGTTCTAGCTCTCCCATGAAGCATAAGAGAGCAAGATGGGAAGTTATGTGTTTGAAGACTTGTTGAGAAAATAGATTTTATTTGGAAGAGGAGAAGGCCTGCCCCAGTTCAGGAGGCTCAGGAAAAGCTTTCTTGGTGATTAAGTTTTGAACCAGGACCTGGAGATGGGAAGAACCGGAACACATTCTGGTCACTAGCAAGGAAACACCCACTGTTAGGAAGTGGGTCCTAAACTGGCAGTGCCTGCTGGAAGAACAACAGGGACAGAGTGAGAACTGAGCAAGGAAAGCTTGGCAGAGCCCAATAAAAGTGTCCATGGAGATGGCAGGGAAGGCCTCGTGTTATTGAAATTCAAGACTAATTTGTCAGTTAAGGTTTGTGTTTTTGCTTTGTGGGGTTTTTTTTTTTTTTTTTAGAAATAGGGTCTGGCTCTGTCACCCAGGCTGGAGTGGAGTTCAGTGGCACAGTTATAGCTCAATGCAGCTTCCTTGACCTCCCAGGCTCAAGCTATCCTCCCACCTCAGCCTTCTGGTAGCTGAGACTTCAGGTGTGCACCACCATGCCCAGCTAATGTTTTGATTTTTTGTAGAGATGGGGTCTCAGTATGTTACCCAGGCTGGTCTCAAACTCCTAGGCTCAAGCAATCCTCCTGCCTTGGCCTCCCAAAGTGCTGGGATTACAGGTCTGAAGCCACTGCACCTGGCCAATTTTTTCTTTAACCTACCCAATAAAACAAATAGTGGGCTCCCTTGAGACACATCTTTAAAAACTAATAAAATACGCAAGACATATTACAGCATATATTTAATTTTTTGTTAACACTAGGGACAGGGGACATTGGAATGTTGTGATTGTGAAGTTTTATATACTCTAGTTTTGTTGGTTTTTTTTTTTTCCTATTTGAATTGGATTTTACACCTATGCGTCTTACACTGGAAACTTATCAAAGGGACACAATTCTAAGAATATCGAAATGGACAGCATTTTTAAAAAAATTAAATAATATATTTTCTTTCATTCAAAACATGAAAATATATTATTTCAGTGTGTAATGAATGTGGATATAATAACATTAAATGGGTTATTTTACTTTTTTATTACTAAGTCTTTAAATTGAACTAGCTACATTTCTTTTTTATTTTTTTCTTCAACTTTTAAGTTCTGGGGTATGTGTACAAGATGTGCAGGTTTGTTAAGTAGGTAAACGTGTGCCATGGTGGTTTGCATCACCTATCAACCCATCACCTAGGTATTAAGCCCAGCATGCATTAGCTATTCTTCCTGATGCTCTCCCTCCCCCCATTACACCGAAGACCCCAGTGTGCATTGTTCCCCACTATGTGTCCATGTGTTCTCATCATTCACCTCTCACTTCTAAGTGAGAACATGTAGTGTCTGGTTTTCTGTTCCTGCATTAGTTTGCTGAGGATGACAGCTTCCAGCTCCATCCATGTCTCTGCAAAGGACATGGTCTAATTCCCTTTTGTAGCTGCAGAGTATTCCATGGTTTATATGTACCACATTTTCTTTATCCAGTCTGTCATTGATGGGCATTTGGGTTGATTCCATGTCTTTGCTATTGTGCATAGTGCTACAATGAACATATGTGTGCATGTATCTTTATAATAGAATGATTTATATTCCTTTGGGTATATACCCAGTAATAGGATTGCTGGGTCAAATGGTATTTCTGCCTCTAGATCATTGAGGAATTGCCACACTGTCTTACACAATGGTTAACCTAGTTTACACTCCCACCAACAGTGTAAAAGCGTTCTTTTTTTCCACAACCTTGCCAGCATCTGTTGTTTTTTGACTTATAAATAATCACCATTCTGACTGGCATGAGATGCTATCTCCTTGGAAGTGACCAGCGTAGGCGTTTATTCTATTATTTTCCTGGACTTTTCCGTAATGAAAGTACTTTGTGATAGTGTTTAGGGCCAAATTGCATGGGAGAACAATTCAGGAATAAGTTGATAACTCTTTTGAGAAGGATTACTATGAATTGGTTAGGGAGATGCTGGGGAAGTTTGAGGGGGATGTGGGGTGATGTGGGTTCAGGTTGTGTGTGTGTGTGTGTGTGTGTGTGTGTGTGTGTGTGGTGACTTAATACGGGAGATAAAGGAGTTTGTTTGTAATCTTGGGGAAATGTTCTAGAAGTGAGGAGAACCATGATATGTGTGAGCGAAAATGGAGAGCTCAGGCTCAAATCCAGCAGGTACCTTTAGGGTTACAAATAGAGTATTCAGGATTGCGTCTGGATACAGATCATGTTAATGATGCTTATAGTAGGAACAGGAAGGAGCCCCAGGCTGGTGGCTTCATATGTTCCAACTGAAGTAAGAGGCGAGGACTTCATTTGAAAATAGGTTTTAAGGAGTGTTAAAGACAAATCATTCAAAAGGATTCCAAGAGTCTCAGAAAGGGATAGGATACAGGGACAAAACAGATTGGGGCAACTGGAAAAGAAAAGTCCGAGGGATATCCACTAAATCCCTTCAGGAAATATGCATGTTTGAGGAATTGTAGAGAGATCCGCAAGTAGCTACAGGCTTAACTCAAGGAGAGCCAGGAAACCTGTTCCTATTTCGGTAAAACCAATGAGACAACTGTTCCAATTCTGTGAATGGATTTCGGCCCAGGAGAAAGATAACTCTAAGTTGTTTTTCTTTTCTTTTTCCTATTTGGTTTTTATTTGAAGACATGGCTGCATACTTTTATCGTTAAACCAACCCAGAGTGCTTTGCAGCTTTGTGCATTTATTTGCCTGGATGATAGCACTATTTTCTTTGGTTTGGTTGGAGTCACTGGCCTTGGCTAATGCCTGCATTTCAAGCTCTTCTTCGTTTTCCAGCCTTCCCTGACTACTTGGCCCCACAGTGCATTGTTTCAGCGCCAGTCCCATTAATCAGGCTTTTGCTAAATCTTTACAGCTTGGGAAGAATTTTTACTCAAAACATTCAAAACCAGCATTTCACGGAATTCAGCTGTGGCTAACAATAGGAAGCCTTGTTGGTGGAGACCACATTCAAAGTTAATGGGCTTGAAGGAGCATTTCGGAGCCTATTTGAAGGCCTGGGAGCCGAGCCCAGCCTGCCCAGTTATCAGCAGCTCCCGGTGTAATTACGATGCTCGGGGCTGACTCAGGAGCCTTGCAGACAGCTCTGGCAGCTGTGAAATGGGGAAAACTCCATGCATCTTCATACAGACTATTCTGAACACTCCCCTGTAAGATGCACAGATTGGACATGAAAATAACATCAGGGATTGTGTGGCTGGGGCTTTGTACTGCCCTCAAACTGGGGTCATACTGGCCAGGTTTTCCCCCTTACCACAGACCAAACACATGCCAATAAATTTACTAAGTCTAAGTTATTTGCAAGTCACGTGCTCTTTGCAAATCAAGAGTAGATTATGAGGATGATGCCTTCTTTACACAAGGGATTTGAAGCTTAAGGGGGAACCCAGACAGCAAAATTGAGGACAAGGTGCCCTTCCAAATATCTTAAAAGCACTTCTGGGAGGTGTTTATGCAGAGCATGTATAACACCCACTTTGTCTTCACATTTTAAAAAAACTACATGCTTTTGAACCTTCTGATTGTTCAACTCAAAGTTATATTTTACACACCATGAAATACTCTGTCACTAATGTAGAATAGCTCAGCAATCTGTTGAATAAGGCATAAATTACATTTTTCTAACATCATGAACATTTCATTTTCTGAATTCTACAGATTGAATATTTTAAATTAGTAGACTTTATTTCTTAGAGAGGTTTTCAGTTTACAGAAAAATGGAACAGGAAGTACAGAGTTCCCATATACTCTCCATCCCCACTACCTCTTCCCAACACCAGTTTCCACTATTATTAACATCTTGCGGAAGTATTGTCCATTTGTCACAATTGATGAACCAATTTTGATGCATTATTATTAACTAAAGTTTACAGTTTATATGAAGATTCACTTTTTTATTGTCATTTTCTAAGAGTATTTTTAAGTACATAATATCTTGAATTAATTATTACAATGTCTTACAGAATAGTTTCACTGCTCTAGAAATCCTCTGAGATCCGTCTATTCATCCCTCCTCATCTTTCCCCAATCTCTGGAGACCACTGATTTTTAGTGTCGCTATGCTTTTTAAATTTTTAAATATTATACAATTGGCCCTTGAACAGCATGGGTTTGATCTGTGTTTTTTTCAACCAAATTCAGGATGAAAATACAGTATTTGCAGATGTGAAACCTGGCACATGGAGGGATGAATCCACATGGATTTGGGTATAGGCAGGGGACCCGAAACCAACCCCCTACTTATGCCGAGGGACTACTGTACATTTTGCCTCTGAATATCTTCTTTTTTCAAATCTCTATTTTTCTCCTGAAATTGGCCAATGCCAAGAGATTGTGGCAGTAGTTTTAGATTCAAATATTGTCATATTTTACATAGTTTTTTTTAAAAAAATTCAATTTCATCAAATGTTAATGGACTTCTTTGCTTTTGTATTAATAACAAAAATTATTAAATATCCCTGGACAAAATGAAAAGAAATATGTAACGAGTATTCTAGAAATAAAATATATGTTATAGGGTTGTGATTTAAATTTAAAGAAATATATTCCAAAGCACTTCGATGAAGTATGATTTGAATTATCTGTATAAACTGTCATATAAGTGTAAAACACACAATTCTAATCTACCTGAAATTTTTAAAAAAATTATATTCGGGCACTTACAATTGACTCACAAAATGTATCATTACTTTTAAAAGTAAATATTGGCCAGGTATGGTGGCTGACACCTGTAATCTCAACACTTTGGTATGCTGAGGTGGGAGCGTACCAAACACCTGAGCCCAGGTGTTTGAGACCAGCCTGGGAAACATAGTGAGACCCCCATTTCTGCAGAAAATTTTAAAAATTATCTGAGCATGGTTGTGTATGCCTGTGTAGTCCCAGCTATTCGGCTGGCTGAGGTGGTAGGATCACTTGAGCCCAGGAGGTCAAAGCTGCAGTGAGCTATGATCACACCATTGCACTCCAGTCTGGGTGAAAGAGCGAGCCTCTGTCTCAAAGAAGAAAAATAAATAAATAATTTAAAAATAAAAATTTAAAAGGTAAATATTTATATACTCTTGCCTTTCCGGAGGCCATAGGTATGGGCTGAAGACGGGTGACTAAGTCTCACAGTTGGCTCGTTGGGAGTGAAGTCATCTTCTTCCCCAGACATCCTTATCACAATCTTCCAATCTTGTTCTTTTGAAGACAGTGAGCAGCTAGTCAAACCAGCAGGCACTTCCCATGGGCCACTTCTGGTCCATGCCTCAGGCCATCTTTCCTTCAAAGAAAAAGGGATAACTGAATGTATTGCTTCAAGTCCTGCTCACTTGGAAGTTTCTCTTCACCTTCCTATTTCACTATTCCCATTTCATAGGGAAAGCCTGCTATGCATGTCCAATGTCAAGATTTGTGGGATGGGGTGTTTTAAAATACAGGTTTGATCATTATTCAGGTATGGTGAGGCTAACAAGTCTCAGGAGATTATTTCCATTGAAAAGATAGCTTGTTACTCACAGTTCCCAGAGGGCAGAGCAAGCCCGGCCATGCAGAGCCACACAAGGAAGCACTGGGGCCAGTCAGGAGGCAGAGGGAGCCACAGGAAAATGTGGATAAGAGCCTTTACTATGGTTTTCCTTGGAAGGAATGGACAAGACAGGGAAAGCAGGCTAGGCAGGTTTACAATGGACTAGTTTGAATAATTTCAGCGAGCCCTGGGGAATATAGACTCCCCATAGTTTTCTGATTCCTGACTCTGAGGTGATTAGTGGGGAGCAGGGGGTGGGGGATGGTGGGGGAATAATGGTGCAGAGTGTAAGAGCCCAACTGGTGAGTTTGCCTATGAAAGACATGCTCCCTGGGGAGCCATATGATATATCCAGGAATTTGCTAATCTTGGGAGGGGCAGTCCAACAAAAATCAGTAAGGCCCCAGATGTCAAGGCCTCACGATACAGAATTAAAGGCACAGTTAACATATGGGAGTCAGATGGCACACAGTTCATGATGAACCGTTTGCGTTTCATGCTCGCTTGCTGTAGTGAGCCAGGGAGTGGTTCTCAAATGGAAAACTTTAGGCAGAAGAGGGCATGAGTTGGCTCTGGAACACCACTGGGCTTCTCCAGAAGCTTCATTCTGCATCCTTATCTACTGAATTGCAGAGTAGGATGGAATACATTCTACAGAAGAGGAGGAGTGGTGCAGCCAGAGAGTGCCAGGAGAGGCATTCATGCAACCAGGGCACCTTTCAGGCTTGGTGTTCCTCCAGGTCAGTCTGATATTATCTGGAGAAGCAGTGTGATCCACTCTACTTGGGTCACTTACCACCCCCTGCACCTATTAAGTGTGGCCATGAGGTCATCATGATGGAACACAAAATGCTGGCCCAGAGTGGGAAGCGTTTTATTTTTTTCAGTGATTCAGGAGAGTGTATATGTTTGTGTGTGTGTATGTGTGTGTGTGTGTGTGTGTGTGTGCAATGCATATCGTGTATCATGAGAATTAGCCTTTCCTTGTATGTTAGATTTTTAAGTACATAACAATGTCAGTATTGCACTCAGCAGCCTTCCCTTCCCATCCTCCAATATAGTACCCATGGGTGGGCCCCTGTGCTCACTTCCACCTTGGCATGGAGCACCCATGTGTAGTTTGGAAAAGGCTGTGCACAGTGTCCACCACACCAGTTCTGACTCCAGGGCACAGATTCCCCATCCTCCCTTTGCTGTTACATCGGAGCACATGACTACATTCTGATCCATGGAATAGAAAGAAGGATATAGCTGCTTCCAGGCCTGCCCCATAACCTTGTCCCACAGAATGCATTAGGTCTCTTATCCCCTGCTGGATGACGTGGGAGGTCAACCTGTTCTACACCCCACAGCTGGTGGATACAGGAGGACACCCTGACTCTGGTATAGGTGAGAAATTAATCTTTCTTAGGTAAAGTCATTGAAATGTGTAAGCGTATTGGTAGCCATGTCAGTCTATTCTATCCTGACTAATCATAATGTAGTTGGTATATTTTGAAGGGGTTTTTTGGGTATATATTTTGTTTTTGTTTTTGTTTTTGTTTTGCTCCTCTACTGTGAGTAACTTGAGGTTAGGTTTTTGGGTCTGAGGAACTTGTAAAGTGCTTTTTTGCTTTTTACATTGTAAGGTCTCAACAATCAATTAGTGAATAAAGCTAACAAGAGAAGGGTGATGATTAAATATGTAATATAAATGTAGATACAGATATTTCAATAAACATATGTGAGAGAGATATATATATATCTCACAAAGTAGGAAATATATATATATCACAAAGTAAAATATATATGTTTTTTATATATATAATAAAATGGATAGAAGTAGTAGATTATTTGTTTTTTTATTCATTGATTTGCTTTTCCCTCTTCTGTTTTCAATTATTTATTTCTAGCTCTTAGAAAAAGTTTAGATTAAATTGAACTAAATTTTAGATTACATTCCTGTTTTTACAGAAACAATTTTAACTGTAATAGATTCTTACAAAGGTAATAAACAGCAAATTGAAAATATATTGCCATGTGCATTGAAACTCAGTCTGTGGCCTTGACGTCTAATGCAACCCATATGGGTTATCAAATTGTGGTAATGAGATGCAGAGTAAAACAAGTTATTCATGGGGGAAGCACGGAAATGTAAAAGGCATAATGTAATCTTTTATAAGGCATTTATTTTTCCATCACATCTGTGATGAGACACTTTTTAGCAACAGTAGGATCATCAACAATTGTCTTTTCTGGGGACAGTGGCAGAAGAGGAAGCTCTGCTGGTGAAAGGAAAGCTCATCACTAAAGACCAAGACTGACCTTGTCCACTTTTTCTTTACCTTAATTCTATCACAAAAGCAGGGCTTATCTTATTTGGGAAGGACATCCCCATGATGAGACAGAAAATATCACTAACTTGACAAGGAGAATAACAAGATAATGAGATTTCACCTATTCACACTCTATATCTCTGGGTGAAAGACTGTATGAAAATCAGATATTATAAAGATGTAGCCTCCCATCAACTCTATTGGGTAGATATGATTAGACCAATTTACAAGTCAGAAAATAGCATGCCCCGAGAGTCAAAGAACTGTCCTGAATTTACACTGTTAAGAAAACTTACTGAATTTTCTCCTTATTACTAAGGAAACAAAAATCAGAAGGAAAAACACAGACATACACCAAACTCTACAAAATGAAACAATAACTCACAACACACAAGATGGCACAATTTAATCTCACTATCTCATGACTGTAAATGTAAATAGGTACACAGAAAAGAGGAGGAGCAAATGGACCTGAATCCTAACCTCTCACTCTTAAACCCAGTGCTGGGCACCCTCCTGATCCTGGGGTTCTGTTTGGCATGGGTGTGCCTGACGATGGGTGCAGATGTGATGTTTTCTCTTGGGCTGTAGCTGGGCACTAACTTCAGACCCATATTCATGGAAATTCTGAGAGCAGTCAGGTCTCAAATAATCATCTAAACAAGCCAAAAAGCATTGCAGGAGGCTTCGTTCTGCAAAGAGCTCCGTGTTTGCTTGTTTGTTTTCTTGGTTCTTGCCATTAGGTGTGAGAAGTTGCTTCTCCCTGGCTTATTCCATGATGAAGTTGCCGCATTAGATTTAGTGATTGCTTCACATTGGTTCCAATAAATTTACAATAAACCAAGCATAGCAGGCAGTTTCGAATGAGGACAAGATTTATTTTGGCTGTTTTAGAACTGGAAACAAACTTAGTGCTTACTCTGAGGCTCTTATTTCCTTAGCCAGGGTGCTTACCACAGAACTTAGAGAAAGTTCTGTGCACACTAGTCTAAGCAAGGGGAAATGACAGGGGGAATGGGAGAACATGGGAGAAGGGAGGGAGGGAGACAGAGACAATAAATTTATATTTGATAAGCATAAGTGGAAATATAGAATTGCTGTAGATAGGAAAAACAACAGAATGTTGATAAGTGAGTATGAGGTGCATCTTTTTCTTGGTAAAATTTTAAGAAACTATAAATAGACTGATAGTCATCTTCTCAATTTAAAAAAAATTGCCAACTGGGCACGTTGGCTCACGCCTGTAATCCCAGCACTTTGGGAGGCCGAGGCGGGCGGATCACCTGAAGTCAGGAGTTCGAGACCAGCTTGGCCAACATGGTGAAACCCTGTCTCTACTAAAAACACAAAAAGTTAGCTGAGCGTGGTAGCGGGCGCCGGTAATCCCAGCTACTTAGGAGGCTGAGTCAGGAGAATTGTTTAAACCCAGGAGGCAGAGGTTGCAGTGAGCCAAGATCGTGCCATTGCACTCCAGCCTGGGCAACAAGAGCAAAACTCTGTCTCAAAACAAACAAACAAACAAACAAAAACTTGCAAAAGACCCTCCCCACTCCCTGACTATCCACAAAGTGAAAGATGAAGGTTATTTCTTAGGTGATTTTTTCCATCATATAAGCAAAGTGAAATTTCTATGCTATTTAACTTTAAAGGAACTATTAATCCCAGTGGTATTAAACTGATGAAGGTAATATAAAAAAAGAGATACTTGTATTACATATTATAAAGGTAGATTAACTTTGATATTAAAATCTGAGAGAGATCAGGAAGTAAAAAAGTTATATGCATACATAGGTGTCATCTCAACTATATAAATATTGATGCAAGGTCTTTATTTAAGTGAACATTTAAACCAAAAGTATATTAAAAACTAATACCCCATGATGAAATGGTATCTATTTCAGGAATATCAGAATGATTCAATACTAGGAAATATATTAATGTAATTTGTGAAATGATTAGGTTAAATGAAAAAGAAACAACTTTATTATTTCAATAAGTGCCAAAAAAGAATTTTATAAAATTCAGCCATTATTTCTGATAAAACTTCGAAGTAACAAAGAAACAAAAGTAATTAAAATAATTTCAGCCAAATGGCCAAATATGTCTTGAGAATGATGCCATCAAGAGAAGTTCTGATGGCATCAATAAGAAGAAAGGGGTGCCTGCTATCATTTTTTCTTACAAACATCAATGTGGAAGTGCTATTTAATACAATTATTAAAATTTTGAAGTGACTCAAACTTTGAAAGGCAAAATTAACATTTTGTAAGATGGTAAAGCCAAAAGAATTAGTAATAACAATAAACTAGTAGAAAACATGGAAATGTTTACTAAAGTAGCCAGTTACAAAATCAGCATACACATGTATTTCTCCAATAGTCAAACCACATTGAATTTATAACAGAATTAAAAATTTCATTTATAATAGCACAAACTGTTAGCAACATTCAAGAACTCAAGCAACATTGTTCCCATTAGTCTTTCCTAACCAATGTACTAACAAACAACCTTTAAAGAACACAAATTACAAAATATGTCAGCTTAAGAATAATGCTATTAATACATTAAGTACCAAGTGACTGGTAGAACTAAGACAAAATATGGGTTTAAAAGGGAGAGAATAGATGTAATTGTCATATAATCTTACACTATAGATGTAGTATAATGATTAAAGTGTGAGAGAATGGCAATAGCTTATGCCAAAAAAGTTAACTTTTTTTTTGCTATGGTAGTTGGTCTTAATACTGTCTTACTGATACTGTTTTGTTTGTAATATAGGATAAAGTATGTGAGTAATTATGAGACATTTAAATTCTCTCATCCCCTGTATCCTTGACTTTTAATGTAGATTTTCAGTGTGGAGCAAGGATGTGATTCAAGAGGTTAAGTAAAAACCTTGCACTCCTAAATTTGCATTGGAAACATTAATATGAACCCTCAACGTTTTATATGTTGTTTTCAACTACACCAAAAGCTGTTGAAATAATGACCAATGCAGTAGAAATGACATTCCTAGCTCCCAGATTTTGATCTTGATACACATTTTCTACTTTAAAAAAACAAGGTTTCTTGGAAAAATGACTGATTCTTGGTCAGGAGCAGGGATGTACAAGATGAGACTAATACAACCGGACAAATTGAAAGAAGAAAAATATCAAAGGCTTCTAGAGTCATGGAGCCAGCTTGAAGGAATTCACACTGGTCAAAGCTGTGCCAGCTTGAGCTTCAGTATGGATAAGATTTGAAATGGATTTAAACTATCAAATATGTTAAGATCTATGAATTGCAAAGATATTTTGAAGTAACACGAATTGTTTCCGTTGTGAAGATGAGAGATAATCAATTTATTACCTTGAGAACTTACACTTCATTTTTCTGTATAAGCCACAGAATACTAGATGAGAGTTATAAAGTTATTAAACTTAAATAAATGAATAAACAAAATGATCAAATTAGAACATTACCATTTTGCAGCCCTCAATAAATTAAAAAATACAGTCATTGAGCACCAGAGACTGATGACATAAACAAGAGTGAGAGTGAAAGCCAGAAAATATGTGTCTTTTGATGAGAAATTTCAACTCCAGCTGTGGTCATGCCAAATGAATCATATCTGATTTTGATCAGGCCAATGAATTCAGCTGCTGATTATCAGGAAATGCAGAAAACACAGCAACCTATTTAACCACAATATAAATGTGCAATAAGTAATATGCAGACTGTGGGAAACACTACAATTTAAACAACACAGGTTCTTCAACAGATACATTGTAATTGGAAAAGGGAATAGAACATGTAAGACTGAAATTATAAGACACACAAACCAAACACTAACCGTCTGACTCCTGAACACCAGCAGCATTCAAACAAAGAAAGAGACTTATGATCAGCATGTTATTTATCCTGACATTTCCAAGTGTCTGCAGAGCTTAGCTTGATGCAGTTTCTTCTAGCTTGTTATTCCTTTCTTTTTGGAATCTCTATGGGAGATATTAGTAAATATAAATATTCTCAATGATCAGCAGTTACCTGCAACGTTTAAGAGTGGCCTTAGGATAGACAATGGATTTGGCCCAGGATGGAGTGAGGAAAATTTTCCAAGAAGACAAGCCCCTTTCTGAAGATCCAGGTGATATGGAAGCCATGAAAAAAGGCCAGAAGAGTACACAGGAAGAGGAGAAAATGGGAGAGGAATGTAACTACATTTCTTTCATTTTCCTTCCTTTTCTAAATATCGTGAATTTAGAGAAAAGAAAGACTAAAGAGAAATCAAATCCTTCAAGATCTTTCACGAGGGCCCACTTCCCCATCCTTGGAAACTTAAAGCTGGGACCAGATAGCAATTATTACGTGCCTTTTCGTTTTCTGCTTAAGTGTGTGGAAATGGCTTAGGTGAAGCAATTGAGTCTCCCAAAAAAACCAAGCTGGCTCTGTGATGCAAGTAAAGCTGCTAAGGTTTTCATCTGAATTCTGAGAACAACCAGATGCCCAAGAGAAGCATTGCTGTGGGGTAGAAAACATCTACGGAAAAGGGGAAAGAGCAGAATTCTGCTACCCTCCAAAATGACGTGCTCTGGAGAGCACAAACCAGCCTTTCTAAAATCCAAAAGCTCAAGAAAATTTAGTGTTTCAGCCACATCCGTAGCAAGTCCAAGGGGAAAGATGTCTAGAAAAATTTGTATATGTCATATCAGTGAAAGTGAAATCTCCGGACAAGGCTCTCTGGAGGTTTTACTTTTACTGCACCATAGATAGAACAGTAAACCTGGAATCTGTGAAAATGTAGGAGGCTACATAAAGGAGTATTAAGGAAACTTCTGTGAGGGTGAAAGAAAATTTGTGACCCATGTTATGTAGTCACAACATACTTGGTAAAACTGTGGCCTGTGATAACTTTGGAAAATAGAAAAGGTACCTAACAAATTGCTGCACTAGGACAAAGAGATATTCATGTAAAATACTTCAGGCGTTGTCCCACCCATGACACATGTACATGAGAAGGTGCTGCAATAAGGCCGGGCGTGGGGTTCACGCCTGTAATCCCAGCACTTTGGGAGGCCGAGGTGGAAGGATCACTTGAGGTCAGGAGTCCGAGACCAGCCTGGCCAACATGGTGAAACCTCATGTCCAGTACAACTACAAAAATTAGCCAGGCGTGGTGGCAGGCGCCTGTAGTCCTAGCTATTCGGGAGGCTGAGGCAGAAGAGTCCCTGGAACGTGGGAGGCAGAGGTTGCAGCAAGCCAGCATCGCACTACTGCACTCCAGCCTGGGATACAGGGCGAGATTCTGTCTCAAAACAAGAACAAAAAAAAAAAAAAAAGAGAGAGAGAGAGAGAAGGCACTGCAATAAAAGGAGTGAATGCAGGAAGGGTCAGTCAATTTGCAGACTGAACTTAGAAGAAACATAGAAATTCTGAGAATGGGAGGTTTGGAAAACGAGCATGTATCTTAACCCCAGGCTCTTTAAAGATGATTTGCAAAATAAGTTAAAATCTTGGGGAAAAGATCAGATCTAGTTCACTACCAGAAGTATATGGGTAAAGATCAAAGCAAGGGGGTTGCAGTAATGCCTTATATTAAGACTTCTGAAATAGTTAAGATAGAGCCTGCGGGCGTAGTGGCGGGCGCCTGTAGTCCCAGCTACTTGGGAGGCTGAGGCAGGAGAATGGCGTGAACCCGGGAGGCGGAGCTTGCAGTGAGCCGAGATCCCGCCACTGCACTCCAGCCTGGGCGACAGAGCGAGACTCCGTCTCAAAAAAAAAAAAAAAAAAAAAAAGATAGAGCCTGGTAGAACTTCTCTGCTGAATGCTAAGGCATTATTCTAGCACACCTTACACACCCAAAGAAGCAGTGACCAAGTCTACAGATGAAGGTGTGTCTCAAAAAGAAGTGCTATTAATAATTTGATTCTAAGACTAACACAGAATTAAATTCATAGAAGACCCTTGGTAATTTTGAGACAGTTATATGACAGAAGTGTTAGTTCAAACTGGAAATGTGATTATCTTGAGTTTCCAATTAAGTGTGGACAAGAAGCAGACTGAGAAATCTGTTTGAAGGGCGTGTTTTCTTCTTATTGAGCAGCTAAAGAGAATGGTGGAAAGAGATGATAGCTTGGAAAGTGGAGCCAAGACCCTTCAAGAACAATAGACTGGGAAGTCACTCCCAGGAAACTGACTTAATCTAGGGATAGCTCCCACCCCTAGAGTGGTGCTTGCAGTATTCACAGTCATCTGAGTAATGAGTTGAATTTTCATAGGCTCATATTAATGGAGGAGACCACCCTTCATGTTGTCTTATGCCCAATTTCTACCTCCAAAGAAAAAAAGAAGTAAAAACTAAAAGGCAGAAATGAAACCCACAGGCAGACAGCCTGGCGCCACACCCTGGGTCTAGTAGTTAAAGATCGACCCCTGACCTAATCGGTTATGTTATCTATAAATTACAGACATTGTATGGAAAAGCACTGTGAAAATCCCTGTCCTGTTCTGTTCCGTTCTAATTACCAGTGCAGGTGCATGCAGCCCCCAGTCACACGTACCCCCTGCTTGCTCAATAGATCACAACCCTGTCACACGGACACCCTTAGAGTTGTAAGCCCTTAAAAGGGACAGGAATTGCTCACTCAGGGAGCTCAGTTTTTGGAGACGTGAGTCTGCCGATGCTCCCAGCTGAATAAAGCCCTTTCCTTCTGCAATTCGGTGTCTGAGGAGTTCTTGTCTGCGGCTCGTCCTGCTACAATATGGCCAACTCTTCAATCTGTGTAGTTTGTGAAACAGAAAACAAGACAGTTATAATTTGTCATTTTGTATTTTCTAATGCTTTATGAATTTTGTAAACATATGTCTATTTTTTTAAGTATCAATGTTATCTGGATGGGGATATTAAAAATCTTTTTTTATTTTCTTCATTGTGCTTTTGCATCTCAAAAAGTAAATTCAAGTTATTATTGATATAGGAGCTAAAAAGAAATTATGAGGCAGATAGTGAGGGTAACAGAGCCCTTGGTAAGATTTTCCTTTTAATAAAAAGCAGCCCCAAATCATTGCTTTTCCAAAAAAACAGCAGCCTGAAGAATCAAGCTGCAAGCATAGATAAGCAAGCTGGAAGCTTGCATAGATGAATGCCAGCAGCTGTGCCAATAGAAAAGGGATACCTGGAAGCCAGGTATACTCAACATAGACGTTCCCTCTTCCCTTTTCTTTGTGTGCCACGTGTGCTGTAAAAGAAGCAGACAACATGGCTTCGACCAGGTAGAGACCCAATTTGCATAATAAAAGATTAGGGTGGGATGGCCAGCTTCTTCTCACACTACGTAAATGGCACACCTGGTCCAACCAATCCTCTGTGCCCTATGTAAATCAGATACTGCCTCCTCAAGCTTATCTATAAAACCAACGTCTGGCTGCAAGAGGGGAGATCCATCCGGAACCCATTCCCTCTGCACAAAAGAGCTTTTCTATTAAACTCCCACTCTTAAACTCACTCCTTGTGTGCCCACATCCTCAATTTCCTTGGTGTGAGGCAACAAAACTCGGGTATTACCCCAGACAAATGATGCCACTTCATCATTAAAGAGTATAACTAATGTACAAGAAATTCTAATTCTAGGATCTTCTATTGAAACATTTCAGACAACTAGGTAGATTAAAGGAAAAATATCTGACATAACATTTTAGAAAAAAAAAAATCCTTTATTGCCTCAAAGTTGAGGACCAGAACTTTCGAATTTAAAGACTAGATATACAAACTACTCTGTAGTCATTACAGTGATCTCGATGCATTATTATTGTCATGAATATATGTTTCTAATATCATACTAAGTAGTAAAAAGGAAGTTTATCCATTAGTACATGTAACTATGATCCAGTTTTTGAGTTGTACATGTTTATAGATATGTAACTACCCAGGCAATAGTTTGGATTCACAGAAAAATGTGTAAAATCTTAAGAAGTGGTTTACTCTCAAAGAAGAAACTGTGGCCCTTTACGTTTTCACTTTTGGTTTTGCATATCTGTGTTTTCTAATTTTGTTACAAAACATGTAGAAACAAACGAGAAATCTTTTGTAAAGCCCCTACATATACTTCTAAGTTGATTACATTTTATAAAAATAAATTGATGAGATAAAATATGTTATGATGTTAGACACATTCAGCAAAAGTAAAACAAATCTAATTAAATTAACTCTCAATCTTGAACTCTGCATATAATTAGAAACCAGTATGAATGTTTAATATTAAATAAATTAGAAAAAAGGGGTCAGGCACAACAGCTGACGCCTGTAATCCCAGCACTTTGGGAGGCCAAGGTGGGCAGATCACCCGAGGTCAGGAGTTCAAGACCAGCCTGGCCAACATGGCAAAACCCTATCTCTACTAAAGATACAAAAAATTAGCCAGGCATGGTGGTGGGTGCCTGTAATCCCAGCTACTTGGGAGGCTGAGGCAGGAGAATCGCTTCAACTCGGGAGGTGGAGGTTTCAGTGAGCTGAGATTGTGCCACTACACTCCAGCCTGGGTGACAGTGAGACTCCATCTCAAAAAAAAAAAAAAAAGAAATAATTTACATATTAATTCTACAGATGAAAATGAAAAAGAGCTTTATTTGAAAATATAAAATTTAGTGTTAGACACAATGAGTTATTAAGTAAAGGGTTTGTTGTATCTGTGCATTTATTAAAATGATTAAAGTTGTCATCTAAGTGAAGTGATTATTCATCAGACAGTGACTAATTGGTTGGGATTTTATTTGCTGCAATGTAGACTCTCCATACGTAAAGATACATGGAAACACATTTACCTATGTGAGGATATATAGCTACACATGAAAGCATATTTAAGTTTATCAAGACACAAGGAAATTTATCTCCATACATGAAAATACGTCTCCATAAATAGAGATACATTATAGTTATATCACTGCACATTGAGATATGCCTCCATAAATAAACACACAGATTTATATTCATCCATCAACATATATGCATATACATCTCCATATACGAAAATATGATTCTGTAAATATGCATGAAGATATAGCTTCATGCAGGAAGACATAACTTGCTGGAGAGAACAACAGCTCCATCCATTAGCTCCCATCTTAAAATTATTGAAAGATCCCTGGAACCAAAGTTAATTAAGTGGTTTCTTATTTAGAGTCTCAAAGGTAAAGCAAAACCAAATCTGTCATCTTAGTGTAGTGCCATCTCCCTCCAGGATAAAGGATTCCTTTTTTCTTCTAAGGGCTTGGAGAAAGAGAGAGAAAGAAAAGTGCAGATTGACATGGCCTTTGATAACCAGGATTCGGAGTGATGCTGACATCCTGACCTCCCCGTCTGGCAGGGATGTGGTTTCATAGTTTTGCCTGATAACAAAATGTTGTCTCATCCATAGGTGCAGAAAGCAGGCCAAAGCCTGAATGAGGTTGATGTAAAGCAGTCATTTTCACTTGAGGAGATCCAATGACCTGCAATTTAGTGAACTGTGATACGTTGTCTGAATTTTAAGTATTTGTGTTTCTGAGCATCAGTTCATTCTTGAAACTAACTGGGCAAACCTGTGATCAAGCAGGATTCTCTTATAGGGTATAAAAATAGCTTGACACTCTTAGGGGATGGCGAGCAATGCCTGCTGCAATGATTATTGTTCACCTTTAACCTAATCATGAGTAAGAAACAGTCCGTAGATGTCCACAATTACACTGCTCTCTCTCTTCTCCTGAGCAAGTCCTACATCTTCACCATCACCTCCTCCTCCTCCCCTCAGCATCCACTTTCTTCTTCTTACATCAATACGATTATCATCACAATTAGTGGCTGCCTACTATGTAGATGTATTTGTGCAAGTGTGCTGTAACCTGGAAACGTCCTTTACAAAACCAACCTTTAATTCTTAGCCCAACTTAAGACTCTGTTTGCATGAATGGGATCCTTTGAGCTCCCCGATCACCACAGGATTGATGAGCAGTTTGGCTTCCACCAAGATTATTCCAAGAAAACAGAACAGAAAGAACCCAGAATGACATCTGGTGTAGTTTCGTGATTCTGTCCCTTTGACCCCCACCATTTCCCATTCTCGTCCAAAAAAGAAATTCATTTTTATGATGACATTGGCTTTTCTTTACTTTTTTACTTTTTTATATTTTATTTTTTCTTGAGACAGGGTCTTGCTGTCTCCCAGGCTGGAGTACACTGGTGCAGTCGTAGCTCACTGCAGCCTCAACCTCTGGGGCTCAAGCAATTCTCCTGTACCAGCCCCCTGAGTACCTGGGACTATAAGTGTGTGCCACCACACCTAGCTAATTTTTGTTTATATTTCATAGAGAGGAGGTCTCACTATGTTTCCCCAGTTTGTCTAGAATTTCCTGGACTCAATCTTCCTGATTTATCCTCCCAGAGTGCTGGGATTACAGGTGTGAGCCACTGTTCCTAGCACATGGCCACACTCCTTAGCTACTCACAAAGATTTCTAAGTCAAATAAGGCTGTGAGCGAGTCACACAGACCAATACATCCAAAGAGCTGCAGGAAGAAGCAACTGTGCTTCGTGGATAGGAGGGTGAAATCCATCCATTGTATTGATCCTTATTATCTCAAACGAAAGCAACAATTCACTTCTTACTTTTCAAAGAATTGCCACCCTACTATTATAATTCATCAAATAAAATAGCACTGTTTCTATTGATGTAGCAGATACATTAACAGTCAGATAAACGTGCCTTCTTAGTGTCAAATGCATCCATTTATTTCTCTACACTGAATTGTGTAAAGAAGACTCTTTTTTGGAACAAACAGGAGGTATTGACTCTCTTAAAGGAGCTCTGTTGATAAGCTGGCCCAGTCGAATGCAGACCAACAAGAAAGATTAAATTAAATAACTGTCCAAGTGTTCCTTGGAGAACCAAAGGGCAGAATGAAAGCTTGTGTTTGTGAAGAGCTGCGTGGAGAGAAGCAGACCACCAGGACGGCCAAATAGAAGGCGCCCTGCACGCTGCACATGACTTCCCACCCAAGTGTTAGCTGACAGTCAGGCTAGCTCAGAATGGTGCTACCGACAGCAAGGATGCTTATGTGATCATCCATTGTTAAGTACCAGGCTTCTGAGACAGGATAGGTAGTCAAGGAAGTGTCCATGTTCTCGGGACACAGTGACTGTGGTGACCATACAATCAACACAATAAACTTCAGTATTCTCATTGTCATTGAGTTCATTCAAGCTAAGCCATCTTCAATAGGGACTTTCCCTTCTAGAGAGCATGTGCATTTTGACTTTACCTGTCCTCAAACTGATCCTTTGTTCATTTTAATAGTAAAAAGCATACCCCTGGGTGGAGATATAAGATGCTAATGAGACATGCAATGTATGAACAAGCACGCACAGTTACTGCGCATGTGGACCCAGAGGACTATCCAGAACATGCTTATTCGTAACACCTCTCCCAACTCCTGATGAGTAATCATGGAAGACTCCCTTACAGCGAGTCGCCCCAGTCCCAGTCTTTGCTGTCTCATCCTTCGAGCAGCCCACCCTGAATCCTCTCTCTCTCAGGGTGCACTGTCCATTCTGCACCTAACTTTCAACATATTATTTTTCTTTTACAATAAATTACTCTATGCTACACCTCCTTTGTTGAGTGTCTCTTGTTTAAATTCTTTCAAACTAAGAAGAACCAAGGCATCACATCGGCCATCAAAACCTCCTTTCCTGAGATACAAGATTCTTGTAGGGGCTTTAGTATCCATCACCTTACCCTTCACCACATTACAAAAGGACTTTTGGTGATGCTTTTGTTTTCCTACTGGTGAATCTTATTCCATGGTTTCCAAAGCATCAATATATAATAGAACCATAGTACATAACACAAAGGTAGGCATGTTGCTTATTTGGCCATTCTTGGCAGGGATAGCCGCTGGCTTGGTAAAGCCTTTTTAGCTTTGCCCATGATGTTCCTCATACTGATATTCTTGGCCATGGGAATCTGCTGATGTGCTCCACACATGAATGAGTTTCACTGGCTCCTGACATGTGACGGTTCTACAGTGCTGGCTTGGACAGGCCTACCTGCCTTCACTAAATACAAAGAAAGCCTGGGCCCTCATGAAGAGAAGTTAATGAAGGAGAACAGGCAAGGCCTGTTTTCCCTTTTCCATTGAAAATCATCTTCAGAGAAATTTATGTGTGCCATTGATGTAGTCAGTACACGCTGCTGTAACAAACTGCCATGGACTGGGTGGCTCAAATGCTAGACATTTATTTCTCGCAGTTCTGGAGCTGGAAAGTCCAAGATCAAGGCCCCACCAGATGCAGTGCCTGGTGAAGACCCACTTTGTTTGCACATTGTGCTCTTCTTACTGCGTTCTCATGTGGCAGAGAGTAGAAAGCAGAAAGCAAACCATTTCATATTACTTTTTAAGGCACTCATCCCTTTCATGGGACTCCACCCTGATGACCTCATCACCTCCCAAAGGCCCCACCTTCTAATACCATCACCTTGGAGGTTAGGATTTCCACGTTTGGATTTGGTGGGAAACTCAGACATTTAGACCAGAGCAGCCATGCAGGGCCGTCTCCACACGCTGCCTCGCGTTTCTAGACTTATTGACTTGTGGTGTCTCTGACCTATCCCTGGGCTCTTCTGATCTTCACTCAACTCAGACTGTAATGAAAGCAATCTTCTACTCAGATGACAGGAGAAAGAGCGACCCATTTCATCTGGCAGGTGAAAACAAGCACACTCCTAGGTCGTAGAACTTTGAGACACTCAACATCAAAGTCCAGTTGCAGTGCTCAGAACTCCTGGTTCCTTCTATCAACCCATTTTCCTAATATTCTCGAGGTATAATTCTACATGGGTTGAGCCTGAATGTTTTAGTGGTTTCAGCCAACTGATATTTTTTCAAGTAATTTTTATCCCAATTACGTAAACCTATATTTAACGATTATGTATAATAGTTCTCTTAATGAAAATTATTTCTTTTCCTAGTTTTATTCCACTCCTTTTTAAAAAGCACATTAAAGCACAGTAGCCCTCTATGCTTTGTTTTGTTGTTATTGTTGTTGTTGTTTTGTTTTGTTTTGTTTTGTTTTTGAGAGAGTCTGTCTCCCAGGCTGGAGTGCAGTGGCACCATCTGAGCTCACTGTAACCTCCCCCTCTTGGGCTCAAGTGATTCTCCTGCCTCAGCCTCCCAGGTACCTGGGACTACAGGTGCGCATCACCATGCCCAGCTAATTTTTATATTTTTAGTAGACATGGGGTTTCACCATGTTGGCCAGGCTGGTCTCAAACTCCTGACCTCAAGTGATCCACCTGCCTCGGCCTCCCAAAGTGCTGGGATTACAGGCATGAGTCACCATGCCTACCTTTCCTGTACTGCTTAATCAAGCAAAACAGTCTGAACATTGGGTAGATGGAACCAGAAATTTTATTTTATACATTTTATATATGAAGTGTATTTTATATAAATTTTATATATGAAAAAGAGAGTATATTGTTTTTGAGCTCACAAAATAAAGAACTAATGAGAAAACCTATATTTAAAAATTTACCTCCGGAGTCAATTATGTTTTGATTTTCTGTCCTAGCAAATTTAATCCAATCTAGCCCCTACCACTAGCTGCCGCTTTAGCCAATACCATACATGAACTGCCTAGTTAAGCTCAGTTAACCCATAAAATCATGAAATAATAAAATTATTGTTTTAATAGAATGCCACTATAGTTAATAAAAATGTATCATATCATTAAAAAATGCTAAGAGAGTAGATCTTAAATGTTTTCACCACAAGAATTTGATAGGTATGTGAGATAACACATATGTAATTTAGCCATCCCACAATGTACACACATTTCAAAGCAACATGTTGTACACCACAAATATATGCAATTTTTATTTGTCAGTTAGAAAAAAATAATTTTTAAAAAAGAAGGAAGAAACTTAGAAAATAATAAACACCAAGTGTTGGGCTGAGTTGCAACACCACAGTTAGCAAGCAAAACTTATCTTGGTTGTCTTCACTACCAAATTATGCATGCCTAACCTCAAGCAAGACAGTATCTAAGTAGCTTTGCAGGTGCTGTTTCTTCTGCTGGAAATATACTTCCATCGTTTTTTTTTTGTTTTGTTTGTTTGTTTGTTTGGTTTGGTTTGGTTCTGAGACGGAGTCTCACTCTGTCGCCCAGGCTGGAGTGCAGTGGCGCGATCTCGGCTCACTGCAAGCTCCGCCTCCTGGGTTCACGCCATTCTCCTGCCTCAGCCTCCCGAGTAGCTGGGACTACAGGCACACGCCACCACGCTCAGCTAATTTTTTTGTATTTTTAGTAGAGATGGGGTTTCACCGTGTGTTAGCCAGGATAATCTCGATCTCCTGACCTCGTGATCCGCCTGTCTTGGCCTTCCAAAGTGCTGGGATTACAGGCATGAGCCACCACGCCCGGCCGACTTCCATCTTTATCTGCATGGAAAAAGCCTGCTTGTCACTAGCATGCTGAAGCCTAACCTGACTCCCCTCTGTGACTTTACAATCTTGATATATATAGGTAGCTAGACAGATAGGTAGGTGGATAGGTAGATAGATATGGATGGATGGATTGATAGATAAAATGGATGGATAGATGATAGATTTATAGATAAAGATGGATGGATACATAATACATAGAGTTATAGATAGATGATAGGATAGATTAGATGGATAGATAGGATATATAGATGATAGATTAGATAGATAGATAGAGACAGATAGATAGATGATAGAGATATAGAGAAAGATGGATCAGTAGTAGATCTTTCTGTTGAGAATGCAGTGATCTGTTTATAGGTCCGGATGTGCTCATTTTTAACTTTTTTATCCCCACTGCTCAACAACCTTTGGTGATTAAATAAACAAACTTTGTTTTTAGAATTTTTCAGAGCCTTCATGTGGATTTATTTTGTAACAAGAAACATGCAACCTGTATTATAGAATCACTTGCTATCAAATATATGTTACAAATAGTTTAAATGTATGCTACCCATTCATTAAATATGTTTCACATCCATTTGAGGTGCCTATGAATGGAGGTGGGAATCAGTGAGGAACTTGACACGGATGTATAACCAGCTTTAACATTTAATTTAGTTGTTAAAGTCAGTTAAGTTTTTAACATCCATTTTCGTTATTTTTGGGGATAAAACATTTAAAATTAAATTAAGTCATTAATGATTTAAGTTACTAAATTAAGTAATTAATGATTCATCATTGAGGAGGTGCTGGTTCATTTCTGTGATCTGAATAAATCTTACAGTGACATACAGAATCACTTCCCATCAAATGTGTGTTATTACGTACAGGGTAACTTTAAAACATTCTCCCTATGGTGTTTCGATCCCTGATAAAATCAGTCTGTGTATGTGTGTGTGCCCCTCTGTCTCTGTGTGTCTCTCTCTCCATCTTTCCTTTTCATCTCTCATTCCCTTTCTCTGTTTCTCTCCTTCTCTCTCCATCTTACTACTTCTCCCCCTCCACACCCTCTTTCATCTTGACAATCAGAGAGATACGATAGGTAACTGTTTTTACCATATTACTAAGGGGCCAGTATTTTAGGTCTAAATTGTGATTCCTTTGAAACTTGCTATTTTTTGTTTATTTATTTACACTTCCTATATATTTTTGACCATTGAAACTCACTTGTTTCTCCAAAGATGTTTGGATTTTCTGGAATATGAGAAACCATACATTTTCTTAACTTACATGCTCTGAAGACAGAGTACTGACTACTAATTTGTTATCCTCGACTTGCACCCTGGCTAGCTGCAATGTATTGCATAAGAGATAAAGTTATTCTTAAGAAATTCATAAGAAAAATTTATAAGAACTAACAAAGTTACTCTACTACATAACATTGAGATATTTCAGTAACAAATCTTGAGAAATTACAAAGAGAGGTACTAAATATCATCTGCTTGCCTTTGGCCTCTTTGTAAAAACAAAATTCCTTCATTTTCCATATAAGCAGGATCATTGTTAAAAACAAACAAATAATTAAGTGGAAAATTATCAGCCTTTTAAATAAATCTGTTTGTATAGATGTGTACTAACTCTGCAGAAGGTAATTCTATCAGTAAAATATCAGTAAAATCTCTAAGTCCTCAGTTTTGTATTTATTGGATCCCTAAAGATAAAGGGGAGAACTTTTGTTCTCAAGGAAGACTCACAACGTAAATCAAGCAAAAACACAAATTCTTAGACTCACAGAACTTTAGAACATATGAACACTTGAAGAAAAGTTAAAAATTTTCTAAACTAAATCAATGCCCTTGTTTGGAAATTTTCTGTTATATCCCTGTTATATATGTATCCAACTTTGAACAGTTCCAGGAATGAGGACCTTCAAATTCCTGGAAAGTTATAACTTTAAGTGGCTAAAGAATAGAATTACTTTTCAACATATAACTGGTAGTGGAAAACCAGCATCTTGTCTCACAGTTTTCAGAGACAAATATGTCAGAAAATAAATTACACAAACTTTATATAAATTAGCACAAATTATGTTTTCATAATCATTTATTTGAAATTCATAATGGCTACAATAAGATAGTCAGTATTAATCCAACACTAATAGTGAAATTTTCATGATATTTGAAAAAGTTCAAGAAACCACTCATACTCCAGCAGTGTAATGATTGATAACTTGGACAATAAATCCTTTGTAGACTAGTCAGTTGAAAACTGCACTCAGAATACTGTCTCTAAAGATGAAAATAAGAAAAACTAAAGTTATATCAAAGATAAAGTCATGAGGCCATCAGTTACAAAGAGAATGGGACATAAATTCTTGCATAAAACTATGTAATAGAAGGCTATTAGGGATGGCCATAAGGGACGATTTGGAAGTCTTGAATGCATATACTTTAAGCATGTTCTTGTCTGAAAACTTGAGAATAAATTAAATCTTTACAGTTATTTTAATAATATGTTATGCCTATGTCACCACCATAATACACTTATTTTAGCTCAGAGACTGACACATACTATACACTCAGAGAATATTTATTGAAACATTGAATGAAATGGATATTTACATGGTGGCAACCTCAAGGTAGATAAAATGAAGATAATATAATAAATATTGAACTGAAACGAAAGGGTTGAGTGTCATGGTTTGATATTTTAAAAGTGGTCTTTGTTAGAAGACCTACATGCAATATAATCAGTGTCCCTAAGAAGGCAAATTGAGGTAAGAGTTTGCAATTGAAGGTATCTGCTGTCAGACAGCTTGAGGCTACTAATATAGAAGACCTATTTAGTTTTCAAATATAATTGAGGATATTAAAAATCATACCATGCTCTTCAAACTGTTAATGTGAAACTTATGTAAGTTACCCTGTTATAAATGTATTTCTCAGCCTCTTAGTTATTTCCTCTTATTTTAGTCTTCAGACAAGATGAAATTCAATCATTTAAAAATAAATTTACATCTAGGCCACTACACAAACTCAGAATTCTGAAATTACTTTTCAGAATGCTGAAAACACTTATTCTTGGCTTCTGTTGAAAATGTGTCAAGGTAATTCCTTCATGTAGGGCAAGATATTAGAATTATTTTTTACTATTATTTAGAACCTCTCAATATTACACTGAGAGGTATGGGCACCAACTTAGCCTGCACAGTTTGTAAACCATCAAGGTAAGAAGGGAAAATTTAACTCTCATCCAATACCAAAAAGAGTTGATTAATTCAGCAGGATACATGTGGATTGTGGCCACTAAAATGGTACCCTTAGAAGCTGTGATGTTAACATCAGGCACGCCCTTTGGCCACACAGAATCATATTAGATGTCTTAAGTATCTATATAAGCTGTGGTTGTAACGGATGAACATTAAAAAAAGTATTCAGAAGAGAATTATGCTGCTTATAGATAAGTTAAATCTATCACTTGGTGTTTCTGCTTGGCATGAATATCATGAACTTGACTTGCATATTTATTTAATGTGCAACTTGAACACAGGTGCATAGGCTATGGACTGTTCCCTTTTTAGTGTTTGCATATATAACAACTGACTACAAAAAAGGGATTTAACACAGCAAAGGGGGTTTGGAAAAATTCATCCTGGATGATACATCTCCATCCGTAATGTCATACCACACTTTTCTGGTCACTGTGTGTGCATGTGCATACATCTATATATTGCATTTATTAAATTTGCAAGAATAGTTTAAGTGTCTGAGAAAGTATGTTTAGTAATCAAAAGTTGAAGGAAACAACATATTAAGTGAGGCTTAAAACATTTAATGCATGCTAAATAATTACACTTGTTAATGTAGACATAATTGAAAATCTCCTTTAAAGGTAATTATACAATTTCCTAGATTTCTATTTAAAATAATATTTGTGATACAAATTAAAAGCATAAGGGTGCTTAAGGCAAACCGGTATTTTGAATTTATAACCATAATAAATTGAATATTAATATTTAAAATCAAAGTAACTTCTGTATAATCTATGTACAAAATTCACCCCCCGGGGCACCAAAAACTCATTATCATCTATTCTTTTCAGTGCCTGATTTTAAGTTGCAAAGGGCCAGGGAACCTACCTACTGGTAAAAGTTTCTATTGACGTAGATTAAGATGATTTTGTAATAGCTGTGGAAGTTCATTGTGGACATGCAATTGACATGTCCATTAGGAAATTTTCATATTTATAGGAATTTATAGTGCTTAAAGATATTTGTCTTCTGGAATATAAAGAGTTTTGTGATTGTCATTTTAAATGGGGAGCTAAGTAATTTTACATGCTTATAATTTCAGCTGAATTATTACTGTAGTTATAATGGAACTATAAGACAATTTGAACAGAATCAACAGTATCAAATACTGCTAAGTAAGTAAGTGAAGATTGAGAAGTGACCAAAAAAATTAATGATGTGGAAGTTGTCAGTGACCTGGAAAAAGACAGTTTTGATGGAGTATTTGGTGGAAAGCCTGAAAAAAAATAGTTTTAAAAAAGAGTGGGAAGAAAAGAATGGAAATAGTGAGTCCACACAACTTTTTAATTTTCTGAAAAATTTTATTACTTTCCAATAATTTACTGTATAAACTGTAGTTATAATGGAACTATAAGACAATTTGAACAGAATCAACAGTATCAAATACTGCTAAGTAAGTAAGTGAAGATTTGGTTAAATTTTAAAGTAGAATCTAGCAATTATTTTCTGAAAAAGAGTAGAAATAAGGAATGGTGCTTGGTAGGGATGTGTGAATAATGGTTAACCATGAGCTTTAAGTAGAAAAAAAAAAAGAACTGGATAAATACCTGAAATGACTTTCCTATAAGACCTAACTAATGCCTTTATGATATCTTCAAGGTAAATATTTGACCTTTATAGAAAGGTCTCTTATCAATTAATTCATAAAAATTATAAAATGACTATTAACAATTTTTAGGAATTACAAATGCTATTTTTATACCTCTGTTGGCTTGTTTTATTTGTTTTTCCTTTCCTTGGAAACCAAGCAGGATTTTCTTTTCTTTTTTTCTTTTTTTTTTTTTTTAATTTCCATAGGTTTTTGGAGAACAGGTGGTATTTGGTTACATGAATAAGTTCTTTAGTGGTGATCTGTGAGATTTTGGTGCAGCCATCATCCGAGCAGTATACACTGAACCCAATTAGTAGTCCTTTATCCCTCACCCCCTTCCCACCATTTCCCCCTGAATCCCCAAAGTCCATTGTATCATTCTTTTGCGTTTGCATCTTCAAAACTTAGCTCCCACTTATGAGAACATACGATGTTTGGTTTTCCATTTCTGAGTTACTTCGCTTAGAATAATACTATCCAATCCCATCCAGGTTGCTGTGAATGCCATTAATCCATTCCTTTTTATGGCTGAGTAGTATTTGATTATACACACACACACACACACACACACACATATATATACACATACACACACACACACACACACACACACACATATATATATATATATATCACAATTTATTTATCCATTCATTGATTGATGGGCTCTGGGCTGGTTCCACGTTTTTGCAATTGCAAATTGTGCTACTAAAAACATTCTTGTGCAAGCATCTTTTTTCAATGCTACTTTCTTTACTTCCTCTCTTCTTTCCTTCTGCCCCTTCCTCCCTCCTCTCCTTCATTCATCTCTCCCTTCCCCTGCTCGCCTTTCCTTCCTTCCTTCCTTTCCCTTCCTTCCTTCCTTCCTTCCTTCCTTCCTTCCTTCCTTCCTTCTCTTCCTCTTCCTCTTCCTCTCTCTCTCTCTCTCTGTCTTCATAATAACTTAGGTCAAGCACCCTGACTCAAGATAAACCTCCTCAGCAAGAGGTCACTTGAAACATGAAGAAAGGGTTTATATGTTTCAATCAGACAGCAGGCATCTCCTGACCAAATACGTTCTGAGGACTAACTTATGTAGGGCAAAACTTATGTGGGTAAAGGAAAAACTTGAGCACCTAGAGTCCTGGATGGGATGTTATAATAAGAGTGTATCCTATGGAAGGGAGGGGAGAGATGGGGAAGTGAAGGGCAATAGAAGGAGGCATTGAAAGAGAGCTGAAAAGATGACCACTGAGAGCATTCTTTTTTTTTTTTTTTTGAGACGGAATCTCGCTCTGTGGCCCAGGCTGGAGTGCAGTGGTGCAATCTCGGCTCACTGCAAGCTCCGCCTCCCGGGTTCACGCCATTCTCCTGCCTCAGCCTCCCGAGTAGCTGGGACTACAGGCGCCCACCATCACGCCCGGCTAATTTTTTTGTATTTTTAGTAGAGACGGGGTTTCACCGTGTTAGCCAGGATGGTCTCGATCTCCTGACCTCGTGATCCGCCCGCCTCGGCCTCCCAAAGTGCTGGGATTACAGGCGTGAGCCACCGCGCCCGGCCGAGAGCATTCTTAATTTATTTGGCCACATATTGAGGAGAGGTTAGCAGTGCTTCATGGGAGTTATCTGCACATCACCTTTTCCACACATACCAGGCCACCTGCAAGCCCCATCTCTTTTTTGTGGAGGTGAGAGTTCATAGGGTCCATAAGAGTTCCCCTTGGAAGCAAGCTATGCCATTAATCCATCACTAATGGGCTGAAAATTTAGTCCTAATAATCACCTGTTTAAAATGCTGCATATATCACAAAATTGATAGCTTGGCTACTTCATTTTACTATATAGATCTATAGAGAGATACTTAATTTATCCATAGCTGAAATTTTCCAATTTTGATGTTTTTTTGATGATGTCAGTTATCATTCTGAAACTATCCTCGTATTATCACCCATAGTGCCATGCCAATGAATTTGCTTCTTATTTTCTATTTTCTTCCTAGCACTTACAAATTCATGGACTATTATGAAGACAAGTTAAGAGATTGTGTCCTCCAAACTCATCATTTTTCAGGTAAGGAAACTTACGTTCAGAGATATTACCCTGACAGCTCCAAGAATGTAAAGGTTGTTTATAGCAGAAGATAGCTCACATTTTCTCTAGGCCATGTCAAATGGAAAAATCGTATATGAATGACGTTATATTTTTTCCATTATATGATTGCAGACTGAATGGATCTCTGTTGTTTTTAAATCACATCTAAATTAAAGTCTTTGAAGATTTTCGTTAAGTTCAAACTGCACACAATTAACGGTAGTAAGTTCAATGTCAAAGTTACAGAATATTTAAATTTAAAAACATTGTTCTTACAACCTAAGATAACTTTTTAATGTTTTTTAAATATTAACTTGGAATTATGTTTTATCTACTAGAAATTATATTCTTTATGAAATATTTTTGCCTGCATCTTTATTTAACACTATGTTGGCATCATTTTCCATAATGACAAATAGGCTTCAGAATGTTAAATTATAATTAATCCTTGTATTTTGATCAACCTTCCAGAACCTTTTCTATGCATCTCTTTTGTATGCACTTCGTAATTTTTACTGTCACAAATATATTCATACACATATCTTCTGGTTAGTTGAAATGATTTCTTTTTGAGAAAGGCTTAGAAAGGAGATTTCTGTGATTAATGTTTGAAAACCATGGCTAGAACAGCATGGTTTAGGGCAGAGGAGCCCATCAATAAGGAAAGGCCCTCCTTTCAGCTTCATCTCGTCTCTCCACCAACGTGTGACCTCAACTAATTATTTAGCTTTTTCAACTTCAGTGTTCTTCTTATTAAAGTGGGTGCAGACACAACTCTCTAATAGGAATGTTATTAGGACAGTTTATAAATAAAATATTTGGTTTAGTGTCAATATATGGTAAGTGCCCAATTGATTATGTTCAATGTTTTCTTTATGGTTCTTAAAATATTTCTTTCCAAAACTGTTATGGCATTTTCCTCTCCCACTATCCCCCTGAAATATATCTCTTTTTAAAATATTTGGACCATTTATTGGATCTAAAATGATACTTTCAGTTTGCTTTGATTTTTGATTTCTCTAATTTTGTTTGAATTCTTTTTAAAGTAAATTGACCAGCTGTGATGTTATTTTTTAAAAATGTAATGCATAAGAAGATTGACCATTCTATTAATTAATCAAAACACCAGAATAATATTTTTATTCTTATTTATGAAACTTAAATGGTCCATTATAATCTCTAGCTGATATTTCTGTAATATGAAGTATACGCATATAATATTGGATCCTAGACATTTGGAATTCAGAAAAACAAAAGAAAAACAAAAACCGGAATTGAAAAACCCAGAGAATCTGAAGACATCATAGAACTTTCTCCCCTTGCATTTGGAAAAAGTTATAGATACTATCAAATAATGGGTCAATAGTGTACTGTATCCATGTGGGGATATTTAGATCACCTATGTATAATGGCAATTTCAAAAGTCATGGCTCAATTTTGTGAACTAGACAATTCTGGTAATTATAAGAGCAGTAGATGAAGCTGATGTCTCACATGCTGAGCATATGCTACTTAAACACATAGCCATCATTCCTGGTGCTTTCTACAAAAATATTTCATTTCATTAAAAATGACTGTTGGCCAGGCACAGTGGCTCACACGTGTAATTCCTGCACTTTGGGAGGCTGAGTGAGGCAGGCAGATCACCTGAGTTTGGGAGTTCGAGACCAGCCTGGCCAACATCGTGAAACCCCATCTCTACTAAAAATACAAAAATTAGCCGGGTGTGGTGGCAGGTGCCTGTAATCCCAGCTACTCGGGAGGCTGAGGTGAGAGAATCACTTGAACGCAGCAGGCAGAGGTTGCAGTGAGCCGAGATCACGTCGCTGTTCTCCAGCCTGGGTGACAGAGCAAGACTGCCTCAAAAAATCAAAAATAAAAGTTACCCCTGATAGTTAAATAAAGATAAGGAGAGGAATCAGCAAATCATCCATGCCTTGCCATAATTAAGGTTTGTGAACATTTAGATGTCTTTCTCTTCTATTTTAAAATATGCATAGGTTTTACCAAATGGGCTCCTGTTCTACATTGTGTGATCATAGATATTTGTACTTCTTGGATCAGCAAAAGATGGGCATTTACAGGAACCACCATTGAGGCAAATAATGTCTGATGTGGAGAGAATACAATGCCAAGTATTGTAATTGGTTTATTTTTTGTTATTTTTTATATATTTTCTTATAAGAATATAAGGCAAAATGTGTCTCTATATTTAGTTGGAGATGTGTATACAGCAGTAAGACACATACATAGTTGCTGATTCTACTCTTCAGATATCTGAGTGTCATTTGTAATCCTTCCCTTGGTCTACTGAGAGTGTTTTGTACTTTAATATATTTAACGCAATGTCGCCGTTTCACAGATTTATTTTATTTTAAAAAGATACACAGACTTCAGTATATTGTAGTAAACAAAAGTAGAAAAATTAAGGCAGCAATTGGAGAAATAATTACATATTCTTTCCCTGGGATGTAAGCATGCAAAATACATGAAGATATATGCTTTTCATTCGAAATAAGGAAAATAAAAGACTCTGCCTCATGATGCTCATGAAAACAATCATTTTTTACTTTTTGGCAATGGCTTTGGAGTGGAAGCACATTACTGTCATCTCCTGAAAGAATTAAATATAAAGTGGAAACCCAGTGAAGAGGAAGAAAATGCCATATAAATTTCAAATGAAGATTTGGAACCAGATTATGATGAACAATGTTGCTAAACCTTGTGATCTCTACCTTCTTTAGTCCCTCCTTGGGAATAGCATAACAGTGGACCCAGCCATCTAGGATTATTTGAAGTAACTTTGGGTGGTACAGTTCAGAAGAATCAACCCTAGAGAGCCTTAAATAACAATACCGAAATGGGACATATTGCCATTAAATCTGTCCCTAACTTAAAAATGTTTAACTAGATGCTACAAAAAAAAAAAGTAATACTTTGCTAATACTTTCCAGAAAGAAGGATGGAGGGGAGAAAATAAATACACGTAAAAAAGACTCCTTTGATCTTTTCCAGTAATGTGGAATGCTCACTTTAATGGAACTATGATTCAAACTGCACCTATAAGAACCAGGATCAAGATCTACATGTTCAAATGTTTGGAAATTTTCTGAAAACATCTAATTAGGTCTTGAAAATTTTCAAACATATGATTAGCTCTTGTTCCCAATTCTTATAGGTGCAGTTTAGTTATAGTACCGTTAAGTCAGAATATATGAAACTTCAGTTAGAAGGAATAAGTTCAAGAGATCTATTGGAAAACAGGGTGACTATAGTTAATAACAGGGTATTGCGTTCTTGAAAGTTGTTAAGAGAGTAGATTTTAAATATTCTGGCAACAAAGAATAAGTTATATTTCATATAATAAAATATATATTCATAATAATACATATGTTAATTACCCCAATTGAACCATTCCATAATGTATACATGTTTCAAAATATGTTGTATGCAATACAAACAAGTTTTATTTGGTTGGTGCAAAAGCAATTGTGGTTTTTGCCATTAAAAGTAATGGTAAATATTACTTTTTTGTAATAAAGTAGTATTTAATTAAAGGATAAATAATTAAAGGATAAATAGTTTTTTAGAATTTAAATAATCTGAAATTATGCCAGTGCTGAGAGAGATTAGGAAGACATGAGAAAGTCACCCAATTAAATAAGAAACCCACACTGAAATGTCTGCAAAATACAGCACTGTCAAGATGATTTTATCATGGAGAAAAATATTCCAAAATCCAGAAAGTAATTACCTATTCGGAGAAGATAGATGAAAATGGGGAAACATTAGGTTGAAACACATTTTTACAAGTCCCTATCATTGAAAATAAACTTTACTTCTCTGTAATACTTGTTCAATTCTATTGATTCAAGAGAAGGCCCAATTGATTTGGAAAATGAAATTTAAAAGGAATCCAGATAGTTTCATGAGTTTTTAACTGAACAGAATATTTGAAAACCCTTGCACTACAAAGAAATTTTAACAACATTGACGTGTATGCCTGATTTTAGCTTTGCTGTGGTTTTAGGGTGGTCCAATCTTAACAATTTTAAACAGGCCCAGAGATATTCATTATGTGATTATGAATCACTTCCAAGGGTAAATTTTAGAGTAGGATTTAGTCATATCTATAACAACACTGATGGAGCATGTGTCAAGTTAAAGGCAAAATATTAAGAATAAGGGACAGTTCTCAGCTGACTGGAGTGAGTCAAACGTCAACAGTATTTCAGATATCATGAACCATTTGCCCAGATAGTCCAGTATTCATTGAATAACATGTCACATGTGTAGGATCTCAATAGCTGAGCTGCCTGAGGACAATTTTTCTTTAGCTGGGTTCCCCACTGGAATCAACTGAAAGGAGTTGTTTTTAGAAATGCTATTGGTGGAGCACCATCCCCAGAGATTCTAATTCAATGCAGGCAGAGGGTGGAAGAGTTTGGGAAAGATGATGGCTCCATTTCTTAAAGCTTCCCCAGTTGATTTCAGTATGAATCTACAGCTAAAACTACCATCGTGGGTCATAACTAGAACTGTATTTGATACTTGTGTCTTTTTCTATTTCAGTTTTTATGAGACTAGCAACACCCAGTTTATAAGGTAGAATCTGCAACTACTATACAATATACTTGAAAAACTTCTTTGAATATTGAAGTTTAACATCACAGCATATCTGGTACATTCTAAATGAGCATCTTCCCAGGGAATTGACCCACAGTCATGGTCTTAAAATGTTTCGGTCACCCCCATTTTAAATTAATAAAAGGTGGCTGTGGAACTGCCCAAAAAACTGGTATTGGCTTTCAGCTAGAGATGTCAACTGGCTGGCTCTTGTTTCTTGTAAAGTGGCCAATATGTGGTTTGGAGCTCTGATTAGGGGAAATTCTGGTAATATTAAGAAAACATTCTCCTGCTATGTAACGGGCCAGGAATGTATACTCAAAATCCAAAAAATCATCTAATAAAATGTTTTAAAACAAGTACCAAGAGGAGAATCATCTCTTTGTTGCCTTCAGCTAGTTTAAGTGAATGTATACCATGTATACCAAGGTATTCAGGCATACCTTGGAGAGATTGCAGGTTCAGTTCCAGACCACAACAATACAGTGACTATTGCAATTAAAGCAAGTCACATGAATTTTTTGGTTTCTCGGTACATATAAAATTTATGTACCATAGCCTATTGTACAATAGCATTAGGTCTAAATAACAATGTACACACCTTAATTAAAAATACTTTATTGCCTAAAATGCTGATTATCTGAGCCTTCAGCAAGTCATGTAATCTTTTTGCCGGAAAGATTTCTCTGTTGCTTAATATTATTTTACCCACAGTAGAACTTCTTTCACAATTGGAGTCAGTTCTCTCAAATTCTGCCTCTGCTTTATCAACTAAATTCATGTCATATTCTAAATCCTTTATTGTTGTTTCAACAATGTTCACAGCATGTTCACCATCTGAAGAGATCACTTTCTTTGCTCATCCATAAGAAGCAACTCCTGTTTCATTCAGGTTTGATATGAGATTGCAGCAATTCAGTCCCATCTTCAGGCTCCACTTCTAATTCTAGTTCTCTTGCTATTTCTGCCACATCTACTGTTACTTCCTCCACTGAAGCTTTGAACCCCCCAAAATCACCCATGAGGGTTGGAATCAATTTTTTCCAAACTTCTGTTGATGTTGGTAGGCTGACCTCCTCCCATGAATCACAAATGTTCTTAATAGCATCTAGAATGGTAAATCTCTTCCAGAAGGTGTTCAATTTACTTTGACCAGATCCAACAGATGAATCACTGTCTATGGTAGCTATAGCCTTATAAGATATATTTCTTAAATAATATGAATTAAAAGCCAAAATTACTCCATAAGTAATTACTGCAGAATTGATGTTGTGTTAGTAGGCATGAAAACAACATAAATCTTGTACGTCTCCATCAGAGCTCTGGGGTTACCAAGTGAATTGTCAATGAGCAGAAGTATTTTGAAATAAATCTCTTTTTTTCTGATTGGTGTGTCTCAACAGAGGGCTTAAAATATTCAGTAAACCATGCTGTAAACAGATGTACTGTTGTCCAGGCTTTGTTCTTCCATTTACAGAGCACAGGTAGAGTGGATTTAGCATAATTCTGAAGGACCCCAAGATTTTCAGAATGGTAAATGAGCATTGGCTTCAACTTAAAGTCACCAGCTGCCTATCAAGAGAGTCAGCCTGTCCTTTGAAACTTTGAAGCCACACATTGACTTCTCTGTAGCTGCAAAAGTCCTAGGTGCATCTTCTTCCAATAGAAGGCTGTTTCTCCTACACTGAAAATCTTTTGTTTAGTGTAGCCACCTTCATGAGTGATTTTAGCTAGGTCTTCTGGCTAATGTGCTGCAGCTTCTCATCAGCACCTGCTGCTGCACTTTGCACGTTTATGTTGTAGAGACAGCTTCTTTTTTTAAACCTCATGAACCCACATATTCTAGCTTCAAACTTTTCTTCTGCAGTTTCCTCACCTCTCTCAGCCTTCATGGAATTGGAGAAAATTAGAACTTTGCCCTGGACTAGGCTTGGTTTAAGGGAATGTTGTATGGGTTTGATCTTCTATCCTTACCTCTTGAACTATTTTCATTTCAGCAATAAGGCTGTTTCACTTTCTTATCATTCATGTGTTCACTGGAGTCACACTTTTAAATTCCTTCAATAACTTTTTATTTGCATTAACAACTTGGATAACTGTGTTTCTCAAGAGGCCTAGCTTTTGGCCTATCTTGGCTTTCAATGTGCCTTAGTCACTAAGCTTAATCATGTCTAGCTTTTTTTTTAAAGTGAGAAACATGAGACTCTTCTTTTTCACTTGAACACTCAGAGGCCATTACAGGGTTATTAACTGGCCTGGCTTCAACATTGTTGTGTCTCAGGGAATAGGGAAGACTGAGGAGAAAGAGAGATAGGGTAACAGCTGGTAGGTGGATCAGTCAGAACACACACAACATTTATTGATTAAGTTTGCCATCATATATGAACATGGTTCATGGTGCCCCAAAACAATTATAATAGTAACATAAAAGATCATTTATCACAGATCACCATAGTAGATAGAATAATAATGAAAAAGTTTGAAATATTGCAGGAATTACCTAAATATGACACAGAGACACAAAGTGAGCCCATGCTGTTGGAAAAATGGTACCTATAGACTTGCTGGATGCAGGGTTGCCACAATCCTTCAATATAGATAAAAGGCAGTGTCTGTGAAGCACAGTAAAGCAAAGCATAATAAGGTGAGGTACACTTATACACGGTGATGATTAAAGTACATTAACATGCAGAAAAAGAGGGCAAGAAGCAAGTTATCAATTGAACAAAACAATAGATGTATAAAACACATCATTACAGAAACCTGGCAACTTGGTGGTACTAGTCCTTGTTTATGGACACACCCTTCATAATCAGCTCTATGTATGCATCCACACATTCATTTATTCAGCCATTCATTAATTCATGCATATATTTTTATTAGTTTTCCATTCCTGCTATAACAAATAACCATATACTTAGTGGCTTAAATCAACACAAATGTATTATCTTATTGTTCTACTGTTCTGAAGTTTGGAATGAATCTCACTGGGCTAAATGCAGTTGTCAAAGCTGCATTCCTTCTGAAGGTTCTAAAGGAAAGTCTCTTTCCGTCCCTTTTTCAGCTTCTAGATGACAACTGCATTCCTTTGTTCCTGGCCCCTTCCTCTACCTTCAAAATGCACCACTGCAAACTAAGCTTCCTTCCTTATGTCACTTTTTCCCCCTAAACCTCCTCTCTCTCTCATAGGGACCCATGGGATGATAGTTCCACCTCAAAATCCTTGACTTAAGACACCTTCAAAGTCCCTTTTGCCATGTAAGCTAATATAGTCACAATGTTGGGGGGATTCGAACAAGGACATATTTAGAGGGGGATTGTTTTGTCTATTGCAGTATTCTAAAGGTACTTATTAAGCTTTACTGATTAACTTTTGAACTCAAAATAATATATGTTTACATTTGAAAAATTTTTTGATTGTCCACTAAGGTGAATTTTAGCACCCTTATGATTTTGCCAGATCTTATCTCACCTTCAACCTCTTCACCATATATATATTTATATTGAATGTGTTCATTACATTAACATATTTAATAGAATTATAGTATTATATATTTTATATATATAATTATATTGTATACATTATATGCTTATATATTATAATTAATATATAATATAAAATATTAATTATATATATTAATTACATGTGATTATGATATAATATAATATATAATATTATACATGATATATATTGTAATATATATTGCTTCATAGATAGTATAACAATATTTGTCATATTTTATATATGATATATATTGTGTATATTATATATGTCATATATTATATACATTATATGATTATATAATATACAGTATATAATTTGTATATTATATATTATAGAACAATATAATATACAATATATAATCATATATAACATGATAAATATATATTATATGATATATAATTATGTTACATTATAGTATATATTATGCATTTCATTATATATAATTATGATATATAACATAATATATCAGATGTAATATAATGTATGATAAATATTATATGCTTCCTTCCTCACATCACTTTTTCCCTTTGATCTTTTCTCCCTTGAATATATGATAAATATTATCTATCATATTTCATAATTATATATAATGAATATATATGTAAATATTATATATAATCTGTCACACATATAAATAATATAATCCATATTAATATAATATATAATAATCCTATATAATATATTCATGATATCAATTATTATATAATCATACCATAGCTATGCATTACAATAATTATATATAAACATATGTAATCATATATGTTATGTATTTTATTATATAACATATAGTCAGTTTTAATATATAATATACAATTGTGTAATAGATAATATACAATATATAATATATGATTGTAACAGATAATATATCTATTATCTATTATATAGATATGTATTATATAATTATGTATCATATATATTGCATTGTTTATGAAACTTAAATTTGTTTCTGGAAATATCATTAAATCTTTTTCTATGACTTGATTCTGAAATGTGGAAAAGCAGAAGGAAAAGAGCACCGTTCCTCAGAGCATGGCCTGACTTAGCTGGGACCCCGGCCCCTTGCCCTGCTGAGTGCCTCCCACCATCATGTATTTCATTCATCCTAAAAATGTCGTATTTACTGATGTGAAAAAAACAATTAGAACATTTTATTGACTCTAAAGTTGTGGGTTTTTTCTTCTGATTTTAAATAAATCCACGCATTTTCACGGGCCCCTGAGCGTCCTGCAGGCTTCAAACACTGTGCCGACCATCAGCTCTGCCATTCATACCACCATAGCTACAGAGACCTACAAAGCTTCATGCTTCAGAGTACATCCTCCATGGTTCTAATGCAGCATGCCCAGAAAGAGAGCCTTATCAGAGTTAAAGTCCCCCTGGTGGCTTTCTAGTCTCCTTCAGTTATCATGCCACTGTTTAGGTCACTTCGTATTTCCCAAATGTTGGATTAAAGGTATCCTTTATTTTGGGACAACAAAACTTGTCCGCTTACCAGTTTTCTCTAGATTGTTGTATGGCTTTTAGGGAGAAAAGCCCTCTGTTTTTGTCTCTTTGTTTTATTTTGTTTTCTTTGCAGGCATGAACAAGGCAGGTAGAGAAGCTAAACTGGAAATCTAATAATCACCCAGCTCCTTTCACCCACCCACTGTCCTTCTTTCTCTCGTGGTGTTAGTCTGAGTGATGACTGGATAATGGACACACATCCTGGAAGGTGGTTTGCATTGTTCAGTTTCTTACATTAATATCCCTTCCAGAAACTTATTAAAATCTGTTGTTGAGAGTTGACCTTCTACATTTCCTTACCATGACAGTTCCTTTCTATTTATTTAATTTTTTAAATGGGCATCTGGAAGGGAGGAAAGGTTTATTTTTTTAATCTACAATATTAAACCAGACAATAAATAATTGTTTAAAGAATTAAAATAATTATTTAATTTGAATAATTGTAAATCATTTAACTTAAATGTGTTGTGATTCCATCAGCATATTTGCATATATGTAACAGAGTTTGGTGATTCAAATCTAAGATGCAGAGAACACAATTTGCACAATAACCCCATATTTCACTGAATTTTGTTTATTCTTCTGTAAAATGAAGAGATTGGATAAATGATTAGTAATGTTTCTTCTATTATAGTATTTGGTATCCTCCCACTCTACTATATTATAATACAAGGAAACAGTTTAAACATTCAATAAAATACATGTCATTTTTATAATTTTATTCACAAATAATAAAGTATAATTAGCCCATTCCTATGAAATTTTTCCATTTTTACATACCATTTTTACTAGTTACTTATATTATGACTTTATTTTGTTGAAAATAAGTTTAAAAATAAAAGATATAAAATGCTTCTGAAAGGACAGAGTAAATATTTTTATAGACATTAAGAAAAATATTTTGATTTTATGAATGTGAAACCACATCTCAAACAACTACTTTTTCAAGTTTTATTTTATTTATTTATTTATTTATTTATTTATTTATTTATTTATTTATTATTTTCTTTTTGAGACGGGTCTCGCTCTGTTGCCCAGGCTGAAGTACAGTGACACAATCTCGGCTCACTGCAACCTGCACCTCCCGGGTTCAAGCGATTCTCCTGCCTCGACCTCTCAAGTAGCTGGGATTACAGGCACGTGCCACCACGCCCGACTAGTTTTTGTATTTTTAGTGGAGATGGGGTTTCACCACCTTGGCCAGACTGATCTCGAACTCCTGACCTCAGGTGATCCGCCTGCCTCGGCCTCCCAAAGTGCTGGGATTACTGGTGTGAGCCACCAATGCCTGGCCTCAACAGTTTTATTTTAAATGCCAATTGTTTTTACTGTCTTCTGTAATTATCTACACGGAAGGTTAGATCCTGCCTAATAAATTCAAGACCATGGAATTATATAATATCTCTTTTTAAGCAGAAGCAAAGAAAGCCCTTTCCAAACAAAGATTCTTACAGTTTGGAGTTTGAATTCACTCTATGTTCATCAACTTTGTTTCACATCTGACCCCTACTGTTTGCCTAAACTGGATTGGAAATTAAAGAGCAAAGGATGCCTGTGGCAATGAACAACACATTTTTGGAAGTTTGAGAATAACAGCAGAGAAAATGTCAGCCAGTCATTTTGACTTAGAGGTCATTAAATTAGTCTTAGGATTGCTAAAAGAAATAGGCTTAATATGTAAAATAAGAAGAAAGACTTAATTATGAAATATGTGCAACATAAAAATAAGATACAGTTAACCCTTGAACAACATGAGAATTAGAGGTACCAACTCTCCACATAGTCAAAAATCTGCATGTAACTTTTGACTCCCCAAAGAATTAACTACTAATAGCCTGTTGTTAACTTGAAGCCTTATGAATACCATAGTCAATGTTTTGTATGTTATATGTATTATATACTTATTTTTTCAATAAAATAAGGTAGAGAAAAAATATCATTAAGAAAATTATAAGGAAGAGAACATGTATTTACTATTCATTCAGTGGAAGTGGATCATCAGAAAGGTCTTCATCCTCATCATCTTCCTGTTGAGGCTGAGGAGGAGGAGGAAGAGCAGGGCTTGGTCTTGCTGTCTCAGGGGTAGCAGAGGCAGAAGAAAATCCATGTATGAGTGGACCTGTGAAGTTCAAACTTGTGTTGTTCAAGGGTGGACTGTATTTTATATTTTGTGTCTTCCCACTAACAGGAAGTATCCATATTTAGTATTTGATATTTCTATACCACATGGGTCCAATCTTCCTTTATTCTTTTCTCCTTTCTTCTAAAAATGAGCAAATGAACAAACAACAACCATAACAACAACAACTCAGATCATCTTGTGCGTTTTTTTGTTATCTAGCATGTTTTTACTTAAATGTACATGGTTTATGTATTTTGAGGAACATATGTATCATTAGCTATTCTTTACTGCTTGAACAAATTCATCATTTTTGGAAATCCACAAAGCATAAAACATTGAAACAAGTGCTTTAAGGAATACAATGATGAATATAAATCAGATGTAATCTTGTAGAAGCTCATAAGGGCTACAAAAGATGTGTTTTACTAGCTCAATCAGGAGACACAGACTTCCAAGGGCCATATCCTTGCACCATTGAAATTTAAAGTAGAAAAAGACACTCATACCGTGCAAGAGGGCCTCAGATGGTCGGTAACATCTAACTAAGCTGTGAAGATTGACTCACATCTTGGCATGTATACCAGAAACATACCCGTGCAGAGGCACAGGTGAGAACATGCTGTAAAAAGGGCAAATGCAATCAGTTTGACGGAAAAAACAGTGTGTGATGTCAAGAGAAGGGAAGTAACGCTAGAGGGAGAGACTGGAGAAAGCCTTAGAGAACTTGAATTCCAACAGGAAGGTTTTTACTTCATGAAGTAGATACTGGTGAGTCATTTGTAGCTTTTGGTTAGCAGAATAACATGGTCTCAGCTGTGTTTTTGGGGGATGAATCTAGCCGTACAGTGGAAGAAAGAGCTCAAAGAATATGTGGAAGGGTGGGGAGGTTGGAGATCAGGAGAAGGAGATGAGGACTCTTAAACAGAAGTTCAAATGAAAGTCACTAGGCTGAAAATAGGAGAGGGGTGGATTTCAAAAGTATTTAGCGGGCAGAAGCAGTTTGACTTGCTACCCTGAGAGAAAGTATAGTGAATCAGTCCCTAAATGGACATTTATAGCCCCAAATAATCTCAAAATAGCAGATCCTAAGTTGTCGTAGAAGGCATCAGTATTACTTTTCTATTTCTGTGTAACAAATTAGCATACACGTGAAGACTTAAAACACTTCTGTAGGACAGAAATCCAGTAAGACATTGCTGAATTCTCTGCTTAAGGTCTCATGTGGCCAAAGTCAGGATGACAGACAACCAGGCTCTTTTCAGGACTCTGGAGAAGAATCTGTGGTTGGAAGATTTTAGTTTCTTGCAATTGTAGGGTGGAGGTCTTTGTTTTATTGCTGTTTGACCAGGGGCCAGTCTCAGATCTCTCATTTGTCCTTGCTTACCACCTCTCTATCTCCAAAGCCATCAAGGATGCATGGACTCCTTCTCCTGCTTCTAATATTTCTGACTTCCCCTTCTCTTATCAGCCAGAGAAAACATCGTGTTTTTAAAGGTCTCGTGCAACAGGTTTAGACCCACTAGGATAATCTTCCTTTTTACTAACTCAAAATCAAATGAATGGTAACCTTATTTACATCTTCAGATTAACCCTTTTGCCCTGGAAAGTGTATTAGTCAGGGTTCTTTAGAGGGGCAGAACTAATAGGATAGATGTATATATAAAGGGGAATTTATTAAGGAGTATTGACTCACAGATCACAAGGTGAGGCCCCTCAGTAGGCCGTCTGCAAGCTGAGGATCAAGGAAGCCAGTCCGGGTCCCAAAGCTGAAGAACTTGGAGTCTGATGTTCAAGGGCAGGAAGCATCCCACACAGGAGAAAGATGTAGGCCAGAAGACTAAACCAGTCTAGTATTTCCACGTTCTTCTGCCTGCTTTTATTCTGGCCGTGCTGGCAGCTGATTAGTTGGTGCCCACCCAGATTGAGGGTGGATCTGCCTTTCCCAGTCCACCGACTCAAATGTTAATCTCCTTTCGCAACATCCTCACAGACACACCCAGGAACAATACTTTGCATCCTTCAGTCCAATCAAGTTGACACTCAATATTCACCATCACAGGAGGAAATAAGTACGGTGTGAAATCTTATATTCATATTTCCGAACATCAGGGCAAGGAATTGTGGGGTTGGACTTTCCAGATTCTGCTTATCACAGCATCTCTTAAGGAATTACTCTAATTCAGGAGTAACCTAACATTTCTGACACTTCCTCCTTCACATCATCTACTCAGTTGGTAGTTGGTTGCCTTTTACATTTTAATTCAAGAAACAAAGGCAAAGAAAATGCACAGGTGAGGAGATAAATAAAAGGGATGCGGTGACGGCAAATCAGTGTCTTAAAATAATTCTGTCTTTGAAAAATGTGGGATAAGCACATATGCTGTGAGGTGGTGCAGAGTGGAGATTGTTTGGGGCTTGGAAGATATTCAAATATGAAGGAATCTGTCAGCACTCAAGTCATGCCAACAAAAACTTCAGACCACATCAGCAACGCGTGTGTGTGAATTTAGTGGCAATAACATGATAAAAATAGAGAATTATAAATGCGGTAGCAGATTTTAAAATTGGCTAGATCTACAACTTGAGAGTTACGGAGTTTGCTTTATGGCTACAAGATGAAAAAGACAGTCATTTCAAATTTACAAAAGTAGCAAGGGTAAAACTGTAACTCTTTTTTGGTTATCATTGAATCCTCCCTCTCCTTGAGCTCGATTAAAATCCATAGACTTCCTACTTCCATCTGCCTGGGTTTGTGCTGATTGTGCTGCAGAATCATTGCATTTCATTGAATCCTCATTTTGTCACTTTTACTTTCTTGCTGCTTACATTAAGAAAAATTGTTGAACTGAATTCTATGATGGAGAATCAACTTGACTCCATATTTAGAAAAGCAAAAGGAATTGGAGAGTCAAAACTGGAATTCATATTGAATGGAAATGGAATTTCTAGTGGGATTTGTTCCATGCCACTATTGTTGTTTCTTTAATAGTATAACACCACATTGCAAAGGTGAGGCATGATGTTAGAGCCAACACCGTAAAGATGCTATCTGGCAAGCAGCTTACAGGACAGTCAAGTGGGACTCCCCAATGACGTGGGTGAAATCAGAAAGCAGATATTCCTTGTTTATAATTCACTCTTATTCTCTCTCTGCTTCTCTTTCTCACTTCCTCTCCCTCCATGTTCTGCTATTGCAGGACTACATTTTATCATTTAATTGTTTATATTTTCTTGTAATTTTCAAAAAACCTCACAGAAGCTTCAGTTCTTTTCTTTGTTACAGAGTTATATGAAATATCCTATAGTTCTTCTTTTGAACAGCGTGGCTAGCTTTAGTCTCAATATATTTCTTCTGGGGCCCTGAATTTCATAGCAAGCTACGGCTTACGTGACTACTGGTTATAATAATTTCAACTGTGATGCAACAATACAACTACCTGGTTTCAAATCAGCCCAAAACGTTATAAAATTTCAGGTATGCTATTAATAATATCATATTAATAATTATATTAATTATTATGATATTAATAATAATTAATATGATAATAATTATTAATATGATATTAATAATATGCCTGTTCATCATGACAGTACCATTATTTACGCACTTAAACTTAATTTACTAGAAAATAAAAATCTTTCAAGACAGAGAGAGTTATGTTAACCCAAGACACTTCTTAGATGTGTGAATTTTTCCTTATGGGAAAATAAACCTTGCAGATATAGACAATGGAGTTAGGAAATTTTTTAAATAAAATATAGCTTTATGTTCCACACTTTTTAATATGAGAATATGGTACAATTGACAGAATTATGACACTTTAAAATTAAGTAACATTGTTTTTTCTCATCTTAAATTACCTTTTATGCATTAAATATTTTATTGAATGGGTCCAGAAGAAAATTATTTAAATATAAATACTTTCCCTATAATCCCTAAGTAATTCATAGATGATGGCATAAAAGTGATATTTTTAGATACTATAAACATTCTACTACACAGTATTTCTTAGTTATCATGAATTTGGTTTTAGAATAAAATTCCAGCATCAAAGTTGAAATAATTTCCATGCTTTCTTCCACATTTTCTTCTTGGCCCAAGGGAAAATGACATTGAAGTACAGTTTTGTACTTGTGCGAATGGGGAAGATGTGTGCAAGGGTATTTGCCTACATTTTTTCAAAGTAAATTTTAAGACCACAAATGTAGCCTCCAGCTAGTGGCCGTGTCAGTTTTCTAGAACTAAAGCACAGATAAATTGTGAAATCGAGAAGGATTTCTTCATGCCCAGAGATGGGCTGGCTCAACAGCTTGGGAATGCCCTGGAATCCATGCTTAGATGCCTGTGGTCGGTTGACGGAACATGAAAGTGAGAACGGAGAAGGGAAAATTGCAGACCATAGAACAACCAGTGTGGGATGACCAATTAAAAGTTAACATTTTGTCTGAGAAGTGATTTTACCACAGAGAAAAATGGAATCTCTTTTGTCTCCACACTCCACAGAACATCAAAGGGCTATGCACCATTCTCCAATTCCAGAGACAATTTTTTTTTATTCAAATGACATGACATTTGTCTTTGTATTATTCAAGGTTCTCTAGAGGGACAGAACTAATAATATATATATATCCCATATGGGATTATATATATCCTATTAGTTCTGATATATGTATATCCCTATATGGGATATATACACATAGGATATATATATCATATATGATATATATATCAGATATATAGCATATATCCCATATAGGGATATATATATCAGAACTAATATATATATACTAATATCAGAACTAATATATAATAAACTCCCATATATATCAGATATCTCTGAGATACATCTCAGATATATATATCTGAGATGTATATGATATGTATACATACGGGAGTTTATTAAGTAGTATTAACTCACATGATCACAAGGTCCCACAGTAGGCTGTCTGCAAGCTGAGAAGCAACGAAGCCAGTCTAAGTCCCAAGGCTGAAGAACTTGGAGTCCAATGTTTGAGAGCAGGAAACATCCAGCACGGGAGAAAGATGCAGGTTGGGAGGCTAAGCCAGTCTAGCCTTTTCATGTTTTTCTGCCTGCTTTATATTCTGACCGAGCTGGCAGCTGATTAGATGGTACCCACCCAGAGTAAGGGTGGATCTGCCTTTCCCAGCCCACTGGCTCAAATGTTAAACTCCTTTGGCAGCACCCTCACAGACACACCCAGGATCGATACTTTGCATCTTTCAATCCAATCAAGTTGACACTCAGTATTAACCATCACAGTCTTGGTAGAGATGAGAATGAAATTATGCTTTTACTGTGGAGAGATGAGCCCACATCTAACCTCCTAGCAAAGAGGACAGACAGCACTTGAAATCCAAGAGGCATGAGAAGGGGTGGTTGTCTCATGGAGGATCAGCACCACAGATGCTGGACAGAGCCCAGGATTTGCTTAGATCCTGAAATAATGATGGCATCTAAGATGTCAACAAGAGAGACTCAGACATACAGGAAACACAGGCACAACATAACCCAACAGGTATGCTATGTAAATAGAAATCACCCACTTATAATTTGGAGGCATGGTCCTAACCTCGATACACAAGTAAATTACAGGAATAATTCTACACCGTGTGTGTGGGCTTAAAATCATTTTCACCCTCAATGATTGTAGATTACTGAAATATTTTTGTGTGTGATGTCTCAGTTTGGTGCTAAAAATTTCAAAGTGTTGTCTATTCAAGAATGAACAATTGGATGTGACCAGTGTCTCATAAATAATATTGAAGTTTCATGCATTTTAAGAGAGATAACATGAATTTTAAATACAATCTTTGAAGGATACTTTATAACCTGAATATTTAGTAACATATACCACAGATTATGTAATGCCACCACCTTTTATGGACTCAAAATTAAACCGAGGATAAATTGCGTAGATGTTGGCTCTCTTCTTGGTTCTTGAATGTGCTTCTGGCCTTATAATTCTCCTGGGTAGCTCTGACATAAGCAACATGTGTTTTATACTATTTTCCCCACTTTATTTCTCCATATATTTGATTCAATATTTTTCTTACCTTTCGTTAATCTTTCAAAATGTCTAATCTCTTGATACCTCTCTGTTTTTTTCAAAGCTGATAGTGCTTTTTCTTAAAAAAAAAATAACTGCTCAACTTTTTTGTTGTTTTATTTTGGCAGAGTGGGTTGATGAGTGTGTTTAGCCTATCAACATTATCCAAGCTCAGAAGAGACCACTGTAGCTCTTCTTATTCTTTATTCCTGTGCTGTAATATCTCATTTACTTGCCTGTATTACTCATAGTATTAGTTATCAATGACTGCATAAAAAATCACCCCACAACTTAGTGACTTAAAACAACACCTAATTTTTATCTCACATTTTCTGCAGGTCAGGATTCTGGGTGTGGTGTAATTGGGTCCTTTGTTTCAAGGTCTCCCACAGGTAGCCATCAAGGTGTTTGCCAGAGCTACAGTCATGTCAAGGCGTGACTGGGGAGGATCTGTGTCCAGGCACATATGGTTGTTGGTAGGATTCAATTTCTACCAGGGTGTTGGGATATCAGCTTCACTTCCATGCTAATGTTGGCTGAAGGTTGCCATCAGTGCCTTGCCACGTGAGGCCCTCCAGCATGGCAGCCCCCTCTATCACTGCCTGCAGTCATGTGGGGCCCTCCAGAATGGCAGTCCAGTTTATCACCGGCTGAAGCCCTAGAATGTAATAGAGAGCATCTGCTGGCAAGGTGGAAGTGACAATGTCTCACAGCCTGACCACAGAAATCATATCCGATCACCATTGCCACATCTTATTCATTCGAATCAAGTCACCAGGCCAAACCCACACTCAAGGGCATGAATATCAGAAGATGAGAATATTCAGAGGTCATCTACCTGTTGGCCAGCCACATTTCTATTATGCCCCCTTGCATTTCATGTTATGGTTTTACAGTAGACATTTTTTGTCATGTAAGCAAGTGGAATACTTTCTTAAATTAGGTTGGGCATAGATAATAAATGCCCAAAACAAATGAGAGCACTCAATTCTAAATACCCTTACATGTCCCTGAATCAGGACTTCTCTCCCCCTTTAAGGTCATTTGACTCTGCACAACTCAGCACGTGCTCCGTGGTTTACCAAGGAGCCTGTGAAGATACAGAATTGCAGGTTCTACTCCAGAATAACAATCCACAGTTTAACAAGTTGCCCAGATTACTTGTGTGCACCTTAAAGTTTGAGAGACAGTGATCTTTCAAGAAGAACCCAAGGTTCTCAGCCTTGGCTGCACATTGGACTTATCTGAGAAGCTTTAAAAGTAGAGATGCCCGGGTTATATCCCCTGAGGGTTTTTGTTATTTTCGTCGAGGGTGTGTCTTGGGCAAGTTCCCCTGCGATTCTAACATGTAGCCGTTATTGAAAAGTGCCAGTTTATCCCAGTGTGTTTAGGAACAACCTGTGATGGAAAGGACAATGTCAAAACAGTTTTGTTTATATGACTTTTCATTTTTATTTATACAAATAAGATTATTTTTAAAACTATGGTCTGCTTTGCCACATAAAACAGTGGAGAGTGCCTTATCACAGTCTGATATAATTATAATTATTAATCTCAATAAAACATGAATGCAACAAGGATCTCCTGAAATCTTTGATAATTTAGCAATTTATTAAAGATTGTAAAATTCTAAGAGATGCTGCCAGTCACTTTGAGGAGGCATGTTTTCACTTCTTATTGTTGATATTACCTAGGGAGTGCAGAAAACCAACAAATTGAATGTATTTTTACTGGTCCCATTCCATAAGAATTGTAAGTTCAATTTTAACTTGTTCCAAGGGACATGTAAATTCAAGACTGAATTTCACTCAGTGTGAAGGAGTGGAGTTGCCGTAAATTTATTTTATACAATTAATTATATAAATTGATATTATACACATCAATATCCAATTAGATAAAAATGAACACCTACTACACATCAGTGACTGAGGACTCAAAATAAAAACATGGAGAAGAACTGTATCTACTTATGTAGAGCTAACAGTCAGTTTGGGGAGAGAGACATGAATTGTTATTCAATTCTGTGTATAGTGGCACATGGTGATAAACGCTGAAAGGGAGAGGTACACAAGTACACAGATCAGGTGAACACAAAGGGGGACACAGCCCACTGGTGATGGGAAAGACTGACATGAGGCACGAAGGATCAGTAGATGCCTTCCTGGTGACACGCGTGCAGAGAGGTGGGTCCAGCAAGAAAGAAGAGTGATTGCCTTCCCTGGCTTTTTGGAATGGAAAGTGGCTAGTGTGAAAGGGATCCATAACAGATGAGAATGGAGAGAGAAGAGGCAGCCAGGCCACAAAGAGTCCTTTTGGCCACTGGTGGAAATTTGGACTTTTTGTACATGGGATTAGAAACTAAGATCCCATGAAGCAAACAACCAAGGAAAGAAGGTATGATTCCCGTTTTGGATAACCTCAGATTTAGGAGCAGGCAAGTCATATAAATATGTAACTCTAAAGTGAGGGGAATCATAGTCCAATAAATGCATATGTAAAAGGAGTTGGGGACAAAGAGAAAGTTGTGATAAGACGCCTCAATGGCATTTGTCCTGCAAGCATCCACTGCAAATGCACCGCCTTTTTCAGTAATGAAAAGAAAAGTCAGGCCTGATGACATCTCAAGAAACGTTGAAAGCAACCAGAATCTCACGTTTTTTGGAGAGAACTCTTGTCTTTTGGGGGATTTATATCAACTTTCAGCTTATTTTTATAACTCTCAACTTGATTTTTATTATTCTAATTTTAAAATTAGTGTTTTACCTGCCTTGCCTTTGAATTATTATTATTATTTTTGTTCCTAACATTTTAATTTTGGAAATAAAAGAAGTGGTGAGGTCCAGGAGAAAACCATTTCTTAGAGGTAAGGTTCTTCATGAAGCAATGTCATCAGACAGAGACCGGGGAGGACTCCGAGCCACATCTGCAAGGAGGCATTACTTTGGGCCTTGTCCTCATCATTTTCATGTGCCTTGGACTCAGTAATTCAACTAGGACACAGTAGCCTTAGACAGTTTTAGTCATGAGTGGCCTTGCACTGTAGTTGTTGCATGAACACATAAATCTCTTTGTGGATAGAGGCTGTCTGTTATTTCTTGGTGTGCCAAATTCCGGGGCATATGGCAGCCTCTCTGCAAATACTTGTCAATCAAATTTGGCCTCCGCCATGGGAACGCAGAAACAAAACTCTATCCAACTCACTGGAGACTCCTTGGAAACCTGAGAAAAAACATCAAAATCCCAGCACAACCGCACAAACCAGAAGGGGTGGCCCAGAATGATTCTGCTCCAAATTGTCCAGAATTTTTGGGAAGTCTCAGATATTCTTAATTGGAAAAACACGCTATAATGTATATGTACACACTGATTGACCTTCGGCTAAAAGATTATTTTCCCATCTCTCTTGTACTAGCTCGAGTTGGCTCAATATAACAAATAGCCAGAAATAAGACCAAACTTTGACTTGTACACTTTTTAAATTAAAGAAACAAAATTCACATCACTGTTTAATGTTAAATTAGCCCACAATTTCCACATTGTATTACTTGAAATTGGAATTATTTTTAAGTCTTTATCTTTGTAGGGCTTTTTTTTTTTCAGGGCCATGTATGCAAATGTTGCTGCCTCACTAATTAGGAGAAGATGGTCTCTTTTCAAATCTCACTTGGGAAGAGAAAAAAGTCTAGTAAGTTTAAAAACCTTAGCATGACTTGGTTGGTTATACATACCAAGATAAATATATAGCATTTATTTATCAAAGGAGAAATAGATAAAGTTATTTGTCTCACATTACTCATGTCTGTCTTGAGAAAGAAATCACATATTAAAATATAAAAAAGATAGAGTATGAGTAGATGGATAATTTCTAAATAATGCAAAAAATAAAACTAAAAGTAATGAACAAAGATATCACCAGTCACTCACCTTAGAATCTAACAGAGGGCTATTTGAAAATACAGATTCCTAAGCCATAACCCTGAGTATTCCAATTCAGACAGTCTGAGATAGAGCCTAGGAATCTATATTTTAAGGAAAAAATCACACCTCTGCCCTCATGGAACCTTGGCATACCGATAAATTTAGGTGCCACTAATGTGATTCCGAATTCTTCCTTTACAGATTAGGAAACTGAAGCTATACAGGGTCCATGCCTTGTTCAAGATCACTGACATTGTTTTTCACAAAGCACAAGACAGGGTGTTGGAATCCTAATGTTTCCAGTTCTTCCAGCAGAATTCACTGAGCAAACATGTGATCACCTATTCTGAGAATAACATTGTGCTAACTGCTATAAAGGATATAAAAGCAATAAAGGCATGGCCCTAACAACTCTACATAACAGCAAATGGAACAGGCATGTATGCAAAAATGTATAAGAAAATAAGTATGAAATTAAATCAATCAAATAATTAAATTAAATAAATATGAATTTATTCACAATTAAATGTGAAATTAAAACAAACTGCTGTGGGAACAGAGGATGAAGGAAGTATTGACAAGCATGGGAATTAGGTCAATATTGTGAGAAAATGGGTTGAGCTGATCCTTGAAGAAAAAAGAAGATGTCCATAAAGGAAGAATTAGAATGGAAATATCCAACTATGACCAGAGGAGGGTATCTGATTCTCCCTGCATTCAGGAAGATATGAATTCTAGCATACAGCAACGGGAGTTGAAACAAAAAACAATGTTGGATGCCATACCTTGGAACAACTGGGCTATGAAGATTGAAAGCAAAGGTTGAAATTCAAGTGCCTATAGGGACCAAGGAGATAACAAAAAGAGAGGAACTAGTCGACTTGGGGATAAGCCTGGAAATTATGGAGATTCTGGTAAACTGGAGACAGCATGGCCCATCCAAAACTGACCCAAATCCTCCATTTTTATAATGCCCTGCTGAACAAAGAGAACACGTCTGTGAGGCATATGTAGCCCCCAGATGCCATTTTGACCTCCTGAAAGCAAAGCCCAGGGCCAGGGCTCTCTTCATCCTGCATTCTCTTCAGGGCAATGTCTACCATGCCCCAGGGGCTCCAACTGCCATCTAAACATCAATATCCCCCAAAGGCATTATCTCCTTTCCTAACCTGTCTCTTGACCCTCAGAATCGTATTTGCCATCTCTACTTGAATATCTCAGTGAACATCTCAATGGTACTTGGAACTTAAACAGAACTGAATGAACTGATAATTCCCCTTAAATAAGTCTCTTCCAGCTCATCCCCCTTCTGCCAGTCACATTACATCTCTTGCCTAGTCCCGTCAATTTTCCCTCCTATGTCTCAGACCCATGGACTGTACACATTGCAAACACTGAATGCCCAGTTGCTGTCAACTCTTTTCTGGGAGGAGGCTACTCTGGTCACAGAAAATGAATCCCTTCTCATTACTTCAGAAATAGTCATCCTTTCAGAAGTGACTATGCCCCACCGTTCTCCTCCATCATCTCAAAGATCTAGCTCTAGGCTACTTTCCTAGGCTCACCTGGAACTGATTTCCTCATCTTTCTGTCTGAGCAACAACGCTGACATTTTCAGTTTCCTGAGCACATCATGCTTCCTCTGGACAAATCTCTTTGTAAGCACTATTCCTTCTTCTGAAATCTCCCCTTTCTTCTTCTCCAAGTTTAGCTGTATCCGTCCATCTGGTCTAAGTTTTAAGGTCAGGTTCCCATAAAAATACTTCCTCGACTCCTAGATTTAGCCACTAGGCTACAGGCTTTTTGTCAGTACTTTTTAGTTTCCTTTCTACTATTTAACAGAATCTATGGGTGCTTTTTTATGGTATTTTATTTATTCTTTTCCTTAGCATCTGACCTGATTATCATTATTCTATGATGGTAGTGATTGTGCCTGTAGCCACTCAGACATTTTATTTGAATGAGTTAATGAATGAATAAACAAATAAGTGAGTTGTAGGATATTGAATATTAAGCTAAAGAGTTTATATTTTATTCTTGAAGTAAAATAGAGAAATTTTTGTTGTCTCTGCTGCTGTTTTTTTGGGGTTTTTTTTTGTTGTTGTTGTTTTTTGTTTTTTAACAGACAGGATGATGGCTTGATGTGAACCTTGGTAGGAGAACTGGGACGATGTCTTTTAAAGGATAGAGCAGAGGCTGTGGGTGTCAGAAAGTCCAGGCAGAGTCTGATATAGGATTGATCCACAGCAATGAGCTTAAAGACAGCAGGAGAGGACAGGCTTCAATGAAATTATGAAATTATGGTTGGTTGCTGTCACTGCCATTAATAACATTTATAACAACAATGGGAGGGTTATTGTCTCCATAGGCCAGGATGTAAGTATTATGATGGCCTTTAGTCTTTCTAACAGTTTAACCAAAAAGTATGTAGAATTCTTCAGTTAATTGTTTTTCATTACTTGCAAAGCTTATTTCGGACATAATGCATATTTTATTTTCAAATTCCCATGTCCCAGCACAAACGTATTCATTTGTGAATTTCTTGCAATTTATTTTATAATGTTTGGTAAAATCATAAGTAATATGTCCATGATTATTCCATGATTATCTCCATGATTATTAGAGATCTATAAATTATTATTAGCTGACAGGAAAATAAAACAAAACAAAATAGCACTTTGTTCTAAATGTTTTATCACCAAGGTAAACATTCACTATGAACTGTACAAAATAATATTAATTGTTGCAAAAATGTATACCAGTAATAATGGGACGAATGGATCTGATTCCTAGTATTGAGACTGGCAAAGCTGAAAATGAGAAAAGCAACATTGCTTCTTGCCTACTGTTTCCACCCTCAATTTCAACGTATTTGAAAGGCTCTTTCCAAGGCATTTTGCAATACATTTTACATAGTAAGTATTCACATTTTTCATGTACTTTCACAGTTGAGAAGAAGGAAAGAAAAGGATGGTTAAACAAATCTTATGCAGTTCCCAAAAGGCACCGAGTCTGCAGTTACTTTTCTTACTTGCTTTAACTCTTTTATTTAATTAGGTTTAGTCAGCTTACCTCACTCTAAAACAATTAGTGGTAACTTGCAGAAACATTTACAATAGTCTAGGGGAAATAGATGTAATTAGAGCAAAGGCAAGTAAGGTTAGGATAATAAGCCCACGAATGAGCTAAATGCATGTTATCACAAAAGCCATGCTGTCGGATTCCCTTTCTAAAAGCAAGAACCAAGGATAACCCTCAGAGACAGATAGTTTGCATAGACTTCCATAAATCCTTCATGAATATTAATATTCACCATCTAGTTTTGGTGAGAATTAGACAGCAGAAAGCATAATGTTAGCTACTCATGAAAAAATAGTTTGGAGTATTTTATGCTAACAGTTTATCATTTAAGTTGGTCAAAAGAATCCCAATCTGTATGGCTTGCCTAACTTTGACACAGAAGGCCACATTGGCATATCCTAAAGAAAATTTATGAGCCTAGTTATAAAAACATACAACTTTAAATAAATGTCTAAGGATCATCAGATGGTAGTCACGTCGGAGAAATTGTCACTTGCAATTGAATAATTTTATAATTTATTTCTCAATTACTTCAATTCATATTATAAATTATTTTCCCAATTACATGTATACATATATGTAAATAATTATTAGAATTGTTTTCATTTTAAGAATTGTTATCCCTAATAAGGATATTCAGAAACAGCTGAAAATAAAAGTGAATTCTATGGCCTTGGATCAAAGCCAAGTTAACCACCCACTTCGGGGACTTAACCTTGACCTTGACCTTGTTAGCACAGTGTTAGAATTGACCTGCCTAATCGGCAGCAGACAGGAGATTCAGCGTGGCCCTGTCATTCGAGCTCTTTTTATAACTTATCTCTCAATCTCATTTACATACCAGTCAGGACTTCTCTTTCAAACAAAGCAATCACTTTGATAATTTGGGTTGAATTTTATTTTTCCCGATAACTAGATAATTACCTTCTTTTCTGTTCTAACCGGCGGTCAAGTGTAGATGCTGGACTCCAGAACTAATAGACCTCGGGCCACCTCCACGAAGATTTATGTGCAGAGATTGTTAGTGCAAGCAAAAGACTGCCTAAGGGTAAATGAAAAACAGGAACTTATTTGCTGTTTTTGCAAAATTTAAAAAGTTGACAGTGGGGTCCATGAAGTTAAAGTTACATTAAAATATGACATTTTTGTACCTCAGAAGATGGTGTCTAATTCACTAGCTTAAATTTTAAAACCACATGATTTAAAACTTCAAGCTTATAACATTTCTAAACATGTAAATTGAAACTAGCAATTTCTTGTTAAGAAAGGAAAGCATTGCTTTCAATATATGCATCACCAAATTGGCTGGTAAGTTTAATGAGAAGTCATTCATCATGTTAACATTCAGGAATGTTGCTTTAAAGGGCATCCGAGATAAAACTACTGACTCAGAAAGATGCATACCACGTACTGGAGTTATAAATGTCATTTCTTTAAGGATCAAAAGTGTGAATAATAAGTAAATATGTTTTTTCAAGCTATGGTGATCTTTTCCAAGGGATGGTGATATTTAAAAATAAAATCAGTTTAATTCAACAATAAATATTTTCCCACATTAGTAGAAATAGCTATTTTTGAAAGCAAATTATCTGGTTTTGGGGTTAATTTCTTCATCTATCTTGGGCAGACTTGGTTGACTTTGTCAAAATTACTTGAGCACCCAAAATCATGTCGTTTAAAGGGTTTTTTAAATTTCAATAGGTTTTGGGGGAACAGGTGGTGTTTAGTTACATGAATAAGTTCTTTGGTGGTGGTTTCTGAGATTTTGGTGCACCCATCACCCGAGCAGTGTACACTGTACACATTGTGTAGTCTTTTATCTCTCACCCACCCCCCACCCTTTCCCCCGAGTCCCCAAAGTCCATTGTATGGTTCTTATGCTCTTGCCTCCTCAAAGATTAGTTCCCACTTATGGGTGAGAACGCACACTGTTTGGTTCTCCATTCTAAAGGAATATGTTTTGAAGATGCAAGTGTAACCAGGAACCTTGTAAATACAATTATGAAACCCTACTCTTAAAAAAAATAGAAAACATATTTTCCTAAGCAGTAAGGTATGACGTGCATGTTAATCATAATAAATTTTATATGTATAACAATTTATTTTGTAGAATAAACATGTCAGCAAATTTCTGGTTGAGGCACTTCCGTAAACACTGTCATTTGTGACATTTTATTTATCTGAGAACTTTCAGTGTGGATTCCACTAAATTCACATTAATCACATGAATTGAAATAATTTTCACTTCTACTTTGTACCACATCAAGAACTAGTGTTTATGTCTGCTTTGCCACTGATTGCTTTGTGACTTTACGCAAATAACTTTTGACCTTGGTTTTGTCTGCAAAATGAGCTTTTGGAACTCAAGAAGCTCCAAGATCCTTTGACTCTTAAAATTTCTACAATTCTAAATGAGAGAGGGAATTGAATTCTTAGAACAATTGCCGTTAAGACAATAAAAGTCACAATAATTATCCAAAATAAATGTATTTATGAAGTGCAAAAGCAAACCTTTCAGAGTCCAGTGGGACACAGAGAAACACAAATAAATACGCCCCAGTATAATGTGGATTATAAAATTGCTATTGCAATGACAGGGTCCCACTGGCAGTGACGAAGAAGAGAAGAAAGGAAGAGATGGATTCAAACTAAGGAGATTCATGATTGCTTTTTGGAAGACATGAGAATTGGTTGGGGCCCAGTAATGAGGAGCTTTGAATATTGAGGTCCGGGATTCAAATTTCACCCATCCCCACAACCTTATGGGAACAATCTCGCTGAATAGCATGACGGAATAAAAGACAGACCCCATACTTTTTATGAGAACCCAAATTGTTTAGACTGAATTGGGGCAGAGAATGGTTGGGAATATTGGGATAGATTATTTTATTTTTAATTCACACACAAAAAAATTGTGAAGATGCTGTAAGCTATTGCCTGTTCTCGTAGCTCCCAATAGCATATACACACCAATGCCCGATAGCTCTTGAATTTCTAACTCCATCACGGAGCCTTCTAATTTCTTCATCCTGATAGCCCAGAAACAGTTAGACTTTTTCTCTGGTCATAAGCAAAACTTCTTGAAATAAAGATGCTCAAAATTCAATTTATTTTTTCTTTCTAATCTTCACCTTCTTCCATTTTCCCTTCCTCAATGGAAGGCACCACCATTCATCCACATAATGGGTTCAGCCTCAAATCTTGCCTATACCTTCCATCCTACCCCTTGCATTTAATAAATTGACATTTAATCCTATGTCAAGTTCTGAATATTCAACTTGCTTATTATCTCTCAAAGACATACCTTTGTTCCACCAGCTTCTGGCTTTTTTTTTTATTAAGACAAAATCCAAAATATTTCTTCCTATACTCTTAAACTGCCTCCACACCAAGTGATACTCCAGACAACTGTTGGAGTGAACAACACGAAGAGAAATTAATGACATAAATCCCATCTGTTAGGTTCTTTCAATGGCTCTTTATTAACTTTAAGACAAAATCTAACTTCTTCAGCCCAGTAGAGAAGAGATTTTTATCCTCTGGTCTCTGCCAACCTCTAAACTCCCACCTCTCCCCACTATTCTCTGTAGCCCTGTGCTCTGGCCATTGTAATGACCTGCAGTTCCCTCAGTCTGTCTATGGTAATTCTCAAATTTCCTCTTAAATCTCACCTCCTGTTGTTAACTTTCTCAGGTATCTAGATAGTCATACTTGCACCCGTATCGTCATGCACATATCTCCACCAAGCATTTACAATAATGCTTTATAATTGACTTATTTTGTAATATACAGGCATATTTATTTACTGACCTGTTTCTCCTCCTTTCTCATGTATCCTAAAGCTCTCCTATATTAGAACCCTCACTAATACTGGGCATATGCTAAGCTCCCAATTAATAGTTGACAGTGAATAAGTATGTAAATAAGGAATAGTCCAACAGCATCGAGATAGATCCTGAACAGGCGCTGTTAGAATAGATACAACCTAGCCGGGCACAGTGGCTCACGCCTGTAATCCCAACACTTTGGGAGGCCGAGGCTGGTGGATCACCCGAGGTCAGGAGTTCGAGACTAGCCTGGTGAAACCCTGTCTCTACTAAAAATACAAAAATTAGCCAGGCGTGGTGGTGCACACCTGTAGTCCCAGCTAGTCGAGAGGCTGAGACAGGAGAATCGCTTGAACTGAGAAGGCGGAGGTAGTAGTGAGCTGAGATTGCACCACTGCACTCCAGCCTGGGCGACAAAGCGAGACTCCATTTCAAAAAATAATAATAATAAATAAAAGAATAGATACAACTCCAAATGGAGTATTTTAACCAAGTACTAATAACTTGCGTAATTTAACTAGCTAGTCAGGCTAGTTAGAAGTTGAAGGAGACAAGTAAAACTGATCCAAGCTTTTATCTTTTATGAGGAGTATTCAGTGGTGCTTGCAACCAAGGCGTGCACCAGAAGGAATAATATGTTTGGACAGACAAAGACGGAATTTTCTCTTCAATAAAATGCATTTCACTTCTCTATGGGACATCAATATGGAAATGCCCAGCAGGCACTTGCAACGAAAGAGAAGTCTGGAAAAAAAAGTAAGAGATTTATAAGAGAAGACACTGGCCTGGAGATGTAGTTGAAGCCATGGAAGTAGATGATCCTGCCAACAGTTTAGAAATAAAAGATGATGACTGATTATGAAACCTGAATAAATGTCACCATAAAGGGGCAGGTGGAGGAAGAAGAGGGAACATCCAGCTGGAAAGATTTAGAAAGTGCAATCACAGAGAGAGATAGAGAGCCAGGGAGGTAAAGAATAACAGAAATCTGAAAGAAGAGTAGTCTGTGGTTTCAAATGCTGCAAAGCTAAGCAGGTTACAAACATTAAAGAAGATCACATGGTGAAGAAAATGACAGAAAGAGTTTCAATTCAATAATAGAGTTTGAATCTGTATTGCAAGAAGCTGAAAGAAGTATGAGGAAGAAAAAAGAGGCATTATTGATATGAGAATGTTATTTCATAATATTATTTTTCCTTGAAGAGAAAAAGATGGAATGCAAACATTTAATTTAAAAAAATGAAATTGAGGCAGTGTCTTTGAATCAGAAAAAGATGTTCAATGTTTCATTTTTTGAAAAAGCAGTAAAGAAATTGATTTTATTTTGTTGCTACAAAATCTGTCATTCTTAAGTCATTCCGTCAAATGATAATAGCATATTTTGGTTCATTGTTATTAGTTTGCAGAAATAATTGTGACTTAGGACAATGAGATTCAATCCCTCATTATAAAGAAAATCAATAACTTCCTACACCATGTAAACCTAACATGGAAAAAAGCAATTAGTAACAACACAGCCTGGTGCACTCTCAGAGAGAAGAGTGCTATATGTATCAGCATTCTGAGAAGGAAAAATAAAAATGCATCAAAGTAAATATTTTATGATTTAGAAAGAACAACTTCACAGTACAGGAACTTGCATCAGCAAAACACATTTCTATAAAAAATCAGAGGAAAATAAGTATGGTCCTTATTGTTTCTAAGTAGGAAGCTACCAATTTCTGTCAAAACATCCCACTTTATAGCACATGGAATAATTTTATTCATCTAAAATATTCCCTCCATGGTAACTGCTTTTTTTTTTTTTTTTTTTTGACAGAGTCTCGCTCTGTCGCCCAGGCTAGAGTACAGTGGAGTGATCTCGGCTCACTGCAACCTCTGCCTCCGGGGTTCAAGCAATTCTCTGCCCCAGCCTCCCAAGCAGCTGGGATTACAGGCGCCCGCCACCATGCCCGGGTAATTTTTGTATTTTTAGTTGAGACGGGGTTTCACCATCTTGGCCAGGCTGGTCTTGAACTCCTGACCTCGTGATCCACCCACCTCGGCCTCCCAAAGTGTTGGGACTTACAGGCATGAGCCACTGTGCCTGGCCTCATTTCTAAAATTATCTGTGTGATTATATTACAAGACAAAATGCTATACCTGCTGTACTTTCATTCATGAACAAAGAAATATATAATTTACTTTCTCAACTTAGCAAATCAGAAAATCCAAAAAATGTAGAAATCCACATTATATTAAAGACATTATAATCCAATATCTGCATTTTAGAAATGTTGAGTGAGACCCATTGAACTAAAGGGACTTGTCAAATGTTATAATTCAACAATCAAGATGGGATTCGAATCTGTGTCTAGTTTTGAAGTATAGCAGTTGACTCGTGCATATTATGTCATTTCCATGCTAAGATATAGTACATTCACTTTTTTTTTAATTCATTGAGGCAGTGTTTTTATATCTCCTTCTCTTTTTAAATGTGGTTTCACATTAGACATAATATGAACAGTTTGTGGGAATGTCCTTCCATATTATCTTGAGTATTCCTAATTGGGTGGATATGATTCCCTTATTAAAATCTGCCTGATTAAATCTTGTAGGAAGGGAAAAGTCACTAATATTTATTGAGCCCCTACTGTGTGCCTTTCAATCCTATTCTTTCATTTATGCAATTAAATATTGTGTCCCAATTTTACACATCAGAAGATCCAGGCTCGTGGAAGGTATGCTGTTTACCAAACTTTATAGCCAAGAAAAGATGCAGCTGGGATTAAAATCAAGATAGTCTGATTTCATAGCAATCTTCTTTCTACTATACTAATTAGGCTATTAAATTTTAACTATCTTAAAAGATAAAAGTGTATGAGATTAGAACAATTCAGGTTTCAGGAGAGTGAAGATAATGAATAGTTCCAGGCTTTATTAAAATAAACATGCAAGATAATTCTCCTAAAATAACCACTAAAATAATATAAATATAATATAAGTAAATATCACAGAGGCAATAAAAAAGCAGAAAAATGTCGCAAACAATAATATAGTTTTAAGCCCATTGATAAATAATATATTGATAATTGATATTAATTATCAAACTAAATGTATGGATCTACACAAAGAAATGAAAAACTCTGGAAATAGTAACCATGCAAGTAAATATGTAATATTGTTCTTACAGCTGACTGTTTTAACCAAAATAATAAGGATGTATTGTGAGGATTTCAATTATTGTAAAAGGGAAATGTATGACAACAACAGCATAATTCCAGGATAGGAAATGGAAGTTAACCACTGCAAGGTTCTTACACTAAATGTGAAGTGGTCTCATATCATCAAAACTAGACTATGATAAGTTAATGATGCATAATATGAATACTAAAGCAATCACTGCAATAAAAAAATTATAGCTAATACACCAAAAGGAGGTAAAATGGAACTATAAAAATAATTAAGCCAAAATGCTATTATTAAAAAAGTCAAAAAACAACAGATGTTGGCAGTGATGCAGAGGAAAGGGAATGCTTATACCTTGTTGGTGGGAATGTAAATTAGTACAACCTCTATGAAAAACATTATGGAGATTTCTCCAAGAACTAAAAAGAGAACTATCCTTCGATCCAGCAGTCTCACTACTGGGTGTCTATCCAAAGGAGAACAGATCATTTTATTAAAAAGACACCTGCATTTGTATGTCCATCGCAGCACTATTCACAATAGCAGAGTTATGGAGTCAACCTAAGTGTCTAACAATTGATTGCGTAAAGAAAATGTGATATACACCATGGAATACTATAAGGCCATAGCACAGAGTGAAATCATGTCCTTTGAAGCAACATGGATGGAACTGGAGGCCATAATCTTAAACAACTCAGAAACAGAAAACTAAATACTACATGTTCTCATTTGCAAGTGGGAGCTGGGAACACATGGAAATAATAGACACAGTGGACTCTAGAAGTGGGAAGGATGTGGCGGGGATGAAGATTGAAAAATTAGCTGCTGGGTACAATGTTCACTATTTGAGTGAAGAGTATACTAGAAACCCAAACCTTACCATGAAGCAATATATCCACCATGTGACAAGCCTGCACATGTGTCCCTGAATCTAAAATAATGATAATAGTAATAATGATAATTAAGCCAAAATGAAGTAGAAAATGAGGAAAAGGGAACAAAGAATGGATAGAACAAGTAGACACCAAATAGCAAGATGGTAGCCTTATACCTCAACATAGCAATAATCACATTAAGTATAAATGGCTACATGGTTGTATGTATTTGTCAAAATTCTTTGAGCTTTGCATTTCATTCAGATGTGTAAATTTTATTGTATGTGATATATGACTCAATTAACAAATGATACACACAAAAAAGCAAGCCACAAGCTGAGGAAATATTTGCTATCTATATTGCCAACAAAAGGATTATTCTTCAAAAATGGGTAAATAACATCTACAAATCAAAACAGAAAATTGAAACAAACCAAGAGGAAAACAGGGAAAATACATGAGAAAGTATTTCATAGAGGAGACACAAATTGCCAATAAATATATGAAAAGATGCCCATTCTCATTATCAGTGGAAGAAATACAAATTAAAACTATCATGAGATACCATTTTACACTCCTGTGATTGGCCAAACTCTAAGTGTTTGATGAGTGTAAAAGAGGATGTGGAATGATGGGTCATCACTTTTGGGGGAGTAAATTATTAATAGTATTTTGGAAAACATCTGAGTTACCTAGTAAATTTGAATAGCACATGGTGTACAACAAAGTTTTATTCTACTACTTACATAATCACTGTATATGTGCATGAAAGGCATTTGTACACATTTTGTAGCATTATTTGTAATAGATAAACAGGAAAAACCCAGATAGCCACTGGCAAAGAGAGTGGATGAATTGTGGTGTTTCCATAAAATGGATATTATACAGCTATACAGATCAACATGGACGAACCTCAGAAACATCAAAATGAATGAAAACCAAGTCAGAAGCATATATTTAATATGATCCCATTTATACAAATTTTGAAAACACACAGAGCTAAATAAAATATGTTAGTAATGCATGCATTTATTGCAAAATAATTTTTTAAAATATAAGAACTGTGAGTAAAAATTTTTGAAAAATCAGTTTAATCACTACTCCTAAGGAACAGGAATAAAATGATTATTTTATTTTCTATATCATTCCATTTTTGCTTCTGTGTTTGCAAACACACACATGTCTGTGTGTGCATGTTTGAGTGTGTGCTCATGCGTTCAAGACTCAGATCAGTTGTTAACGTAGATAAAAAAGCATAGTGAAATGAAAAATTATTTAAATATTTAGCATAAAACTTTAAAAATTTCAAGTAACTGAAAATTGTAAACATGCCACAGTTATAAACGTTATAGGTGGGGCCTGTATTATAATAAACTTTAATACAGTGTATATTTGTTTACTAAATATGTTTCTTTCTTGAAAATATACATTTAATACTTTTTATTATAAAAAAACAGGTGGCCGGGCGCGGTGGCTCACGCCTGTAATCCCAGCACTTTGGGAGGCCGAGGCGGGCAGATCACGAGGTCAAGAGATCGAGACCATCCTGGCTAACACGGTGAAACCCCGTCTCTACTAAAAATACAAAAAATTAGCCGGGCGTGGTGGCAGGCGCCTGTAGTCCCAGGCTACTCGGGAGGCTGAGGCAGGAGAATGGCGTGAACCTGGGAGGCGGAGCTTGCAGTGAGCTGAGATTGCGCCACTGCACTCCAGCCTGGGTGACAGAGCAAGACTCCGTCTCCAAAAAAAAAATAAATAAATAAATAAATAAAAAATAAATAAAAAAACAGGAATAATTATTTAATGGTGAGCAATGTTTAGTGTGTAGAATTCATACACTTTCTATGGTACATGCTATGGTATAATGGTAATAAAGCTCAATTGATTGATGCACCAGGTGTAATATCAAGCGGATTTGATTCAAAGGATAAAAGAAAAAAGATTACATGTTCAAGGTGCAGGTTTGGTTATATGAAATGTCTCAGGGCTGAAGACAGCAGTTTAGAATAGAGTTTCGTGTGACAACCTGCTTGTACTCATGTGGCAGTTAGTCTTGATGATTACCTGTTGCACTACGGGAGGGGCTTGTCATAACATAGTGAAAAGAACAATCTGGCCTCACTGGTATTTGCCTACTACTGTTTTCTGTTTTATCAAAATAAATAAATTATATTTTAATTCTGAGCTGAAAAGATTTGCTGCACAAAATGACTTCACATACACACACACAACCTTCAATCCACAATGCTTTTATGGCATAATCAGTTGTTCCTTTTCTTGACTTGGATGTCTAGTACTTAACTGGGCAGAAAAATTGAGTACATATTTAACTCGTTATTGAATTTTTTAATAAGGAGGTGAAACCTTATGCTTATATGCAATGAAACCTTTATGGATTTAAGGCAAATAAAGTCATCATGTTTCGCCTTAAAAATTCCTTGGTTTTGAAATATATTCACTTTATGGATTACAACATAATAAAAGCATTTTAAAATGTAACTTTGAATTGATAACTAGTAATACAGAGAACTCTTACTGACTAGCATTGTGGTTTTCTTTGCCTATTCTGAAGTGTATTAATTATATTATATGTTATAGTACATATTCTATTAATTGATTACATTTTTCATGCACCCCATTTTACCTAAGTACATCTTATGTTATATAAGCACTGTCACTTTCTAGCTGTGATAACGTCACTTCCCTACTCAAAAAGGAAAAAAAAATCCATTGCCTATAAAATGAAATCAAACTCCTTACCCAAATTCTGATCCTGTCGTGTTTTTGCATCCTCATTTTCCAAGATTGACTTAATATACTTTCAGTTCAGATTAATCAATGTGCCTCGCACACACCCAGCAATTACCTGCCTTTGCATGTTTAGCTTGTGCCCTTTACCTGGCATACCTTTGCCTACACCTTTGCCCACATTCCAAGAGCAGACTGTGCAAATGCCAGCCATCTGTTAAGATTCAATACACTCACTAATTCATTTCCATCAGCTTGCTTCTTCCATCCTTGCCTTGTAAGCTGGCAACTAACACCTTGTGATGTTTAATTTTATATGTCAGCTGCTGTAGGCACAGTTTTTGGTTAGACACCAGTCTAGATGTTGCCTTGAATTTATTTTTTAGATATTTTTAACATTTAAATCAGTAGAATTTGAAGAAAGTTGATTACCCTCCATAATGTGGGTGAGTCTCATCTAATCAGTTGAAGGCCTTATAAGAAAACACTGAGGCTCTCCAAGGAACAAGGAATTCTGCTTCCTCACAGCCACTGGACTTCAGACGGTAGCACAAATTCTTCTCTGGGTCTCCAGCCTGCCAGTCTGTCTTGCTGATTTCAAACATGCTATATATACTGCTGTTCATCTGTACACACACACAGACACACACACACACAGACACACACACACACACACACACACACACACACACACCCTGTTCATTCTGTTTCTCTGGGAAATGCTGGTTAATAAAAATGTACCTGAGACTGTACTGTAATTTGTAAAGGAAAAAGGTTTAATAGACTCACAGTTCCACATGGCTAAGGAGGTCTCACAATCATGGTGGAAGACAAAGAGGAAGCAGAGGCACGTCTTACATGGTGGCAGACAAGAGAGCTTGTGCAGGGGAACACCTATTTATGAAACCATCAGATCTTATGAGACTTATTTACTACCACAAGAACAGTATGGGAGAAACCACCCCCATGATTCAACCCATGATTCAATTATCTCCACCTGGCTCCACTCTTGACACATGGGGATTATTACAATTCAAGGTGAGATTTGGATGGGGACACAGCCAAGCCCTATCATTTACCCTTGTCCTTCTCTCCTTTCTGCCCATATTCAATTCCCAGTCTCACAGTAGGTCTAAAATGAGTGTCGCTCTCTAAGTGGATGCTCCTCACACAGCCCTGACCAGGGCATATCCTTCCATTACATTCTACCAAAGTACCTTGGACCTCCCACTACAGGAAATTCATCATGACTGTAACTTCATATTTGTAAGATGGTCTTATTAATGCCTGCTTTCTCTATTACACTGTAGGATCTACAAGGGGGGTGGTCCATGTCTGATTTTTTAGAACTGTATCTGCCGTGTAGTAGGTGCTATATATCTTTATAAGTGTGTGTGTGTGTGTGTGTGTGTGTGTGTGTGACAATGAACCCTTTATTGGCATATATATTTTATTTCCTTTATAAAACAATATGCTTTATGAGTTCAATATTCATGTCTGATTTATCTCGACTCCCGGTAACATACTGTCTTGTAACACACTGTCTTTTACCAAGTAGGATTGGTTAAGAAACATAAAAATTAGAAAGGTAGGCATTCAGTAAATACTTAGTAATGTAAATATTTTAGATCTAAATACTTAAATACTTAGATGAATGGAGGATTAATCACTTAAGGTTTGACTTGACATTACATTCTGAAGTGGAAGGTGATGTCACACTACTTGTAGAGACGATGATTGAATTATTCATTAAAGGTCATCCTTATGGGGAACAAGAACATGTTCGTCAGCCTTCATTCAACTCAACAGTGAAGAGGTTAAGGGCATTCTGAACACACCCACAACAAACCTTAATATTTCCAAATTATTCATGAAGATTTCACCCCAAAACATGGAGACAGGAGAGAGGATTTTTCAAGAAGGTAATAGTGGTCAGCAGAGATGAATCCTGCTGAGAAAATACACAAAATAACTGGGAAATGTTCTTTAAATTCAGTGAAGTGAAAGATACAGATGACTTTGAGAAGACCTGTATTGGCCTAGGCATGGAACTTGAAATCAGCTTGGGATGGGAGGTGGAAGGGAGTGCAGGAGGGCCCTGGACTGTATATACAGTTTTTAGTAATGTAGGGGTGAAGAATGAGAATACGTGTTAGTTTGAAAAAGATGAAGCTCTTTGTGGGGCTTTACTGATGCTTTGGCTTTAATTGGAACCACCACAGTGAGTTTAATTGTTCCTGTGCAGTGAGGGGATAGGGAGCAGGGAGGTTCTGGCTTATGTACCACTTTGTGACACTGGGGATAATAGGATAGGTTGTCAGAAATATGTCAGAGGAAAGATGTTGAGGTTCACCCTGGGAAATCCATAATCTTACATAATCTTATGATGTTTTCACAAATGTGAAGAAACATTTTGAAAAGCTATGTGTAAATGTTCTTTATTTTATTTTATTTATTTATTTATTTATTTATTTATTTATTTATGCTCACAATGGCCAGGCCACAAGATAAAGCTGACATTTTGGTGAATTAATCAGTGTGTATACCTCTCCAAAGACACCAGCATTTAAAGCCATGGCCTCAATATGTTTGCTCAGTATGCACAAGCAAGTTTAAGATAATAGGAGAGAAGCAGATACACCTTGGAAATCTCATGAAATCTCTCTGTAAATGAAAGGGATGATCTCAAAATATCAAAATATCATTATCATGAAGAAATTGAGTGGATGAGCAGTTAAGCCAGCTGAAAAGCACATGTCAGCAGAAGCTGCACAATAAATTGCATATTCGCTGTGTCATCACCTGAAACTGAATTATAAAGCATTGCAGTATTTGCCTCAAGAACAAATGGAGTTGAAATTTTAAAGAAGGAAATCATAATTGATAAAAGACTATATTGTCACAACTTATTACTGTTTTATTTTTGTGAAAAATCTTTAGAGTCTTACTTTTGCCTACAAATAAATGCCAAATATTGAATTCAAATAACTTTAAGATTTATGAAGCTGCTTAATTTCATGCAGTTGTTCCACTCCCTTAGATAATGTCAAAGCACTGTTTTCATCAGAAAGCTGAGTCTAGCACTTGGATAAAAAAAAGGTAAACAATGTTATAAAGGTGTGAATTTAGAAAGCCCCCATCTGACTTTCTTTCATATTTTTTATCATTTTCACTTTCTATCAAAAATAATGCAAAAACATTCTTGAATGATGACTTGTACAAATTTATATTATCTGGAAAATATATTTTCACAAAAATCCTAAGGTCAATGAAATATTGTTGATAACAAAAATAATTAAAATATCTTTATGATAAAAAATGGGCATGATGCAATAAGAATTATTCATTAGTAGTCATATTCTGGTAGCTATGTTTTTATAACAACGTTTATGTAAGTTTCATTTTAATTTAAATTATTTATTTATTTGTTTTGAGATAGGGTGTCACTGTGTCACCCAGGCTGGAGTGCAGTAGCACGATCATGGCTCACTGCAACTAGGAATTCCTGGGCTCAATCGATCCTCCACGCCTCAGCCTCCCTAGTACCTAGAACTACAGACACAAAACACTGCACCCAGATGCACTTTTGAAAATATTAAAATTTTGAAGCATTCCAAAGTCATGCGTAGTATTTATCTTTTCAGGTTATTGTAGTTAACTGAATGTGACACAGGGCAAAGGAACTGTCATATCTACTTGAACTTTGATAATTAAAACTCCCAGCTTAAATCAGTAAATGTCCCTCTATAAGTCATCCCAGTTAAGTATAAATTCAAACCACTCTGTAAAAACCATAAAGGAAAAGATTAAAATGTCACCTTTTTTAAAATTTTTATGCCAACATATAATTTTATTTTTCAATCCCTCCAATCCACCTGTCAATGAGGATTGTCCTAATAGAATGGGTAAAAAGTTGAATGCCCATACCTTTTGAATGTTTGTAAGCTGTTCATATGGTATACATTTTTCAATTAAAAATAATGACAAATTCAAACATTTTTATAACACACATGTTTCATTGAAATATTATAGAATTATGCTTCTTTCTGTGAATTGCAGAATGAAATTGAGTGGCTTGGACTCTAAGAAAATCCTAATGAGTTCATGAGAAGTGATGCAAGACGGAGTAAAATTTAAAATGTTTCAAATTGAACATAGCTACTAATATGCATAATCTGTCTACTAGGTATCTATCTGTCTTTCTAGATAGGTAGATAGATGGATGGACAGAGAGAACACTTTACAATTGGAATATTCAGTGGTAGAAAGAGAATTGGAAAAATATACCTGGTCTCACGAGTGGTGATGTAATACTTCCATGCAAAAGAAAACAAGCCTGATCTATAGCCAGAAGTACAGGGTTAAAGACTCCAGAAGGTGCTGGAAGAGATAAGGTTTTCCTAAGAGTCCACATGATAGCAGATAATAAACCTGATTTCCTGAGGGTCCATGTGATAGCAGGTAATAAACCTGAGGCTGAAGGAGAGGTGAAGAAGCGTAACCTGTGAGCTCCATGCTTCGGCAAACAAGTAGAGAGAAGAGGGAAGCTGGCCAAGGGTGCATTACTCCCTGACTACAGGAGAAACAAGCACTTCCACATTATGCCTGTGAGTCCTAATGATTATGATCAACACTGAGTGCACAGTCAGAGATTATTGGGCACCTATGACGGAAAGCCACTATCGTGGGCATCCAGAGACACAGCAAAGAGCACATTGTGTATGGATTTTTGGAACCTTCAGATGGAGAATATAGAATGGATGACTATAAAATGCTTAAATAAGTTGAGTCAGTTCACAAAAATAGGCATGCAATTACAGGCTATTAGAAATGAAGACAGATCATTTTTTATTGCGTCTATTTGATTCTTCTCTCTTTTTTTCTTTGTTAGTCTTGCTAGCGGTCTATCAATTTTGTTGATCCTTTCAAAAAACCAGCTCCTGGATTCATTAATTTTTTGAAGGGTTTTTTGTGTCTCTATTTCCTTCAGTTCTGCTCTGATTTTAGTTATTTCTTGCCTTCTGCTAGCTTTTGAATGTGTTTGCTCTTGCTTTTCTAGTTCTTTTAATTGTGATGTTAGGGTGTCAATTTTGGATCTTTCCTGCTTTCTCTTGTGGGCATTTAGTGCTATAAATTTCCTTCTACACACTGCTTTGAATGCGTCCCAGAGATTCTGGTATGTTGTGTCTTTGTTCTCGTTGGTTTCAAAGAACAACTTTATTTCTGCCTTCATTTCGTTATGTACCCAGTAGTCATTCAGGAGCAGGTTGTTCAGTTTCCATGTAGTTGAGCGGTTTTGAGTGAGTTTCTTAATGCTGAGTTCTAGTTTGATTGCACTGTGGTCTGAGAGATAGTCTTAACTGTCATTACTCACAGGCATGCCATTATACCCATAAAATCCTATGAAATCTATTTTTAAAACTATTCGAAATAATTTGCAAGGTCACAGGATACATGATCAATAGAAAATATCAATTGCTTGCCTATAGGACAGCCACAAACTGTTGGAAAATGGCTCTAAAATGGTATTCATAAAGAATACCATTCACCATAGCATTAGAAAACATTGAGTATTAAGGATGCAATTTCAATGGAAGATGGCAGGATTTTTACACCAAAAAATATAAAATGTTTTAGGGCTTAGAGAAGATTGAAATAAATGGAGACATATTAGAATACTCATCATTTTATAATGCAATTTCTCTTTCAGTTGATACAAAAATTCAATCCAATTCCAATACAAATTCCAAAAATTTTACTAAAATTAACAAGTTGTTGCTCAAATGTATATAGAAATGCAAAGGAATTATTTCAACCAAGACAAGGATGGAAGATAAGGAATAAAATCGGAATATTTATATTATCTAATTTCAGGACTTACTGTGAAGCTACAGTAATAGACATAGTGTGGCGTTAACCTAAGGACCAAAAAATAAATCAAAGCAACAGAGTAGAGTCCAGAAATACAACTATTCATAAATGATAACTAGTTTTTTTTCAAAGGCACTACCAAAATTCAGTGGGGATTGCAAGGTCTTTTCACCAATTATACTATAAAAACTGGATACCTATATGGAAAGAGTATACTCTGACCAAAATTCACAATAATTGATTTGAGATGTAACCGAGAGCAAAATGCAAGAGCTAACACTATAAAGCTTCTGGAAGGATATAGGAATGTATGTAGTTAATCTCAGCATTAGTGATAATTTCTTGGTCAGGATGAAAATTGCACTATTTAATAAGTAATAAAAAGAGTAAATTGGACTACATGGAAATGAAAAACATGCCCTCAAAAAATACACAATTAAGAAAGTTTTATAATTCTCATATGGTGAGAAAATATGTGCAATTCATATATCAAACAAAAGAACTTTAATCGACATTTATAATAAACTTACAAATCAAGAAAAAGACAAACAACCCTGTTTTTAGATGGGCTAATTTCTTAAAAAAATGGATAAAAGTTTTCATTAGGCAATTAATATGAGAAGATAACCAAATTTCCAGTAACATAGGAAAAGATATTCAACAGAAATATAAATTCAAATCACAATGAGATATCAGAACCTATGTAGCAGAATAGGTAAATTTTTAAAAACTGACAATATAAGGTGATAGCAAGGTGACTGGATAACTGAAACTCATATTTTGCTGATGAGAATATAAAATGATACTTGTTGAAAAATTATTTGATGGTCTCTGATATGATGAAGCATATGCCTACTAAATTGATCCAGCAATTCCACTCCTAAATGTATACCCAAAATAAATGAGTACTTTTCTTTAGAAAGAGTTGACAAAAAATGTATAGAGAGAAACTTAATGGGTAATAGGAAGAAACAAAAACTATTGAAATATCCATTACCTGGGCAATGAATTTAAAAACTTTCGTATAGCCATACATACAACTAAATACCACCTAGAAATAAAGAGGAACAAACAAGCAATACATGTGACAACACTCATAAATACCAAAAATCTTATATTGAGTAAAAGAAGACAGACACAGAACACTACATACTGATGATAGACATTTACATCAGAAACTACAACAGGCAAAACTAATTTATGGTGACAAAATTAAGAATAGTAGTTATCATAAAAACCCTAGAAGTAAACCTAGGCAACACCATTCAGGACATAGGCATGGGCAAGGACTTCATGTCTAAAACACCAAAAGCAATGGCAACAAAAGCCAAAATTGACAAATGGGATCTAATTAAACTAAAGAGCTTCTGCACAGCAAAAGAAACTACCATCATCAGAGTGAACAGGCAACCTAAAGAATGAGAGAAAATGTTTGCAATCTACTCATCTCACAAAGGGCTAACATCCAGAATCTACAAAGAACTCAAACAAATTTACAAGAAAAAAATAAACAACCCCATCAAAAAGTGGGCGAAGGACATGAACAGACACTTCTCAAAAGAAGACATTTATGCAGCCAACAAACACATGAAAAAATGCTCATCATCACTGGCCATCAGAGAAATGCAAATCAAAACCACAATGAGATACCATCTCATACCAGTTAGAATGGCGATCATTAAAAAGTCAGGAAACAACAGGTGCTGGAGAGGATGCAAAGAAATAGGAACACTTTTACACTGTTGGTGGGACTGTAAACTAGTTCAACCATTGTGGAAGACAGTGTGGCGATTCCTCAAGGATCTAGAACTGGAAATACCATTTGACCCAGCCATCCCATTACTGGGTATATACCCAAAGTATTATAAATCATGCTGCTATAAAGACACATGCACACATATGTTTATTGTGGCACTATTCACAATAGCAAAGACTTGGAACCAACCCAAATGTCCATCAATGATAGACTGGATTAAGAAAATGTGGCACATATACACCATGGAATACTATGCAGCCATAAAAAAGGATGAGTTCATGTCCTTTGTAGGAACATGGATGAAGCTGGAAACCATCATTCTCAGCAAACTATCGCAAGAACAAAAAACCAAACACCGCATGTTCTCACTCATAGGTGGGAATTGAACAATGAGAACACTTGGACACAGGAAGGGGAACATCACACACCAGGGCCTGTCGTGGGGTGGGGGTAGGGGGGAGGGATAGCATTAGGAGATATGCCTAATGTAAATGACGAGTTAATGGGTGCAGCACACTAACATGGCACATGTATACATATATAACAAACCTGCACGTTGTGCGCATGTACCCTAGAACTTAAAGTATAATTTAAAAAAAAAAGAATAGTGATTATCTTAGGGAAGGGATTGTCGACTGGGTAGGAGCATGAGAAACCTTTTTTGATAATGGAAATGTCCTATATATCTTGATCTGGGTGATAGTTGCCTGCATATGCTCCTATGTAAAAAAAAAAATTGCTGAACATCATACTCAAAATTTGTGTTTTGCCTTTTGGAAATAGTACCTCAATAACAATGCACACAATAAATATAAAATAAGATGAAAGAAATACAAGGAAACATATCAGCTATCATTCTAAAAGTAAACAGAATGAAATTTTCAAAGGCAAAGGCAATTAACTAGCTTAATGTACTAAGTCCAGCAATGTTTTTTCTACCAAAACTATCACATGTAACACCAAATGACAAAGAAAGGCTAAATAGAGGGGCATGGACCAGATTGTATCAGGCAAAGACAAAAAAACAAACAAAAACAAAAACAAAACAAAACAAAAAAACCCAAAAGAATCAATATCAGCTGAAGCAAAACCAAGCTCAAAACGCTATGAAAAACAAGGAAAGAGATTGATGAAATAAAAGTAGTGTCAAAGTTGATTCAAGAAGTTAAATCCCCGAATAAATCTATAACAATAAAAGAAACAAAGGCTGAATAAGGAACTCTCTTCCAAGCAACTGCATGTCCAGTGTTAATGAAAAGATAATCTCTATGTATATAACTTCTTCTGGGAAAATAATCAAAGTGACAAAATGTTACATATGAATTATAGAACCATCTCACATAAAAACAGTCGAGCCATTTCACATATGAACATTTAAATCTTAACAACCCATTAGTGAACTCAGGCTGCCAAGCCTCCCATGCTCTCAACAATCTTCTACAAATCCTGTCTCTCGAGAGAGCCTTGAGGAGTCCCCTAGGCATATCTGTTTTCCTCTCCTTTATGTAATACATGGAAATGCCTGAGCAGGGAACTCCTACGATTTATATGCATTCTACAAAATAGAGTAATAAAGAAAGAGAATTGCACAACAAGGGAAGAATGTGTGTTGCAGAATTTCTCTGGGACGTGTCTTCTTGTCAAAAGAGCATGGGTAGTTGATGTTCACTGATTCTATTGGAGAATATAAATTTTAGTTCTTCAGTGTTAGAAGGATTCTAGCTGCTTAGAGGAATTCGAAGTAGGTTTCCAGTCTTGCCCATGGAGAGCATATGAATACCTGTTGATGAACGCTGCATAAAACATTCCTGACTTGGGTCCAGGAATACATCAATAGCAGCCTCCCACCTTCAACAGGGATGTGGAAGTGGCACAGGTACCAGTTCTTAATTCCCAAACATAAAAAGCTTTGGATTGTTTTCTCACTGTGGGTATCCAGATACCTCAGTCTCAAAACATTGCAGCCTGTCTAGGAAGGGAAGGCATTCCTAATTTTGGTAGGTCCTTAAACCTTCTCATTCCTAAACTATTTCAGGTGAGTAACAATTAGAACCAGCAGAAGGGACTGACCTCTCACAGACTTCCCTTTGAATGTCATAAATACCAATCCCTAGTCAGCCCCATATCTACAGACAAGGTATCTGGAATGCAATCTACCTCACATGACAACTATTGAAAAAATAAGGTGAGAACTTACACATGCAAATGAGTATTTTCCTTCAAACTGGTCCCTGTGAGTGGCGACACGGGTATTTCAAAAATGTTATCACAGCCCCAACGAGTGTCAAAACCGTTTTTGTTTGTTTGTTTTAAGTGATATCAGAACTAGTTTATGAGTCACATCAAGGAAAAGATGACTGATATTCACTGGAAAAATATGTCCCAGACACCACCGAAATACTTTCACATAGAATATACCAGACAAAGTAAATATTATTTTTGTTTTCTATGAATGAAGAAAATGGGTCCTGAGACTTTAAATAAATTGTCCAAAAATTCAAATAGCAATATTTCAGTTATTCCTTTTCTGTTGGCAAATTCACCAGGTAAAATCATTTTCTTCAATACCAAATGGACTCACTTACACGTGGAATCTAAAAACATCAAACTCATAGAAGCCAAGAGTGGAAAGGTGGTTGCCAGGGGCTGGAGGGAGGGAGGTAAGATCAGTGAGATGTTGGCCAAAGGATACAAAATTCAGTTCGACATAAGGAATAAGTTCAAGAGACCTGTTGTACAATATATGGTGGCTATAAGTAATACAATGTACCATATACTTAAAATTGATAAAAGTAGATTTTAAGCATTTTCACCACAAACACATGATAAGTATGTGAGGTAATGCACATGGAATTGACTTCATCTAGCCATTTCACAATGGATACATATTTCCAAACATCATGTCATACACCACAAACTTGTACAATTTCATTTGTCAATAAATTTTTTAATTTCTTTTTTTACTGACCTGATTGATGCCAAATTAGCTATGACTCTTTTGTAAATTAAAGATTGCCTTAAAGGATGAAGATTTTCACGGCTTTAAGAGTCAAAAAGACTATGCCTCATATACTTCAATCATTATATTTTGCATAACCAGATATAACTTATTTAATAGTTATACTGAGAGCAGAAAATGGAGTGAGTTTATAATCAGGGAAGTCTTTCTAGGGATTATGAATTTTGAGGATGAACAGAATTTATACAGAAGGAGAATGATGGGAACATTATAGTCCAGATTCTACATGAACAATTTACTGATCATTCTTAGTTTGGAGTAATTCTTTATGTCTGGACTATATAGAATGTCAGATGTGGATGTAGGAAATGACAACTAAAAGATATCTAGGGTCCGTATGTTATTCTGAGCCTGGGACTTACTCACAGGCAATGGGAACCATTGAAGGATACAGGCAAGAGAGCAAGATGTGCAGTTTGATATTTCAGAAAGATGGTTCTATAGGCAAAACATGTCAACACGATGCAAATGAGAGAGAAAGTGTTGTATTTAAGAAGTGTGTTTAGGAGGCTGTTACATTAATGCAAGTAGAAGACAATGGAAGTGCAAACTAGGGCTGTGCCTAGTAGGTTGAAAATGGAGAGGAGGGTAGATTTAAGCTATAATAGAATTATCTGGGGAATGGGTGTGAGAGAACAGAAATGGTGGAGGATGACATTTACCTTTTATACAAAGTGAAAGAGAAGGTTAAAAAGGTGGGCTTGTAAAAGGTACATGTGAAACAATGGAAGTTAGATGTTAAAACCTCTAGTGACTGTAATAAAAGAAAATAGACAAAATGTATTGGTTTTGTATCTTTGAACTTTTAATGAAAACGTAGTCACTTAGACAACCACCATGTGTTTTCTTATAATTATTTGGATCAACAATTAGGACTGTGCTCACCTGCTGTGGTTCTGTGGATGGCCCCACATAGTGCTGTTAGGCTGCTAGGCTCACATGTGTTTGGGCCTCTGCTGAGACAGCTGGGACAGGAGCCATATGGGATGGCTGGAGACTTGCTCCATGTGGTCTCTCAAACCCCAGGAAGCTGGTGTCTGTTCACATAGTGGCAGATGAGTTCCTGGTGTGAGAGGAAGTTGCAAGGGCTGGGAAAATAGGCTCCGTCTATGATAAAGGAGCTGCAAAGCTGTGTGGCCATTTTGCAATCTGTAACAGTTCTAAATCTACTAACTGAGAATATTTCGAGGTTGTCGCCAAAAAATGACACTGATGGAGATATCCATCATTGGTGTTTTTTTTAACCCACCTAATTCTATTCTATTCTGAGGGAAAAACAAAACAAAACCAAAAACAAGGTTAAAATAATCTCCTTTATTTGGGTCATACTGAGACTAAACTATCAAGTTTCCCTAGCCTTACATAGCATAATCATAAAACTAAAGCTATTCTAAGCATATAAAAAAGAAAATCCAAATATAAATTTTGTACAGATGTACAACATTTTCAACTAAGATAAAGTAAGTTATATGCTCTGGTATAGTTCATCAGTTTGGAAGAATGTCATATTTTGAGCCTTTAAATCCAAACCAATGGAACAATTGAAAGGAGGCCAACTGAATACCTTGACAAAAACAAGAAACTAACAGCCATTTATCTTTGATGCTTTCAAATCCCTTAAGATTACTTATGTTGTTTCAGATTTATTTTGAATCATGAATACCACTTTAAACAAAGCTTAGCACTCACTTTTCAGAAATATTATTCCCTCAAATAGCTTAATATATGGAAATATTTTGTGGGATTCAAACTTTATCCAGTGATAGCACTTGTATTACAATTTTTAATCCAAATTTCACATGCATGTAAGATCCAAATTTCACATGCATGTAAAATGACAAGTGATTAAAATTTTTTTTGTTTCCTCCCCAATCAGCAATTTGAAAAAAAAAAATGTGAAAGGTGAAAAAAATATTTATTTTTATCAGTGACTAAAAATTACTTTTAAAAAATTTAAAAGAGAGAAACAAACTGCAAAACGCTTTTGTTCTCTTATTATCCCTAGATAGAAGGGTTTGGGGAAAAAAATGCTGCCTTAAATCATTTATGATTTACTTCTTTCTTTCCACTGTGGAAGATGAAGTAGTTAATCTTCAGCCATGAATGTATTTATTTTCATAATTATTGGGCATATAGCATAACTGAATACATTCATATATTCTAAAAACATTAGCAACAATGTGTCAGGCAGAATTCTAGGATCATCTCCAAGATTCCTGCCCTCTGTTGCACACAAATCTTCTCCTCTCCTAGTTATTCAATCTAGGTGCTGTCGTGAAGGGACTTTGCAGACATAATTGATGTCCCAAATTAGTTGATTTTACGCCAGGGAAATAGTGTGGGTGGGTCTGACCCAAACAGATGTGCCCTAAACAAGAATGTAAGTCTTCCTGGTGAGAAAAATTGTAAGTGTGAGAGGCCCAATGGAGACGGCCACATGGGAAGAACCTGAGAGTAGGCCCTGGAGGCTGAGAGTGGCCCCAAGGTGATGAGCTTCAAGACAACATAAACATATTTCCTAAATAGATAACAGACACTGGGAAGAGAGAGAAGTGGGAGGATGAAGATAAATGGGATAACAGGTACAAACATACAGTAAGATAGAAGGAATCAATTCAATGTTTGATAGCAGAGTAGGATGACTAGACAAAAATTTATTGTGCTCAGGTGATGGGGACTATAGATACCATGATTTGACCACTATGTAGTATGTAGATGTAACAAAATTTCTCATGTTCCCCATAAACATGCACAAATAAAAAAATTTAAACGAAAATAAAATAAAACATGGTTCCTACAATTATGAGGAAAAAATATTATGCCAACAAGTTGAGAGAGCTTGAGATTACAGCCTTCCCCACTTTAGACATCTGATGAGGACACAGCCCTGGCCAGCATTTTTATTTCAGCGCAATGAAATGCTAGTCAGAAGACCTACTCATTCCATGCCCTGATTTTTGACTTACAGAAAAACTATGAGTTAATGCATGGGTGTTTTAAGCTGCTAAGTTTGTGATGATTTGAGGGCTGATAAGAGGGCTACATAAAATCATAGCTGTATGCATCTAAAATTAATCAACTGACTGGGTGTCACTGACTAAGAGCTACCTTAAACTACTAAGTTTCTAGTGCTTTCTTAGAATTTCTCCATGGTGAAGATATGTCATGGACAGGAAGATTTGTTTCAGAAGAGCAATCTATGAAATACAGTAATAATTCTTTTTCTGGATTTTCAGGGCTCGCTCTCTCTATATATATATCCTTAGAAATTCTCCTAACTTAAGTCTGCTTCCAAAAGTTAGGCAGGAAGAAAGCTGTGGTGATGAACAGTGTAGCACTTTTCTATCTATGGGTTTTGGTGTTGGAACTTGAAACCTAGGATACATGTGTACTTTTCATTCTTGATGGTGGTTGACTGCACAGTTTCCTCATGTGTTCTAGGATTGCTTTAGGACCATTTTACTATCAAGTACAGTTATACAACATTTTGGCATAACATTCAGGATCATTTCCCAATGTCAGGTGTAGAACAGAACTACCTTGAGGTCAGAGAAACTCTCCTAAAACAACACTTGTGGACTCCTCAGCCAGGGTTGCATTATGTTCTGGCTTCTGAAGAGGAAGGTACAATTTGCCATATACATGCCCTATCCAGGAAAAAGTAGCAGCTTTGCCCCTGCTGGTCCTGAGAATTCTTTTCTTTCTTTTTCTTTTTCTTTTTTTTTTTTTTTAGAGCTGGGGATTAGAATCTTTCCCATCAGGTTTTGTTCTTTACATTTTTAGTTTTCCCTACATTCACTCAACTAGAAACCCTTTCAGACTGAAATTTAGTTTGAGATCTCAAACTTCCTCTGAGTGCCCAAGAAATCATGTAGGTGTGATAATTTACAATTTCTTGTAACAAAACTCTGCCCTGAGTACTGAATGTGCCTTCACTGAACAGGGGTTTAGTCCAGTGCTGCAAAGGATTCAATCTACATTTTACAAAAGACACTTCAGGTACTTTCCAAAATGATTATTTCTTTAATCTACAAAATCACTGAGGGCTGGTTTGGACTGGGTTACACAGATCCTAAGTGGTAGAGTTGGGATTTACTTCCTGTTTTGTCAGCACCAAAGTTGGAGTTCTTTCATCCATTGTTTAAGAGGATTTGGCTAATTCTGCATACCAGAGGAAAATCAATGATTAAGTGGAGGTTCAGGAACGTAGTGGTGAGGAGAGGAGTTTGTTGAGGACGGGTGTGGTAGGTATTACACAATAGGCACTATCATCGGTAAACTCCATTTTCTCTGGTTTGTTAAGGTTCTCTCTATAAACTTTCTGTTTTCCCCATCTTCCATTCAGTGTACTAAGGGGTAATTGATTGTTCCTACTCCTGTCAGTTCTACTCAGCAGGACACAATATCAAACCCAAGATACAGAAATTGGTCTCTGCCTGCATTGGAAACATGGGTGCCTCACTGTCTTATCCCATTTAGTGTCACAAAAAGTTCCCCCCAAAAAACATCATTGATTGCATTTCAGAAGTCGTATTTCATTGGATAAAACAACTTGTGACCTCCCAAAATAATGAGAAGAAAAATAATAGGAAATTAGAGGAAAAAAAAACATAAAATCTTTTGCAGATAATTAGGACCATTTATTATATTTTCCTAATTTTTTCTCCATGGGAAAATTATATTTTATTTTAAAGTTAGTTTTTAAAATTTTTCATTGGTTCACATTTGTAATGTGAAGGAGCTGGAAAAGGTCACTCTCAATTTTCAGTTTACATAATTTATTCAATTGAACATTTATAAATAGTAACTGATTATGAAAGTACTATACTTTTTTTTCTCCTAAAATGTTTTCTCTGGAAATTTTTACTTTCATATTATTTTTCCTAATTTTGTTGTCTTCTTAAAAAAGCTTTAATACCAGCAAATATCATTGAAACCATTAACATGATTCCAAAAACAGTAAAATTGAAAGTTGCACTTGCGTTGCCAGGGAGAGTGGGTAGGTAATGAGTAACAAAAAGAAAACAAAGGTTTCTATTTACATCAAAGAACACCATATGGGATGACTTCTTCAATCTAATTTTATATGTTTTCTTCATTAAATGCTAAATTGTGCTTTCCAGACGCAATTATTTTATGTTCCATTTTAAGTTATACATACTTAATTTCAGGGAGTTTTAAGATTAAACCAAAGCCATAATGTGCTGTTTTTTTTATTACTAATGATATTCTATAAGAGTTCCTTATGAAGATATGTGACTCATTGATTTTCATACATTTGAGAAAAATGTGCATAAAATGTACTTTACAGCTATTTCAGGAAGGTCATGGAAAGCCATGAATATTCCAAAATAAATTTAATTTTTGGATCAATGGGTGTGAGAACCGGTCTTCACATTTAAAAATTATCCCACTGATTGATTGCAGTTTCCAAAATTTGTAAGGGAATGCATTTTTGACCCTACTGATGAGAAAAGATAAGCTTCCTCTAATCTCCTATGCTAAGGAAAGTAAAATTGACCCTGTGATTCCTGGATTTGAAAAACAGCATACCAATGTTTTAAGTAAAAATTAATTACAGCATTGTGAATATCAAGTGCCCTGATTTCAACAACAATCAAAATTTTATTGTGGGAAACTTTGTCTCGCATAATAATTGACTGTAAGGTTCATAGCCAAACTTTACTCTAGAAATACTAGGTCCTGCAATATAATCATCAGCTTAATTTTTGCATCTTAATCTACTTTACCTTTATACATTATTGCAGTTCAAATGTACACTCTATGAAAAAGGAATCCTATTAATTTAACATGCTTACATTTACTTTCCAAAAAAAGGGAAAAAAGTACACTTAGTAATAATCTGGTGACTCGAGTGGGAAATGTAAATTGATATGTAGTATGCAAGTCTATGTGTGTGTGTGTTGTGTGATGTATGTGGGCATGTGTATGTGTTTGACACTAAGGTTACAAGTTTGGTAAGGGCCCTCAAAACTCTTCTGAAACAACCAAGTAATAGCATTCCTTGATTTCCTAGTTCATAGTCCATAGACTACCTTAAAGATATAGCATATATATATACACATCTGTATATATATACACATCTGTATATATATACACATCTGTATATATATACACATCTGTATATATATACACAGATGTATATACAGATGTGTATATATATACACAGATGTATATATATACAGATGTATATATACACAGATGTATATATATACAGATGTATATATACACAGATGTATATATATACAGATGTATATATATACACAGATGTATATATATACAGATGTATATATATACAGATGTATATATATACACAGATGTATATATATATATACAGATTATATATATATACACAGATGTATATATATATCGAGAGAGAGAGAGAACACATATATATATAGCACAATAGAGAATTCTCTCCATTTTACAAATAAAGACAAAAGGAGAGCTTCATGTCCCATGGCAATGAAATAATAATTTATTAAGTAGACAAATCTTAGCCTGTGATTGAGATTTAAAGGCCATTTAGGGGAAAACACCATCATTTTGTGAATTATTCAAAGCCTCTGTACATAGATATTTTGCTTATTTCGTGTAAGAAATGTATTGATTTTGAAAATGCTTTGGATTCAATATATGCAAGTCTCTTTCTTTGACAAATTCCTCTTTGGCATTTAGCTGCAGAATCAGCCAGCAAATGTGAATATGCCAGAAACAGTCACTCCAGTGTTTCACTCATCGATAATCCTGTGCAGATTATAATTTTTCTTTCCCACAAATGGGAGGCAAACATTTGAAGTGTTACAATCTTTAAGAAGTACAAGAATAATTAACTTCTTTTTTTCAAAAGTGAGTTGCCTCTATTAAATATGTCAGGGAGTAAAGGCAGAGTGGATACTTGGTATTTGCTTATTAGTAAATATACACTATAAGGAGAACAAGTTTGCATCATATAACCCCAGCTGACTTCAATATGATTTTGATTGCCTATCAGGTACAGTTGATGTGCACACTCTGCTTCTGAAATTAGTTGTTACTAAGTACTCGAATATAAAATTCTGTGTAAGATAAGATAGTTTTTGATACAGATGGACGATATAACTTCTTCACTCCTCAATAGTTAGTCAGTAACTTTGCCCTGCCTATTCAAAAGAAAAAACTCTGAATAGACAGGGCAGAGAGAACTTTTAGGGCAGCAAAACTGTTTTCTGTGTCCTATTACATAATAATCATTCACTCATCCCTTCACTTTTTCATTCATCCATTCAGCAAAACCTAAATTATTCAATGCACTTTTCTATCTTTGATGAAAATTACAAAAATAAAGATGAAGTGCTGCTTGCCTTAAAAAATGCTTGTTTTGATATAAGATATATAATATTTAAATAAGTATTGTATAATACCATACCTGGCCAAAAGTAGGCCCTCAGTGGTTTTGTGATTCATATTATGAGTGAGTGCACACAGTGCTATAGTAGAGAAGTGTCTAGATATTGTATGCTTTCTTTTTGGCTACTAATTAGTTTATCTACGCCATGCATTCTCAACAGAAGGAATATTGCCTCTAAGGGGATGGAAATTGGCTTTTACAGTTTTTGTTGATTTTAACCAAATTCACACTTGTCATTTATAAAACACAGATATACCATAAAATGCAGAGATATACAAAATGTCTGAGGTATTAAAATTTCATTGGAAATGGCAATTCAGAAAAATAATGCCTAAAATCCTCCTTAGGTGAATGATAATGAAAAAAAAAAGAAGGCCGAAAAATACCAAGTTAGGCACTCTCTACCTAGAATCTAAAGGTTCATTCAAAATGATATACATGAGCTAATCAAGGGTAGCCACCATGATTGTTCTAGATAAAATTGTCTTTAGGCCGGGCATGGTGGCTCACGCCTTTAATCCCAGCACTTTGGGAGGCCGAGGTGGGTGGATCACTTGAGGTCAGGAGTTTGAGACCAGCCTGGCTAGCATGGTGAAATCCCGTCTCTACTAAAAATACAGAAATTAGCTGGGCATGGTGGTGCATCCTGTAGTTCTAGCTACTCGAGAGGCTGAGATACGAGAATTGCTTGAGCCCGGGAGGCAGAGGTTGCAGTGAGCCAAGATCACACCACTGCACTCCAGCTTGGGTGACGGGACAAGACTCTGTCTCAAAAAAAAAAATTGTCTTTAATAATTTTCTTCGTCTGGATAATGGAATAAACAGTTTAGCACTGCACTGGTTTTCATGATTAATAATTGTCTAATGAGTTAATCCTGCCAAAAACTTAACTGCTTTGCCTGAAAGACATGACCAGTAAAAGGGAATGCACACACTGGACAACCATGGGCCAGAAAGATGGGAGAGGATTTATGATTTCATGGGGGTGATAGTTCCAAGACCCATTTCGTGATTATACTTATAGTTTTATTAAATTAGTTTAGTAGCTGGCATTAGTCCTGTTAATTGGAGGCACCAAAGTTTCAAGTCTTGCTGAGTACCACCTACTAAGGGAAAAATAGTTCTTATTTCAACGGTTAGCATATTTTATTTAAAGTTTGGCATACTTTAATGAAATACGTATTTACTTATGTGTTGTCTTTGATCTCTAAGAGCAAGGACTGTACTCAGCTACAAGTTCCAATTTTCTCATTTTCCTATTTTCCATGTTTCTTACATACAGTTCACTTAGTGAATTTTAGTTGAGCTGGCTATGCATAACCAATTAGCTACAGTTTAATCCAACCCTGTTATTAACTCCATGCTTGAAGTGAAATTATTTTCATGTAACTAATTCTGTCTTTAAGTCAAATCCATCTTGAGAGTGATATATAGTTTAAGGCCTTGAGGGAATATGGTGTCTTTAAAATTTGCCATCATTAAATTTGATTGAATTGACTGACCACACCTTCTAGAGGTGGGGTCGGCTTCCTCTGGCGACTGCTATGGAAGAGTGAGGCCTATAACCCTGAATTGCAGACAGCGTGTCACAAGGGTTCCTTTGAATTTCACCGAATTAGAGCTAATAACGAATAACTTACAGGAGACTTCAGAAACCTAATCCATATTATTTTCAAAATTCTGTAGATCAGAGAGATTTTTCCATTTGCAAATACATTCATAATATCTTTGCAGGAAGCAAAGGGATAATTTAATTTGACCTCTCATTTTATAATTGAGGAAACTGAGATCTAACAAGGTTTTAACAAATAATGTAGGAGATAATATTCAAAATGGAATAACTTTGAATAGGCAGGGTAGTGAGGACTTTTAGGGCAGGAAAACTATTCTGTTTGATATTTTAATGGTGGGAACATGTCATTATACATTTATCCAAACCCATAGAATGTACAACACCAAAAGAGAATCTTAATATAGATACAGACATCATTAGGTGATGATGATGTGTCAATGTTGGTTCATTGATTGTAACAAATGGACCACTGTGATGCAGGTTATTGACAGTGGGTGAGGTTGTGTGTAGAAGCAGGGGTATATGGCAACTCTCCATATTTTCTACTCAATTTTGCATTATTAGATAACCTAATACTGCTTTAAAAAATAGTGTATGGAGCATCTCATAAATTTCAAGTATTTTATACTTGCAATTGTTAAGAGTTAAAAGGTAGTTGGATTTGTTGCAGACAATGAGTTAAGGAATCCTTTCACCTTTTTCCCAACTTTAAAATTAAGGATTCTCAGGGCCCCGTGTAGAGCAGTGAAAATAAGACTTCGTGTGTGTGTGTGTGTGTGTGTGCCTGGAGGAGAACTGGTGTTCCACTTGGGTGAGAGGATTGGCTATGAGCTTCAGACCAGGAAATGTGTCATCTTGCCAAGCACCTGACTGAGTGTGCTGGAGTGAGGATCTTGAACAGAAACTTCCTTTTCTGTTATTATTAACTACAAAGCTAAAATGGCCAAATATACACTGTGAAAATTGGGTTCTTTTAACAAAAGATCAGATCCCTCCTTCAGCTGTACACATTTTTAAATAAAATCATATTGAACTAAAAAAATAGTCTATTTTCTAGAAAAGAAAATAATTCTTATTATGATTCATAGTTATTTATCATCATTAGCTTCCATTAACATAAAATTAGCTGACTTACTCTCTTTGGGTTCTTCTGAATACCAGCTGTCAAAGTTGATTGTTGTGTGATTGTAAGTTTCTTAATTTCTCTGAGCCTCTATTTTCTCATCTATACAATGGGAAACTGGCTTGCAGAGGTGTCACATGTGAATAGTAAATAATAAACATCAAATAATTTTGAATACACATGGAAGGCACTTTTGCATAAATAGCAGTCATTTTAATTGCTATGTTTTGGATTAAATATTTATGCTAAAAATGCTAACTTTCATATCATTATTTATAATTCCTTTATAAAATATTTGATGTCTAAAATTTGATTCTAATGCATACTCATATTTTCTAATGTTATATTATTAAAAGTGTTTGATATTTAGTAGTCAGGCTGCAGTATATGCCCCATTATATTTTTAAATTTATAATAGCAATCTTATCACACAGTGCAGAACAAAAACTATAACACTCAGTCTCACACCTTTGCCTTAAGGGTATGTATGTGTGTGGAGCGGGGGGTATCCAGTCATGAACTCTGTGTCTGGTTATTTTTTCTTTAATATTCATGATAAGAGCCTGTTGATGCATTAATAAGACCTTCCACATGATTCTGTGGGGACAGGATGAGGAAGATATGGCATAATAGCCTGCATATAAATAAACCAGAGTCCTTTGGTAATATTACTGCCATCTCTTTCCTCCCCTCTTCCCCAAGTTGGATTCGTAGGAACTCCTGAGAGCACGACCCCATCATTACAGAGTGTCACAGTTAAACAAATCCCAGATCTGCTGGGTCTCTGCTCTTTCTTTTTAACCAACTAGACCAGAACAAAGGAAGGGGAAGTAAGAAATCATCTGACGAATGTTCAGAGGCTTTTTATTAAATACTGAAGTATGAACTACCAGTAAGGAATTATTTTGCACATTGTTCCTTCACCAAAATAGCATAAAGGAAGAAAAGACAAAAGGAAAAGGATGAAAACCAGGGAGTCAAACGCTGTGCTTCCTTTCCCTTCCTGTGAGAAGATAAAACAATGTAATGATTTCTGTTTTGGGGGTTTTGTTGTTGATGATGATGATACTTTGCCCAAAAAATGGAATCTTGAACTTTCTAGGACTGAATGAAAACCTGAGAATTAATGAATTTAAACATCTCTCCTTACAATGCCTTGAACATACTAACGCTTTAACAATGTTAACTATATATTTGCAACAGTCTTACAATAATTATTCATTTTTACAGAATAAATATCTTTAAGTAATCAATTCCATTTACAAATACATAAACATCTTAAAAGACATTCATCAATTTTAAATATTCAGTATTTGTGTGAGTTACATCAATTGCCTATGCCAGAAAATATAATACCCTAACAAGCAAAAAACCTTTCCCAAATTTTTGCATCACCTTTGAAAACTTATTTAGTTACACACAGGACAGTAGCAAATGTATCAGTCTAGCAAAATCTCATACTGTTGATCTATTTAATAAAATTCTATTACATATTTCAAAATATAGTTACATTTTAATTTGGAATCACAAGGCTAATTTCCCAGACTGTAAAGTCATCCTAGTCTCTTAAATATAACAAACAGTTGAAACACAAAATATACAGAGATTGTCTCATTAATAAACATTTTTATCCACAAAGCTGAAAGTGTTAGTGCTCTAACTTTGATGACTCTCACTCTCCTTGTGCTATCAAAATCCATTTCTGTTCACTTTCTGTTATTTCTGTTATTTCTTTCTTGCCATCTCACCCATCCTTCTAAAATTCTGTCCCTGTTATGTTGTGTTGGACAGTACTTTTTGGGTATCCTTCCTGTGCTCTAGAAGAAGATCTAGATGCTGTCTTCTTCATAATCCATTCCCTGCTGGAACATTACATGTTTCTCCACACTGTTTCAGTAGTTTCCTACCTGCTTCAGTAGCTTCAGTGACTCCCCATCCCCAATTTATGGAGTCCAAATTCTGTATTCTCTGATTGACGTCATTGGACTGTCTTCTCTGCTAAATCCTTCACGTATATTCTATGTTTCCTTCACACTGGACAAATGCATCGTGCCTGTATAGTCATACTCTTCCCCATCCATCCATCTTATATTTGTTTGAGTAATGTTAACTGTTGTGACAAAGAGATCCCAAAGTGTATAATGGCTCAAACACAATAGCAGTTCACTTGTGGATCATATCATGGTGTTGACCAGATGAACAGACCAACACAGCAATTCTCATAGACCCTGGGTAGGTGCTTAAAGACCCTGGCTAGCAGAGAGGGTGCCGTCTTTGACATGTGGCTTCTAAGGTGGCCCTGGAAGTTGTCTCCAGCCAGCTACACAGAAAACAAAAAGAGCTTGGAGGAATAGGCAATAGGGAATTTTATGAGCCATGCCTGGGAGTAGTTACTACTTCCACTCACATACTTGATTGTGAAGACATACCACCCTGCAAGAGGACTCGCTCAGGGTATGAGTAACAGCTAGAGTTCTCTGCTATATCTTTCTGCATCTTTGAATGCTTTTCCTCTCCTTGGCTCTGCTGAACTCTGAATTGTTACCTATGGCTTGGATCCAGTGCTAGACTTTCTTTAATTCTTGCTTGCTAACACCAATTATAAATGAGCTTTTCATAGATAGATAGATATAGATTCTCCGTGTATATATACATATTTAGATGTGTGTGTGTATATATACGTATGTATGTATGTATATGTGCATGTGTACATATATTTGAGTTTTATTTATTTGGCACTTAACTTCTCTTACACACACACGCACACACACACACACACACACACACACCTGCAAAAACACTACGTCTCCTAAAGCTTGTAACTTATAAGGGTAGGGGATGGAAGTCATCCATCTCTGTCATCCTCACATTGCATAATCTAGCAATGCATACTGTTAACTATTTTGTAAATAGTTGCTGCGATGGTTAATTCTATGTGTCAACTTGACTGGGCCACAGGGTGCCCTTTGCTTAAACATTATTCTGGTGACTGTGAGGGTGTTTCTAGATGAGAGTAACATTTGAATCTATAGACTGAGTAAAGAAGAGTGTCCTCCCCAATGTGGGTGGGCCTCATCCAACGCACAAAGAATAGAACAAAAAAGCATTTGAAGGCTTGAATACAAGAAAAGGTCAAGTAAGAGAGAATTTAGTCTGCCTGACTGGCTTTGAACTGGGGCATCAGTATTTTCCTGCCCTCAGACCCTAACTGAAATACAGGCTCTTCCTGGGTCTCAACTCTGCCTGCCTTTAGACTTGAACTATATTGTTGGCTCTCCTGGTCCTCAGGCCATTGAACTCAGACTACCAATGGCTCTCCTGGGTCTCTAGCTTGCCAACTATGGGTGTTGAGACTGGCAAATCCCAAGTTCCATAATCACATGACTCAATACCTTATTATATATATGTATATATAATGTATATAGGCATCTATCTATCAATATCCCAATATCTATCTATCTAGATAGACTATGATAGAATATCTAGATAGATAGTAGATAGGTGATTGATTGATTGATTGATAGATAAATGGATGATAGATAGGTAAGTAGATAGATATCCTATTCATTCTGTTTCTCTGGAGAACCCTTACTAATATAGTTGTTGAACAAATAATTAAGTAACTGAAGGCTGGCACAACTTTTTGTTCTTTTTTTAAAAAAAGTATTCAGACTTTTGTCTTCCTCATTTGATATTAGCAAATGCACTATAAAATGAAAGGCAAAGCTTTGTTCATGAGTGATTATTCCAGACTAAAGACATCCCCTATCATCTTGGTTGCATAAATTGTAAAAGAAAGGGAAGGAACAAAACTAAGTGAGCTGTTGGGTTTCCAACAACCACCATCTTCTGAGTGAGTAATGAGAAGGTGGGCTTTGTCATCACTCATTAGAGATGGCCCTTCTTTTAATGAATCCTGCAAATATGGAGGACACCAGTGTATCAAATCTTCATATGGTGAGGTAAAGCCAGGGAATATTCAGAAAGCCTTATCTCTCTGCTCATTCCTTTGAAAGTATAGACTATGTCTGCTCCTTGGTGATGACAGACAAAGACATAACAAACAAGGTAATAGTCCCATCAGGTCCTTTCAGTCACTTTGATATATGATCACTTCCCCTGCCACCAGGAACTTAAATGATGACATGCATCTTTGAAGTATTTCATTATAAAGAAGACTAGTCATTCTCATCCTGTCCTCCACAGACATGATCAGCCTTCTGGGAAACTCTATGACTCACCATTGCAGGTATATGTGGACAGTAATCATCCCATAAATAGTTGAGAGAAAAAATAAGTGAGACTCAAAAATGATTATTATTCTTAAAGATATTGAAAATAAGTTTCTCATCCCCCAAGACCTTAATGGGAATTCGAAAACAACTTTTCAAAGAGCAAGAGCCCACTTTTAAATTAGCTTTGTCAACATCATTACAGAACTCATTTTTACCCATTCACCTTTATGCTGTTGACAGAGCTATCTATAACTATACTATAAAAATGTCATCACGTTGGATTGTTCTTTGTTGCCTAAAACATCCCAAATGACATTATGACTGGGAAGAAAAAGAAGGAAAGGAAAATGAGGCTAAGCTGATGGCTAGCAGAAATGCAGAATCTGACACAGGCATATTATGGGGTAAACCATGGTGCACATTTGCTACCTCGTCACCATACAAATGTCACAGGCATTCAAACAGTTCTTGATAATCTGGTCCCATCCTATTATGTCAACTCAGATCGGGGAAGACCCTACATCAACATAAACTCAGTACCAAGACAGAAGACAGCGTGTCTTTACAACCACCTTTCCCCTTGCAGTCCTCTCTGACTTGCATTCTCTTTCCCAGAGCTGTAACTAGGAGTTTAGGGCAAGCACCAGGAAGCTTGTCTTCAAATAAAATTTGTTACCCATGAAGTGGCTACTCACCACTAACAAGGCACTAAACTTCAAAGTTCATTGAGCAGGGGATTAAGATGGCAGATAGGTGGCAGGACTAGCTTGCAGCTCCTGCTCCCACAGATAGCAGCATGTGGAGATTCATGTTGTGAACTTTTGCTGCAAGAACTACCGCAGGAATATAACAGGAATGCTAAGAGAATCCACAGACCCTCTGAAGGAACTGGATCACTACTGCAGGCTCCCTGAAATCCTGAAAAACTGTGAGTCAGCTTGCTTTCTCAATGAGGAGGCTTGTGGTCTGGGCCAGCTTTCCCCCACTTCCCTGGTAATCTGTATTACTCAGCAGAGGCAACCATAATCCCCCTGGGAATATAACTCCATTGGACTGGGACCCACATCCCCATCCCCCACAGCAGCCACAGCAAGCCCCACCCAAGGAGAAGCTGAGCTCAGACATGCTTATCTTTGCCCCAACCTGGTGGTCTTTCTCTACCCACCCTGCTAGCAGAAGACAATGGTCATCATCTCTTGGGAGCTCTATGGCCCTGGCTACCACCTGAGAAACCTGAATACTTAACCAGGTGTCCCTAGGGCAGGTTTGAATCCTCCCTATAGGACTGCAGCTGATGCATTCTTGAAAGCACCATCTCCTGGCTGGAGGCCAACCAACACAAAACCAACACACTAAACAAAAACACAACCAAAAACCCTCACAGAATCCACCTCACTACCCTGTTAACTCCACTGGAGCAGGTACTGGTATTCATGGCTGCAAGATCTGTAAATGGATCACATCATGGGACTTTTTGCAGACACTCCCCAGTACCAGCCTGGAGCTTGGTAGTTCTGCTGGGTGGCGAGACCCAGAAGAGCAAAAACAGTCACTACAGTTTGGCTCTCAGGAAGCCCCATTCCTAGGGGAAGGGGAAGAACACCACTTCAAGGGAGCACCCCATGAAACGAAAGAATTTGAACAGCAGCCCTTGAATCCCAGATTTCTCCTCTGACATAGTCTACTCAAATGAGAAAGAACCAGAACAACAATTTTAGTAATATGACAAGATGAGATTCTTTAACACCCCCAAAAGATTATACCAGCTCACCAGCAATGGAACTGAACCAAGATGAAACCTCTGAGTTGCTAGAAAAAGAATTGAGAAGGTAGATTGTTAAGCTAATCAAGGAGGCATCAGAGAAAGGTGAAGTCCAATTTAAGGAAATCAAAAAAGTAATAATAATACAAGAAATGAGAGGATAAATCTTCAGTGAAATGCATAGCATAAGTGAAAACAATCACAACTTCAGGAAATAAAAGACACACTTAGAAAATGCCAAGTGTTTTGGAAAGTCTCAGCAATAGAATTGAACAAGCAGAAGAAAGAACTTCAGAGCTCGAAAACAAGGTTTTCAAATTAACTCAATCCAAAAAAGAGTAAGAAATAAATGAATAATCAAGGCCTCCAAGAATTTTGGGATTATGTTAAACAACCAAACCTAAGAATAATTGGCATTCCTGAGGAAGAAGAGAAATCTAAAAGGTTGGAAAACATATTTGGGGGAATAATCAAGGAACTCTTCCCTGGCCTTGCTAGAGGCCTGGATATCCAAATAAAAGAAGCTCAAAGCACACCTGGGAAATTCATTGCAAAAAGATCATCACCCAGGCACATTGTCATTATGTTATCTAAAGTCAAGGTGAAGGAAACAATCTTAAGAGCTGTGAGGCAAAAGCACCAGATAACCTGTAAAAGAAAACCTATCAGATTAACAGCAGATTTCTCAGCAGAAACCCTACAAGCAAGAAGGATCTGGGCCCCTATCTTCAGCCTGTTTAAACAAAACAATTGGCCAGGCGCAGTGGCTCACACCTGTAATCCCAGCACTTTGGGAGGCCAAGGTGGGTGGATCACGAGGTCAGGAGATTGAGACCATCCTGACCAACATGGTGAAACCCTGTCTCTACTAAAAATACAAAAAATTAGCTGGGTGTGGTGGTGCATGCCTGTACTCCCAGCTACTCGGGAGGCTGAGGCAGGAGAATCACTTGAACCCAGGAAGCAGAGGTTGCAGTGAGACAAGATCACACCACTGTACTCCAGCCTGGTGACAGAGTGAGACTCTGTCTCAAAAAAAAAAAACAAAAAACAAAAAAACAATTATCAGCCAAGAATTTTGAATCCAGTGAATTTCCTTCATAAAGGAAAGATACAGTCTTTTTCAGACAAACAAATGCCGAGAGAATTTGCTACTACCAAGCCATCACTATAAGAACTGCTAAAAAGAGCTCTAAATCTTGAAACAAATCCTGGAAATACATCAAAACAGAACCTCTTTAAAGCATAAATCTCACAGGACCTATAAAACAAAAATACAATTTAAAAAGCCAAGGTATACAGGCAACAAATAGCATGATGAATGGAATAGTACCTCACATCTCAATACTAATGTTGAATGTAAATGGCCTAAATGCTCCACTTAAAAGATACAGAATTGCAGAATGGATAAGAATTCACCAACCAACTATCTGTTGCCTTCAGGAGACTCAACTAACACATAAGAACTCATATAAACTTAAGGTAAAAGGATGGAAAAAGATATTCTATGCAAATGGACACCAAAAGTGAGTGGGAGTAGCTATTCTTATATCAGACAAAACAAACTTTAAAGCAACAGCAGTTAAAAAAGACAAAGAGGGACATTATATAATGTTAAAACATCTAGTCCAACAGGAAAATATCACAATTCGAAACATATATGCACCCAACACTGGACCTCCCAAATTTGTAAAATAATTACTACTAGACCTAAGAAATGAGATAGATGGCAACAAGATAGTCGTGGGGGATATTAATACTCCAATGACAGCACTAGACAGGTCATCAAGACAGAAAGTCAACGAAGAAACAATGGACTTAAACTATACCCTACAACAAATGGACTTAACAGATATTTACAGAACATTCTACCCAATAACTGCAGAATATACATTCTATTCATCAGGACATAGAAAATTCTCCAAGATAGACCATATGATGAGCCACAAAACAAGTCTCAGTAAATTTAAGAAAATTGAAATTATATCAAGTACTCTCTGAGGCCACAGTGGAATAAAATTGGAAATCAACTCCAAAAGGAACCCTCCAATCCATGGAAATACATGGAAATTAAATAATCTACTCCTGAATGATCATTGAGTCAACACTGAAGTCAAGATGGAAATTAAGAAATTCTTTGAACTGAACAATAATAGTGACACAACCTATCAAAACCTCTGGGATACAGCAAAGGCAGTGCTAAGAGGAAAGTTCATAGCATTTATGTATTAAAGGCAAGTTTATCGGAATCAGTAAAAGCAGATCATTTCTAATCAATAATTTTTCCTTTAGTGAGGAAAGCCCTACATCAAAAAATCTGAAACAGCACAAATAGACAATCCAAGGTCACTTCTAATGGGACTGGAGAAACAAGAACAATTGAAAGCCAAATCCAGCAGAAGAAAATGAATAATGAAGATCAGAGCAGAACTAAATGAAATTGAAAAAAAAATTGAAATAAAACAAAAAACTGGTTCTTTGAAAAGATAAATAAAATTGATAGCCCATTAACCATTAACCAAGAAAAGAGAGAAGATTAACCAAGAAAAGAGAGAGGATCCAAATAAGCTCAATTAGAAACAAAATGGGAGATATTACAACTGATACCACAGAAATACAAAAGATTATTCAAGGCTACTATGAACACCTTTGCAGGCATAATCTAGAAAACCTAGAGGAGATGGATAAATTCCTGGAAGTATATAACCCTCCTAGATTAAACCAGAAAGATATAGAGTCTCCGAACAGACCAATAACAAGCAATGAGATTGAAATGGCAATAAAAAAAATTACCAAAAACAAAAGTCCAGGACCAGATGGATTCACAGCTGAATTCTATCAGACATTCAAAGAAGAATTGGTACCAATCCTATTAACACTATTCCAAAAGATAGAGAAACAGGGAATCCTCTCTAAGTCGATCATTCTCTAAAGCCATTGTCACCCTAATACCAAAACCAGGAGAGGATATAACAAAAAAAGAAAATTACAGATCAATATCCCTGATAAACATAGATGCAAAAATCCTCAACAAAGTACTAGCAAACTGAATCCAACAGCATATCAGAAAGATAATCCACCATGATCAAATGGGTTTCATAAGAGGGATGCAGGAATGATTTAACATACATAAGTCAATAAATGTGATACACCACAGAAACACAATTAAAAGTCACACAATTATCTCAATAGACACAGAAAAAGCATTTTACAAAATCCAGCATCCCTTTATGATTAAAACCCTCAGAAAAATCGGCATCGAAGGGACATACTTAAAAAAAAAGTCATCTACAACAAACCCACAGCCAACATTATACTGAACAGGGAAATGTTGAAAGCATTCCCCCTGAGAACTAGAACAAGACAAGGACGCCCACTCTCACTACTTCTATTCAACATAGTACTGGAAGTCCTAGCCAGAGCAACAGACAAGAGAAAGAAATAAAGGGCATCCAAATTGGTAAAGAGGAAAAATAAAAACGAAAATATTTAGGAATATACCTAGCCAAGGATGTGAAAGATCTCTACAAGGAAAACTTGTAAGATCTCTACAAGGAAAACTACAAAACACTGCTGAAAGAAATCATAGACAACACAAACAAATGCAAACACATCCCATGCTCATGGATGGGTAGAATCAACACTGTGAAAATTACCATACCGCCAGATGCAATCTACAAACTCAATGTTTTGAGTGTCAGAGAAATGAGACACGATACCGACTCATTTAATTATGTAGCACAGTAGGTATTGAAATGGAAATACGGCAAAAATGCCATAGGGTCCAGAAAATAGAGTACCCTTAATTTGAATAATAGGGAAAGACTAAACAGAGGGAGGGGCTGTTTATTTGAGGCATTGTTTCCAGGAGAAGAAGAAAAGAGTTAAGTTGGTTTTTTCCTTATGCCTTGCACCTAGCCTAGGGTCTGCCCTCTGGTAAATGCCTGATAGTAATTAATTAAATAGTCAACCAATTACTAGAGTTGATTGAGAATGCTCAATCAATGACTCTGTAGTATAGACTGAGACTACCATGAATAGGCTTTCCAACCACCTTGGAGATCACATACATCTGGGTGGACAATTTCTGCACAGGACCACAGATTCAAGCCTCACACTCCTGTGTCTCTGCACTCAAAAATTTTCTCTGGATGCTGGAAATGCTGGCAAGTGAATCCCCTGGCTGAATCCCGATCTGGTTGTAATTAAAGAGAGATGAGATTTGTTAGTCCCTAGTGGAAGACAACTCTGAAGTGTGTTCCACAATCTTGCAGAGGTTTTGTAGTGGGACTGAGTTTCTGTAGCCCACAGCAATTTCCTGTGCATCAACATATCAACTACTAACCCAACTGTTTTCCTGTCTTACCTCATTTCTTCATCATGTTTCTCATGCTTTCTACTTGCACTCAAATCTTCATTTCAAGATCTGCTTTGGGAAAACACCCGACTAACACAATCACTATACATTTTTCTAATCCATAGGAACTGGCAAACAGTGTTAAAATATGGGGATAATAATGACATCGAATTACATATATTATTTAGATCTCATGTCATTGCCTCTGAAACCAGAGGGACTTGTTCCTTTGTATCTTTGGGTACCTGCAACACTCTATCATACTATAAAATAATTTAAGAAAAATCTCAGGACTTAAGTAGTCATCTGTTAGACACTGATGCTTTGGAATATGTGACAGCAGAATAATTTGGCAGAATTAAAAAAAAAGGAAAAGCACTTGGTTGTGCTTAGGAAGTAAGTGTACGCTAACAGATTGTGTTGTGTAGAACTGCTTTGCATGTTAACTAAATGTGGAAACACATCTGTCCCTAAAAGTAGTGACTCAGGGAACTCAATCTTAATTCAGGCATTTCAAGAATAAAACATAGTACCAGCCAACCCACTTACGGAACTATCAAACCAAATAAATGCCAAAACCTCATTGATTGATTTAATGACCCAGAAGCTATAATTAAAATATTACTTTTATAATCTATTTATTACAAATAGAAAAAGTAATCATTACGTGGGCTTCTGAAATAATTTTCAGTATTATTTATAGAATTCAGAAACTAAGTGGGATCTCAAAAGGTTATTCTATGTATTTCTTTGCTGCAAGGCAGAAGTATTCATCTCTTTGTATTCATCTCTTACAAGACAAATGGATATCCCTCCAATTCTTGAAGATTCACAGGCTAAAAGCTTTCAACAGCATTGTAATTTTGCTTTTGAATTTCAGTAAACAGATGCTCAAATTTTATGATAAATGTATATAAGTATACAAGGTAATTTTTATGTCATCTCACTCTTTTAAAATACAGATGAAACATACCAGCACTCTATTTCTTATTAATGTTTTAACTGCTACACATTTTTCATAATCTCTTGACTAATGCATGGTACCTGGAACCCTGTAGAGACAGAACATTGATAAAAACACAAAGATGCCTAATAATGATTCTTGACCTTTGGAAAATAGCATTATTCCTCCTATTTTTAGGCCATATACAAAGTTATGTCAATGCTCCTGGTTTTTGGTAGAGTCTTGAATAAACACTACATATTTGCATTGCTGTTTGAATCCTAAATTTGAAGAATAGGCCAATGATTTTTACTGTTCTTTTTATACTATTAAAAATGACACAATAAAAAAGTCAGAAAAGGACATAGATTGTCACTGATGAGATAAATACATTTATGATGCAGACCAATTATACTGTGAGAATTTCTATATGTTTTTAATGACAATAAAATCATATTTTTCATGTTATTTTTCTCAGTGCTGATGGTCACGGCTTAGCAGTAATGGCACAGCAAACATCCCCAAAGTCTCCCTGGTCTTTGCCCTCTGCAAGTCGAGCGGGGAATCACTTCCCGTGAATGATGATTGTAAAGAAACGATCTTCAGCACACAGGCTTCATGCCAAAACGATTGACAACAGGAAAAATATCTTTCGGAAAGCAAGAAATGTAATTTTCCCCGTTCTTTCTATCCAGCCTTTCCCTTGGGCAGCCACACATCTGTCGGCCCTACCTGTGAGCCCAGATGCTGCAGCAGTGAACAGCTCCTTTCAAGTTTCACCCACTTTTCCTTGACAATATCACTCTTTAGGGGCACACTATGCATCTTATGCATTCTATCCTGGACCTTCTCCAACATGTGCTTTGTAGAACTCTGAGATGACCCCTGGGCGTGCTTCATAGCTGAGGAATTAATTAAATTAATCCTCCTGAGGCAACTATCAGTCCACAGGCGATGGGTGCTGTTGGATAAAGGCTTCTCTCTATGGTGAAATTGCAAAGTCTTTTCGTATACTCCTAAGCAGAAAGGGGAGCACTGAACTCGTGTGCCCAAACTCTTCCATTCCTTACCCTTGATTTCTGAGATCAGCAATGGAATAAACCACGTACACAAAGTTCTTGTTTGAGGCTTTGCTTCTGGGAGAGGCCCAGAATAAGATAACTAACTAACTAACTTCCTTCCTTCCTTCTTTCCTTCCTTCCTCCCTTCTTTCCTTCCTTCCTCCCTCCCTCCCGCTCCCCCTTCCTTCCTCCCTCCCTCCCTTCCTTTCTTTCCTTCCTCCCTCTCTCCCCCTTTTCTTTTCCCTTTCCTTTTCCTTTTCTTTTCCTCTTCCCCTTCCCTTCCTTCCCTTTCCTTCCTTCTCTCTCTTACACTTTCTATGTCTTATCTGTCTTATCTATCATCTGCATTAAACATGATTTAAAAAAATGAATGCTAAAAAGTCATTCTAAAGAAACATTTGTGTATTAAAGACAAGTTTATCTGAATCAGTAAAAGCAGATCATTTCTAATCAATAATTTTTCCTTTAGTGATGAAAGACCAAGTTTCCCTGTATTTGAGGAAAGATGACATGGTGGTTGTAACAGGAAAATTTGAGTAAGGTCAGGAACAGAAAGTACATGATAGAGCCTCTTTAACGTATAAATTAGATTACAAATATAGTGTGTGCCTGTTTTTTTTTTTTTTAAGAAAAGACACAAATAAAGCACGATAATATAAAGTACATTCTCTACCCTACCTCATTCTGATAATCTGCTCTCTATCATTAGTGAGCTACGTAAATACTTTTCTAGATTTCCTAGTCTTATTTTCATAACAATAACACTATGACTTGCTGCTTGTTTTTTCATTTAGCAATATCCAGGAGATACCTTTTTTATTTGATTTTTCTTCCAGTCATGAACTGCTTACTATAGCTATTATATGCATGGAACATCAGCCAAGTCCAGCTCAAATTAGATCATCCTTGGCATTTCCCTACGTTAAATGTTATGTCTATAAGTCCAGCGAGGAATAGTATCCAGTCTTATACTATGAGCATACATTCCTGGCTTAATCATCTCTAGAGATTTGTCACTCCTGCTTAAAAATGATAGGGCAGGCAACTCCAGTGCATGAAATCATCCAGCATAAATCCATGTCCAAACTCTAGCCAGTAACCTCTGGGAAAGGTGAGGTATAGAAGAGACGTTCCATTTGGAACTGCTTCTACTCTACAAGCTATTTCATCAAAACATTCATTCAGCCTGTGCTGAGTGTCTTTGAAACAGATTCACTAGAGTGGCCTTCAGAGGGCCACAGGCAGCTATGGGCGATGTCTTCTAATACTCCCTCTCAGTCAATGTGGACAAACCCTAACAAGGAGAAACACTGGAGGCATCAGAGTTTAAACGTAAATGAGTTGATGTATTGACGTTATTTGCTTGATAATGGATGATTCCCAAATCTTGAATTTTAACTCTTTCCTTTTGTGTGGGCAACTGGGAGGGCTCAGCATTTCAAGTAATCCTGCTGTGAATCTTTCCATATAACAAAAATTCATTATCTGAAGTATCAATATTTTTATGTGTAAACTTTGCTTTTGTTCTCCTGCATATTATTTTCTTGAAGAAGTGCCACTTCAATAATCAGTCTGATTTTAATAATCTCAAAGAACCATTTTTCATATTGGAAGAACTATAAGTTTTGGCTTGCTATATATCTCAAAGAAATAAAAAATTCTCTATTTCAGCAAAGAGAGTATAATTTTAAAGATAACTAAGTTGTTGGGTTTTGGTAATCATCCAAGTAATAGAGCTTATAGGATTCCCTACCCAAGAGGCATTCACTCCCAGCCTGACCCCGCCAGGCCCGGATCATGCCTGCAATTTGAAAATGTGCACATGGATACTTTAATATGGCATTATTATGAAAGTATGAAATAAATACATAGTTATCAGCAATGATAGCACAAATGCTAGGAACTTTTCAACACAGAGTACAGTATTCATGTTGAAATCAGATTTACAAAAATAATGAGATATGTGTTTTTGGGACAGTATGTATTAAAGGCAATGTCCTGACATGGGTGTAGCAGAGCTCATATGCCACACTTTGTTTATTAAAATCAAAACTCTGGCACAAACTCTTGAGCAAAACCTCTCTTTCTCTCTGTCTCATCATAAAATAAGTTTACAGCTCATTCATTCATTGCGTTCACGTGGATTCAGTTCAGAACTTGGTTCAACAGAGAATACACTTGACAGCTGTCTGACCTGAGATGTGTAGCTTGCTTGATCTTTTTTATTTCATTTTATTTTCCATTCTGCCATTTTGAAATCTCTTCAGGACTGTATCTGAAGCTATTCTTCTGAAGATTCTATGCTGTGATATTTTTACATTTCACTGTTCTTGTTTGGGATTAAAATATTATATAGGTTAATTCCGAACTTGAAATCTCTCACCCAAAGACAATTATCCATAAATAAAAATAGCATAATATCATTACTTTTCAATCATAGGTAGAGATATAGATATCATCCATATATTGATTTATAATTACATCTATATGTATGTATCAGTGCTCCAAAAAATAAATATCTGAACAATTTCAAGTGGCTTTATTATGAGCAGAACTAAATCATATTGTTTTACATGGACATTGGCTAATTCAATTCTGTAGCAAGAACTTCTGAATAATACTGATTCTGGGACATAAGACTAGCCAAACCTAGCGTTGGTTCCATCAGATTACTGACTTTTCTACTGTTTATACACTCTGTGCTTTGTAGGGAACAACACCTCTCTTTTCTGCTTAAAACTCCCAGGGCCTCACCATCATATACACGGTAAATCTAAAACACAGCATCATATAAGAAGTCGTATAAGAAACCACTAATAAGAAACCTAGTAGTGGTTTCTTGTCTCTATGAGCCTGCTTTCATCTCCCCCTCTTTCTTACCATGCATCGTATCAGTTTTCCCAAAGAATCCAAGAACTAGATGGAAATACCATACACTATAAGACTCCTGGGACATTTTATTTGAGTTATTTCCTGCATCTGGAATATTATTCCATTCCCTTCTTTCCAAGAATCTACAAAACCCAGCTCAAAAGTCACCTGATCCTGTCACTAGAACCTCTTAGACTGAATTAACCACTCTTTCCTGTTTCCCCGTAATATTTCATACATTAATGAGGGAATAGATCTCTCCCTATTTAACACCTCCTCACAACAGGGCAAGAATTTAAGTTGGGCTTATAGCATGTATCTATATGTACAGTTCTGTTGGTTTTGCATCAAACCTAATGGTGTGATTGATTGGATTATCATGCTGCAAACCATACAAACTGAAAAAGTGATAAAAGTTAATACATTATTGACCTCTTGTATAACATTTTTCTCACCATGAAATGAGACCCAAATATATCATAATCAGATTTTACAGTGGTAGTATTTTAATTTCAATGAGCCCTCTTATAATGCATTGAATAAAATGTCATGAGGTACAAAATATCTACCAACTATATTATAGGTTTCGTTTTTTTCCTAAAAAATATAAAGCTATAAACATATATCACTGGAAGGACTGTCCCATGAACTCATGGAGTAGATTTTATCAGCAAACTGTCAGTGGGTTGATTTGAAAGACACAGAGGAAAATCCCATAAAAATACATTTTCCCCCTTTGCTGGAATTCCACAAATATTTGAGTTTTCCTGAGTACATAGTCACCTTTCTGTTAAAATTCCAGTATTCATTATGGCATTATTAACCACAAAGCTAGAATTTGAAAATGTGGGGGACATTCAGGTGTATGGATACAAGAAAATTTTTCCCCTTTTTTCACTAAACCATTTTTATGAACTGTCATATTGCACAGAACCCTAACACAGAGATATATTAAAACAGCTGTTCAGGCTGCATTAGAAGGGCTACTCCACGGTATTCTTGTAGAACCCAGTGTGGATGGTGGCCCTTCTGGGTGAGAGCAATATGGCACTCGCACTGGTGCCCACCCCCTTCTCACCCTTACCCCTTGGGTGTTCATGGGATCAACTCTCTGTGCCATAAGAGTTCCTCCATATTTAGTATGGAAAACCATTGACTCGACTCACTTCGTTATTTTACCTGAGGCAGTTGGAGTAAGTGAATTACCAAAGGCATGCATTCTCAAAAAATGCTCTCGGTGGGAAGTGGCAAAAAAAATCGTACTATACTTATATATCAAGTAAGATACAGTACAGTACATAAACAGATGTATTTCTGTGATATTAAAACTTTATGTCGGCTTGATTAGGAAAAAATGGTCTCAGAAGCCTCCTTGGAAGGCGATAACGAAAAAAAAACAAAGAGATTCTTTCTTCTACATCTTAGCGGATGTTGTAAGGCTTGAAATTGCACAGAAGGGGAAGTGAAATGAGAACTCTGGCTGCTTGGAGAAGTTGGACTAATGGAGATACCAGAGAGAAGAAATGTACCCGAGGATCTACTCGAATAAAAATGGATCTAATCTGAACTAAGTGACCAACACAGAGGAGAAGGCTTTATTTTTCTTTAACACTGCCCTCAAACATACTGCATCCTAGGGACCTTTTTTCCAACTCCCAAAGACGTCTTGACCATTCCCATAGCTTTCCAGACATTTCCAACGGTGCGGGAAAGTCTCCTTGTTGTAATTAAGTCTTATTTTCTTGTATTAAAATGTGCTTTCCAGTTTAAATTTTGATTTCAAATTTGGATCCAATACTGAGCTTCTCTTTTTACCCCAAGCTGAGGCTTAGGGACATGTAGAAGAACAGAGATGGTTCCACTCTTTCCTCCGCCTCCTTTTCCCACTTTGCCTCTTCCAGATTTGGGGCAAGAAAAAGAAAGGGGAGTTCGTTCTCTGAACTAGTCTTGTTATTAATATTTCAGGATTCTCTTGGCTAAGGCTGGTTGGTGATCAGTGTGGACGCTATGGCATGTGTATGAGGGTAGAACATTGGTCTTTCCATGGGTTGGCCCAGGAGCTCTTTGGGAGGCCCACGGGGTGCTGAGCATTGCACAGCTGCCTGCTACGGCAGTGTTCTCTAGATTGCCTCCCTCTGACCTTCCAACCTCCTTCCCCAAGGGTTACAGACCCAGGCTCCTACGGCTGAAGTTCTCCAGGGCTGTACCACTTTTACATACTAACTTGAACATACTAACTTTAAGATAGACCTCAGCCTGGTGCCCTTTTCCATTGTCCATGTAACTAAGGAAAAACATACTCTGGAAGGGCATGGTGGATGGCCGACGCCTGTAACCCCAGCAGTTTGGGAGGCCGAAGCAGGCGATCACTTGACGTCAGGAGTTTAAGACCAACCTGGCCAATGTGGCAAAACCCCATCTCTACAAAAAATAAAAAAAATTAGCCAGGCATGGTGGTGGGCGCCTGTAGTCCCAGCTACTCAGAAGGCTGAGGCAGGAAAATCTCTTGAACCAGGGAGGCGAGGTTGCAGTGAGCCGAGATTGTGCCACTGCACTCCAACCTGGGTGACAGAGCGAGACTCCTCCATCAAAAAAAAAAAAAAAGAAAGAAAGAAAAGAAAGAAAGAAAGAGAGAAAGAGAGAGAGAGAGAGAAAGAGAAAGAAGGAAGAAAGAAAGAAAAGAAAGAAAGAAAGAAAGAAAGAAAGAAAGAAAGAAAGAAAGAAAGAAAGAAAGAGGAAGAAAGAAAGAAAAAAGAAAAACATGTTCTTATCACATCAAGTGGAGGGTGAAGGGATATAGACACTCCCCTCCCTCACCGCACACCATGCACCCTCTCCTTGCTTTTGGCTATTCCAAGCTTCTCGGGCCCTCGGGATTTTTTTTCTTTTTCTTTGAGATGGGGTCTCACCGTAGCCCAGGCTGGAGTGCAGTGGCGCAATCACAGCTCACTGCAACCTCCACCTCCCAGGCTCAAGTGATCCTCCTTCCTCAGCCTCCTGAGTAGCTGGGACTACAGGTGCAAGACACCATGCCTGGCTAATTTTTCTATTTTTTGTAGATATGTGGTTTCACCACATTGCCCAGGCTGGTCTTGAACTCCTGGGCTTAAGCGATCTGCCTATCTCAGCCTTCCAACGTGCTGGGATTACAGGCGTGAGCCACTGCCCCCAGCTGGAGGATTTTGCAGTTCGTCAGTAGATACCACTCACCTTCTTCATGTAGACCCTCAAAGTCTCAGGGACATATGCAAGGCCCTCCAAGAACATTCCAAAACATATGGCCACACCCAAAAGGCAGGAAAGTAAGTCAAGTTCTGCAAATCAGTAAGCATTCTGTTAAGTAACATGCCTATCTGTCATGCTTGATCCCTTGGAATGGCTCTTTTGAACTGCCCCTTCCCTATCATGAAATACAGGGAGCCCTCACTTTCACCCTTAATGGCATAAGTCTTCTATTTGGATGATAACCTATTATAAGCACACATTCACTATTTTTGATAAAATTCTCTTGAATTTGTACCCTTCTTTATGGGCCACAGGTAGGTGATTGGTAGGTTGTCACAGGACATGATGTGCCATCTTTATTCTAAGTAATAAAATAATGTGTCCAGAAATTCTTTTTATGAATATAGGAATAGTTAGAGACTACTGTCTTCAGCCCCTATTTAACCTCATGGTACTATATGTTGCCAAGGTCTGTGTTTCACTCTGAGGTTTAGCAAAACGTACTTAACTCTGCATTATATAAAATATTAGCTATGAGGAAAAAAAATACCACTTTGATGTATAAACTTTTTCACTCTCTTCCATGTAATTATTTAGGCCAAATGACTTCAGTATAAATTTTCAAATTTAGTTTTTAAAAATGTTCATTATGCCACCTGGAAACATTTAAGCCCACAGGGCCAAGAAATTATAAATTGGTGTAATAAAATAGCTCAAGTATGCCACAGCTAAGTAAACTTCTCTTTTAAATTGTTGAATCTAACATATCACTGAGTCTTTTTGAGTGAAAATAGAAGTGTTCTGTTCATCAAGCAAAACAGCTTAGGTTTCCATCCTGAAATGGCCGGTACTGCCGCTACAGGGCATAAATAAGACCGTAAAGTCTGGCTTTCCTGATCCTAGAACTCCGGATCCATACATTTTTTTTTTTCTTCTAGCCAGCATCTGCTCAAGAACCCAGTGCCTTTCAGCTAGGTTCTCTAATCAAGTCAGCTACCTCGGGCAGGCAGTACCCAGCTTCATTCCCCAAATACTTCAAACAAAACTATCCTAAATAGGACTTGTCCTCTCAGAACCACCATTTATCTGTCATTTGCAAAACATCCTTTAAACTTCTGCACAGAGGTTATTACTGTTTATTGCATTGCTTCTTCCAAAACCCTGTATGTTCCAATATCTGCAGAACTGCATCTGAGAGACCCTCATCCCAATGGAAGGAAGGATATCTGAGCATGAAATTTCAGGCATCCTACCGGGGGATATTTGGGGAGCACTTTCTTCAGGGATCTTCAAATTGCATCAAAGAGTGAAACCCTGAGTCTTTCTCTGAGCACATCTCCTCCAAGAAGCTCCTTTTCCTTTCTCTGTGTTCCTGAAATGTTTTGCTTTGTTCTGTTTCTTGATCTAATTATTGAGTTTATTGATTATGCAGCAGGGTGCAATTTTCTTCTGTGCATAAGATTACTTGTTTATTTTGAAAGAAATAAGCTTATGCTTTTGGTAGCCTGAAAAACCCCAGAGAAAGTAATGGGTTGAGTTTGGTTCACTGCTCAGCTTTCCCAGCTGTAGCATAAAGGAGAGATGAGTTTAAGGATGCAGCTAAATGAAGACATCATGACTTCAGGCAGGGCTTTCATCCTAGGTACGGTTCTCTGAAATGAAACTGGTTCTCTTAGATATGTGTTCTTTTTCTCCTCTGTAAACACAGCAGGTTATCCAAGATCCAGGAAGCAGACATTCTTTTGCTCTGATTTATGGTGTGCGGGAATTCGTGTAGCTGCCGCAGAGTTGTTGCACACTGAGTAGGAGACTCTCACCCATTGCATCATTCATTCCAATAACAAGAGGAGAAATCATTTGCCCTTATTTCTGTTTCTTGATCTCTGTTGCAACATGTTGTATGCCATCTGAGGTGTTTCATAAGCTTATTCCATTTGGAATCTACCACAAAGCTTCATTATGGGGAATCAGTTCTTGAATTCACAGGATTATTTTGGGAATATGGAAGCATGGATCTTTTCTCATGGAGATCCAGATACTGAAAGCAGGTCTATGACTCTTATTTGAGGAGGTCTGATAGAGTACGATGAATCAGAGGAAGAGGATTTGCATGTGTTCCTGTTTTACACAATTTGTTATTTCATATTAAACTCTGTGTTATTCCATCTCGTAAGAAAATAAAAAGGCTACAAAAATGTCTAATTTTAAGGAGATACAAACGAGTTGTTGTAGATGGGCCAATCTATAACGATTTAAAACAGACATTTTCTTTAGAGGAAAAGATATTTTACTTTCAAGTAAAAAGTGGTTTCTTTTTTGTGTGTGATGAAAAAGAGAAAAACAAGAAATGCAGACAGAAGAGCCAAACCACTGTCACCCACCTCATCCTTGGAGAATGCCTCCCAGGACTGAGAGTGAGGCCAGGGAGGCCGCCACACAGCAACAAGATCTGCGCGAGGCACAACAGAAGGGAGCACTTGGCGGACCCTGAGTATGCTGTCTTCAGAGTCCTCATAAATCAAACCAGGTCTGTCTGAGATCGTGGCATGGGAGAGGCCAAGCTCAAACAGACCTAATTGAAAGTGTGTTTTATAGAACTGAATCACTGCAGCTTGACCGTACGTCTAAACGTAAAAGTCGAATTAGACAGAAGCTGCTTTAAATTGTCCTAATGAGCAACCTGCCAAGTCTAACTGTTGATGGGATCAATGTAAGTTTTATTATAGTTTTGCTTTTTTTAATGAGCAAACAACTCATTTATAGCTCCTTAAAATTAGACTTTTTTTTAGCCGCTTTTTTCCTTGAGCTTAATATGAAATAATAAATTGTGAAAAAGCAGGAACATATGGATACATAGGCTCTGTTTGTGAATCTGGATCTCCGTGAGAAAAGGTCCACTCTTCTATATTCCTAAAACAAGCCTGCTAGTTTATTTATTTGACCCAACTAGAGGTCTCCCAATGGGCCAGAGATGGAGTCACCTGCATGGTGGGGTGTGTGTGTGTGTGTGTCTACGCATGCTCGCGCGTGTGTTCTTACTGTTATTTTATTTTTTAATCTCTTAAATGTTTATGGCCAAGGGTGTTGCCTCCAAATTGCAAATAGTTTCCATCAGCAGATTCTCTGCTAATTTGAGAGCTCTTCTTCCAAGTAACTATTGAAAGAGGTAAATTTCCATTTGCAGGAAAAGGCTTTTCCACTAGTGTTGGTTATTGACCTAAAAATACATAGATGTAAACTGCTACTAAGTCTTTTTCATTTTCCTATTATTCAGGTATTCTGGCATCAATAAAAGTATCCTTTTTTCTCCCTTACTTTGGAAAGTTAAAATTCTGGGAACCTCCTTTCCTCATCCAACAATGATCTTTTGTATCTTCATCCCAGTTGAAGAGTCTGGCACACAAACAGCCTAGCCTATTCATCCTGAGAGCAATTTTACATATGCAAGACTGAAGCCAAGATTAATCTCTTCATCCAGACATGCTCACTCAAATACATTCTGGTTACGTTCAAACTCTGAGATCATTAAGATGAGAACATGTTCCTGATCAATACATCTGCTCTGGCTCTCATGGCCATCCCTTTGTTGCAATTCAGTCATCCAAATGGATTTTTAGTAGAATGACATTTATTTGGCCCAACTAGAGGTTTCCCAATGGGCCAGAGATGGCGTCACCTGCACGGGTGGTCATGTTGGCTCTCTGTCGGGGCAGGGATCCAGCCAAGCTTGAGAAAATCCCTCACAGTGACTCCCAGACTGCCCAGGAGGCAACTTCAGACTGGCATCCCATTGGAAAGGAAACTCTAGAACTCCACACTTTTACTGGCTAGATACTGAGAATAAACTCTATGTCCTTGGTGCTGGCAATTCTTCACAGCATTCATTCTTTGAGATTTTTGCATAGCAGTGCTGGAGAAATGCCCCCTTTCATTGGCCGCAAAGATGAAGCTTACACAAATGAATATCATTAAAGGTGTACAGGTGGAACCAGAAACAACATTAAATGTGACAGATGAGAACCGAAGAAGAGTGAGCTAGGAGAAACAGTTGGGTTCCATCCATAAGGCTAGAGGTGACTTTGTGAAGTGTGCTAGAGATGTACCAAAGACGGGGCCATCTTCTGGGTGGGGATGTGCAGACACAGGAGCCCAAGAGAAATCACAAAGGGCAAATCCAGAAATCCAAAATCACAGATGTTTTTTTATTGAGTTTATGCAAGACTGCTTTTTTTTTTTTTGTTTTTGCAGATAATTAATTAACTGTACTATACAGTCATGCATATTTCACAAATACTAAAGTTCACATGTACACAAATAATACTCGCGAAGCACAAAACGACATAATATATCTCATTTGGCCCTCTCTGCTCCATGCCCAGGCAGATCTTCAAGTACTTAGAGCACCCACTTGCCTGGATCAGCAACCTGAGATGCCCCAAGAACACTTTTAAAAGAACAGGTAGTTATAAGCCAAAAGACAGGCGATAACAGATACTGGTGAGGATGTGGAAAAAAGGGAACCCTCCTACACTGTTGATGGGAATGTAAATTAGTACAACCACTATGGAGAACGGTTTGGAGGTTCATCAAAAAGCTAAAAATTGAACTAGCATACAATCCAGCAGTCCCTCTGCTGGGAATATACCCCTCAAAAGAGAAGTCAGTATATAGAAGACATATCTGCACTCCCATGTTTGTTGCAGCACTGTTTACAATAGCTAACATTTGGAAGCAACCTCAGTGTCCATCAACAGATGAATGGATAAAGAAAATGTGCTACATACACACAATGAAATACTAGTCAGCCATAAAAAAGAATGAGATCCAGTGATTTACAACAACATGGATGGAACTGGAGGTCATCACACTAAGTGAAATAAGCCAGGCACAGAAAGACAAACATTTCATGTTCTCACTTATTTGTGGTAACTATAAATCAAAACAGTTGAACTGATAGACATAGAGAGTAGAAGGATGGTTACCAGAAGTTGGAAAGGGTAGTGTAGGCCTGGGGGAGGGGGAGGTGGGGATGGTTAATGGGTACATAAAAATAGTTAGAAAGAATGAATAAGACCTGCTATTTGATAGCAAAGCAGGTTGACTACAGTCAATAATAATTTTATGTTTTAAAATAACCAAAAGAGTGTAATTGGATTGTTTGTAACTCAAGGGATAAATGCTTGGGGGGATGGATACCCCATTTTTCCTGATGCGCTTATTTCATGTTGCACACCTGTATTAGTCCATTTTCATGCTGCTGATAAAGACATACCCGAGACTGGGTAACTTATAAGGAAAAAGAGGTTTAATGGACTCACAGTTCTACCTGGTTGGGGAGGCCTCACAAACATGGTGGAAGGCGAAAGGCACGTCTTACATGGCATCAGGCAAGAGAGAGAATGAGAACCAAGCAAAAGGGGTTTCCCCTTATAAAATCATCAGATCTCATGAGACTTACTCATTACCATAAGAACAGTAGGGGGAACTGCCACCATGATTCATTTATCTCCCACTGGGCCCTTCCCACAACATGTGGGACTTATGGGAGCTACAATTCAAGATGAGATTTGGGTGGGGTCACAGCCAAGCCATATCAATGCCTGTATCAAAAATCTCATGTACCCCATAAATGTATACACCTATTATGTACCCAAAAAAATTTGTTTAAAAAAGAACGTGGTTCTTCAGTTTCTGTTGCCTGGGGTAGTATAAAATAAAAGTAAAATTCAATACTTAACACATATTTATTTCATGTTTGTTTTTCCTTGCCAATTTATTTTGTGGTGATTTGGTAATTTTCTCTTTGTAATTTCCCTTTGTTCCAAGAAACAGTGCCACCTTTATTCTATTTAAATTTTACTTTATTATATAACTTCAAAGATAAAATTCACAGGATACGCTAACCACGGCATTATTCTCTGCATCCCATTCACCTGAAGATATTAATAGTAGGTTATCCAAGTTTGTTTTCCATCATATCTTTATCTATTTTGGTGATCTAATTTGGAATAAACTTTCTTCTCCAAAAATTATCACAAAATGTATATGTCTCCTGGTGGCATAAAATATGAAACAAAATCATAGTTGGGAAATGTTCAGCAGAGCCTTTACTTGGTGAATATTACATTAAAAATATGTAGTTGAGCCACACAGAAATGCACTGACTGGTAACAGATTTTGCTGTGCACTTTTCTCTGACATAACACTCATTAAAAATGGGAGATGTGAAAACAAAATGTTTTGCTTCTTTAACAAATTGTTTACATAAGGAATGAGAAAATAATTGTCATTTGATGGACAACATTGATGCCATGGGCTAAATCTTGCTCTACCAATATGAATCCAATCAACAACATCAAAAGTACAGGTTGCAATTACTACCTGGAATTTGGATCTTTCATTGGTTCCAAAATCAGTGTTCTCTACCTGCTGTGCAGGGGTCAGTGTGCTTTTTTGGTAAAGGGCCAGATCGTAAGTATATTTGGCTTTGTGAACCGTAGGATCTCCATTTCAACTGCTCAACTCAGCTGTTGTAGGAGGAAATCAGTTGGTGATGTGATATGTAATATGTAAATAAATAGGCCAGGCATGGTGGCTCACGCCTGTAATCCCAGCACTTTTGTAGGCCGAGGCGGGTGGATCACCTGAGATCAAGAGTTCGAGACCAGCCGGGACAACGTGGTGAAACCACGTCACTACTAAAAATACAAAAAAAAATTAGCTGGGCCTGGTGGCACGTGCCTGTAGTCCAAGCTACTCAGGGAGGCTGAGGCAGGAGAATCGCTTGAACCCAGGAGGCAGAGGTTGCAGTGAGCCAAGATCGCACCACTGCACTCCAGCCTGGGCGACAGAGGGAGACTCCATCTCAAAAAAAAAAAAAAAAAAAAGTAAATGAATAGGTGTGCTTATGCTCCAATAAACTTTATTTACAAAACTAGGTGGTGGGTCATATTTGGTCCAAGGGCCACGGTTATCTGTCCCTGAATTATACCATTATTTCTCCTTAAAACAACAAACATTCCCCCCACCCCTGATAGATCCACATTTTGCATCTTTGCCATATGCCATGCTATGACTCTTCCCTCCCATGCTGTTCCTCATAAATTCCAAAATAGGAAACCACCTTCATAAGTTTCTGCTGTCATCCTACTTCATTACAAGGTTAGTCTTGTTATGTCAGAAAGTTTTAATCCTGTTCAAAATTGCCTGTTAGACAGAATGTGTTGTGTGTTTATGTGGGGAAGAAGGCCTTGAGGCATGATTCCTGGAGAGATTAGAGAACTGGAAAACTCATGAAAAAGTGTGTTTATTGGAAGTACAGTGTGAGCTCATCATACCCAAAAGTCAGAGTAATGGAAGGTGGCTACCGTTTGAGCAAAGTTTCTGAAAGATAAAGATGAAGAAGTTTTCATGGCGCCAGGAGTTGAGAAAGAGGAAAGATGATCTTTCTTGTCCCCAGTCACTAAGTGAAATGTGCTGCATATGCAGCTATTTTTTATTTGAATAAACACAATTTTGTAAATCCACATAATTCAGGGAGGAATTCCAATTGGCCATATTCCACTGCTTACAAGTTTTGCATTGCGAGGTAGTTTTAAGCTTTTGCAATAAAATAAACGTTCTCTACTAAAGTAACTTGAAGTGACCAAAAAGGTTGAACTTGAAATTTTTGTCTGTACAGTCATGTGTCCCTTAACGACAGAGATTTACTGTGGGAAATGCATCATTAGATGATGATTTTGTTATCGGGTGAACATCTTAGAGTACACTTGAGGAAACCTAGATGGTGCAGCCTACTACACAATTAGGCTGTAAGGCAGAGCCTAGGGCTCCTAGGCTACAAACCTGCACAACATCTTACTGTACTGAGTACTGTAGGCAATTATAACACAATGGTAAGTATTTGTGTATCTAAACATATATAAACGTTAATATAGTTTGATTGTGTTCCCACCCAAATCTCATCTTGAATTGTAGCTCCCACAATTCCCATGTGTTGTGGGAGGGACTTGGTGGGAGGTAACTGAATCATGGGGGCAGGTCTTTCCTGTGCTGTTCTCCTGATAGTGAATAAGTCTCATGAGATCTGATGGTTTTATAAGGGAGAGTTTCCCTGCACAAATTCTCTCTTGCCTGCAGCCATGTAAGATATTCCTTGGTCTTCCGCCAGGATTGTGAGGCCTCCCCAGCCATGTGGAACCATGAGTCCATTAAACCTCTTTTTCTTTACAAATTATCCAATCTCAGGTATGTCTTTATCAGCAGCATAAAAACCAACTAATACAAACATAGAAAGGTACAGTAATACAAAAATATGGTATGCCTGTATAGGGCATTTACCATGAATGGCGCTTGTAGGATTGAAAGTTGTCTGGGTGGAGTCAGTGAATGAGTGGTGAGTGAATGTGAAGGCCTAGGACATTACTGTGCAACTGTAGCACTTATAAACACTGTACACTTATGCTACACTAAGATTCTTAAAAAGTAAAATAATTGTCCTATGATATTATGACAGCTACAATGTTACTAGGCGATACGAGTTTTTTAGCTTTATTATAATATTACAGGACCACCATCGTATATGTAGTCCATCATTGACTGGTGAATGGCTGTATATCTCTGTTCTGTCCCCAGTGCTAGGAGAATATTCTGCTTGATGAAACTTGATGCTACAGAGACCTAATATTAAACATGAAGAAACCTAATATTCAAATAGATTTGATATCAAGAACAGAAAATCAAATATCACATGTTCTCACTTATAAGTCAGAGCTAAACACTGAGTACACATGGACACAAAGAAAGGAACAAGAGACGCCAGTGCCTGCTTGAGGATGGAGGGTGGGAGGAGGGTGAGGACTGGAAAACCACCTGTCAGATACTATGCTTATTGTCTGGGTGACAAAATAATTTTTGCACCAAACCCCATCTCATGCAATTTACCTATATAAAAAACCCAAACATGTACTCCAAGAACCTAAAATAAAAGTTAAGAAGAATAAATAAATAAAAATAAAGAAATCGGGTGGAAACAAAATACGATCATCCTTTGTGTCCAAAAATGGAATAGCTTTTATGTTCCTTTAGTTTCCTTCAGTTGATCTCCTAATTGGTATGAAATACTGCTGCTGTTTCTTTTAACTTATTCTTGTTAGCTTTTATATTCATCTGCTAAGAACATATGCTCTCTATAGCACAGAAATTCCTTTTATAAAATGTAGCTAAGCAGCAGTAACTTAATAGTAATATTCTGTGAGCACTTAAGTCCTGGGTGATACTCTGAACATGTCCATGAATTAACTTATTTAATCCTTTTTTTATATAAATATGGGATGGGTAGTATATAATCCTCATTCTATGCAAGAAGAAACAATAGCAGCAAGTTGCCCAAGGTCACTGATTTGAATCCAGGATTAATCAAGACAGTTTAACATCCTGAACCCAGAGCTGTAAAGCTTAACACCAACCGCAAAGAGATACTGAGCCTATATTTCAGAAGTCAAGGGATCAGAGAGCAGCCAAGGACAAGAGAAGCAATGAGCTTCTTTGTCTTGGGAATAAAGGGTGGGCTTTGTGCAGTGACAAAGCCATTACTGGGGGTGATATTGGCTACCTATTGCTGTGTAACAAATTGCCACAAATTTAGCTGCATAAAATGCATGTATCATCTCAAAGCTTTCATGGGTCAGAAGTCAGGATATGGCTTGGCTGGACCCTCTGCACAGTCTCACAAGGCTAGCATTAAAGGAGTCAGGCAGGACTGTTTCTCATCTGAAGGCTTGGCCAGGGAAGGACCCACTTCCAAGCTCCCTTGAATTGTTAGTAGGATCCAGTTTCTTGCAGCTATCAACATCATGAAAGAACTGAAAAAGAGCAAAACAAAAACACCAAAGTAACAAAGAGATTGTAATTTCAGGAAGAAATCACCATTCTTGGCTGGACAACTATAGGGCAGAGGTTGGGATCATCATTTTAAGCCACTCAATTGGTGGCAATTTGTGACTCCACAAATTGGTGGTAATAGATAACCAATACACATTTTCTTTAGTGGATTAAAAATTAAACACGGATTAAAAATCAAAAGCATAGTTTGGAGTGAAAATATGAACACATAATGGGACATATGCCAATATTATTTAGTTAAACATGAAATACACACATAAAACAATACACATTTCATAAGGTCAGATAAGCAAATATCTCATAATAAGTGTATTACATAGTTTCCAATGAGGCAGGAAGGGGAGTCTGGATGGAAAATGGGCCCATCACATGGACCAACTGTGATGTTGTACCATAATTGCAGCAGTGTGGGGTATCATTAACTCAATCTTCTGTGCCAGAGACCCATAATGGGGGAAATGGATGTCTTTTAAACTATTAATCAATTTATTTTCCTCCAAAAATTGATTAAAGTAAAAATAAACAGACAAAAAATAATTCTCCCAACAGATGAGTCTGTTAGAATAGAATGATTTTCATGTCCAAAATGATTATTATATGGAAGTGTGCAGACCCTAGGAATTTTCATTAAAAAAATACTAATGAGTTTACCTTCATTTTACTCTTCAACACAGCCAGACAAGCTTACCGCTTCTCACAGCTGAGTATTTACTTTCTTCCATATTAGTGGTACTGTTTTCCTCCAGGCTGTTGCAATCATGATTTCTCTGCTGTTCGTCTGGGCAGAAAAAGGCATAGAAAAACAATTTCCTTATGATAAAGCTTAATTTATAAAAAATGAAGCCATAAAAATAAAACAATGAAAAATAAGAGAAACGATTTCCTTATAAACTGAAAGTAAAGGAAAATGAATATGTGTCAGCTAATTATGAGAGGAACTTACTATCAGGAATTCCATACTCTGAAATTCAATTCTCTGTCTGGGCTTAATTATCCTCACATATTAAAGTCATGGAAACCAAATATGTTTATGCATTTGTTATGTTGACTAAGGCTCTCTGCTCCTTCCATTATATAGGGGGAAGCCGGGGGAAGCCAGAGGAAGTAAAAGCAAACTCTGTCAGGAATCCCGCTTTGGTGATAAATACATTCTTCAAGTAGATGTTCATAGTTTTCATTTTCTACTTGCAGTAAGTTCCCAGGCACCACAACCCTCGTACCCATGATGGTAGAACATTATCCTCCAACCATGACCTCAAGACGGGAAGACATTTGGGAAAATGGGTGAAAAACACACACGTGTGTTGATGAACATATTGTGACCAGAGGCTGCTGTGTGTGTGTGTGTTGTGTGTATATGTGTGATATTCCTTTTATGGCTGAATAATACTCCATTGTGTGCAAGTACTACATTTTCTTTATCTATTCATCTGTTGATAGACACTTAGGTTGCTTCCAAATCCAAAAGTTTTTTTTGTTTGTTTGTTTTTTTGTTTTGTTTTTTTTTTTGAGACGGAGTCTCACTCTGTCGCCCAGGCTGGAGTGCAGTGGTGCGATCTCGGCTCACTGCAAGCTCCGCCTCCTGGGTTCATGCCATTCTCCTGTCTCCCAAAAGTTATTTTTAATAAATGATAGGGTGATTACCTATTTCTTGATTTAAAATTCTCCTATTACCGTGTCCTTCATGTAGCATCTTTGCTATTTCCTCCTGATTCTAAATCTTTCATAAACATTTTCCTCTTCCCTTTACTACTACTCTCTCTTAACTGGCTAAAACGTGACTAATATATGCTCCCAAAAGAGTGATCAGAGGAGGCAAAGAGGTGGAAATAGCAAAGAAATGATGCAGAGAATCGTCTGAGAACTGCAGAGATACATCAACCTGAAAACCCATTGAGTGTTGAGCACGAGGAATAAAACACTTAACTAAGGTGCACTGTTGTGAAGTTTCTGAGCACTAAGAATGAAGAAAGCATACATTTGTCTACATTATTCAAGACTTTCTTATTTGCAGACTCACCTGTTTGTCAGTAAACATGAAAATCAATCCTTGGAGTACTTTCAAGATCGTTTGTGGACATGCGCACAGTGGTAAAAAGTTTGAGCCACCAGCACACACAATTCCAGCTGAGGTTGAACAGGGTGATCAGCTGCCTCGTTTCAGCTTTCAGACTGTAAACAACTGTTCTTTTTTTGCAGTTTATTTTCTGTCACATTTTTAAATTTTTGTCCTTAATTTCAGTGATTTCACTCTCAAGTGCATTGTTGAAGTGCTGTCTAGGGTCCCTAAGTGCCAGAAGGCAGTGATGCTCCTATGAAAGAAATACAAACATTCTATGGGCTTTGTTGAGGCATGAGTTATAGTGCTGTTGGCCATGAGTTCAATGTTAATGGATCAGCAGTTTATATTAACTAAGATGTCTTTATATAGAACTACACATAAAACAAAATTATGCATTGATTTGTTGATGAATGTATCGTGACCAGAGGCTGGCGGGAACCTAACCCTGCATTTTCCCTTGCAGGTGCAGTTTAGTATTTGCAAATTCAGTGTTTGCAGAGACTTTAATAGAACATGACTACTGTGAATAATGAGATTTGCCTCTCTCTCTCTCTCTCTCTCTCTCTCTCTCTCTCTCTATATATATATATATATATATATATATATATAATATGTGATATATATGAGAGTGTACAATAGAACATGACTTATGTGAATAATGAGAATTGCCTATATATATGTGTGTATATATATGTGTGTGTGTATACATATATATATGCACACACTGCAGAGATACATCTTCAACCTGAAAACCCATTGAGTTTTGAGCACAAGGAATAAAACACTTAACTTAGGTGCTTAGTCATGAATAATGAAGATAAATGTATGCTTTCTTCATCCTTAGTGCTCAGAAATTTCACATATATGTATATACACACACACGTAAAAGATATATGTAGAGAGAATTTTATATGTGTGTGTGTCGTGTGTATGAGTGTGTATTTTTGTGTGTATGTATGTATATGTTTTAAATCTAGACAAGAAGAGAACAAAACAAAAGAAAACAAAAATCCTTGCTTCTTCCAACAGAAAACAAAAGCTGAGCTTTTCACAGGCAAGACTTTATCACAAAACAAAATGGATTAATACCTAAAATGTTCTAAATGAAAAATGGTATTGGAATTATAATGTGATACCCACTGAAGCTCCTTATTAAGAACAAGGAAAGAATAATGAATTCTGTGGTGGCTTTAAAATTATGTTCACGAATTCCCTGAGACTTCTTTATTTATTTATTTATTTATTTATTTATTTATTTTTAATGGAAACAAGGTCTCTCTCTATTGCCCAGGCTAGAGTGCAGTGGTGTAATCATAGCTCACTGCAGCCTCAAACTCCTGGGCTCTAGTGATCCTCCTGTCTAAGCCTCTTGAGTAGCTGGGACTACAGGGTCTCACTGTGTTGCCAAGGCTGGTCTCAAACTCATGGCCACAAGCTATTCTCTCATCTCGGTCTCCCAAAGCGTTCTGATTACAAGCATAAGCCACCATTCCCAACCTCACTGATACTTCTTTCTTCAAAAAGTAGACCCTAGTTCCCCTTACCTTTAGTATGTGATGGACTTAGCTACTCATAATGAGTCAAGGCAGAGGCAATGGTGTGTGAATTCTGAATATAGGTCATGTGGAGGAACTGCATCTTCCATCTTGGACTTTTTGATTGTCTTGGAGCCCTTGCTTAGAGGGACACCAAATGCCAGGACATGAGGCAGCCATGTGGAGGGCCCTCATAGCGAATAACTAAAGCCTTCTGCGGCCAGCCAACCAGGGACTGAGGTCTCTAGTTATCTTACCCATGAGTGAGCCCTCTCAGAAATGGACCGTCTATCCCCAGTCAGTCCTTCAGATAACTGCAGCCCTGGCCGCCAGCTTCAGGGCAACCCCATCAGACATCCTGTGCCACAACTACCCAGCTAGGCTACTCCCATATTCCCAACCCTCTGAAGCTGTGTGAGATAAATGCATGTTGTTTTAAGCAGCTAAAATGTGCAGGTCGCTTGTTATGCAATGATAGGAAGCTAAAACACTTTCCATGAATCCTTTTCAAATACATGCTTCAGTAAAATGAGTACACTGGGAAAAAGGAAGCCCCATAATCTAAGATAACTTAAACATATTTGAGTAGTGGAGGAAAATTCTGGGATGCTAAATCACTGCCAAGCAGTTCTGATTGGAGCAGAAAGCAGTGGTCTCCAGGAGGAAGAGCTTTTGTTTATTTTAAAAAATAACTCCTTATCCCTTAGCATATAATGAGAAGGCATGGAAGGATATTGACATACAAGGAAACCAATCATATCTAGAGGCACATGCCAGAAACAAAACAAAACAAGAAAACCAAGAAGTAAAGGAAAACATGTATGAACCCAGGAATATAAAATACATTCTACACACACACACACACACACACACACACACAGTCAAATATATTGTCTGATGCAGAAGTAAGTAGTATTTATAATGCTAATGTTAAACAAGATTACAGATTTTTAAAAATATATAGAATTAACCTATATATATTAAGCAGAGAAAATCTAGTTATAGTTCCAGAAATACACATAAATACTATATCACTATTGACAGTATTCAAGTCAACAGAGAGACAATACAGTTTTTAAGTGGGATTGAGAGGAGGTCAGGGAAAGGGAGCATAGAGTAGGGGCATTAATATCCATGTCTTCTGAAAAGGGAGAGTCAGAAGCCCCCACTTCAGATCTCTATATGGATTTGGGTACTGGCCAAAATTTAAAGCTCTACCAATAACCAAAGAGTTACTAAAATTATTGATGTAGCTAAATTGTGAGGATTTTTGGAGGAAAGAGGGAATGATGTCAGGCAGCTAGGAAAGCTGGAAGTTAATAGCCTGTATCTCAAGCTCATGGATCAACACATGGCAATATAAACATATTTGGAATTAGGGATACGGAATCCCAGCTTAACTAAAAATACTCACTTTTAACAATATTTGTTTGTTGGAGTGGCATCTGTAATGGGAGATAGAGAGCATGAGCAAGCCCACTTTACAAAGTGATTTTTTTAGAGATATCCTGGTTCCTGATGCAGCAGATTCTGTTAGATTAAAGGCCATTAACTTCTTCAGTCTGTCAAAATCAGTACGTAAACAATTCAATGAATTCCAAGTTTAACCAAGTTAAATACTTCATTCCATAGATGCATGAAGCTCTATGAAATGCTGATAATTTTTGTCTGTGCAATTCCTATCATTGTATCTGTAACCACTTGAAAGAATTAAAATATGTATCAAAATCATACATTTTCCAACATAATGTGTAAGCCGCCATTTCAGTGCTGAAATTCCCATTGTTTTGTGTTATCTTAAAAGTACAACATGTTTTACTCCCTCAAGGAGTCAGCCAGTCTTCAATGATGTCAATGTAATGTTGTTGCTTTTTTGTAGTTCAATGTACACAGTGGAATAAATGCCAGAGACACTTAGTTTAGAGCTGTGTATGCTTCCAGCAAGGTAAAAAAAAAAAATCATTTTTACATGTAAAGTCTATCAGAGCTCATAGAGAATTCCCTTTTGAGATCTCTTTTTTCTCAATTAATTTCTAAATGAAGCATAGCCTAAAAATGGATTTAAATTATTAATGCATGTGTTAAACATTTTATGAAAGAAAACATTTTCTTTTTGATCATACATACAAACGAACCTAAAAATAATCGATATTTTTATTCTTTCTCTAAAATCTCAAGGATGATCAAAAAGTCTAGAGGGGAAAAATAGTGTTTTTAACAAGGAAGGAAAGACTGCTTTTATTGGGGAAATCTAAATTTCCTGTTGTGATTCTTGTCTCTACCGTTTGCGCACCTTCTTTGTCTGATGTCACAATTGTTCTTGATTTTTCTGGCTTCTTGTTTTGGCCCTGCGGAAGCTCAGACAGGCTCTGTAACACCACCGTCTTCAACATACACATATATGTTGCACTTGCACGCACACACACACACATACACATGCACACACACACTATCTCCACATTATGACCATGGCCTTGGAGAAGAAAATCATTCTACTCACATTCTAAAACCTCTCTCATCTTTTATAAGTTAGGGTAGCATTCCAGAAAATACATTTTAATAGTTTCTGAGGGCCCTGAATTTCCTCCCATCCCTGGCCTGGAGATTTATGAATACAGACTTCTTGCTTGCCTTCTTGTCATCAGTGATTTAGAGAAGACAAAGGACTATTTTTTTTTCCAACTATGATGTCCATTTCACCCCTCCCATTATCCATAACTACACATTGTCAACACTTACCTAGATGAATTTTAACAATGCCCTCAAATAGAATGCCAAAAAGGCTTTGAAATTACGGATGCCACAACACTATTATGATAATCACCATTATCATAATAAAGACGAGAAGTGGTGCTCCTGGGAAAAGGCTTTTTAAACTTTAGATTGCCTGAGAAGCACTATCTCAGCCCACTTGCTGCTACTGCCTGTTGCCCCAAGAGACCAGGAAGGAGATGCTGCCGTGGAACCTACCTGCTCTGTGCCTGCCGGTCGGGGAAGGGCTACTGCTGCTCTGCTGACTGCGCAACCCCAGCCTGGGATCAATGCTCCTGTAGAAGGTGTCTAAGGGCTGAGATCAGAGGCTCACAAAATCCCCATAAACCTGTGTTGCCAGCCTGTTTATTCTTCTCCATGCTGGGCGGGGAAGAGGGGCACTCATCTTTCACCAGGAACAATAACAACTGTCTATACTGGCGTCTGAAATGCAGGTCAATATAAGTTAACATATTCGGGTCTAGACAGCTGTCTCCATTTGGGGCTAGTTATTTTTCTTCACATATTAAGGATGCTTTTATTTGGAATTATGAGCAAATTTGAGCATGGCCAATTGGGGATCACAGGGGAAAAAATATCCTCTGTCATTCACTTGATTTATTTTTCTATTTATAAGATAGAGTTATTAAAATATTGAAAAGTGATTACTGGAACAATCCCTTGTACTAATTTTAATCAATTTCTTAATGTGTTCCAAAAGTCAAAGCAAAACAAAAATATTAGGGTAGAATCTAACCCAATCTGAGCCAATCGGACCAATCAGAACCTCAAAATGCTGAAATTTTCCTGAAAGTTCTTTTGCAAATGTAAGACATCCATTCAGCACTTGGGATAGAAAAACAAATTGTCTGCATCCTGCAGACTCCCTGACACCAGCCCAAGATGACATGGGCTGCCTTCATTCATTGTCTCCCTTTTCTGAGTTTTTCCTCCCATCACTACATCACCAATAATAAAAGCTGGAGCCCCTCCCACCCCTCGACAGAGTACAGCCATCCCCATCACATACTTGGACATTCTTTCTCTGATTATTCCAACAGCCCCAAATCAGAATTACCCCCAGATTTGGGTGCTATGCAGATGAACATATATCTTATTTAAACTTCCTTGGAGGATAGCCCCAACACCTGAAGTCACTCTTACCTTGACCATAATCCACAATGACTTACATTTTATAACCAGTTGAGACTCTGGCATTTTGCAGAAATGGGACTCGTTTAAATTTTACAATTTAGACCCATCAGAAACCTCAGAAGTCACTGCCTGGAACTCTTACTTGCAAGTAAAGATCATTCCAGAAAAATCAAGTAGCATGCTCTAGCTATGCCATTAATGACTCAGCACCTCATGCATTGCTATTTTCTTAATTCCTGTAGTAGACATTTTAAAACACATATTCAGCATCAAGGATCATATTAAATATTATTAAGCAGTAAATCAGAAGAGATTCTGAAACATTAATGTTCCTTTAGCTATTCAGATGAATATATTGAAGACACCTGTAAGAATGAAAGACCTCTTTTAAAAATATGTGAGCATTTAAGTCTGATTCTCTATAAAAAAGTGTGATCATTAAAGTTTATTTCTACACTATTTTTCTTTTACCTGACTCAGAAAAAAAAAAACATACAATGGGTTCAACGAAGCATAATGTTATGCTACATGAATTTTATGTTTAGGGAATTTTAGGCTAGAAGAGGAATTTAAGCAGAACAATCTGATGGTAAAACACTTCAACTCTCAAAACACAAAAGCAGGTGATGAGCCATCATGATAGAGGAAACAATTTGAAGTTCTGTCAAAGACAATGAAGTTTTGTCCTGAATTTCTGACATAGAACATTTCAAATTGTCTTGGGGGTAGAAAGTCAGAATCTTCTCTTGGAAAATCTATTATGCTCATCTTGGCATAGTGATAAGAAACTTAAAAAAAAAAAAACTTAAAAGAGAAGCCCTCGCTTGAATCATGAAGTTGATTCTTACAGACTTGGAGATATTTTCTAAATCTGATTTCTTCCTGAAATCCTTGTGGATTATTTCCAAAAGCACAAGCTAATGCTTCTGTCTTCTGTAAGTAAAAGAAGTGATTCACGATCATAGACGTCTGCATTAAAAAAAGAGAGAGAGAAATGCAAATATGCAAATTATTTATCTTTTCAAATAGTTTGTAAGGTTTTCTTGCCGTTCTTTTTTAAGCTGTGTTTTATTTTTAACTGACAATAATTGTATATACTTATAGTACAAAGTGGTATTTTGATACTTGTACACATTGTGGAATGACCAAATTAGAAAGAGTAGCATACCCATAACCTCAAATATTTATCATTTCTTCATGGTAAGAACATTTAAAATCCTGTTTTATGTATTTTGAAATATATAATACATTATTATTAACCTTAGCAAGCTTGCTGTGCAACAGAACACCAGAACTTATTCTGCTTATCTGATACCATATGATCCAGCAATCCCACTTTTCTGTATCTACCAAAGGAAATCAAATCAGTATGCTAAAGGGATGTCTGCACTCCCATGTTTATTGCAGCATTATTCATGACAGCCAAGATGTGGAAACAACCTAAATGTTCATCAAAGAAGAGTGGATTTTAAAATGTAGTACATATACACAATGGAATACTATTCAACTCAAAAAAAAAAAAAAAAACAGGAAATACTGTCATTTGTGACAAGATGGATGAGCCTGGAGGACATTTTGTTAAGTCAAATAAAACAGTTGAACTTCTAGAAGTAGAAAGTAGATGGTGGTTACCAGGGGCTGGGGAAGGTAGAGGAGGATGCAGAAAGGGAAGATACTTTTCTTGCAACTTTTTGGAGTGATTTTTTTTTTTTTTTGCTTTTGTTGAGTAGTACAAAGGTGCACTATCAGCTTTTTGTACTAAAGATATGTCTGGGACATTCTTTTTATTATGATTGTCAAATCTCTATCCAAAAAATAGAGTAAAATGTTTTCTAAAGGGTAAAAACTAAAACATAAAAATAGCAATACATGTAAATGAAAAAAATAAAGTTGACCAATATGGGAGTTAGGGGCACTGACCTTCTGCAGTCAAATCCATTTATAATTTTTGACTCCCCAAAAACTTAACTACTAATACCCTGCTGTTGACAGGAAGCCTTACCAATAACATAAACAGCAGACTAACACATGTTTTATATGTTCTACATACTGTATTCATAAAATAAAGTAAGCCAGAACAAAGAAAATGTTATTGAGAAAGTCATAAGGGGGCTGGGCGCAGTGGCTCATGCCTGTAATCCCAGCACTTGGGAGGCCGAGGCAGGCGGATCACGAGGTCAGGAGATGGAGACCATCCTGGCTAACATGGTGAAACCCCATCTCTACTAAAAATACAAAAAAATTAGCTGGGTGTGGTGGCCGGTGCCTGTAGTCCCAGCTACTCAGGAGGCTGAGGCAGGAGAACGGCCTGAACCCATGAGGCAGAGCTTGCAGTGAGCCGAGATCGCACCACTGCACTCCAGCCTGGGTGACAGAGCGAGACTCCATCTCAAAAAAAGAAAGTCATAAGGAAGAGAAAATATATTTACTATTCATTGAGTGGAGTGGATCCACATAAAGGTCTTCATCCTCATCGTCTTCACATTGAGGCTGAGGAGGAGGAGGAAGAAGAGGGGTTGGTCTTGCTGTCTTGGTGATAGTGACAGGAGGCAGCCAAATGCCTAGGCAGATAGGGGCAGGTCCCCAGTGAAACCCCACCTCCAAGCTCAACACAGTTTAAAGTCTGAAAGCCAAGCTACAAGTTAAATCCCTGGAGTGGATTGAGAACTCATCTTCCTGTTTGGCACTCTTTCCTCTGATTGATCCCCACCCTTCACCTATTTTACATATACCTACCCTTCCTTAATTGGTTTTCTATGCTGTCATGCCCATTTTTGAGTGGTGTCTTCATTTTAACCTTTTTTGCATACTCACAAACCAGTCAGTGTGCACTCCCCATCCTGTGCCTGTAAAGAACCCAGACTCATCTGACTTTGGGGAAGATGACCTTCCCTTCCCGTCCCCTCTTTAGCTCCCCTCCCATTTTCATAGCTCAATAAAATTCTCTGCCTTCACCATCCTTCAATTGTCTGTGCAACTTCATTCTTCTTGGACACCAGACAAGAGCTTGGGACCTATTGACTGCAGGTACCCAGAAAGGCTGTCATACTGACCCTTTGCCCTCACCAGCAGAGGGCACCATCACCAGGGACCAACTGAGCTGCTAACATTGCTGTCCACGGATGACAGAACTAAGAGAGCACTGTAACACCCTGTCTGGGGCTTAGGGTTCATGGGCACCCTCACCTGGGTGCTGCCACATTCACCTCAAGGTGATATACCTGGTCTAGCCACGGGCCCTGCACAGAGCTTGCTCCTGTGTCGGTGCCCAGAGTGGCTGGCTGGATCCTGCACTTGCTCACTCACGTGCTCTCTCCTGCAAGGGGTTGAGCATGGTGAGCTGAGTAGATGGGGTGCTCCTTCCGCAAGTCTAGCCAAGAGGCCGAGAAAAATCCTGCATCATCAGGAGTGGCAGAGTCATGAGAAAAATCCCTGTTTAAGTAGACCTGCACAGATCATACCCATGTTGTTCAAGGGTCAACTGTGTTATAATAGTCTCCAATGGGTATTTGCCTCCTGCTAAGGATGAAAGTCACAGAGATGCTGAGTCATTAACATTAAGCGTTTCCAAACATCACTGTAGAAGGATTTGAAATGCGTACTAAAATACCATGGTCAAGAATATAAGTTAATTGTATAGTCAAGTCCATTTGGGAAACATGATATAGTTTATATATTTTCACTTGAACCTACTTCTTTTCTACATAAAATCTTGAATTAGAAAATTCACCAGATATTACTAGGAAAAAAAGTACCAGAATTTCTCAACTGATTATTCCAGTCAATGTTCTGCTACATTTATTCATAACCTATCCAGTAATTAAAGAAAAACTAATCCTAATTTCCTTGTACCTAGTACAGGCACAGCAGCCCTTTCTCCTTATGCTAAATTATTTAACTGACCCAATAAACTCATTAGTTAGATGTGCTTATTGTTATTTTACAGATAAGAAAAAAAAACACTAGGGGGTTAAATAAAATACGTGTCAAACAATAATTTTACTTGCCACATTGTTGGCAGTCATCTCTCAAAACATTATACAAAAACTAAAGTTTTGGATACAAGCATATCATAAAGTACTGATCACTTTCCCATAATTCTATGATATTTTCAAACACAGTCATAAGTCAGCCTCCCTGGGAGCAGAGCCTGAGATAAGGATGTTGCTGCAGGTGATTGACAGTGCATGCGTTTTGGAACAAGAGGGATGAGGAGAGCAGCCTAAGACAAGGATGTAGTCTCAGCTGGAGAATGGGTCAGCTAGATCCCATGGGTGCTCTGGAAGACCCACTGGAGCCTTGTCTGAAGGTCACTGGCAATTTAGTAGAGAGAGAGGTACAGTTGTGAGAAATTAACATATGTTACAGCAGCTGGAGGAGCAGACCAATAACTAAAGTTCAATGGTCTGGTGTCATGGACAGCACTATTTAGTGGTCCAGTATCACCAGATGTTTAGATCAGTTCACAGCACAAAATAAATTTTAATCACTCTTACATTTCTGCCAATTTAACCCACAAATTCATCTCAAGTAATGATTAAAAGTATTTTGGATATGTTAATCAGCTTGATTGAATCTTTCTACAATATATACATAGATCAAAACATCACATTGTACCCCATAGCTATGCAAAATTATTTGTCACTTGAAAATATTTTTTTGAAAGCTAAACATTAAATTAAATTTTAAAGCATAACCATAAACATGGTTACAAATTGAAATAGAAAATTTATAACAGTTATTAAAAGTAAAAATATGTGAAGCAAAAGTAAAAGAATAATAAACTTTTCTAAAATTTTTTTTTAAGTGTTACTACTTGGTCTTGCATTGTTTATTACTTATTAGTTTGAGAGGAAAAATAGTATTTTATCTTGGAAAGCTTGAAAAAATGAAATACTGTACCCAAATGAAGAGTTTACTTGTGTTCTGAAATAAAAGTAAAAGATGCATTATCTATTGGGATATTTATGCAAATATTTAATTTCCAAAACTTTGAAATATGTAAGACTGCCAGAAGAAAGGATGAAGAAAAAAGTGGAGTAAGCATTTCGCAAATAATTTTTATAAAAGAAAAAAAGCTCATGCTGAAAGTAATGAAAAAGAAGCCTGTGGCCTTTTTTTTTTTTTTTTTTTTGAGATAGAGATTGTGTCATAATAAGTGAAATGAAAGCGTCGCAGTAATACGGTACAGGAAAGGGGGACAAGAGCAAATGCATTGCAGATATTTCACTTCTCCCTCATGGCCAAATTGCCCGATAAACAGGTATTTCGCTCAGTTTTGCACACAAATTTTAGTAATTGCAGAATTTTGGACATAGAAAATGAGCACCGCCTTTCATGTTTCACCATCTTTTCATGCCCACTATTTGCCATCAGAATGTTTTCCAAATACAAAGTTAATAAGCAAAAGTATTTTTATAGAATTTATTGTATGAAAGGATAATGATAAATGTGTTTCTGAAAAATTTTTCCTGTGGGTCTCAATGCCATCTATATTGCCCAAATAAAGTGGATTTAAAAAGCAGATGCAGACAGAAAATGAAAGTTTGTTTATATTAGCTGGGTGATGTGGATGCACTGTCATTTATTCAATCAAGAAACGGGTCTTGGAAGCCAACCTGAGCTGAGAAATGTCAGGTATTGGAGATTCAGCAATTAGTTAGTCAGAAACTGAGACCCTGTTCTTGAGGGACCCCAGGCTAGCGTTTGAGGAGAAACATCAAATAAGTAAACAAATATAAGTAAACAAATATATATATACACACATACACAATTGCAATAAAGACAACCACAAAGAAGAAAAAGTACAGGGCTCTAAGAACATCTTATAGGCTGGGCGTGGTGACTCACACCTGTAATCCCAGCACATTGGGAGGCCCAAGTGGGTGGATCACTTGACCCCAGGAGTTCAAGACCAGCCTAGGCAACATGGCAAAACCCCATCTCTACAAAAAATACAAAAATCAGCCCAGCGTAGAGGTGCATGCCTGTAGTCCTAGCTACTTGGGAGTCTGAGGTGGGAGAATCGATTGAGCCCGAGAGGCAGAGGAGGTTATGGTGATCACACCACTGCACTCCAGCTTGGGTGACAAAGCAGGACCCTATCTCAAAATACTACTACTACTAATGTATAATAGGGCATTTAATTGGGAAATTATGTCCAGCCGAACATTCAAGGAAGGTTTTCTTGAGAGGATAATAAACCCCTGAAGCAATGTCTGGATGTAAGAGACAAAGGCTGCAAAGTCCTGAAAACTTTGCAGAAAGAAAAACAAACTCATTTAACATAAAAAAGTATGGAGGACCTCACTCCCATCCTCTACTCTTTTCTCCATTCAGCCCAACCCTACCCACTATAAATAACTACTTTTATTAGTTTCTTTATGCTAATATAAACCATTAAACACTACTTTCTCTCCAAACTGATTAATAACAATCTTACACTTTTTTGTTTTGTTTTGTTTTGGTGCAGATGTATAATGTTTTATCGTGTAGTTCACCATAGTTTATTTAGCAATCTCTGTTAAGGGATACTTGAATTGTTTCCAATCATTTACGAATTTCAAAAATCACCTACATCTAGCTATATGACATATCAAGCATTGATGACAGCTGGTAAGAAAAATGATGCCATCTCTTTTCCTTTGTCTCTAGTTGAATATAAGAGATCCATTTCTCTACCTAGAGTAACTTTCTGTTTTGCATGTATGTGTGAGCATTTGTTCAATTCATGAGTATCATTGCTGAACTCACTACAGATTGTCTGCGTGTGTCAAGTCTCCTCCCACTAGAGAAATGGTCACAAAATGAAAATACAAATAAAGCTATGCTAATGTCTCAAAAGTTTGATGCTGAGTTTGTTATTAATAAATACCTTTGATGATTTTTAAGCCCTTGCCAGCTGTTTAGAAATCACTGAGGATGTGCAATGTGAAAGGCTGTTTTGGTTCCCAAGCAAACTGAATTTTGTTGATAGTATATACATTTCTCTCACTGTTATTTTTAGATGTGAATCTACTGAAGCAAATTAACACATTTAAATTCATCTCAATCCAATTTGGAAACAGGAAACATCTATGGTCCACATTTTCTGTTGAAGTCATAAACTACTAATTTGAACCCCACTGCCTTGGATTTTGTGAAATTTGCTATCAGATAAAGAATCCCTGGATATATTTAATTCCAGGACTATCCCACCTGAATGCACCAGTCTGTGTATATCTGCTTGTAGAAAATGTCATTCTGAACTAGGCAGTTCCATTCTGATCACTGCATACCTTTATGCCACTATTCAATATTTGAAATCACCCTTGCCTACTAGCACCCATTTTTGTGAACTAACTAAACTTTCTGAACTAAGCCAGGTGTGTCCTCTGAGTCCAGAATAAATAATCGTTTGGCCGAACAAGTACCTTGAGATGGAAAAGTCTTGGAATTGGCTAACTCCTCTGAGGTGCCCACTATTTACCATCAGGATGGTTATTTTAAACAAATCAAGGAAGTTTATCATACAAATAGTTTGACTTGGTGACTGCCATAAAATTGGCTTATGAAATAAAAATTTATTCATACCCATGACTAAGTACACACTGTGACATGATGGGATTTGGAAAGCCGCAGTTATTTAGAAAGAAGGCTGTTCGGCATGAGCTTTGTCCAAAGCAAATGGGCCAGGTCAGTGGGAACCAGCAGTTTGTAAGTACTGTTTCTCCCTGCACCATCCCTGTGGAAGCACCAAGGCTCCCAAAACACAAGCAAACTTCAGTTGAAATGTGTACCCATCATTAATCTGCTTTTCAAAATAAATAATATCAGATTAAAATGATTCATAATCTAGCTCTTTTGTAAATTACCAACCAGCTCTAGAAATATTTCAAAAGAAGAGGAAATGTTGACTTGAGGCTAAATCTTGCGTTCTCCATTATCGCTATGATTTTGGAAAAGTTTCAAAGTTAAAGGAAAGCAGAAATAACAATATGTAATATATGATTACAGATATATATTGCATCTCTCCATTGTTACAAATGATCTACTATGAGTCACTGTGTTTTCAGTACCCAAAGGCCATAGCATAAAGAACACAACAGATGGAACCAGACTTGCCTGCAGGTCTTGGCTCTTCCATTCACTAGATGATTGACTTTAGGCAGGACATTTGGTTCCCTGGAAACTTGAGTTCCTTATCTGCACAACGAAGACATGTGGGGTTCAAAATAAATATATCACACCTTGAAAAAAGCACAGACTCAACACAAGTATTATCTCTGACTCAATTCCCTTGGCTCCTACTAAATATCATAATGAATTATTCCTTTCCGTGGGTTGGCCTTTTATTTGTTATTTGTAATCCAGGCCCTTTTCTTTTAGTTCTGAAATGGATTTGAGACAATATCTAAGACACTTGAAGGGATGAAAAATCTAGAAAATTCAGGATAAAATCTTGACATTACTATGGTGATGAAATAATTACAAAAGAAATGCAAAGGGAAGGTAAGTTATTGAAGGGCAGCTGAAAACTTGAGTTCCTAGGAGCCCTAGCAAGGAGAGAAACACAATGAGTTGAAGGTGCTTGTTTTCTAATGAGATGATGACTGCTCTGTCCTTAGAGGAGACTGCTGTGTTCCTGAGTCTGCAAGGTGTTTATGGCACATACTTTTATATTAAACTGTACAAAGACAATATTGTCTCCCAGCACTTTGGGAGGCCAAGGCAGGTGGATCACCTGAGGTCAGGAGTTTGAGACCAGCCTGGCCAACGTGGTGAAACCCTGTCTTTACCAAAAATGCAAAAATTAGCCAGGTGTGGTGGTGCATGCCTGTAATCCCAGCTACTCGGGAGGCTGAGGCAAGAGAATCTCTTGAACTGGAAGGCGGAGGTTGCAGTGAGCCGAGACTGTGCTACTGCACTCTAGCCTGGGCAACAGAGCAAGGCTGTGTCTCAAAAAAATAATAAAATAAAATAAAGACAATATTGTAATTATGGTTTTCCAAAAAGCAGGATCATATTGACTTCTATTGTCTGATAACAGATCTTTTAATGCCACATGACTTCAACTGCATAGCTCAGGTTCTGGAATGCTGATGTATAGTTTGCTCAGGCTTGAGTAGCTCTTGTATTCACAGAAGCTAGCTTCATTGGAGCTTGGTCCAGCCTGGGCAGTCATGACCAGGAAATACAGAGTAGATAGCTCCCCTAAAGCAACCCTCAGAGGCAAACACTCCCCAATAGATCAATGCCTCCACTTCTGCATTATTTGGTTGGACAATTCTGAGGATTCTCAGAGTCTTCAGTTGGAAGAAGCTCTATATACTCACGGTGAGAATCTATTCTAGATTTTCTTCATTTCTTTTTAGAAACTTTATATTTCCTCAGTGGTTCTTTCTAGGATGCCTTCCCAAATAAACAGCCTGCCTTTAAATCCTTCACTCACGATTTCCTTTGAAGGAATCCAAACGAAGATATCTCACTAAAAGTCATGGCGCATTGTTAAGTTATAGCTTTGCAAAGACCTTTCTGAGTGGGAAAAGATGTGACCAATATAGTATGTTCCACTGTAGCCGTGTATGATGCACTGTACTGCAGAAATACAGTTTCACTAATTTCAGATAATGAATTCATAGCATGCACTGTGTTCTGGCATAATTCCGTTAACTCAACAAGGCTTATGTCAAATGTTCTAGAGGAGTGAGTAGAAAGAGACATGAATGCAGCTTAAGTGGGGCTGATAGTATAACTGCCTATGCCTGCTTTATGAAATTCGTGAATTTACACCATTAATTTGTTGTGAGATTCATGACTTAAAGGCCTTGATTTAAATCAAAGTTCCTTGAAGACCGATGGAGAAAATGTAATGATTTTACAGACAAGAATTGCTATAAAGTCTGCTCATAACGTAGTGGTGTTTTCATCCTTAGATTCCTTACAACATCTCACTTTGAGCACAGCCCACAGTCCCTTCATGGTGAATCTTTCTTTTCATCATAAATTGAATGTATAGATTTCTGAGCTTCATTGAGCCATAGCTATTGAATTCAACTATTAAACTAATCAGTGGTATCTTATATTTTATAGTTTTCATCTGTCCTCAAACTCTCATGTTTTAAATGACTGCTTTTTGAAACTTGGGCACTCAGTAGACTCAAAGAGGAAACATTTACTAACTCATCAAAACCTGTGGGGTTCTGTCTCAAGATGTGTGTGACATGACTGAGACTTTACTGCATTCCACCTATAATTTTGAAACAAAACCTGGTTTGGAAAAGACAGATTTTAATACTTGAATTTTCAATGCTGCAATCAAGAATCATGTATTTTGATTACATGTATACATTCACACATAACATATGTAAAGTAATAATATATGTATGATATAAATATACATATGTGTGTATATATATAATATATTAGTCACTGAACAACATTTTCCTCCAATGAACAACAGAACACTTGAATAATTTGGCCTGATCACTGGATTTAGAAGGAGGGGAGACCTTTCTTTAATTTTCCTCTGGATCACATACACAATCACAGCAAAAGGAAATGCCTGGCTGTGCATTACACATACTTGGTGCATTCAACCCCAGGGGCTTTTTAGTGAATCTCTCCACAACGGATCAGGTTCTTGCAGAGGTACAAAAAAGACATAGCACAAGGAGGGAGGCTGAGTGAGCACATTCCCAACAGCATGCCTAGATAGACCACCTGATCTCACAGAGAAGGGGTGTTAGAAGGAAACTCTACTGGAGGTCAGGAAGGTCATTGCAGGCCAGAGTGGTTGAGAATGCTTCACCAAGACAGAACTATCCCTGAAAGGGAGGTTATGTTTGAATCTGGGTGAGTGGTCTAACGTTGGGAGGATTCTTTATAAAGCAGGAGCACAACTGGAATAAAAATATGGAGCACATGAGAGAGCACATTGTGAGGAATCGTTGGAGGATTGTGGAAGTCAGGGAGCGGAAACCAGTTTGCTTGAATAGAGACTTCTTAGATTGGCAAAGACGCATGAGGACTTAAGGGTCTGGAGGGCTGTGGATTCCAGTTTAGAAAAAGTTTACAGCAGTGGATTCTTGACACAGGGAATTGCCATTCATTGACCACATCTCCTTGGCTCCTAGACCTCAGACTGGCAAAAAGCAGGCCCTTAATACAAGTTTTGTGACTGAATGCATGAAATCTAATTTAATAATTTATGGGACGCTGTTGCACTTAGTGGCAACAAATGATGCAAAATAGCAACAATTAAACTAATAATTAAAAACACATTAGCTAAGACTGAATGCAGAAAAACTGTGAGCGGACAAAGGCAAAGGACAGAGAAAAAATTGTTAGGAGACAAGAGGGATGGATAAGGACTGAGCATTGGATCAGGAATACAAATAAAAATGACAGAGTGAATGACAGTGAGAGAGAGAGAGAGAGAGAGGAAGAAGAGGAAGAAGTAGTAGCTGTATAAAATCATAGAAGCTTCCCTAGGAGGTAAACTCTGGAATGGTGCTATTTCCCACAGTAAGACTTTCTGAAAAAACTCAAGGGATGTGTCATTCCCAGGAGACATTTTAGAGCTAGAGTTCATCTTGAAAATCATCAAGCTCATTTTGCATACTGTATTCAGGAAATCAACTTAGAGATAAAATAGGATGGGAGCCTTTTTTTTCTCAAGTTTGCCACTGGATGAATTTTATTTTCTGCAATCCATATGATTTACATGTCTTCCCAAAGATCAGAAAAATTATTGTATTATTTTGTAATGGGGCAATATTTGGGGGAACTATGTAAGTGCGTTTATTCTGAAGAATTTTTATTTTGATAGTATCATTTATATAACAAAAATATGTTAAGGGTATCTGGAAGTCTGTTTTATTTTTAAACAAGAGCAAAGCTTACAAATTAGCATTTTGGAAAGACTCTAAAATTAATAGTACCCAGTATTCATTAAGCATTTATTATGTACCAGACTAGATGATATGCAAGGGTGATTTCATCTAATCCTATCAACACTATCAGGGAAATATCAAGCTTTATTTTTCCAACTTTACAGAGAAGGAAACTGCGGCTTCCATGGTTTAAATCATCTACTCCAGAATAGCCAGCCAAAAAGGTTGAAGTTTGAAATCAGGGAATCTTTCTCCAGTACCCAAACTGTTACATACCAAATACTAAAGGGCCTTCTAGATTCAATAAGTGAACAGAATTGCAAACATTTGTGTGACAGTTCATAATTAATCATTGCTGACCATACATCTGTTTCTGTTTACAAGGCTTGGGGATTTCCCATCTAAATTGATTTCAGAACATCTTATCATATGCAGCTTAGTTACAGTATTTGATTATTGATTCTCTCATAATATGTTCCCTGTAAACCAAGTAACGTATTTTCATAGAGATGGTCTAACTGTCCTTATCCATAACACAGATTTTTTTTTAGGTTGGCATTTAGTTGGCTCCTTCATTGGAATCTGGTTAATTTTTTTTCCTACATAAACTTTCGATGGAAGTGGGAACTTGGTGAAATCTTCCCTCGGTTTCCTGCCACATGACTCTTTTTGGTTTTTCAAAGGGAAAAGCAAACTCATCTTCCTCTCTGAAATGTATTTTTTTGACTGGTTCTCAGATTTCCTCTTGCCCTTTTCTTTTGCCACTCTGGGTAGCCAGGGATGTGTTTGGTCTGAGGCATCTTAAGAAGAAAGCTTTTGCCTTGGAAACAGGGCAGTTTTCTACTTCCATAAAAACACAAGTAAGAATACAGAATCCTTTGTATTGAAGCACTATAATATAGAGACATCATTTCTAAAAAGAAAAATACTTCTCAGTGGGTGTTTTGTTTTGTTTGTCTCTTTCCTTTTGTTTGTGTTTTCTTGTCTGCCTTTGTTAATTGCTTAGGTATTTTTAGGTGTTTTTAAAAACAAGCAAAAAAATTGTTGTGTTTAAATCATTGTCCAAATTTTGAGTTAAACATTTACTCATTCACAGGACTCTCCTAGGTGATTCTAAAGATGTCCTTTAAAATGTAGGATAACTATATTTTTAGTACTAAGATTGTGGTTCTGATGCCTGAATGCATTGGTTCATATCCTGGCTTTGTCCCTTGAGAACTGCATGACTTTGAGCAAATTAATGGAGTGTTCTGTGCCTAAGACTGTCCATCTGGAAAAGGGAAATAATGTTAGCACTTGCCCCATGGTGTTATAAGGATATATGACTTAAGTTCCTAGCATGTAATAAGTACTCAATAAATACTAGCTGCTTCTATTAAAATTCAGGGAGAATTCCTTAGAGAACTTCAAATATTAGAGCAATTATATGGCTTCTGTCTAGAAGATGGAAGAGAACTCACTTACATAAGAGAACCAGTTAGGCTACCCATTCAGTCAACATTGTGGTTCAAGTGGGATTACCAGTTAGGGACCTAGGACGTCAAGCGTTTTGCTATTTTGGCCATCTCAGCTCTTTAGCTATAGATGATAAAATATTCTTCTTAGTACAGAAGATTAGTGATAATTTGCCCAGTCGAACTCATGGAAAAGCCACTTCCATTAAGGAAGAGTGTACCAAGAGGAAACACTTCATGATTTAGGTGAGATTTGAGAAAGTAGTCATGTACAGATAGTGCATATAGTGCAAAAATCAGACAGCTAGTTCTTTCCTGGGTGGCCCAGAAAGTCTTCAGGATAGAAATGGGTAGCAAGCTACTCTTAATAACAACAAAGACTGGGAGGGATATGATGGATTATAATATTCTTGCTATCTTTAGAAACTGAAAAAATAATAAATGGGAGAGTCATCTGGTCAACCTTATCTTGCTAAAGGCATCACTGGAATCTGGCATCATTGAAGTTGCTGAGTCAACGGGTGAGCCTGGAACAATCTCATGTAGTACTGACTACAAAGTCCAAGGATACCTACAAGGCAATGTGCCTACTTTATGATGGGGCAACATTCCTCTCCTGTGGCATGGCTGTCCTACCTTAAACCAGTTCAGTAGGTCTGAGGAAATCTTAACAGGATGGCAGAACGCTGTGTCAGCATGGGCTTTACCAAAGTATGTATAGTGTTTACTACACCCTGCTTTCCAGGTCCTATCAGTATGATATCATTAATAGTGGATCATGGGTTGATCCTTGCTCAAGGATGGAAGATAGAGATAGAAGTAACGAAGGACCTTGTAGACCAAAGTATGGCACAAGATCATAGATGGTGAAAGTGTATTGCTGTTATACCTGAAGAGAAGGCTAAACCTGGTGATGGCATACATCTCTTAAAAGGACACCAGAGATATAGTGGGTAGTGTGAATTTACCATTTGGGTGGTAAGAGAGAGTGACAGGGGCTCATTGGACTTTTAGCATCAGGAAGCCCATGTGGGGCTTGCACCCCCAGGTTAAAATGATCTATTCCAGATATACAGTTAAGAAATGGAGAAATAGACACGGGACGCAATACTGGTCATATCTGACTTCTTGTAAAGTAGACTCATGTCAGACCTCTAGTATCAACTAACCCCATAATGTCACGCTCTGACAGTGCTGCTTCTCAGATGTAGCATCTACTAAACCTTAAACAACTCAGGTCTATCCATTTCCTTGGTGCACAATAACTCTTTCCAGGAGGGAGATCATAGTACATACATATTTGAGATATTATTGAAGGACATCTTTTCGAGGACTTTCAGCCCCCCCATTCAGTCCAGGGGCTCTGAATCTAAGGACTGACACGGGTCTTGAAATTCGTGAAGGATGAGAACTCTTATGTCAGTTCACATGAGGACTCTCTTTGCCAGTTTGGGATTTTTTGTTTATTTCTTTATACAAAGCAATGAAGAGTTTGGGGCACTATGCATCTTCTTTGCTGGTAGGGATTTTTCAATCATTTGCCACCTCCACGTATCCTGTGGGGCAGACTCTTTCTAATTCTCATGCCTGCTCTGCTGCTACTCTGACAACCAGGTTATCTTGCTGTGGATGTCTAAGATACTTATTCCCTTAAAAGCAGGGGCCCTGTTTCCAGCTCTCCCACCAGCCTCTCCATTCTGCATAAAACAAGTCGTTACAGAACTATTCATGGATGATGCCACTTTCCTCGACAACTTACAAAAGGAACCTACCCTACTGGTCATCTCAGGAAAGATAATTACAGGGTAGGTGGCAGTTGCTTATGATCAATCCACTCCAACAGGCATGGTCCCTACAGACTCTCTCCCCAAAGTGGAAATAAGTGGCTGCCTTGGCTCCAAGGAGAGGCTGCAGCTTAGTGTACTCTCAACTTCCCAAACCTCCTCATAGGCCTTGATTTAAATTCTGAGGGCCCCTCATTTTCCTCTATCTGGAGCCTTACTTTCTTATAAGAAAACCGGTTAAGCTACCCATTCAATCAACATGGTTATTCAACTAAGATTGCCATTTTGTGACCTAGGAGGTCAAGCCCTTTGCTCTTTGGCCATCTCAGCATTATAGCTGCAGAGGATAAGACAGTCTTCTCAGTACAGGCACAGAAACTCCCTGATAATTGACCATCCCTATGTGATAAATTCTCCATAAAAATATGAAAAGTATGGGGTTAAGTTTCTTTCACCGTGACGAACAGATCCATGTGCCAGGAGGGTGGCTCATCTCAGCTGCACAGGGACAGAAGCATCTGTGCTGGGGACCCTCACCCTATGTCTCTCTTTTTCTGGCTCTTCACGTGTATCCTTCATCGTATCCTTTATTAATATATTAAACTGGTAAACATAAATGTTTCCCTGAGTTCTGTGAGTCATTCTTGCAAATGTATTGAACCTGAGTAGAGGGTCATGGGAATTCTGATTTATAGGTGGTTATTCAGAAGCACAGAGGAACAACCATTGGCCTGTAATTAGTGTTTAAAGTGGGGGTGGAGGGAGCAGTTTTGTGGGACTGAGCCCTTAACCTCTGAGACTGATACTATTTCCAGGTAGTGTCAGAATTGAGTTACATTGTAGGATGCCCTGCTGATGTTGCAGAATTGCTTCACATTTTGGTGACCAGAAGTGTGTTGTATTGGGACTATAGTAAGAGAAACAGTTGGTTATTTTTTACCTTACCCACATATACATATATAAATTAAAAGTATTAACTCAAATGTTTTCCTTTTCTCTGGTTACCACTGTCCCTGTGGCAGAAGAAAAAAAAAAAAGCTTTCTCCATCAAGAGAGCATTTATTAAACTGATAAAATATTTTAACCTTCCTTGTAATTCTGAGTACTGAAGAGATTGCCTCAATACAGGAAGCTTTTAATCTGAATGCTTTGTTTTATGCTAACCACATCTAATAATACTTCTGAAGCTTTTATGGATTTTCTACAGTCTGATTATTTTTTAAAAAATGGATTGATGAACGTTTTTCTCATTTTCCCACTCATGTGGTAACAGTTGATGCATCTGGCACAGGGGTAACCAGCAAAGCAATAAACAGATAGAAGGAAGGATGGTTCTTTGACTTTCCATTTAAAAGGAAAAAAAACCTCTTATAACAAGAAAGCGCATTCATGTTCTTTACCTTCTCAGTGGTGGCTGCTGTGTTTGGTTGGTTTGATAGAATGCTCCGTAAGTACTGTTTTGAGATCTGCCAAAATACGCATGAATCCATCCACATCTCTTCATCCACTTCTGCCCCACAAAAGTCATTATCCTCATTTGCCTTGACGATTCCAACAGCTTCTTCACAAATGACTCTTCTTCTCTTGCAGCACTGCAAATCATCTTCCTCATGCCTTTCAGCATGCTTTTTAAAGCATAAATATGATCATGGCATTCCCTGTTTAAGCCCCTTTACAGGCATCTACTGTGTGCAGAATAAGGTCAGTACATCATCACACAGCTTTCCTGGTCTCTGACCTCATTGTGTACCGTGCTCTCCTTTGCGTATGAAGCACATGATCTTCACTCTGCTCCTCCAACATGAACTGCCAAGTGCTCTCATGCCTCAGGAACGTTGCATCTGCTGTTCCTTCCTTCAGGGAAGCTCTTCCTCCAGACCTTCACCTATAATACCTGGCTCCTTTATCACTAAGTTTAAATTCCAATGTCCTCTCCTCAGGGAGGGTTTCCCTGAGCATCCCATCTTAAGAGGTTCACACCCACTGTTGCATGACCCTGTCTTATTGTTTCCACAGCATTTATCACCCTCTGAAATCATTTTTTATTGACACACACAATGTGTCTGCAGGGATGCAGGCTGGAGTACAGTGGTGCCATCATAGCTTACAGCAGCCTCGAACTCCTGGGCTCAAGAGATCCTCCTGCTTCAGCCTCCTAAGTAGCTGGTACTACAGGCAAGTGCCACCACACCCAGCTACTTTTTATTTTTATTATTGTAGAGACAGGGTCTCCCTATGTTGCCCAGGCTGGTCTTGAACTCCTGACCTCAAGTGATCTTCCTCCCGTGACATCTCAAAGTGCTGGGATTATAGGTGTGACCAACTGTGCCCAGCCAGTAATGCAATATTGATAAAAGGTTAGGAATTATTGCCTTGTTCTGTAAATAACCAGGATCTACAATATTGTTTCATACACAGTCAAACTTCAACAAGTATCTGTTGAGCTGAATTTCTTTGAGATGATTTAATAGAGCCATTCACTCTCTGAACATTTGTAAAACATCTCAGACTTCCCCTACTGAGTAACTGTGAGGAATAAATAGACAATGTTTTGAGGGAACTTGGTGCACAACAGCTATTCAGTAAATAATTAACGTATGCAGATTTCAAGGATATCTTTTGGCGCTCTCTTTTCCATCATTTCAGTTGAGACAGAGATGATTTGCATCTTTCGTATTAGTTTCAGTCTCCAGTAAGAAGGAAAAAAAAATGACCCAGCTCTGTCTATAGTCCCCACAGATGAGCAAACATGGACTCAGATGGCTGTCTAAGATGGGACGAAAAGCAGAATAAGGGAGGAATGCACAACTGAAGAAAACGTCACCGTTTGGTCATTCATAAGATTTTCCTAGACAATTCTGGCTTTTCTTTACCATTTACCTTAAAGTATTGAGATGTGACAATTGAATGCCAGGGAAGAGTTAACAGGTTCACTCATGGTTAACTGTCAATAGCCTTCTATTCTGTTTGCCAAGTTAATTTGATTTCCCCATCTCCTGACTAAACAAAATTGGATTAGAGCAGGAAAATGGGTAGATATGGAACATGGAAGCCCACGTATGGGTCTCCGAATGAAGGCTAGGCAGGGAGTGGGCAGTGTGAGGGCAAGTGAATTTGGGGAGAAGATAAGAGCACCCCAAAGTACAAGACTATGTTTACAAGTCTCAAGTTTACCAATGAGATTGAGGAACAATGAAAACCAAATGACCTGCATCTGCATTTCTCCCCACGAGGACCATGAGCCCAGTGGTCCATGGAGGAGCCAGAAGTCCCAGAGACCAAGGTGCTGCTCTGTCCTCACTGGTCCAGCCCCTGCCGCCATGCTCAGATGTCCAGTCACTAGTGGATCCTGAGACATAGGGCAGACCACAGACCCCAGTGTCCGCCTCTGGGAAAATGCTCAGCAGATTATCCATGAAGAAATAATCCTGACTTAAACTGGAAGAAGAACAAATAGCTTGTTCTGTGACAGAAATTGGTGGCAGCCAAGGGCTGGAAGGAGTTTATTTGGTGAGCAACCACCCCAGCTAGCCTGGGATTGAGGGGTTTCCTGAAACCCAGGACAAAATTGAGCTAGTCACCCTTAAGCCCAAAGCAGATTTTTGAAGGGAGGTAGTGTAATTTTCTTGTAACACTTGTATAAAGTATGAGGCTAATTAGAAAGCTAACATAAAGCAGGTAAACCTGTATTTAGCATTTTTTAAAAAAAACTCTGCACTGTACTGGATTGAATAATGCCACCCAAAATTTGTGTCTACCCAGAACCTGTGAATGGGACCTTATTTGGAAATAGGTGTTTACTAATGTAATCAAGGCAGATTGAGGTCATGCTAATGTAGGGTGGGACCTAAATGCAATGACTGATGTCCTTATAAGAAGTGGGAAATATGGTCAGGTGCAGTGGCTCATGCCTGTAATGCCAGCACATTGGGAGGCCAAGGCGGGAGGATGGCTTAAACCCAGGAGCTGGAGACCATCTGGAGCAGCATGATGAAACCCCATCTCTACAATAAATAATTTTTAAAAAATTAGCCAGGCATGGTGGCATGTGCCTTTGGTCCCAGCTACAAGAGAGGCTGAGGCAGGAGGATCACCTGATCCCAGGAGTTGAAAGCTACAGTGAGTCATGTTCACTGCACTCCAGCCTGGGCAAAATTTGAGCAAGAGCCTGTCAAAAAAAAAAAAAAAGAAGAAAAAGAAAGAAGAGGGAAATATGGACACAGAGATACAGACGGAGGAACATGCCTTATAATAATAGACACAGAGATTGAAGTGATACATCTACAAACCAATGAATGTCAAGGACTTCTAGCAACCACAAAGATTTAGAAGAGGCAAGGAAGGATTGTCCTAAAAGCCTTCAGAGAGAGCACAGCTCTGCTGACCCCTTGATTTTAGACTTGTAGCCTCCAGAAATGTGAGATAACACATTTAGTTTGCTTTAAGTCACCCCATTTGTGATAATGTATTACAGCAGCCACTGGAAACGAATACAAATACAAAAGAAATTTTCATTCCTGTGCCTCTAACAGGGACATCAAATGTAAGAAGCAAGGGATCTGGACTATTCTGTCATCGTTCACAGTGCCCTGTCTTCCGGGCATCCATGGAGCGTAATGCGCTGTTGCTTAATTAAATGCCACATCCAGGCACTGTCAAGATGATAAGTGTGTTTTCTTGCACTGCTATAAAGAAATACCAGAGACTGGGTAATTTATAAAGAAAGGGCTTTAATTGGCTCATGGTTCCGCAAGCTGTACAGGAAGCATAGCAGCTTCTGCTGAGCTTCTGGGGAGGCCTCAGGGTACTTACGATCATGGCAGAAGGCGAAGGGGAAAAAGGAGCGTCTTACCTGGCTGGAGCAGGAGCAAGTTGCGGGACATTGCCACACACTCTTAAAAAACCAGATCTCCTGAGAATTCACTCTTTATCACAAGAACAGCACCAAGGGGGAAATTCGCCCCCATGACCCAGTCCCCTCCCACCAGGCCCCACCTCCAATATTGGGGATTACAAAGGGACATCAAATTTGGGTGGGGGGACACAGATCCAAACCATACCAATAAGTTACTTTCTCTAGAAGTCTTACTAATGTCTTTTTTTGAGACAAAGTCTTGCTTTGTCGCCCATGCTGGAGTGCAGTGGCGTGATCTTGGCTCACTGCAACTTCCACTTCCCTAGTTCAAGTGATTCTCCTGCCTCAGCCTCCCAAGTAGCTGGGATTACAGGCATGTGCCATCACAGCTGGCTAATTTTTGTATTTTTAGGAGAGATGGGGGTTTCCCCATGTTGGGCAGGCTGGTCTCAAACCCCTGACCTCAGGTGATTTGCCCACCTCGGCCTCCCAAAGTGCTGGGACTACAGGTGTGAGCCACTGGTGACTGGCCTTAGAAGTCTTGCTAACTTCCTGATTCCATTCTATTAGCTCTGCTAGAAGCCCAGGTCCTTCTGAATCCAATGAGGTAACATTGTAAACAAGAACTAATTTGAGTTGATGCTACACCCTTGAATGATACCTACTTTTTTTAAGTGACCTTAATCAAAATATAGAACTTTTCAGGCAAAATACACAGTAACAAAACGACTGGGGCACATCTTGGGGTGAGACGTATACACAGTGTGAAGTTTTTGAAAACTGGATCCTCTAACACTGGACATCTGAGAGAGATGCTCTTTTCAAAGATCACTATTTACATCCAACTATGGGCAGGAACAATTTCCTGTTCATTTTTGCAAGTCAGTGTCATCTATTGGGATCTCAAGGGACATTTGTGAAATGAATGCATATGTGGTCAAAAATGACTTCGGAAAGTTTAGCAAAGCCATTGTGACAGCAACTCTATTGGGAGCTGTCCCTGATACCCCAGATGGGTTCCTATGTCTATAAGTCTCTCTATAACTAGAGCACAACATGGTATAATTTTTTGTGTGGTTCTTTGAAGACTTCTAAAGGGCAGGAACTGTCTTTCTTTCTCTTTCTTTCTTTCTCTTTCTTTCTTTCTTTCTTTCTTTCTTTCTTTCTTTCTTTCTTTCTTTTTTCTTTCTTTCCTTTCTTTCCTTCTTTCTTTCACCCCCAGTGCCTAACAGTATCAAGGATGTAGAATGTGATTTATATAACCATTTGTTGAATAAATCTACTAATAAATGACTAAATAAATGAAGCCCACAATTTTGACTCTGCATCATCCTTACATGCCAAGATTATGAGTGCAGAGAAGAAGTTCTAAGTCTTGCTTGTTCTTTTGTTATTTCCAAATTGGACAAGAGTGTTGGTAACTCTGCATAGAAATAAATATCTAAGCTGGAAATGTTTCTAACAACTCAGCATGCTGCATACATTCAGCCATGGGACTTCTCGTCTTCTTCATTTCGGGAAACCATAAATAACCCAGGAGAGGGGGGTATCACTGCTCTGCACCCACAGGATGCCAAATTGTGTTGTCTGACTTGAATAGCTGCTTGCAAGCACGTTGCCTTGAATCATTGCCTCCCTCCTCCTGCTTCTCCTCCTCCTCTTTCTCTTCCTCCTCTTTTTCTTTTAATTTCTTGAATCTCTTGCCACCAGCACTACCTCCACCTCTGTGATTTCTTCAATTCCTCCATTTCCTGATTTCCTGTCTGCTTTCAGGCTTTCTAATTAATGTCCCAAGATGGCTTCCATGCCACCCTGGATGGAGTTTAGGTTTTCTCCCTGTGCTTTCACGATCTGTGCCAGGTCTTTGTGACTCATCAGACTTCCCTTTTCCACCTACGTAAGTGTGTCCTCGGTACACATTACCCAAGCAAATTATCCTGTAGTTAGCTAATCCTCCTACCCTCTCCAGAGTTTCCCCCGGGGTTACACCCACCCAAGGCTGGAATAGGCTCCAGCATATTATGATTGTTATTTAGTCACCTGAGATGTGTAGGCTCCAGTGGAAGCTCTGATGCTACTGCAGCAAGAGTATGGTACATGTCCTGGTTTGTCTGGGCTGCCCCAGCAGCACTGGGGACCAGATTCTAAACAGAGAATGTATTTCTGGGGATATCTTAACCCATGCCGTGCCTTGGACTGAATACATAGAATGACTCTATTTGATGGAACCTAGGAAGGTAAATAAAGATCCAAAGCAGTTCATTTATTTATACAATCAATGTCTAGCAAGTGCCTACTATTTGCCAGGCAGCAGGCCCTGTACTAGGTATACTGCAATAACCCTGAGATTTGCTATTTCTTCTTTCCTTGTGCTTATAACTTACCGGGAGTCAAAATGTGACTATTTAAACAGGCTGGGCACAGTGGTTTATGCCTGTAATCACAGCACTGTGGGAGGCCAAGGTGGGAGGATCACTTGAGCCCAAGAGTTCAAGACCAGCTGGGGCAACATAATGAGATCCCGGGCTATACAAAGTAATTAAAAATAGCAAGCTGTGATGATACCTGCCTTTCTTTGGTCTCTGCTACTTGGGGGGCTAAAGTGGGAGGATCATGGGCTCAGGAGGTCGAGGCTGCAGTGAGCAGTGATCATGCCACTGCCACTGCACTTCAACCTGGGTGATAGAGGAAGACCCTGTTTCAAAAAAAGAAAAAAAGAAAGAAAGAAAAAGAAAACTGTATAAAAAAACTATTTAAACAAATACACAAGTACAAAATGGGATAAAGCTAATAATTGAAGGACAAGGAATGAGCCATGCTAAGATACAGAGAGAGAGCATTTCAGGTAGAGGTTAAAAGCATATGCAAGGGCCCTGTGGTAAGAGAGTCATTTTATATATTTTATTTGAAGCAAAGGAAAATATGGTGGCTGGGTTGAGAGACAATAGGTTGGGGAAGGGGACCACCTTGAATTCCATAAATTACTTATTTTCTCAGACTCATTCAGTGACCATTCATATTTTAATTTGAGGTTATCTATGTTGACATACCCTTAAAGTAATTGATTATAACAAACATATCTGCTCTGAAGGTTTTTTTTCCTGTGTCTTACTTTGGTTTTATTTTAATTTATTTATTTACTTACTTATTTTGAGACAAGTTCTCCCTCTATTCCCCAGGCTGGAATGCAGTGATGTGATCATAACTCACTGCAGCCTCAAACACCTAGGCTCAAAGCCATCCTCTTGCCTCAGCCTCGCAAGTAGCTGGGACTATAAGCATGTGCTACCACACCCAGGTAATTCTTGAATTCTTTGTAAAGATTGGGTATCACCATGTTGCCGGGTTGGTCTCAAACTCCTGGGCTCAAGCTATCCTCCCTCCTTGGCCTTCCAAGGTGCTGGAATTACAGGAGTGAGCCACTGCACCTAAACTGTTTTGTTTTGTTTTTTCACGAGATAGTTGAACAACTAATTTTCAATATTCCTTCCATCCATAAAGTTATATAATACAAAGACTCCTGTCTCAATAGAAAAGGAAAGAGAACTAATACTATTGTAAACCTTCTGTATATCGGGCATAGAAATCAGTGATTTACATGGGATTTATCAAACTAGCCACAGAAATTGTTCATTCAAAATCAGGGCAAGGCTGGGCACAGTGGCTCGCGCCTATAATCCCAGCACTCTGGGAGGCCGAGGCGGGCGGATCACTTGAGGTCAGGAGTTTGAGATCAGTCTGCCCAACATGGCGAAACCCCATCTCTACTAAAAATACAAAAATTAGCCGGGCGTGTTGGCAGGCACCTGTAATCCCAGCTACTTGGGAGGCTGAGGCAGGAGAATCGCTTGAGCCCAGGAAGTAGAGGTTGCAGTGTGCCAAGATCACACCGCTGTGCTCCACCCTGGGAGACAGAGTGAGACTCTGTCTCAAACAAAAGAAAACAAAACCAAATCAGGACAAGCTCAGGTGTGCTTGTTTAACACACAAGTAATTCGTTTCAAGATAGGTAGGTAGATAGATAGATATTAGATAGATTAATAGATAATACACAGATGATAGATAATAGATAGATGGATAGTTTGGTGGGCTCTGCATGCAAAATTTTGGGTAAGGCAGATAGTTCATTCTTATCTCTTATTTCCCTATGCATGAATAAGTCTATCTGATTTGGCATGCTCTGGTTTGTTGAAATGGTAAAATTGTATAATGTGTAAATTCACCATAAATTAAGGTCCCCAGGAAGTTAGAAATATGTCCCCCAAGGGATGGAATTTTGTTCCAATTTTTCCAGCTATCCAATTCATCTTCCAAGATACTTGAGGCTTATCATCAAATTTGATGTTATACTCTTCTCTATGCATGAGATGACATTCAGGAATAAAGTTTTTTTAAAAAAATATCTTTGGCCTTTAGACAACTAAGCATTTTGAAAGCTGTAATTCTTTACCCCTCCTCATACAATTTGCCTCTCTGCCGAGTACTTCACCCAAACTTTGTGATGTATGGCGAATAGTACTAATTTCATGTTGGTCGAATTATTCATGCATTTTAGTGATTCATTTTATTCCTCAAAATGGAGGCACATAAGGGAAATTCCCAGCCTTCTGAAGGGGGCATTCATGCTCCCCAGATTCAGCAGAAAATGTGTAGGTTTTTCATCCATAATTCATCATTATAAGGCGGCCTCCTGCCCAGGCATATTCGAGCACTGTGACTCGCTCACGCAAGATCAGACAAGGTTGTTAAATCACGGTTTATTTTTCTGTGAACCAAAATCATCCTTCAGGCTAATCCGGGCTGCTGTTGGTTTATTTGTACCTTCCACATCTAAGCTTCCAACTTGGACGATATTTTAAAGATGTTGGTGGACCCCAAGGTATGCAATGGCTTAAGTTTAACAGACCAAAGACGCACGGGAAATTAATTAGAGTCTTTCATGGCAGGAAATATTTCTGTGATTAATACTGTGTAATGGGAATGTGAACACAATCGAGAAAATGAACTAGATCCTGAGGGCTGGTATGAAAATACCAGCTGGGAAAGTTTAATTCGGGGCCAGACTCCAATTAAAGGCTCTCCACTGTGCTGTCTGTGGTTTTTATTGGCTCCTGGAGGAGAAGCAAGGAGCACTGGATTCTCCATTGAGAAATCAGGGTCCCAGTCCTGGCCGGAGCCAACTGTGTGATCCTAAGAAAGCCCCATGACTCACCTGGAACTCAGATGCACCATCAGTGAAATGAGTCATCTGGTGAGACCCTTTGATCTCCTCTGCATGACTTGATGCATAGCTTAGCCTGCAATGGTTAAGCAGTGTCCACCTCTTCATGCTCAGCACCCACGGGCACCTAAAAGGTACTGAATTGATGGATTTTAACTGAAGACAAGCTGGCCAGTCCATACACCAACACACTCGGTTCCTGTTTCAGGATTAAGGGCTTCTCCGTCACCCCACACAGCCTCTGCCATTTGGGATGTGAGGCGGAAGTCGGTAGACCAGGATCTGACAACTCAGTAAGCTAAATCTAGGGCCAGACCAGACCTCCCAGCATCTCAACATGTTTCTCCCAATAAAGGTCTAGCTGTTTCCCATGGAGAGTCACCTCAACATTCCACTCCACCATCTGCATTTATAGATCTTTATTGGTGCAGAAGGATGGTATAGAAATGGCTGGGCCAAAAACCTCAGGTTAGGACCCTGCTACTAAGTGAGGTCCCCAGACCCACTGCATCAGCATCTCCCGGAAGCATGCTAGAAATACACTGACTCAGACTTCACTCAGACCTGCTCAATCAGCATGCCCCTTTTCATACCACAGTGGTAACTTCATGTGTCAACCTGACTGGGCCACTTTATGCCTGCATAAATGGTTAAACATTATTTCTGGGTGTGTCTGTGAGGGTATTTCCACAGTACATTAGCATTTGACATGGTAGGCTGATAAAGAACACACACCCTCCCCAATATCAGGGTGGGCACCATCCAATCCACTGATGGCCTCTAGAACAGAAAGGCAGAGAATGGTTGGATTCTCCTTCTCTTTCCCTGGCTGCTTGAGCTGGGACATCAGTCTTCGAATCTTTGAGCCCTGGGTGCTCCTGGTTCTCAGGCTTTCAGACCCAGACTGGAATCTACACCATTGGCTCTTGGGTTCTCAGACCTTCGAACTACATCACCAGCTTTCCTGGGTCTCCAGGCTGCAGAAGGCAGACTGTGGGCCTTCTCAGCCTCCATAATTGCATGAGCCAATATCTTATAATAACTCTCTTTATGTGTGTGTGTATTCTAAATATATGTACACACATGCATGCACGTGCGCGCACACACACACACACACACACGTTAGGCATCTAAAATATGTAGATATAGATACATAGATCCTATTAGCTCTGTTTCTCTGAAGAACACCAAGTGATTTGAGTTTGGGAAACACTACCTTAGATCACTCCATTGGTTCATTAGGGGAGAGTCATTGCCTAGCTTACCACCAATTTTTGTGATTACGATCAATTTGTTGCAACCAATTTTTATGATTACAGTTACTTTGGGATCAACTTGCATAAACTTCTCAGTCCAGCTCTCCCTCCTACTTAACTTGGATGAGACTAACTGTATGGGGGAGGAGTGTGCACGTGCCTCTGTGTGCAAATGGGTGTGTCCATGTATACACATGCCAGAACAGGGGAGGCTGGGAGGAGTAACTGTTTTCTTCCAAGTAGCTTAACAGACTTCTTAGCCATTTGCAAAGGTGCCCACATTGTCCACCTTACAGCAGACACCCCAAATGAATCCTTCTCACACAGCGAAGACAGGTTTACCTGGCAGATGGGAGGGTTGCCCATACTGATGCAGCACTGCACTTTAATGATGCTGCCTGAGGCTGCGTGTTTTTATAACTTGTATGCAGAAAAACCTACTTCCTCATAACATCCCTGTTTCTCAGAAATACCTTGCTTGCCTACAGTAAATGCAATTCTAGTGTAGTATAACAATTCTAGCATAACGTGCTAACTATTTTAACAAGTAGGTATGGAGGAGAGGAAGCCTGTCCCGAAACTGCAAGATGGTTATGGTTCCCTGTTAAATATCCCAAAACACATTTTTTACTTCACCCTTTTTTCCACTTAAAAAAATCTTGTTATTATCTTTTTGTGTTCCCGTTAAATCTATAATATGATGAAGTCTGGGAAGGCAGAGATTATGCCAGCTTCTTGTTACAAATCTAGCATTGTCAGATTTGGCAAATAGAAGTATAGGATTGAGTTAAATTTGAATTTCGGGAAACAATGATTTTATTTTTTATTATAGGTATACCCCATACGGTTTTTGAAACATACTTATATTTTAAATATGTTCATTGTTTCTCTGAAGTTCTAATTTAATATGGCATCTTGTATTTAATCTGGCAACCTTATCCAGGTGTCAGCATTCAACATAGTAGCCAGTCCAGATTAGATGTTCTATAAATCTGAACATTTGTGTTTTCACTGTACATACAAGGCAGAGGACTGAATATGTGAAATATATAAAGGAAACAGATAATGGGGGAGAAAAGTACACTGAGCAATGAGAAATCAGGACATAGCTTGTTTTAACCAACCTGGAAAACCATTAGGAAAAGCTTATAAAAGGACAGCATTAATGGATGAGTTACTCCAGTGAGAAAAAAGGGGGCAAGCACCCTTAGGGAAGTTAAACTGTGGCTTCGAGCTCCTACAAGAGTCAACCTTACTTAAGGGGGATTGGGGGATTTCTGCAAATAAATCATACAGAGTGAATTAGCTCATAAAATGTTTTGGTGGCTTCTTAGGTGACCTATGACATTGTTTACTGGCAAAACTGAAGACACTAATAATATATACCTGTTTCTTCAGGAAATTCAGTCAATTTAGACATACAAAGAGTGAAGGTAGATGTCTTAGTCTGTTCAGGCTGCTATAACAAAATACCATAGCTTGGGTGGCTTATAAACAACAGACATTTCTCACAGTTCTGGATGCTGGAAGTCCCAGATTGAAGTGTGGCAGATTTAATGTCTGGTGAAGACCCGCTTCCTGGTTCATAGCGCCTTTTCTCTGTGTCTTCACATGGTGGAAGGGGTGAGGGAGCTCTCTGGGGTCTCTTTTATAAGGGCACTAATCCCATTCATGAGGCTCTACCCTCATGATCTCATCACCTCCCAAAGGACCAACTCCTAATGCCATCACTTTGGGGGTTAGGATTTCAATATAAGCATTTTGGTGGGAGGGACATAGACGTTTAGACCATAGCAATAGAGATAAAACAAACATCAAGAAATAACTTTCATGTTAAAACAGAAAGATGGCTGTAAATGAATGTATTAAATAACGTAATAAATATATTTAATAACAAATAATGTAATTTGTTACATTAGGTAATATAAGCAACTATTAAATTCAGGGAAACTAACCATCCAATCCAGTGTAATATTTAATATTTAACCCACAGGTAGTAGGTTGCTTCCTTATCCCCAACTTCTCACCCTTCCCTATGTCCTTGTCTTTATCATGTATCTATGTGGCTGTACTCTGTGGTCATGGTGTTCTTTCTAACCCTGGTCTCTGGTCTCTGCCACGTGACTTACTTTGGCAAATGAGATGTTACCAGCCTCTATGCAAGTGGAACATTGGGAAGTTCTTGCCTGATCAGGCTGGAGTTCTCTTTTGTATCTCTGCAAATGGTATAAGACTATGTCCAACCTAGTGAAAGATGTATTAGTGCATTTTCATACTGCCATGAAGAAATATCCAAGACTGGGTAATTTATAAAGAAAAAGAGGTTTAATGGACTCATGGTTCCATATGGTCCCTTACAATCATGGCAGAAGGTGAAGGAGGAGCAAAGGCTCATCTTACATGGTGGCAGGCAAGAGAGCATGTACAGGGGAACTGCCCTTTATAAAACCATCAGCTCTCATGAGACTTATTCACTATCATGAGAACAGCATGGGAAAAACCTGCCCCCATAATTCAATTACTTCCCACCAGGTCCCTCCTGTGACATGTGGGGATTGTGGAAGTTACAATTCAAGATAAAGTTTGGGTGGGAACACAGCCAAACTGTAACAAAGGGCTAAGAAAATATTTTCCCTTTGCCCTCTGAAGCTTTACTGAAAAAAATCACTGACAAGGGGCAGACTAATAGAAAAAAAAAACATACAAATTTATTAATGTGTACCCAGGAGCCTTTAGAATGAAGACCCAAAGATACAGGGGAAGTTGACCATTTTTATGCTTAGGTTCAACAAAGTATGGACAGCCATGTAGAAATAGGACTGGACCAAAAGGGTCTAACCTAATGCTAATCAGCTGAGTGGGGAAACCCAGCAAGACCTGTCTGTCTGAATTCTTGTTGGCCTCTCTGAGCAACACTTCTTCCTTCTGGGTATGGGGTGGGACCCTCTCTGGAATGGGGGTCTTAGGACCTGCAGTCAAACCCAGTAGGTCAGATCATTATTTGTGACCTGTTTCTACACAAACAGGTGAAACAAAAGTAGAGTCCTATTTTTAGGTTTTGTGGCTGGCTGTTGGGAAAGAGGGTTCTGGTTTCTAGGACCTGCCTTGTGGAAGAGAAATTCTAGTTTTTATGACGCCTGTCAGGAGGATGGAACTGAGAGATAGGAGGGCAAGAGGAGGTCAGAGAGAAACTTTTGCTTTTGAGGCTGCCTCTGAGGCCTTTGTTTTGGGGTATCATTTTCTGAGTCCCAATACTGGTCTACTCAAGGATTAGAGGAACCTGCAGCATTGCAAAGCCAGTCAACAGGGAAACCTCTCTATGGTTATGAGTAAGCTCAGCTGACCTCCACAGAACCACCTTGCTGACTCCCTGCTGGCTCCAGATAGGTAAGTAATACACACTCTTGTCTTCCCCTGAGCCATGTGGTTGGTTGTTGTGCAGCAGCAGCATGGCAATAGGTAACTGATACTAGAACAGAACAAACTGGAAATAAACTTAGGAACACAGTTAGAGTTACAACATCCTATTTCTCTGCTCCTCCCCCTCCCACACTGTAGGAAATCTAATTCCTGTTGCCTATCACCCAATAATTCTTGTCATCCTGAGTAAAGTGTTCCTGTGTGATTGGTAAGCTCGTCCTGCTGCCTTGTAGAGCACATCCACTTTGATCCTCCTCCTTGAGTTAGCTGTGGTGAGGTTTCCTAATGCTGAAAATACTGAGGTTCCTTCTCTGTAACCGATACCTCCCCAAAGATCCTCAGTACTTCCCAATGATGATACCATCACCACTGATGCCAATGTCCATGATGACACTGCCCTTGCCTGTTTCCAAGAGCACAGAGGCCACTTTGCCTAACAACGGTCTTCCCATCACCTGCAATGCCCATTAGTGTCCACAAAGATTTTACTAAAGCTCACAAACAACTCCTCACTTAGATTTTTCTGTTTAGCTTTATCAAGAACAAAGTGGGCTAAGCATGGTGGCACATGCCCGTAGTTCCAGCTGCTTGAGAGGCTTGTTTGAGCCAGGAGTTCAAGACCAGACTGGACAACACAGCTAGACCATATCTTTTAAAAATATATTTTTAATTAGCTGGGTGTGGTGGATGCACCTATCATCCTGACTACTTAGGCTGGAGAATCACCCGAGCCCAAGAACTTGAGGCTGCAGTGAGCTATGATCGTACTACTGCACTCAAGCTTGGACAACAGAGCAAGAACCCATCTCAAAAAAAAAAAAAAAAAAAAAAAAAAACCAAGGAGAATGAAGTGGTGGTACGCTTCAACTTTCTTACATGCATTGAGATAATATATTCAGCATAAATTTAATAATCTTGTATGATGGTGGCTGCTGTTACATATTACCACAAATTCAGTGGCTTAAAACAAGACACATTTATTCCCTCCAGTTCTGAAGTTTACAAGTACAAAATCAGCATCACTGAGCTGAAATCAAGCTGCTGGCAGGGCCACCCTCCCCTCTAAGGCTGTAGGGGGAGAGTCTGTTCCTTGCCTATTCCAGAGTCTGGTGGCTGATGGAATTCCTTGGCTTGTGCCACATGACTTCAATATCTGCCTCTGGCATTCCATTACCTTTCTCCTCTTCTGTGTGTGCCCAACCTCGCTCTACCTCTCTCCTTGGTGTGGCCATTGCTAATATCCATTTTAAGTTGCTTCCCCCTTACATTCAGTCATGGCATGATTCACTTCTTGTATCAAGTATCTATTGCCACATGGCTGTGTAACAACCAATGTCTCCCTGTTGTAGCTTTATTCTTCAGCAAAGTGTTTTATCTGTAATTAATGCTCAAATCAATATGTTTTTAAAGGGAAAAATAAATGGTTCCTGGTGAATGAACTGGATTTAATCCTTTTATTCTCTGAATTAGTATGTCTCTATTGCATTCACATGTACCTTGGCTCTGCAAAGTTCTTTCATCAAAGTCCTGTACATTGATTTTTTTTCTTCTGATATTTTTCCTGTTTATGGATTACAGGGAGAAGCCAGCTTCATTTCATAGTGTCATAAACCTGTTTATTTTACTTGATATTTGAGGCATTGCCTTTCTTTATACTTCAATTTTTGAAAAGATTCATAGAGGATGTGCATTTTTGTTAATTTTTTTGTTAATTTTGTTAATTTTGTCAAGAATTCAATGGACCTACTAATTATATACTTTTCATGTTTAAGCACAGGAATTTTTTTAAATTACAGTATTCATATTTTCTTTCATTCCCATTGCTCTCATCTTTCATTAAGAGCACTGTTGATTCTTGCCAGGGGTAGTGGTGTGCACCTGTAGTCCCACCTGCTCCAGAGGCTGAGGCAAGAGCATGGTTTTAGCCCAGGAGTTCGAGACCAGCTCAGGCAACATAGTGAGACGTGTCTCTAAAACAAAAACCAAAAATCACGAAAGAACACTATTGATTCTTAGACTCAGTCCTTAGGATGAGAATACACACAAACAAAGACACATGCACACACGCAGTGCAGCTTAAACTTGTCCTCTGTTGAAGCGGTTTGAAAGCTGGACGTAGTATTTTCTGGCTTTATCCAATCCTGTGTGTGTGTTGCTCGGGGAGGGGTTGTGGCAGGAGGGAGACTCCTTCGGGTCAATATGTGACTTTTTTTTTTTTTTTTTTAAAGAATCTGGGATTTACTCTCTCCTCTGAGATTTTCTTAAAAGCCCATACTAGATTCATCCATCTGTCCAAACATGAAGACTGTCATCTCCTGTTATAGAGGAGATAACTTCTGATTTCAGAGCATCATTCTCTTGATTTTTTTTTTTTTTTTTTTTGAGACAGGGTGTCACTCAGTTGCCCAGGCTGGAGCAAAGTGGTGCAATCACAGCTCACTGCACCCTGCCTCCTGGGCTCAGGTGATTCTCCTGCCTCAGCCTCCCAAGTAGCTGGGATTACAGGTGCATGTCACCACGCCTGGCTAATTTTTGTATTTTTTGTAAAGACAGGGTTTCTCCATGTTGCCCAGGCTGGCCTCGAACTCCTGGACTCAAGCAATCCATCCACCTCGGTCTCCAAAAGTCCATTATCTTGATTTAGCAAGTCCTGAAAGGTGGCAAGCCCTAATAATTGTTATTGCTTATGCTTCAGAGACAGACAGGTAACCTCCGCCACTCTTCATTGTTTTTTTAATGATTTTTTTAATTTAATTCACCTACTTACTCTTTCTGTACAATCCTCTACAAGCTGGTAAAATTCCCAGGACCTTTACCAATGCAAAACTATTAGGGCTTAACACTTTCCCTTTTTGCAGCTGTCTGAAGTTTTGGAATGTGTGTTCATATTTTTGTTTATCAGCACTCATTCTGCTGGTTTTCACTTCTGTTTGCTTTCTGTTTATGGTGCTCAATATTGGCTTCCTTCTCCTAAATATCTCCCATATTTAACCTAAATAATGCATGATTAAAATAACAAGATGTTCCTTACTCTAATAAAATAAATAATGAAATAGATAACATAAAAGAAGGCCATGCAAGCAATAATTATATACTTACACTAGTCACACACTTATATTTTATAACTCTATACAAGCATATATACGTATATCATTATAAGTCTGTTAACTATATACTTACATCATTAATGGTAGTTACATAATGATAGTCCTTTGGGAACAAAGAGTATAATTATTCTGGTGTGTGCTTTTAAGATTCAAGATGTGAATCTTGCTTAGTATACTGTTAACAAAATGTTGTCTCAGAGATACATTTAAATACTGTCTAGCCAGCCCGTCACTCAGATTTAATATAATTATTCATCTCTCATTTTTATTGTAGTTGGAGTATACAAGATTCATACAAAACTGACATGAAATGAGTGGTAATTTCCCTTCCAGTGAAGTAATAACTAAGAATATATGATAAGCACATGCATTGTGAAGATAGAGCATTACACTAAGTAATTAGCAAGCAAGCTAGCTAGAGTGAAGAGACTGCATTCTGAAATGACACAGAAACTACTTAGCACTATAATTTATTCTTATGCCCTACTTTGTGCTGTTTGAATTTATTCCTGGCCTATAAGTATAATGATTAAAAATCATTAATCAAATTATTAAAATCATAATTTCATGCTTACTAAGCAGGAATTGTTTCTTAAACAGACCCTAAGTTCTTTTTGGTTGACCTTGTGGTGAAATCAGAAGAGCTCACATTTTCTGGCCAAATCAAATCCAGCTTCATGACCTACCCACATCTCTTACTAATTTGCTTAACTTTGGGATTTTTTTGTTTTTTTGTTTCTTTGTTTTGTTTTTTTTTGAGACAGAGTCTCACTCTATTCCCCTGGCTGGAGTTTAGTGGTGCAATCCTGACTTACTACATCCTCAAACTCCTGAATTCAAGTGATCCTCCCAGCTCAGCCTCCTGAGTAGCTGGGACTATGGGTGTGCACCACCACAACTGGCTAATTTATTTTAAATTTTTTTTGTAGAGATGGGGTCTCACTATGTTGCCCAGGCTGATCTCAAACTCCTGAGCTCAAGTGATCCTCCCACCTTGGCCTCCCAAAGTTCTGGGATTCCAGGCATGAACCACTGTGCCTGGCTGACTTTCAGGATATTTTTTAGCATCTCTTGAATTCAAAGTTCTTATCTGTAGAATGGTCGTGAAATCAGACGACCAGTGGTTCTAGATCTTAAGTGTGCACTAAGGGCTTGTGAAACACAGAATTCCTGGACTCCACACTGCTCTGTAAACCTCGGCTGAAGTTCAAGGTTTGCCTTTCTACTGAGTATCCAGGCAATGATAAGGTTGCTTGTAGAGAGACCACACTTCCAATCAATGGCCTATGTTTTAGGATGGTTGGAACATTAGAAGAGATAACCTTTTAGTGGTTTTGAAGCCTGATGGGGAGCTTTAAATTATAACCCTACCCATGAGGCCAATGCATTAATATGCCACAGGCTGGAAACCCATCAATTGTGTAAAGCTTTTAGCTCAGTGTGTGGTGATGTGGGTCACTCAATACATTTTAGTTCTATTTCTTTGTGCATGCATTTGGTTTTATTCTATTTTTTATAGTTGACATATTCTAAGTCCCTGAATGACCCAAATTTGTCAACAGGTGTTTGCTTATTTGTTTAATGATCGCATACATTTGAGTCTTGACTAATTCAATTTAAATTTACGTTCCATCTCCCTGTAGAGTTCAGTGTAATTGTCTAAGTCAATGGACTGTTTGTTTTTTTTTCCCCCACACCTGCTGTCTGTATGGGCCCACTTTTGTGGGTCAATATAGTGCTGGAATTGGATAAAGGCAGTCTTTAGGCAAAATTCACTTTTAAAAAGCCTTTTATTATGATTTTAGTTGGGATTTCAGGATAATCAGTTTCTACTTAAGATTTTATCTTTATACATGTTTCATATTTATAATAAATCCAAGTTCTGTGGGTCTGATCATTATTTGCATAAGCATTAAAGTGCACTCAAATACTTATGCAAATAGACCACCAGAAGGGCTTTGAAAAGGGGAAACAAACAAGCAAACAAGCTTCCCAAGTCGTTATTCACTTTTGAAATTGCAAACAATTCTCCCAAGGCTGACCTAGTCCTATTTTCTTAAAATGTAAAGAAATCTCCAGGTAAACAACCCTTTAGGAAATAAAGACTTTATATTTCTTTTGACATTAACAAATTTTGGAGAAAGTTTTTTTCTTATAATTAATAATAAAGGGGGGGTTGGATTTCTAGAAAGAAGAATATTACATTGTTTTCAAAGATACTCATAATGGCTCTTGAATATTAATTAACTCAACATGCTTTTCTTCAATAAACATGTAATAGATGTTGATGTTTTAGGTACTACTGTGTTAGATTTGGGTTACAAAAATCAACAAAACACTGACTCTGGACTCAAAACTGTGAAAAGTGACTTGAAAATAGTCATTTAGTTTGGGCTAATGAGTGGGACACTGAAAAGGTAGGGTGGAAACAAAGTTGGTGGTGTTGTAGGATAATAGTTGAAATATTTAGGAAGAATCCAGACATTTAGAGCTTAAGAAATCTCAAAAATCATTTAGAACACTTTTTCTATGGATGACAGGATTAGATGAAAATGGTTTTATTAAATTCATACATAATAGTTATATTCAAATGGTTGACAAACTGTCCTGTTTGTCATGTGCGTCTGTATGAAGAGACCACCAAACAGACTTTGTGTGAGCAACAAGGCTGTTTATTTCACCTGGGTGCAGGCGGGCTGAGTCCGAAAAGAAAGTCAGCGAAGGGAGATGGGGTGGGGCCGTTTTATAGGATTTGGGTGGGTAGTGGAAAATTACAGTCAAAGGGGGTTTTTCTCTTGCAGGCAGGGGCGGGGGTCACAAGGTGCTCAGTGGGGGAGCTTCTGAGCCAGGAGAAGGAATTTCACAAGGTTAATCGTTCAGTTAAGGTGGGGCAGGAGCAAATCACAATGGTGGAATGTCATCAGTTAAGGCAGGAACCGGCCATTTTCACTTCTTTTGTGATTCTTCACTTGCTTCAGGCCATCTGGATGTATACGTGCAGATCACAGGGGATATGATGACTTGGCTTGAGCTTAGAGGCCTGACACTGTTGACAAAGATTATACCATAGCTGGTGAGGATTCTAAAGTTTAACTTGGCTGGGTGCAGTGGCTCACACCTGTAATCCCAACACTTTTGGAGGCCGAGGCAGGAGAATCATTGAAGCCAGGAGTTTGAGACCAGCCTGAACAACATAGTGACATCCCATCTCCACAAGAAAATTAAAAAATTATCCATTTGTGGTGGTACACGCCTGTAGTCCCAGCTACTCAGGAGGCTGAGGTGGGAGGATCACTTGAGCCCATGAGGTCAAGGTTGCAGTGAACTATGTTTGCACCACTGCACCGTGGCCTGCGCAACAGCATGAGACCCTGCCTCAAATAGAAGATAGATAGATAGATAGATAGATAGATAGATAGATAGATAGATGATAGATAGATAGATAGATAGATAATAAATAAAGTTTAACTTCCATGATGATGGGAGGGACAAGATTTTGCAATTAAGTTAAACCGCTTTAATGATAGGGAAGGAAATCTAGTCTAGTTCTTCAGGGACAACAGGGCCTCATATTTCCGTAGGAAAATAATAGGTAGTAGATGATTACCTTCAGAGGTTATTGCCTGAAAAAAAGTGAGGCATCATGAAACCAGTAAAGCAAAGCTAAAGCCAAGAAATGGGCAACAGACAGTTGTAAGCTAGGCTGAAGTTAACCCCAGTGAAACATTTTAGCAGGATGCAGGGTTCAATTTTCTGTGGTAGACTCATAGCTGGCACGCCAGGCCCTGTATGGTGACTGAGCAGAGCAAATTGATCAGCAATACTAAACAGACTATGGTGTCAGGTGGCTGTCAGGGCCAATGCAGCAACTAAGCAACTTGGTAGAGACCTCGGAGCACTGAACAGGTGCTCCTTAAACCCCTTAGATCTGAGGTCTACATTAGTGCTAGACACTAGGACAGCTGGGCCTGCAGCTAGACGTCAAGATTTCCAATAAGAGCATGGAAGTAGAATGTAGGAACCAGACAAGGGCACAGGGGTTTTTCTTATTGTATGTGCCTCTGTAAAGATCCAAAACTGAAGTGGACAAATTGCAGACCTCTATTTTGACTCAATATAAGCTATTTTCTTATATATTGGTTCTAAAAATACCTACTAACCTCATTGAGTAGTAAAGTCATAATAATTTTCCATGTAAAAAAAAATCACAGGAGTGCAGTCTCATGCATGAATTTCATCTCAGGGGGCTCAGGGACACCTGTAGTTTATTTATATATTTCAGCAGAATCCAATGGCCCCGGGATAAACAACCCTGTTCTAAAATTTAGAGCAGTCTCACATTATCCATGGAGCTAGTGTCAGAGGTAGATGTCCTCTAGCACCATATTTAAGTATAGGCTGAGTGACCCATGGAAGGAATGGTGGAGAGAATTTCCAAGCATCTGGAGGAGGCACTGGGCTCATTTACCTCCAAAAGACCTTTTAAGCCTGAAATTGTCTATGATTCAAGTAATGCGAAGCATTAAAAACAGACATCTGCCTCTTGAGAACCAACCAGTCACCTTTTACAGCCTAAACTCCTCTTGAGCTTAAAGAGAAAATGGATAGCATATCTCAGACATCTTAGATGGAACCACATAAATAGGATAGCAAGTATTTCAGTGGAAAAATCAACAGGAGAAAGTAAGTAAGTGACTTAGCAACAGGGAACAAGTTTGAGGGTTGTTTTTCTTGAAAAATAAAAATAATTTATAGGATGATTCTTACCATATAAAGTGTGACTGCAATAGTTATCTATTAATATGTAACAAATGATCCTACTACTTCACAGTTTAAAGCAATGAAGATATACCATTTTTTCATGAGTCTGGGATTTTGGAGTGGCTTAGTTGGGAGGTTCAGGCTCAAAGTCCCTCATGAGCTTGAAGTCAGGTTGTCCATCAGGGCTTTAGTCTCGAAAGGTTCTATGTGACTGGAGGATCTGCTGGCAAGATGGCTCAGCCACATGGCTACTGGCCTGCCTTCTCAGTTACTCATCACATGGGTCTCTCCACAGGGCTGCTTGAGTATCCTTACAACATGGTGCTGGCTTTCTCCCAAGTGAGTTAGCCAAACGAATGCAAGAAGGAAACTCAAATGTCTCTTATGGCCTACGCTTCAAAGTCATATGCCATCATTACCTCAGTATCCTATTGCTTATACAAGTCAGCCCAGTCTTTAGGGGCCATCTTGGAGGCTAGATACCATACTGATATTATAGCCAAGGGGGAAAGGATTTCAGCTCACTTTTAGGCTATTGCAGTGACTTTGAAAATAAGTACACAAAGCAATTGTATATTTTGAAAGACAATAAAGCCTATGCCATTCAGAGTCTTCACACATAAAGCATATCGGCCAAAGAACTTTGGAGAATGTCACCAATAAAAAACCACATGCAGCATTAACTTGACTTTGGACTTTGCTAGCTCGGATGCTTATATACATATCATTTCTAACTTAGAACTGGCTTTTCAAAGTATGACAGTCAAACTTGGTGTTATCCAACTAGGATTTGAAAAGTAAGTTATTGTGTAACTTTTAAAATCTTTACATTACATGTCATCAAGAAAATTCAAAATGGATTAAGCCAGTGTTTTCTAATAGAACTACATCCAGGGCCACAGATACAAGCTGATCATGTAATTTCATGTTTTCTTGGAGAAATGGGTGAAAGTAATTTTAATAGCATAATTATTGACCCAGTGCTATGGCTTGAATGTGTCCCCTTGGAAATTCAAGTGTTGAAACTAAATGACCAATGTGATAGTGCTAGGAGGTAGAGTTATATAAAAAGCTTCACCCAGCACTCAGCTAACTTGCTCTTCCACCTTCTGCCCTGTGAAGATACAGTGTTCCTCCCCTCCTGGGGTTGCAGCAAAAGATGTCAACTTGGAAGCAGAGAGTAGCCCTCACCAGATAAGCAAACCTGTGATGCCTTGATCTTGAACTTCCCAGCCACCAGAACTGTAAAAAAATTCATTTCTGTTCTTTGTAAACTACCCAGTCTCAATATTTTATTATAAGAATGCAAATTGACCAATACACCCGCTGTGTCTAAATTCAACATTACAATTTCAACATGAGGTCAATATAAAAATGTTTGTTGTACTAAGTTTGAAATCCAGTGCATATTTTATATTTATGGCACATCTCAGTTGGAGGAGTCATATTTCAAATGTCCAATATGCACATGAGATTAGTGGCTACTGTACTGGATAACAAAGGTAATTTACTGGGTTCATTGGGAAAAAAATCCACTGGGCTAGACCTGATCAAGAAACTTGCTCAAATCAAGTAACCAAGGACCCATTGCTGTCTCACTGCTGTCTTCTCCAGGCCTGACTCAAACCACAGGCTCCAACAGGCAGCTTCTCAGTAGATGGGGCTCTACATTGTATTCACTGAATAGTTAATGTCTAGTCCCAGCCTCAAGTCCTCATCCTGGTCATGGAAGAAATGAGCATCTCTTGTAGCTAATGGCTGGTAGATGCACTGTGGTGTTCATATTCTCCCAGCGTCCTGAATTGGGTAACCTGACCATTCCAAGACTGGTCATTGTGCTTAGTATCACAAGATCTCTTGATCATACAAGGCAATTAAAATCTCCTAGAATACAGTAGTGGGCTCAAGATTCTCATACCATATTCTTAAGCAAGGGAGAGTAATTAATTGCACAAAGGAAAATCAGGGTACTTTTAGCAAGAGATGAAGTGGGGAGCAGATGAAAACAGACAAAAGCAAACACATGTCCACAACCCATTTGTCCATAATGAAGTATATAGGCAGATGTCTTGAATTCCATCTTTGATTTCCCAACCACAAAAGGAGAGGCAAATCAGAGGCCATGACTAGCTCTGGATCTGTAGCTAGGACCACCTACATAACCCATGGCTGGGGTTCATCCAATTATTTGTAGTTTCAATCATCTGTGACCCACTTGTAATTCACTAATGCTGTGCCAGTGGCCAACTTGAATTTCTACAGACAGCAGTAGCACCTTGAATTAATGGAATAATTGAAAATGGACACACTACTATGTGACAAGAAAATAATTTTAAATGGAATGTATAATGTATATTCGTCCACGAAAGCATTACTCAGACTTTTGTATTAAATTTGAAATGCTTACTATAACCTTAAAACGGTTTCTGTTTTTAAGACAGAATACAAATTCGTTTTTTTTCCTGATGTTTGAGTTAAATAATCTTTTTAGGGAGTATTAAATGAATATTATTAGATTTGATAGATCTAACAAAATTATTTGAGTAAAATTTTCAGTCCTGTACAAGGGCAAATCAAGTAAAATAATTCCGTCCTCAAAATAGTTTGTACTACAAGTTTTACTATAATTGAACCATTTAAAAAAAATATGTACTCATATGGGCAAGAACAAAGAAGGGACATTTTAAAAAAATTAAAGAAGGAAGATGCTAAGGTTGAAACATTTGGGGTGTTATTTTTTCCTGAGAAGGCTTATGTGGATGTATAACAGCATTTGTGCACATTCTAAAATAAATTGTGTTTCTAAAATGAATGACGCACAACATCTTTTAGCAGCCTGCACAGAGCATTTGAGACTGAAAAGGAAGGTGTTTACACAGACATAGGGAGGAGAAAGACTGTTTTCCTCCACTGTCTTACCATATCACGTGAATCCTTACCCAGAACTTTCTCCAGAAACAGAGTAAATTCATCCAAAGATGTCTGCAGCAAGGAATAGCACACCAACATCAACCGTGTGGGAGAATTGAGGGTCTTCTAATCCAAAGGAAATAGGAGGTCTTACTCGTATACAAGTGATTGTTATTTGAGCTTTAAATTGGTAGCTGAAATGTTCTTCATCTCTTAAATATATTCTAAGTTCCCAAATTCTTCTTCCTAAAGCAACTTTTGTCTAAAAGAGATTTAAAAAAATCATCTTTCTATTTCAGCAACAGGACTAGATTCTCATACTGCTAGTAACTCAACCAAAACTTTCCCAAGCAGAGCCAAAATAGCTCCCATAAAATTTCTAAAGATAAGAATCAGCCCCAGATGGTCCAGACTGAAATGTTAAATATGATGCTAATACTATGGTCAAATGAAATGACATATTTGCATTTTTCTGAATCTATCTAAAATTAGTCTTTTAAAGAGGTCCATCTGCTTCAAAATATCTTTTCCACGGTCCGTCTTGTACATGATGTTTCCACCCCAAGTCAAGCAACTGGGTAAAGAAGTTGTATCTTTAGAAGGCCTGTGTTAAATAACAAATATATATGTGGAGTAGATGTCACAGTAACCAAAAAGGGCCCAGCACTACATCCACATGAAGTGTTTACTGGATGGGCAAGAGGCACTGAGAGAGCAGCGTTTGCATAGTCTATTTAGGTAGACTTGGAAAGAAAAGAAAAGGGAAAGACCTCTCCACTTTTCATGAGTCCTGATTTTCTGGTGCTAAAATAACAGGTAAGTTATATGTCTGCTTCCTTCTCAGTCTACTCTGGGTTTGTTCTTAATCGATAATGAGCATCCCTCTGTTTTTCTAAAGCCTAGTCAGGCCAGCAGGGTATTTGTCTTTTACTTGAGTCATAAGCTTTGCACCCTGTGTATCTGAGTTTCCAGGTATCTTCTCATATCATCTTCTTTGCATCAGGACAATCTTTCTACAAGTCTTTCTCAAATCTCAGTTTTTCTTACTCTATGTCTGAATTTTAGCCCTCTGAACAAAGATTCCATGCTCACATTCCAAGGTTGCTAATCTAATTGCCCAAGACATAGACAAAACCCTCCCTATTCTTCTTCAGCTTAGAAATGGAAGGATGACTATGGATCCAAGTCTCTTTATTTTCTCCCTTCTCTTGGCGAATTTCAAAGAATAAGATGTTTTGCTGGCTGCAGAGGCAGAGGAGAGAGTGGAAATAAAATGAGTCTACTGTGCTCCAAGAGGTGACCTCTGGACATGAGTTCTGACCCAGGACAGACCTGGTGACTTCAGCAACATCCTTCTTTCCCAGGCACAATGCACAGCAGATGGCCTTCTAAATGAAGTGCCATGCTAGTAATTCTCCTCTCACCTTGGTTCATAATAGGGAAATGGATTTTTGACCCATTAACATCTTACCCCCATTCATTTTGTGCTCTTTATTCACAAAATCAGCATCCCATGTCTGCAGTGATTAAAAGACCAAACAGAAGTACTTCACATGGTTACGGGCAGCCTAGCCAGCCTTAATAAGCTACTCCTGCAAAATGGAAATGAAGAAATCTATTATGGGAATTAGAAACACATCACATTCAATTTTGTGTGGCAAAACAGAGGTTTAATATTGATAAATATAAGAATCCAATAATATATAGCAGGTGTGATGCATGGTCTATCTGTCCCTGTCCTCTTTATCTGCATATCAGGTCACACTGCTGCAAAATTTAGACTGCACACACCAGAACATGTGCATCTGATTGGATTTGGGTTTGTTGCAGGATGGAATTGGACCAAACAGTCACTCCTGTGGGTCAGTTTTTATTAATTACAGCGAACCTCCCTTCTCCTAGTCTAACATGGCCCTTTGCAGTTGTCAGTCAATGTAAAGCCTTTCTTCTGCCTGTAAATAGGATATGTTGGAAAGATTAAGCTCACACCTAAGTGAAAAAGGATGGATAAAAGGCAGGAGACTGGCCTTTTACTGTTGTCACTCCACGTGCCAACCCTTTTACTTCAGGAACACTCTCAAAACGAGTTACAGATTTAGATTTCTCCTATTTTCAGTGTGTACTATTAAGCTAGGGAGAAAAGATCCAGAATAGGAAAGATGACTTAATGGAAATTAATATGTTGAGTCCGGAGATTTGTACCATATAAATATCTAACTATTAAAAAGAGGTAACAGCAAAAAAAAAAAAAAAAAAAAAAAAAGAACAGAAATAAAATTAGAATTTAGTCACATTGCAAGCAAATAAATGTAGAGTCATCATGACTTCTAAAACTATTATAATTATCCAAGTCTAGCTGACACAAAATTCTGAACACTAACTAAATGATTTTTCTCGATGCTACCAACTCCTCTCTTCTTTGGGTTAAGAGCAACACAACATGGTCAATTCAAACACAGTGGCGTCTCATAAAAAGTTTTTTTTTTTTTCAAAAGGCTCAGCATCACTAATCATCAGAGAAGTGCAAATTAAAACTACAATGAAATACCATCTTACACCAGTCAGAATGGCTATTATTAAAAAGTAAAGAAACAGCAGATGTTGGTGTGGGTGCAGAGAAAAGGGAACACTTATACACTAGTGGTGGGAATGTAAATTAATACAACCTGTATGGAAAATAGTATGGAGATTTCTCAAAGAGCTAACAATAAAACTACCATTTGACCCAGCAATCCCACTACTGGGTATCTACCCAAAATAAATCATTATATAAAAAGACATCTGCACTCATATGTTTATTGCAGCACTATTCACAATAGCAAAGTCACAGAATCAACCTACCTGCCCTTTAACAGATGATTGGATAAAGAAAATGTAGTACACAGACACCATGGAATACTGCTCAGCCATAAAAATGAATGGAATTATATATTTTGCAGCAACAGGGATGGAATTGGAGGCCATTTTCCCAAGTGAAATGACTCAAAAAAGTCAAATGCTGCACGTTCTCACAAGTGGGAGCTAAATAATGGTGCACACGGACATACAAAATGAAATAATAGACGTTGGAGACTCCAAAGGGAGGGTAGGAAAAGGGTTAAAGGATGAAATTCTACCTATTTGGTACAATGTACACTATTTGGATGATGGTTACAGTAAAAGCCCAGACTTTACCACCACACAATATATCAATGTAACAAAATTGCACTTGTACCCTCAAATCTGCAAAACTAAAAATAAATATTTAAAAATAAAAACTTTTACATAGTGAATTCGTCCAGTAGCTTTATCAAGATGTAATTTATATACCATCAAATTTACCCCTTTGAAGAGTACATTTCAATGTTTTTTCAGTGTATGTACAGAGTTGTGCAACCTTCACCGTAATCTACTTTTGAAGTGTTTTCATCACGCCAAAAAGAAACCCTGCACCCTTTATTACTCACACCATATTCTTTCCCCTCCAGCCCCTGGCAAACACTCGTCTCCTCTCTGCCTTCATGCATTTGCTTATTCTGGACATTTTGCATAAATCGGATCCTACAGGATGTGGTTTTATGTGACCGGCTTCTTTTGCTCAGGATCATGCTTTGGTTTCATCCATGTTGTAGGAGGTGCCAATACTTTTTTCCTTTTTTATAAATTGCTGGATAGAATTTTTCTGTTATCAATGTGTTGATAACACATTGATATCAGCTCCCCATGCACCCCTTAATATATTTTCAGATAAACAAGGGGATCCATTGAAGCTCTGCTCCTTTAACGTGAGCACCACGTTAAGCTTCCCCAGCAGAGGGTGCTGGAGAGATAGTGCAAAAGAAAGGCTGCAATTTTCGGCTCAGGGGGCGAGATCGGAAGTGCGGTTATGACATCTGGTGGCACCTCTTCCAGCCATAGGCCCAGGTTGCAGCCTTTCAGCAACTCTGACACCTAAGCCTGGCAATATTATTTCCCCAGCTTTCTCAGCTGAGAAACCAGAGTTCCCTTCCGAGTCTGACACATCAAGCTGTTGTCCTTCTTCAAACTTCCCACATGGCTGTGTCCCTTTGAACCTTCTGTCCACTCCAATGCACAGACTCCCTAACACAGTGGTTGCCGATCACCTGCCCTCTCACCTGCACTCTAGAATGTGGCCCACAGTCTGCCCAGCAACTCAAGACCAACTCTGGCCTGGCCAAATCTCCAAACATCTCCACTCTTTTTTTTTGTTTGTTTGAGACGGAGTCTCGCTCTGTCGCCCAGGCTGGAGTGCAGTGGCGCAGTCTCCACTCCACCTCCCGGGTTCATCCCATTCTCCTGCCTCAGCCTCCCGAGTAGCTGGGACTACAGGCGTCCGCCACCATGCCCTGCTAATTTTTTGTATTTTTCAGTAGAGGTGGGGTTTCACTGTGTTAGCCAGGATGGTCTCGCTCTCCTGACCTCGTGATCCGCCCGCCTCGGCCTCCCAAAGTGCTGGGATTACAGGCGTGAGCCACCACGCCCGGCGAGTCTATGCATGCATGTCTTATAGTTACTCTTTTATAACTCTTCATAATTCTTCACATTAAACTCTCCCTATTTAATCCCACTGCATGGTTTGTCTTTTGCCTGGACTCAAACTTCCACAGTATTTCATTGTATAGGTATACCACATATTGTTCATCCATGCGTCAACTGATGGTCATTTGGGTTGTTTCCATTTGTTTGGCTCTTAGCAATAATGCTGCTATGAACATTTATGTGCAAGTCATATGTTTTATTTCTCCAGGGTAGCTACGTAGGAGTTGAATTGCTGGAGCACTTGGTACATTTGTCTTTAACTTTGTAAGAAACTGCCAAACTATTTTCCAAAGTGGCTGCACCATTTGTCCTTCCCATTAGCAATGTGTGAAGGTTCCAATTTGTCTACATCCACATCAACACTTATTATGTTCTATCTTTTATGATTATAGCCATTCTAGTATATTTTATACTACAAATTCAAGTTATTGAAGCCAAAAATGAAGGTTGAGTTAAAAAAAAAAAAATCAGAATTGTGTCCAGTACTCAAGAAGAAATAGGAAAGTGATGTCTATTATTTTGTTCTTGTTCTTATCAAAAGTTAAGGGACCAGTTCTTTCTGGGCTGCAATCATGGTAACATGTTCTTTCTTGGATGCTGTGACAGCAGGGTAAATGAAAGGAAACTCACAGTTTTTGGAACAAAAGCCATAGAACATTTCATTTCAAGAAAAAGTTAATACAAACTTCAGTAAAATAATGTGAAGAAAATGTTAAGCCAAAAAGACAATTTGATTTTGGAACTTTTTATGTGTAGGTAATTTTCTCTTTATTTTTTTTCTGGTAGAAACTTTAAAACTAACTCAACAGTTGGTCCAAAAACAACATTTAACCATTATTTTCTAGGCTACACATTTGGGCCCAGTACAACTCCAAGAAATGGAGAAATGCTCTGTTTCCGTTTGGAATTCAGGGAATCTTTCTGGCTGTGGTACAGATTTCCTGTGTTTTGCTCCAGGATGGTTGAAATTTGGGCAGCTCAATCAGGTTCAAATTATGTTAGAATAGCATTTGCATTCTAGTTACAAAGCAAGGCTTTGAATTCCCACCCACACTTTCTTGGCTTGAATCACCATCCTCATCAGTCTAAAGAAAGTGAAATCTTTTAAACAAGACAGGATGAAAGAAAAGTTGGGCTGAAAAAGAAAAACTTAGAAACTTTCGTGATTAAGTTAGCTCTTCCTAAAGTGTTCAGATCACAAGCCACCTCCTAGCACCTCATTTGAGATTCCACTGAGTAAAGTACATACCTTCAAGGTGATTAGAATGAGTTAGCAAACATCACGGATTAAAAAAAAAACACTTTGGAAGCTGTTTGTTAAATCTTGCAGAATTTTTAGCTGGTTTAAGTATCAGACACCAAGTCCAGATATGAAGACATATGAGGTTTTGTGGTGGTGGAAACTACTCAATCCACTGATATCTCCGGTTCCATGAAGAGCCACGTTAGTCTGTGATATTAAAGTATGATGTCAATTCTTTGAGCCTTTTGGGCTTCAATATGTATATTTAACAATACAGGGGCTTCAGCATAGGGTACACTACTTTATGAATGTATGGGACTTTGGTTTTATGACACATAAAAAAGACAGTGCATATATAACTGGTTAGTCCAGTATATGTACATTTTAAATAATTATGATTCTAACAGTATGGTCTCCGATGTTTGAATATATTGTTTAAGCAAAAATAGTCCTTGGAAAGGTTGCAACGTGATAGAGGAAGAGACACAGGAACCCTATTTTGGAGACAAATTTCCATTCAGGGAAGAACTTTTATAGATACTCACTGAAGAGTATCTAAAAGCATCATGCTTGCACCTATTTATCTGGTTTTTTTTCCCCAGATCTCCATTGCCAAATGATGTCATCAACCCATCTTTGTATAAACAGAAAATGAAAGAGACCTATAATTTCTATATTTTGTCTTTTGATTCCAACAGCATTATTATTTTAGGAGAGAGGTCTAGATCAACAGCTCTAAAATGACACCAACAGAACAGCAGTGAAGAAGGCATTCTCGGAGGCTGCACATTTCTGGAAGACAGCATGAAGATATGCCTCAAGTGCAAACAAATATTTGGTTTGGACTTAGCAATTCTATTTCAGAGAATTTGGCCCTACACAATAAAAAAAAAAAGCCAAGATTTAAATGCAGATATTACCTACATAAAAATTTGTAACTAAAAAAAGTAAGCCAAGCAAAATATCTAACATCATAGAACTCATTAACTAAATTATAGAAATGACTTTATTGTGTATAGAAAAATTATTCAATTCTACAAAATTTAAAGTACTTGGGGGAAAAGGCATTGAAATGACATACCCAAAGTTCACCTCAAATGTAACCAGTCTAGAGGACATGATTGCAGACTTTTGATATATGGATACCAGGATATGCAGATAGACAGAGATTCAGATAGAAATGTTTTAAGGACCATGTGTTTAAAGTAAGAACCAGTAAATGTATTTTTCTTAAATTTTGCTTTAGAAAAAAAACCAGAAGTGATACCAAAGGGATTGCTGATCTTCAAATATTTGAGGCTGGGGTGTCTAGGAATACAGTAGGACATGAATCCTTAAAAAGTGAGATAGGGTCAACTGCATAAGTAATGTGTTGCAAATTCACTTTACATATATAGCATTTTAACTATGCTATTTGGTAAAAACCAAGAGTAGCTGATAAAATGCAGTCTGTTCCTGGATTAAAATAGAAACTCTGTTGTCTTTCTATCTGCACTTCTGACACTTTTGATGTTCTCATTTGTTATGCTCTCAAGCCATCTCAACCTAACTTGTCCTTCCCTCACCCCCAAAAATTGGCTGGGAAAGAGGAGAAATTAGGGCATCCTCAAACTATACCTCCTAGACTAGAGGAATCGTACAATACTAAGGCTAATTTTCCCAGTTAGAAAAAGTGAACAGAAACTGAATGACTGGCTGCCTGCCATCCAAAGAGGGAAACGTCCAAAGCCTAAGAATGAACCAGGCTGGGAGCAGTGGCTCACACTTGTAATTCCAGAACTTTGGGAGGCTGAGGCAGGCAGATCACTTGAGGCCAGGAGTTTGAGACCAGCCTGGGCAATATGGTGAAACCTCATCTCTATAAATAAATAAATACATAAATAAGCTCCTAGTTCAACTCCTGAACCAGATAAAGAATAAATGACAGGCCGAGCACGGTGGCTCATGCCTGTAATCCCAGCACTTTGGAAGGCCAAGGAGGGTGGATCACTTGAGGTCAGGAGTTCAAGACCAGCCTGGCCAACATGGTGAAACCCCGTCTCCAGTAAAAATACAAAAATTAGCTGGATGTGGTGGGAGACGCCTGTAATACCAGCTATTTGGGAGGCTGAGGCACGAGAATCGCTTGAACCCCAGAGGTGGAGGTTGCAGTGAGCCGAGATCGTACCACTGCACTCCAGCCTGGGTGACAGGGTGAGACTCCATCTCAAAAAATATTAATAATTATAAAATAAAAATTAAAAAAGAATGAACCAGCCTGGGGCCATTCCTGAAGGGCTGTTTATGGCATTAAAACAAACAACTACAAAAAGTTGATATGAATCGTATGATACATGATTACCAGGATATGCAGGTTATATTATAGCCCTGAAATCAAGATCAGTAACGGTAACCTGAAACTGGGATCCACAACTTATTAATTCCGGTGAGTCACCCATGTTCACTCATATTTATTGATGAATTCAATATTTATTCATAACTAATAATTTATTATGAAAATATTTGGTGAATAAGACTCTTCTTTACCAAGAAAAGTGTATCCTGGAATAGAAATGTTAGAAATTTTTTATACTGAAAACAATTTTTTAAGTATTTCTTTTGGTACTTAGCTCCACATTTTAAAAAATTTTTTTCTTTTCTTCTCTTTTTAAAAAAATAGACAAATAATAATTGCACATATTCATTGGGTACATAGTGATGTATGCCAAGAAGTGAATTTCAAAATTCTTAAGAAGAAGAATAGCAATGAAAAAGACAAGGTGAGAATCCTATCCCCAAAGTAACTCCTTAGAAGTTTTCCAAATAAGTGAAATACGTATATGAAAATTTGAAATTAACACAGGTAATTCTTCTTCAGTATATCCATCTATACATAATGAAACTGAAGAAGATAAAGCTGTTTGTTCCTTGGGACAGTCTAAGAATAAATAAATGATAAAACATTTTGAAAAAGAAAGAAAAAGGTGAGCCACGATTTTTGTTTTTGAAATAAAATTTATAATTTTGTTACAATAAAAAGTTGGACTTCCATTTCCCCTCAAAATATAATGTTTTAAACATGTCTTCTGCAGTTAAATACTGAAATACCAGTATTCTCAGTTGACTCTGTTATTGCAATCACTAAATATCACCATTGGCATGTGGGCCTGTGGAATGGCGATGTGAATAACATGACACTTCCTTTCCTTCATTTCCCTACAATACAGTATTGTGAAGCAAACTTTAGTGGAAGTTGAAGAATATCTAGAGCTAATTTTAGTGAGCAAAAAATAAACCTTCCCCACAACTGAATGTCAAATATTACTGTCCAGGGGAAATGAAAAAAAAAATTCACATGGCATCAGCACTTAATATATTCCAGTTCTAGCCATGTGCAGTGATCCTGAAGACTACTCATTTTCTCTTTGAATTGGGGGCAGAGATAGACAAAGGTAGAGTTAATGTAAAAACAAAAGCTGGAAACCAGTGAGAGAAAGATAAAGAGACAGAATAACAGTTCTCAGCCCTCTACCAACCCAACCATCAACTCAAAGTCGAGACAACATTACCTCCAACTTGCCAAACTTGCTTCCACCTCCAAATTGACCATTATTTCTCTAGGAGTGAAATTCATATAATACAAGGTTTTGAAACTTTGCCTTTTCTAAAATCTGAGTTATGGTCATTCAGGTGTTAGCAGAAGGGGCTTCGTAACCCAACTCTTGAGAACAGTTCAGAAACACGACATTCATCATCTTTCTGCCATGATGGCAAAGCTCCATGACCCTGTGCTTTCCAATGTGGTAGTCCTAGCCTCACATGGATATGAGCACTTGAAATGTGCTGAGACAGAGGAACTGAATTTCTCATTTTATTGATTTCTAACTAGTTTGAATTTAAGCTGCTGCATGCAGTGAGTGGCTACCGTATGTATTGAGCAGAAGAACTCCAGTTGAAATAAATAAATACTCTATGGTTAAGTCCCTTCCAGGTCGCCTTGTCACTCTGAGGGGAAGTTTTATCTCCTCAATCTTTTTGGTCTTTAACCAGATAATTATTAGAAAACTTAATATCAAGTGCACACACACACACACACACACACATACACACACACGCACACACACACACATACACACACACAAACACGTGCATCCTTTCAAAGATTAACAACAAGCTAATGCAACCTAAATCATGGTCAAAAAGAGAAATTGTTTCCTAAGTGGAGCATAACCCCCTAAGAAAGCATTGCCAATTTTTTTAAGCTCTTCTTTTGTTTCCATGCCAAGCCTCTACCTCTACCAGTGCTTAAGGAACCAACCCATTCCCATGCATTTTCAAATTACTGACCCACCTTTTGCTCAAATAGACATTAAACTTGCTAAAACTTTGCATTTACTCACCTTCTTTATTTTATGCCAAATTACATTCTTAAACTAAGCAAGCCTTATAAGACTTTACTGTTCACCTCTAGTCAGAGCAGGATTCCAGGGAGTTTAGACATTTGTTCAGTTACAAAGATACTTTTAGAAGAAAATATTTTGGTTATATAAAATTGAGCAATGGCATTGGAAATATTTTGAAGTAGAATAAAGTGAAACTAAAGGCCTCAAGTATAAAAAGAAATTAAGATATTTTTCTTCCTCTGTACAAGGGCCAAATTTTCATTTTCTTGGCAATTAGGATATTTTGTCAAAATATAATGGAACTCTTTTGAGTTGTACGCATATTAATGTATAATAAAATCAAACACCATAAATATATATCAAATTGAAAAGAAAAAATACTCAACACAGATTCTTGAAACTATAGAGTAGATAAGGGTTAAGCAATTTATTTTTTCTTAATGGTCAAAAGTAATGTTTTAGGCTTTGCATACTGTATGTTCTTTGTCACAGCTACTCTGCCCTTTTAACACAAAAGTAGCCATAGACAGTACATAAACAAATGAGCATGACTGTGTTCCAATAAAACTTTACTTACAAAAACTAACCAGTGGGCCTCAATTTGGCCTGAAGTGGTGGACACTGTAGTTTGCTGAGCAATGAGGTAGATAAAAAATATGAAACTATACTTTTGGTAAATGCTGACTGCACAGCAACTAGAAAAATAAACATATAGATATCTCATTAATCAAGTTGAAAACCTATTACTGTGAACAATGGTGTACTAATTCGTTCTCACGCTGCTATAAAGAACTGCTTGAAACTGGGTAATTTATAAAGGAAAGAGGTTTAATTGACTCACAGTTTTGCGTGGCTGGGAAGGCCTCAGAAAACTTATAATCATGGCAGAAGGGGAAGAAAACACATCCTTCTTAATATGGTGGCAGGAGAGAAGTGCTAGCAGGGGAAATGCAAGACACTTATAAAACCATCAGATCTTGTGAGAACTCAGTATCACGAGAACAGCATGGGGGAACCACCCCCATAATCCAATCACTTTCCACTGGGTCCCTCCCATGACACGTGGGGATTATGAGAACTGCAATTCAAGATGAGATTTGGGTGGGGACACAGTCAAACCATATCAAATGGGAAAAATGAAAGATTTTAAGGGAAATAAGCAACATTTTTTGAACTCTGTTCTTGGCAGGAAACAGTAACTATGTGAAGGTGGAATTGAAGAACTAAGAAAGGAATCAAGACAGACACTAGTAGTTTGCAGGACATTCAGCACCACATCAGGACAAGACAACAGCTGGCTTTGCAATATGACACCTTATTGCAAAGGTGCACCTTAACATCCAGAACCCTCCAGTTATCTGAATAGCCCACAAAATGCTGTGTCTAGCTCCCTCACTTATAAATGATGAGTGTCATTTATATAAATGTGACACATATATATCCTTAAAGGCCACTTTTACAAATATCATGATGAGATGAATTTGGGGCACATCTAAAATAGACCAAATAGTATAATGGGAGTCTTTGCTCCCATCACTTCACCTCAGACTGTCAGTCCTGCCACAGCCTCATCCTATCCCCATCACAGTAGGTGGAAGAGATTCTCAGACATCACATTGTTTCATCTGTAAATATTTCCACCGGAGTCACTCTAAGATAAGGATCAAAACAACACCTGTTTATTTAGGGTCACCATTGTATGTCTAGGCATTTGACTAAAATCTATCCTTTTACCCCATGCATTAAAATAATTGAGAAAATTTTTGTTGGATGGAAGTTAAAGTGGTATAAAGCAAGAAAACAGATTGCTTCCTTTGAAGAACATTTTCATCATGAAAATAAATGTGATTTTCTGGTATATCTCTTATTATTAGGTTAGATTTGTTGGGAGAAAAGCTGATGCAGGGCTTGCATGTCAGACATAATGTAAAAGAGTCTTGGAAGATGTCCGGGGTCCAAGGCCGAAAACCCCTCGTGGCCTTTGGAACACCAGGCTCTGTGCCAAAGGGTGGAAGGCTGCCCTGCTGCACCATAATCTAAGCCCAGGGCATAAAACCCCTCATGGCTTGGATGGAATCCAGGGCTCAGGGCATAAAACCCCTAATGGCCTCTGGAATGTGTCTAGACTTGCTGGCTCCTTGCTTCTAGCACTCCCAGGCTCATAAAACGATTGTATCTTAAACTAGAGCATGTTCCCCATTATCTCAAGTAGCAGAACATGTTCCATATGCTTCAAAGGAAATGCTAAACCATCACAGCTATAGATCATGTGCTTGATGCACCACTTCCTTTCAACCCCCACATCCTTACCACCTGCTTCTTTGTTTGATTACCAATAAATAGTGTGGGCTCCCAGAGCTCAGGGCCTTCGCAGCTTCCATACTACTGTTGGCCCCCTGAACCCACTTTGTGCACTCTTAAACTTGTTTTTTCTCATTCCTTTGACTCTGCTGGACTTCATAGCCCCCACGGCCTGGTGTTGGATCCAGCCGCCCCGACAGGGTTTTATATGATCAGGGAGCAGTAGTAGTTGCCATAGCGTGAAGAAACTTGTGGCAAAGTTCCCTAACTCTTAGAAAGTACAGCATGGGCTGGGCGTGGTGGCTCACGCCTGTAATCTCAACACTTTGGGAGGCCAAGGTGGGCAGATTGCCTGAGGTCAGGAGATCGAGATCAGTCCGGCCAATATGGCGAAACCCCATCTCTACTAAAAATACAAGAATTAGCTGGGTGTGGTGGTGCACACCTGTAGTCTCAGATACTCAGGAGGCTGAGGCAGAAGAATTGCTTGAACCCCGGAGGCAGAGGTTGCAGTGAGCGGAGATCATGCCAGTGCACTCCAGCCTGGGTGAAGGAGCGAGACTCCGTCTCAAAGAAAAAAGGAAAAAAGAAAGTGCAGCATGTGTTCAATGAAAGAGCATTATCATGACTCATCTTCCTACACTCTCTCAGGAATTTTGAGCTGATTCAAATAACAGAGGAGAAGAAAATAACCTGTGAGTGCAATCTGATGAAGCATTGCCGCATCCTGCATTCAACAAATAAAAATAATCTTGTCGTACCTTTGTATCTTCAGAAAAACTAGCAAGCAACTTCAAAAAAATGGGCTTGAGTTCAAGCCACATGAATTATTACAGATATCAGAAAATAAAACACTTAAAAAATATACTTATGTTGCCCCATTTATGTGTGATTAGCTACTCATTCATAAGAAAGTGCAATAAATACTAATTTTTTCAGACAGGAGGGTAAAGTTTCTAAAAGGATTGCAGTAAAATATGTTAACTTTTCTAGAAGTAGAGCTTTAGTCATCTGCACTGGGCTCACCTTGGTGTCAATGTGTTCGTCTGTTGTCTTCACTGAGAACTGTGCTGAGATCATCAGCAAAGCATGCATAGCATTTCTAGGACTAGGGTAATTGTCCAGAACAAATTGAATGGGGAAAAAAACTGAAAATACTGATGCCAACCCTATAAATCTTATAAAATTAATCAGGGAAGGAGGGAAGAGGAGAAATGAAAGTAAACCAAGCTTGCAGCTCACTCAGCATTAATGACTAGGTCAGCCTGTTCTCCAACACCCTTCCTCATAGGTGTTTGCTGCCTATGGCCCCCGGATCACATACACCCTTTAAGGCATTATAGCTCCCCTTGACTGCTCTATAGGTAACATCTTAAGTATTGTGAAGTGTTACATTTTGCATTTGAGATACTCTTTCAGGTCTTGAGTACCAATGAAACCACTGACATCAGCTAGTCTAAAGAACCCCATGAGGAGCCGACTCACCAAGGAATGCAGCTTCCACACCCTCATGATTTAATTCCTCTTCCCTTGACCAATCAACAATCCCAATTTTCCAGCCCCTTACCCTCCAAGAGCCCCTTAAAACTCCAGTCAAGAAGTCCCCAGGGAGGTGGAATTGAGGGTCCCTCTCATCATTTGTCATCCTTACTCAGCTGCCCCGTAATAATTGAACTCTTTCTCTGCTGCAAACCCTGTTGTCTTGGTGGGTTGGTCTGTTACTAGGCAGTAGGCATATGGACCTATTGGTCCTGTAACAACGCAAAATAAGAAATAATGCAAAATATCCAAGATGCTTTAAAAAAACAAAAACTATTGGTAAAATAGTTTAAAAGCCTTTTTTTTTTGAAAGGTAAGGATTATTTTGTGTGTGTGTGGTGTTTTTTCTTTGTTTTGGGTGGAGTTTCTCATCTTTGTCACTACAGAATTTGGGGGGCCAGATGACTGTTTTGTATGAGGGCCTGCCGTGTACATTGTATGGGGTTTTGCAGCATCCCCACTCTCTATCCACTGGATGCCAGCAGCACCCTTATTCCCCAATGGTGGCAACTGAAATTGCTTCTAGACATGTTATAGAAATGAGGGAGGAGACCTAACTCATAATCTCCCCCTGGATGAGAGCCATCACTTTAGGAGACCAGGAATGGAAATGTGCATTTGTGTGTGTGTGTGTGTGTGTGTGTTTTAGAAGAGATTATCTCAAGCATACCTTACATTTAGGTATCATAACTTTACCTCATATGGATAGCCTTAAGATAAGTTTCAACCAAGAGGATTCTTATTTTTAGTTATTAGTTAGAAAAGTCATATTAATAACTAGTTTGTGTAATGTTAACCAAAAAATTAAGTGTCATAAATCAAGGGGTGGTGATAAGTTTTCTAATAAAGCAGGCTATGCGGTTTGGTGGTGCACCTGTAGTCCCAGCTACTCAGGAAGCTGAGGCAGGAGGTTAGCTTCAGCTAAGGAGTTCAAGGCTGCAGGAAGCTGCGATTGCACCACTGCATTCCAGCCTGGATGACAGGGCCCAACTCTGAAAGTAAAAAAGAAGGCAATTCCAGTGAGTGATATAGTCCATTGTGAATAACAATGACTGGAATTTACGGATGATCTTATACTAGCAAAAAGAAATTCTCAACACAGTCACATGACACATAATGGTTGACTGCACATACAATGGTAGTCCCTTAAAATTATAATGTAGCTGAAAAATTCTTATCACTTAGTGACACTGTAGCTGTCAATAGTGTCACAGTGCAATGCATTACCTTTTCTATGTTTAGCTATATTTAGATTATACAAATACTTATCATTATGTTACAATCTCCTACAATATTCAGTACAATCACATGCTGCACAGGTTTGTAGCCCAGGAGCACTAGGCTACACCATCTTGCCTAGGTGTGGAGTAGGCTGTACCACCTAGGTTTGTGAAAGTCCACTCTATTATGTTTGTATAACAACAAAGTCACCTGATGAAGCATTTCTCACAAGTGTTCCTGTCATTAAGTAACACATGGCTCTATGACTTGAAGTTAAATTCCTGCTTTAGAAAAGACAAAGCATTTCTTCCTCACTTGAAAAACATAAATACATGCCAACTTTGGACAGACTCAATGACCAGCTAGGAAGATGATGGGTCCTAAAGCTCAGTAGAGTATCTGTGGGCAGCTGTAGTGATGATTCAGTGGCCACAGTGACTTTCGGTAATCTAGGCAGGAATTGCACAGGATGAAGACATGTCTATTTTATTTATTTTTTAATGCTAGAGTCAAAAATCCAAAAACGTTTAATATCCTGTGGATAAAGTATAGTTTTCTTAACCTCTTTTTTCCATGTATATTTAGCTTTTGACATCATGGACCTATAGCTATTTTTGTTTGTTTACTTAATGAGGTTTTTATTTTTTATTCTCCTGACTATTATAATGGAATTACTAATAACTGTATAGCAGCATAAAAGACTGTCCCATGGTCACAGTAGACATCTTGAAACTTGTATTAAATTAGCACAGATGTGGTGCTACTTGAAGTTAAATAGAAAGATTTTATTGGCACACAATAAACTGAAAGTAGACCTGCACAAGATTGGAAGGAAATCTAGTCCAAATGGTTCCTCTTATAGATGAAGCAGCTGAAATACACGGAAGTGAGGGAGAGCATCCAAGATAGTTCAACTAGGCAGTAACATTCCTACATTCTTATTCTTAAATCATCTTTGCATTGAAATTGCTTTAACCAATTTGCCAGACAAATTGTAAAATTGTATGATTCATATGATTGCAAAAAGAAACAATGCTTGAATCACTGTTGTAATTCAAGCTAAAGAAAACATATGGAAAATAATATAATTCTTTCTAGTTTCTCCCCCAAATTCAGAGTCCTACCTCTTTTCAGCAAGTGCAGGACAACAGAAAGAAAAACCAGAGGCCAGGTTGGGAGGAGATATGAAAAGATTTTCCCAGAAAATGAAGTAGAAGATCCTAGGAAGGTACACATTTTGTTACTTTCTTTCCAGTCATTGAGGTGGTAATGATAGTGTTCTGAGGACCAAGAGAGACGAGGCTGAGGCAAACTGTGGAAAACCAGAACCAGTGCCAATGACTTAAAGTCTCAGTTGAGCTTGTTATATATAAAGCACAGGCCAGATGCAACAAGACTAATGAAAACATGCTGTGTCCAGTTTACCATCAATGAGAAAAATGGGAGACATTCAATCTGCTTTAAATTGGGGCCATCTCAAATGATATGTAAAACACAGAGTTATGGCCTACCATTCCTGAGTGACAATTCTTGACTCTGTGCTGAATATTTTGGTGGGATTTGTGTTGTATTTGTATTGAGCTGCCCTAGATGGTCTCACCATATATTCATTCATGAAACAAACATTTACTGGGTGCCCATGATGTGCATGGAACTATTGTAGGAGCTCAGAGTTAGTCCTTAGCCCTAGAGAGTGAAGGGGTGACAAAGAAGAAATACATACATCTTGTAACAACACAAACTACACAAGTCAAAATAGGCTGGCTTGAGAATGATGGAGGTAGGGACATGAGGATGGGGAAATCTAAGGTTTTCCAGGAATGGCAAGGAGGTAAGCCAGGATACAGGGGTGCCAGGGAAAAGAAAAGAAGAACCCATCAGAGAATATAGAGGTACAGATTGTGTAGGGGCAGGGGCCATATTAGGGGCTTCGGCTTTTACACTGAATTGGTTGAGAAGTCACTGGGAGGTTTTGAACAGGGAAGGAATAAGATTTGACTTGTATTTTAATAAGTTTACTCTGACTTCGGGGTGGGGATAAGTTGAAAGGGGCGAGAATGGGAGGAGAGTTAAGAGCCTGTTGCCTTAGACCAGGTGAATGATTTGGCCAGCGTGGACTCATCTTGCCAGGCAACCCTTCCAGTGGTGTAGGAATTTCTGTTAAAAACCAGAAAATTGACAATCCAGGTTAACTTGAAAGCAGGAGATCAACGTTCCTTGAGCAGGCTTGAGATATTAAGACAGAAGGTTAAAAATTCTAATGATTTACATTTCTGCTGTATCTCTTCTTATATAAGAGACACATACACACACACATAGGTTAAACATAACCTATGTTTCTATATAATTTAAACTATCAATAGTTTTAACCTAAGCTATGAAAACCAACATGCCTACAAATGTCTTGAGTTCCATCATTTGAATTCATTTAACTCTTTATTAACTATTATACATCCTGTGTGTGGCTCTTTTGGCTTCCAGAATAAACTTTTGTTGAGTAGATGCTGAGATTAAGGTGCTAGCAGACTGCTTATGAGAAGTGACGTCTTAGGCCCTGCACAGTGGCTCATGCCTGTAACTCCAACACTTTGAGAGGCAGAGGCAGGTGGATCGCTTGAGGCCAGGAGTTTGAGACCAGCCTGGCCAACATGGCGAAACCTCGTCTCTACAAAAAATACAAAAATTAGTCGGGCATGGTGTCACGTGCCTGTAGTCCCAGCTCCTCAGGAGGCTGAGGCACAAGAAGCACTCAAACCCAGGAGGCGGAGGTTGCAGTGAGCCGAGATCGCACCACTGCACTCCAGCCTGGGAGATTGAGTGAAACGACATCTCAAAAAAAAAAAAAAAAAAAAAAAAAAAAAAGAGACAGAGAGAAATGACATCTTATAAGAGATACCATTCCACCCAGAGTCATATTCCTAGCTCCTGGGCTTAGATGAGCATGGTTAAAGCGAGATTGGTGTAAAAATATTGTCTCCGTCACACTGGAGGGAGGCCACACTTTCCATCCTCACCTAGCTCTCTTCTCCCCACACACAGTCCTACTCTAAACAACTGATAAGAAGCTTCATTGTAATTTCACTCATGGTGGTTTATCTACATGCCCTTACATCAGAGCATGGACAGTAAAGCTGATTTCTTGCAAAAAAGAATTTTCAACTCTAATTAAAAAGAACACAAGTGGAGTTATTTTAATGAATGAGGCAGCCACAGACGGGGAAAAGTATGGGCTTTGTGGTTCTGGGATATTAAATGCTGCTTCCCTAACCATGGCCCCTTCAGTAAGATATTCAATCACTTTGAAATTCAGTTTTCTTCTAGGTCAAGTGCAGATGTTATGAGTATCCCTCACATAGGTTTGTTGTGAGGTTTAAATGAAATAACCCATACTTAGCATTTAGCATGCCATAAATCAAATGTGCGTCCATTAAATTGCATCACTCATGCTGTTTTTCCAAGGTAGTGCCATTCTTTTTCATTGTTTCCTCATTTTTTGGGTTATTTAAGCCTTCAAAGAAGAGAAAGTTGTATAGGTCATCATACATTGATATTATCAGATAACCTAAAGCATATTACTATTTGTAAATATGCATTAATCAATGAGCATAATATTTTTAAAAATATCAAGTGTTTTTTTAACAGTAAAAGGGCTTAACCATGAAATATAAATATAGGCATAGCACTGTGCTACGCTGGAAATATATTACATAGGAGTGTTCTTTTTTGAAGTATGCTGGCATTTCTGATTAACATCTGGAATAGTGGCTCATAAACATCATCACACATTACAATCACACATTAGAATCGCCTTGCTAATCGTCTAAAACTGTGTGCCCACCTTACAGGAACCAAATAATTTATTTTTAAGAGATCCCCAGGGGACGCTGATGCTACTCGTCTGGAAACCACATTTTGAGAACCATTCATTAATCTAGAGCAATCTGTTTTATTCCCATCACTGTGCATCAACGTTGGTAGTTATTGAAAGAAAAACTAAATTCAATCAAATACAGAAAATTAGTATTGCCATCGAAAGTGTATTTTTTCATTTATTTTGTTGTCTGCATTTCCTAAAATGTGCAAGGAAAAAAAAAATAAGAGGAAGGTCAAAGGGAGATGGGAACATCAGATAAAGAATGCACCTGACTTCCAGTAAGCCAATCCACTCAATACCACCGTGGGCATCGAACTTGAAGGGAACACGTATTTTGACACAAGTTGCACACTGAAGGCTCAAGATGTGCAGAAATCTCTAAATTATGAACTTTCCTTCTTGGGCAGAAGTGGAAGGAATGTCTGTTTTCATGGCTGTGGTTTACTAATATCTCACAGCAAACATATGAGAAGTAATGAAGTAACCGAGCGCTGCTTCGTTCAAGGGTATTTATCTGCCTCCAGAAATGAGAGGGAAAATCCCAATTGCTTTGGAAGTATTTGATGCTCTTTAGTAAAGATATAGCTTTAAGATTCCTCAGGATATTAGCCAAATTGAAAGCGATTTAAATGCCTCTGTTCTATGTTAAAGAGCCTCTCGCTATAGACGCACTTCTTCACGAATGTGTTTACTTTGGAAGCAGAGTGAATCCTCCACTGACGGAGATGGAAATGTTTCCTAATTTGCTAACAGTTTAGAAACTGGAAAATAACAGAGAAGGTACACATCCGACTGACACTGGGGACACATTTATCTTGTATTCATTATTTTTCATAATTTCACATGCCCCTGGCGGCCACTTGAGATCAAATTATTAGAGAATCATTTTAATTTAAACTGCCTCATGAACTGATTTGTTTTGTATTTGTTTTTCTGTTGCTATTTTCTAATTTCTAAGTATTTACTGCTATTTAAGCAATTTTATTTGTACCTGATTGAACAGCTGCGGTTGGGTTCATCTACCTCAGAACTTTCTGTCTGAATCTTTGAGAGAGCAGATCTGTAGTCCTCTCACTGCTATTTGATGTCCACTTTGTATGTATTAAAGACAAGCTGGTTTCTTGTGTCCTTGGATTGATTGCACGAACAATGATATTTGGTGAATGGGCATGTATATATGTATTTACATGTGGGTGATTTATTTCAAATGAGATAATAGGGCATTTTGGTCAGTTCAACTAGTACAATTAGGGGATATTGATAAAACTCTGTCAACCAATTTTAATCCTGATAGAAAAGTAGTTATTTGTCCCTTTTCTGAGAGATGCATAGAAAAAAAATATTTTTTTCATAGATATTTTCACATGTTAATTAAATTTTTCCACTGGAACATCCATCTAATTTCCTCCTGTTTACTAAATTTCCACCCATACATAATCCTCAACTCTGAATCTCAACTTCTCTAAAAATGATTTTTCTCTGAACTCATGTGAATCTCTCTCTCCACCCCCCAACTTTCTTCTCTTCTCTTTACGTCCTTATACAACAGTTAGTCTTAAACACCATTTTAAGTTAATTTGTAATCATCCCATGGGTTTGTCCTGCCCACTGCACAGACAAAATCAATTCACTGAGATCGTGGTATTGCAGTAAAGAAAGACTTTAATTGACTGGAGGCTGGCCACGCAGGAGACGGAGTCATTACTCAAATCAGTCTCGCTGAAGGCTGGGAGGGTTTTTAAGGAAAATTTGGTGGGCAAAGAGCTAGGGAGTGAGGAGTGCTGATTAGTTGGGTTGGGGATTAAATCATGGTGGGTGGAGGTGGAAGGGGGTTCTTCTGTGTGCCTTCTGTTCCTGGGTGGGGTTGCAGAACTAGGTGGGCCAGTTTACTGGTGTTAGTGGCGCCAGCTGGTTCATCAGGATACAGGGTCTGAAAAATACCCTGAACACCAATTATAGGTTTTACAATAGTGATGTTATCCCTAGGAGCAATTGAGGAGGTTAGGAATCTTGTGGCCTCTGGCTGCATGATTCCTGAGCCAAAATTTCTACTCTTGTGGCTAACTCTTTAGTTTTACTAAGGAGGTCTGATCCTCAGTCAAGGAGGGGGTTTGTTTCAGGAAGGGGTTGTTATCATCTTTGTTCCAAAGTTAAAGTATAAACTAAATTCCTCCTAAAGTTAGATTTCCCTATGCCAAGGAATGAAAAAGGGCAGATTGGAGGTTAAAAGCAAAACAGAGTCAGTTAGTTCAGATCTCTTTCACTGCCACAGTTTTCTTGTCAGATTTTTCTCACTCTCATAATTTTTGTAAAGGTGATTTCACTTTTACTACTTGCACCCAGCAAAAATGTAAATGTCTGGAGGAAAAAAAATCTCCATTTTACTTTTTTATAATCTGCCCCAATTCTGCACAGAAGAAAAACCAGTGGTATGTAGTGTATTATATATTAATAGAAAAAAAGAAAGTTAAAAACATTGTAACACATACATTGTAAAAAAGTTCAAAAAGGTACTCCCTTAAAATATGTACTATTCTGAGATTTTTGTCTCTTAATAGATTTTGGTCATCCTCTTTCTTTCACTCTATATTTAGTTATTCCTTCTGTTTTGCAGCTAAAAATCATACCATTTTATGAATATGTCCTAATGTACTTAACCATGGCATTTATGTTATTACCAGTGTTCAGCTATGACAACCAGTAATGGAAATATCAGAATACACTCAGGTGGGAAGTCCTGTAAAATAGATGTAAAGAGGTGGGAGAGTGTGTTCCAAGTGTTTAACACATTTAAATTTTGATTGCTAAGTTTTAAATCACACATTGTAGAAACAGAGAATGTCCACCTGAATACACAGTAGTTTCTAGATCTACTCACACCAACGATTTTAGAACTATGTGTATATTATGGAATCCGGAAATCTTATTATCTGAGATTTTCTGTTAAAAAAAAATACAATCATGCTATGTACATGTGTGTGTGCAAGTCAACCCCACTCTACACCTCAGGGGTGGTGAATTAGCATTGAAAGGATTTTTATGAGGAATTCCCAATTCAGGGATGATTTCCAATGGAAGACCCCCACTGGGAATCCACAGTCCAGAGGTGGCTACTTAGCCCTTCAAATACTGTTGTTTTATAATTATACCAGTTAATTTGCCAAATGGCTTCAGTGATATTGAAAAACTAATTATGAAATCAATTATGTTCATTTAGAAAACCTGTATAGGTCCAATTGCCCCTGAATGCATGCATTGCTGTGGGTGGAGGAGGAGGAGGCAGGGTTGCAAGCGACTGTTTAAGCAAAGAAATTAATTCTCTTCTCCGTGCCCAGTTGCAGCCAAATGGCCTAGCATGTATGGGATCGTCTGTGCTAATAAAGGTAAAGATCTAAGATATGTTGCTGGAATTCCAAAACACAAGGGTGTCCAACATCCACCATTTCTCAAGATGCCTTTTAGATTAGTTACCTAACCTCAAAAAAAAAAAAAAAAAAAGCCAGAGAATAAAATAAACAAGTTGATTGTGCCTATACCATTTGCCTTCTTAGAGAGCTTGGATTTTTTTTTTTTTTTTCAAAGTCTGGTTCTGTTGCCCAGGCTGGAGTGCAGTGGCAGTGGCTGGATGTTGGCTTACTGCAACCTCCACCTCCCAGGTTCAAGCAATTCTCCTGCCTCAACCTCCTGAGTAGCTGGGATTACAGGTGCACACCAGCATGCCCAGCTAATTTTTTTTTTTGTTTTGATTTTTAGTAGAGACGGGGTTTCACCATGTTGACCAGGCTGGTCTCGAACTCCTGACCTCAGGTGATCCACCCGCCTCAGCCTCCCAAAATCCTGGGATTACAGGCGTGAGCCACCGCACCCAGCCAAAGTGCTCAGATTTTAAAGGAACAACTCATTTGTGGATTAGATAGGGAAGAGCCTGCCAGCATTAAGAATGGGCAGACTAGTCAAAATAGACATTTCTCTGGAACATCCTTCAGGGGAATTCATTTTTATTCTTAAGAAAGTTAAAGTAATCTCATGTTTAAAGAATAGTGGACTGTATTCTTTGTAAAGAGGATGATTCTTCTGAATCATATAGTCAGCTACTAACCTGGCAGCTTGAGCTCAGTTTTCTCTGTGCTCTGTTTTCCTAAGAAGCACACAACTTGATAAAAGGTAGATTGTTAGGAGATTAGTCTTGGTCCCTGGATCACCAGGATCATATTTGATCACTTTCAAAGTCTACATCATCAGAAAAATATTTACATTTCCCTTGCTAGTTTGAGAAATGTTTCTCATTATTTTAAAACTATTCCTGTGAACGTCTTTTATCTTATTTTTAAAGAAGGTGAGGCAGTTTGGTTGATCTTGAGTTATAATCAAAATTTTTCAAAGCAAGGAACGAAAGCAACATAGAAATTAGGTTTTTTTTTTCCCCCTTGGAATGAGTTGTTTCAGGTAAAACTGTTCTAATTTCCAATTTATCTTCTTGGGTGGTGGGAATATGTTTTTTACTCCTTGATAGGTGTATTCTTAAAATGAGCACATTTCTTTTTAATTTCATTTCCACATCAATAAACATAAATCCCATGTATGTTAAGGTGTATTAAAATATGTAATTATGTTCTTAAATCTCTACTTAAAACAAGGAGAATATGAATCCTAGAGATATGGTTTTTATTTTAATAGAAATTGCTATTAAACCCAGGGTAGGTTGATACAATATTGGAGTTGAACCTATAGCTTAATGAAAGAGAGTGGGCAATTATGTTTTTCCTTTTGTTTAGAAATCAGGATTTATTAGACTTTTTCTTTCTTTTTTTCTCCTAGTGCATGTTTGGCAATGTAGGGAGGCCTTTTTGGTTTTGGTAGGGAGTTCCCACTGGCATCTGTGGGTAGAGGCTGTGAAAGGCTGGACCAGAGGTAGGCTGGTTTTTGACCTTATGAAACTTTGGAATTTTTGTTGGCAAGGCGTCCTTCCAGCTGGGACTCAATGCTTCAGTCTTCCCAGGAAAGAGATCTGTGTGAACCCAGCCCTACCTGCTTTTCAGCTGAACCACAGCATGAAATGCCCCGCCGGAATGCTCCACTGTAACTAGTGTCTGATGTCACACCAGTTTAGCCCCAGAAATCTGTGCCAGGAAGCCCACCTGAGCAGAGCTGCCTTCTGCACGGGCATGCCTGGCCAGACACTGTGTTGTACAGTTGTGTTTTCACTCAGTTCTTTTGTTCTCAGTCATTGACCACTTGTAAAATCACTCCAAAAGATGGAAAAATATTTAGGTGTGTAGAAATGCAATGGGATCTGGTATTACTATATAATTTTTATACAGAAGGGCATTGTTGCTGGAAAAATGGGCTTTCCTAGCAGACCAGATTTGAGTTTTTTGTTTTTTAATAAGGATGATTGACAGTCCTTTCCAATGTGTCATGAATGTTGAGGATCTAGGGCAAGATAAGGAATTTCTTTCTGCCTTCTGCAGACACTACTCTCTAGTACTTTTGTACAAGCATGCAGCATAGTTTATTGGAAACCTATTGCTATATAATGAGTTACCACAAATTTCTAAAAATTGCTGAGACTCACAGTTGTTTGAATAATTCACCTATGGATTTGGGATTGGAACCTCGCTCCCTGGACAGGAAATTCTATGTCTTTCCAGGTTACTGTTGTGGTAGTCAGAATCCCCACTGCTGCCACACATGCCCCATAAGAGTCCTTTCTCCTGAGTTGTTTGGGACCTATGATTATGATGGAATGACACTTCCTCCATTAGGTTACTTTGTATGACAAAGGTAATGGGGTGGACATGATTCCATTATATTCTATATACCTGTATTGTAGCTGTCAGAAGAAAGGTCCTCCTACTGGCTTTGAGTAAGTCAGTCATCATGTTGAGAGAGGACCCTGTGGCTAGGCCCTAAGGACAGACTCCAGGAGCTGACAGCAATCCCTGGCCAACAGCCAGCAAGCAAAGGGAGACCCCAGTCCCATAACCACAAGGACCTGGGTGCTGCCAACAGCCCAAGTGAGCCTAGAAAAGGACTTCAAGCTCCAGAAAAGACTGCATCCCAGCCAACATCTTGAAGGATGTGTCATTACACTCTGTGAGCCTCAGTAACCTGGTCTCTACACTGATGCTTAACTCTGAGGGTTGTTGTGAACACTCAATGAAATGATGCCTAAAGAGATTGACAGATTGGACACTCAGTAAATGCTAATTCCTTGCTGCCCCCAATTCTCTTTACTTCTGTGTCCCTCATAAAGGGGAAAGGGAGAGGGAGAGCAATGGAAGTGCTGGGCTACGGAAGTAGTTGATGCAAGTTGTTTTCCAAGCCTTAAAAGTGCTGCAGTGTGCGTAGATCACAAGGACTGGCTTAAGTACGAACGCATGGGGTGTTAATTTTTTTGTAGAGGATTCCAGGTTCAGAGGATATCTGAAGTGCTGACTTGGCAGCAAAATCCCATTTGTAACATGTTAGATATTTATTAAATTTATTTATTGACTACCTCCTAGAGCACCTCTATAATGGGATTTAAAAATAGAACAGCATTCAAGTGAGTATCATGATCTTCTGGACCTCACAACCTAGGCAGAGAACTCCATCGGTCAGCAGGCTGTGGCTGTAGAGTGGGTGGAATACGATGAACATTACACAGATGGCATAAAAGGAGAAGCCATTCACTAGGTTTATGTGGGTTGGTGACAGCTTCCTATATAAGCGGAGGTTTGAAGATGGAGAAAGTTGGCAAAAGAAAGGGGTGGAGGGATAGAGAGAGGAAGGCATATAGGCAGAAGGAACAACCAGTGCAGAGCCTTGTGTGTGGGGGAGAGAGACGGTGCTTTTTTGGCAACTGTAAATAGATCCATCCCATAGATGATGAGATTTTATGAAAGAAACCTAGATGAGGTCAACCATTAAAGATGAGAATCAAGCAGCGGCCATGTCATAGAGTGCTTTGCAAGCCATGCTTTAGATTGTGCACTTTATCCTAAGGACATTGAAAGATGTTGAGATCTGAAGGTATTTGCATGGCATTGGACAGCTTGAACTTTAATGTAATCACTCTGGTTGCATTTGGACTAATGAATGTTTAAAGCAAATGTTTGCAAGGCAAGATATACTTTAGGAAGCTGTTGCGCTTATAGAATGCACAGAGGATGCTAGAGAAAAATGGTAGAGGTGTGGAGAAAGAGAGAAAAAGCTCTGTGTTAAGGAAATGGAATCTAAGAGACTTGATGCCGGAGTAGATGTGGGGTAAGGGAGGCACCCATGT